>NT_167246.2:1433192-2041800 GCF_000001405.40 Homo sapiens | reverse complement strand
GGCCAAGCAGACAGGAGGGAACCCACCTTCATGCACCTGCTCCTTTTTTTTTTTTTTTTTTTTTGGAGATGGAGTCTTACTCTGTTGCCCAGGGTGGAGTGCAGTGGCGTGATCCCAGCTCACTGCAACCTTCGCCTCCCAGGTTCAAGCAATTCTCCTGCCTCAGCCTCCCGGGTGGCTGGGACTACAGGCATTCGCCACCACACCTGGCTAATTTTTTGTATTTTAGTAGAGACAGGGTTTCACCATGTTGGCCAGGCTGGTCTCGAGCTCCTGAACTCAGGCAATCCACCCTCCTTGGCCTCCCAAAGCGCTAGGATTACAGGCGTGAGCCACCGCGCCCGGCCACCGGCTCCTATTTTTATATCCCACTCTGGAGCTCTGGTTCCCGGGCACTTGCTCTTCACCTCTGACTCAGAGCGTGAACCTGACTTCACCCTCCTACCCAGGTGGCCAAGACTAAGCAGCAGATTGAGGAGCAGCGGGTGCAGGTGCAGGTGGTGGAGCGGGCCCAGCAGGTGGCAGTGCAGGAGCAGGAGATCGCCCGGCGGGAGAAGGAGCTGGAGGCCCGGGTGCGGAAGCCAGCGGAAGCGGAGCGCTACAAGCTGGAGCGCCTAGCCGAGGCAGAGAAGTAAATGTCCCCTCCCTGACCCTGCCTAGCTCACTTGCCACCTAGGCACCCCAAGATGGAGTGCTGAAGCCTTCACCACCTGGACTCCTATGGATTTCAGGTTTCAGGAGCGTCTGCCTCTGCAGCACTGGGCCTTTCTCCTGGGAGTAAGGGCTGCTGGGCTCCACCCTCCACTTCCCTTCTGTCCACAGGTCCCAACTAATTATGCAGGCGGAGGCAGAAGCCGCGTCTGTGCGGGTGAGTTAAGAGGCAGTTCCATGCTGGCTTGTGGAGAGGGTGGGGGTTGCTGCTTGATCGGGGATTTCTTGTTCTTAATGATTTCCGTCAATCTCACAAGCATCCTTAACCCTCAGATGCGTGGGGAAGCTGAGGCCTTTGCCATAGGGGCCCGAGCCCGAGCCGAGGCTGAGCAGATGGCCAAGAAGGCAGAAGCCTTCCAGCTGTACCAAGAGGCTGCTCAGCTGGACATGCTGCTAGAGAAGCTGCCCCAGGTCTGGAGGTCATGTGGGCACCAAGAAAGGAGGAAATAGAACCAGGGACTAAGGGGTGGGGTGTAGTGAGGGGCTTAGGGAGAAACAGCCTAGGGGGACTCTAAATTAGGGGTGGGAATTATTAGTGACCAAAGTGAGGAAGGATGATCAGTGGAACGAGGACCTTAAAACCCAGAGTAAGTTGTTTTATGAGGAATGTGGTCAGATCATGGGCACTGAGTGGGTGTCTCTCTCCTGCCAGGTGGCAGAGGAGATCAGTGGTCCCTTGACTTCAGCCAATAAGATCACACTGGTGTCCAGCGGCAGTGGGACCATGGGGGCAGCCAAAGTGACTGGGGAAGTACTGGACATTCTAACTCGCCTGCCAGAGAGTGTGGAAAGACTCACAGGCGTGAGCATCTCCCAGGTGAGGTCTCAGGTTGGAGCTGAGGAGAATTGCTAGGTTCCTGTGTTGTGTGACACAGTATGCCTAGCATTTAACCAGCATCCAGGCCTGGGAGTCATTGATGTTTATTAATCACTTTCTGTGTGCCAGACACAGTGCTAAGCTTCTACATAAATGAGTTGTTTTAAATCAAACTACCATTAGGGTATATAGGATTTTACAAAGTCCAGAAACTCAACATCCAGCATGTTCCTACTCATTCTGCTAGTGCAGCTGGAGTGAAATCCAGGTCGACTGTCTCTGCAACCTGTGCTTGTGGTCACCCCACTAGTATAGGGAACTAGTTGCAGCCTATTGACAGTTAATTAATTCTAGGGCATATCACTGCTTTTCTCAGCGCCCCAGTTAATTCACCTGTAGATCATGGTAGAAGTCAGCAAACAGGCTCTGGAACCACTGTTTTGTTGCGAATCCTAGCTACAATGCCTGCTAGCTGTAATCTTGGACAAGTAATCAACCTCTCTATACCTGTTTCCTCATCTTAAAATTGGGTTAATAATTAGAAACTACCCTGTTGAATTGTTGAGGGGCTCGAGCAAATATTTGCAGTGTTTAGAATAGTGCCTGGTATATAGTAAGCATTATGTGTATGTTAAAGAAATGGGGCCAGGTGCAGTGGCTTACGCCTGTAATCCCAGCACTTTGGGAGGCTGAGGCAGGCAGATCACCTGAGGTTAGGAGTTGGAGACCAGCCTGGCCAACATGGTGAAACACCATCTTTACTAAAAATACAAAAAAAAATTAGCCAGGCTTGGTGGTGCATGCCTGTAATCTCAGCTACTCGGGAAGCTGAGGCAGGAGAATTGCTGGAACCCAGGAGCCGAAGGTTGCAGTGAGCTGAGATCACACCACTGCACTCCAGCCTGGGTGACAGAATAAGGCTCTATCTCAAAAAAAAAAAAAAATTCCAGGCGCGGTAGCTCATGCCTGTAATCCCAGCACTTTGGGAGGCTGAGGCGGGCGGATCACGAGGTCAGGAGATTGAGACCATCCTGGCTAACACAGTGAAACCCCGTCTCTACTAAAAATACAAAACAGCCGGGCGTGGCGGTGTGTGCCTGTAGTCCCAGCTGCTGGGGAGGCTGAGGCAGGAGAATGGTGTGAACCTGGGAGGCAGAGCTTGCAGTGAGCCGAGATAGCACCACTGCACTCCATCCTAGGCAACAGAGCAAGACTCTGTCTCAAAAAAAAAAAGAGAAAGAAATGCATATTCGGGCTGGGTGCTGTGGCTCACACTTGTAATCCCAGAACTTTGGGAGGCCAGGGTGGACGATCAGCTGAGGTCAGAAGTTTGAGATCACCCTGGCCAACATGGTGATACCCCATCTCTACCAAAAATACAAAAATTAGCTGGGTATGGTGGCGCATACCTGTAATCCCAGCTACTCGGGAGGCTGAGGCAGGAGAATCACTTGAACTCAGGAGGCGGAGGCTGCAGTAAGCCAAGATCGCACCACTGCATTCTAGCCTGGGTGATAGAGTGAGATTCCGTCTCAAAAAAAAAAAGAAAAAAAAAAAGCGTATGTAAATAAAAGCACTGGATCATACCAATGACCTTCAAGCTGGGTTCCTTGGAGCCTCCTGGAGGCCTGCAGTAGAATATTCAGAGCTAAGGAGAGTGTGCAAACAAGGCTCTGCCCCCTCTCCTCTCTTCAGTGATTTATTGTATGTGGGTCCTGATGTCTTTGTTTGGGGAAACAGGTGGTAGGGCACCAGAAAGAACCCTGGCCGTGTGTGTTCTGCCTATAGCCCATTCGTCTAAACTGGGGCCCGGGAGAGTAGGGGCCTCAGCCTCCCGAATGTTCCCAAGTGTCATCTACTGTTGTCTTTTTGCCAGGTGAATCACAAGCCTTTGAGAACAGCCTGAGCCTTCAGCCCTCACAGATGCCCAGCCTCATAGCTGAAGTTGCCTGAATGATCCTCCTGTTGCATGTAACCCACTGGCCTCCCTGAGCATGTCCATTGACAGTGAGGTCCCACCCCTCATCTCTCCTTGCCAAATAGTTTGTGCCTTGTCTTGAAGGGGGTTGCTCCCCTTGCCAACCTCACACTGCTATGATTGCCAACTCCAGCGGTCCCATGTCAGCCTTCTGATGATCCCACTCCACCCCACCTCAACTTATTTAACTTCCTAATTAAATCAGACTGTTTGAGCCTGTTGTCTAGAATATTTTCCTGACCAAGACTGAGGGATGGGCTGGAGGTTTTCAACTTTGCTACCCAAATAAATTGCTGTAAGTAAGTACTAATAAAACAGAAGCAACTGGAAATTAATGCTTGGCCCGGCACAGTGGCTCATGCCTGTAATCCCAGCACTTTGGGAGGCCAAGGCAGGCAGATCATCTGAGGTCAGGAGTTCAAGACCAGCCTGGCCAACATGACGAAACCTTGTCTCTACCAAAAATACAAAAATTAGCCAGGCAGGGTGAAACATGCCAAGTAGTAGTCCCAGCTACTTGGGAGGCTGAGGCAGGAGAATTACTTGAACCTGGGAAGCAGAGGTTGCAGTGAGCCAAGATCGCACCACTGCACTCTAGCCTAGGTGACAGAGTGAGACTGTTTCAAAAAAAAAGAGAAAAAAAATGAATGCTAGACTCAGGTATGGTGACTCTTGCCTATAGTCCTAGCTACTTGGGAGGCTAAGGTGGGAGGATCACTTGAGCTCAGGAGTCTAAGGCTGTAGTGAGCCATGATCACACCACTGCATTCCAGCCTGGGTGACAAAGCAAGATCCTGGCTCTATTAGAAAGAAAATGAATGCTAGAATGTAGCTTCTTCCCTTGCATACAATAGGCTTTCTTGCATACAATAGGCTTTCTAGAATGGGAGAAAAGCAAGTTACTTATATACTGTCAAGAGTTTTAGAGTTAATTTTTCCCCCCAACAGTGTATTATAGTCAGAAAAGCATGCTAAAATAGAAGGAATGTTGGGAATAATACTAGTTCCTAGAATTCCTGAAAACATGGCAAAAGGAATTATTGTTTTCAGGGTAGCTTTGAGACTTGCATTGTGAACTTAAAAGTATGAGGTAGTAGATGGTACAGATTGTTTTAGAATGGGACCATAAGGTAGCAATCCCGCCTAGTTATCCTTTTTTTTTTTTAAAGACAAGGTCTTGGGCTTGGGCCGGGCACGGTGGCTCATGCTTGTAGTCCCAGAACTTTTTGGGAGGCTGAGACGGGTGGATCACTTGAGGTCAGGAGTTTGAGACCAGTCCTGGCCAACGTGGTGAAACCCCATCTCTACTAAAATACAAAAATTAGCCCGGCGTGATGGTGGGTGCCTGTAATCCCAGCTACTTGGGAAGCTGAGGCAGAATTCCTTGAACCCGGGAGGCAGAGGTTGTAGCGAGCCAAGATCGCGCCAATGTGCTCCAACCTGGGCAACATAGCAAGACTCCATCTCAAGAAAAAAGAAAAAAAAAGACAAGGTCTTGCTCTGTCACCCAGGCTGGGGTGCAGGGGTAGGGTCAGGGCTCATTGCAGCCTCTACCTCCCAGGCTCAGGCAATCCTCCCATCCAATCCCCACCCCCCTACCCCCAACAACCACCACCCCCCTCTACCCCAGCAGCTGGGACTACAGGCATGCACCACCATGCCCAGCTTTTTTTTTTGTTAGATGGTTCACTGCTGCCCAGGCTGGTGTGGAACTCCTGGGCTCAAGCCATCCTCCTGCCTCGGCCCCCCAGAGTGCTGGGATTACAAGTGGGAGCCACCATACCAGGGCTTCACTAGTTATCTTGGTGTCATAGGTTGACTAAGCCCACAGGATCACAGGAAATGGCCATGGGTACACATAACCCAAAGGAATCCTGGGCTGGGTGGCCAAGGCCAGTTCAACCATTTATGGTTCAGTACATCTGGGTGGGATGAAAAACTTGCATTTATTTCTGCAAGTTCCCAGAGGATGTGGATGCTGGTCTGGAAACCAGTTACACGTGATTTGTCATTCTTCTCAGCTTCCATTTTCCATCCCTGGATCCTGCATCTAAGCCTATGCCTTCCCCAGTTAAGACTCATTGGTGGGCCTGGTGCACTGGCTCACCTGGCTTATGCCTACAGTCCCAGCTGCTTGGGAGAATGAGATGGATTGTTTGAGCCCAGGACATCAAGGCTGTAGTGAGCTGTCAGAGACTACAGTAAAGACTGACTGGTGCTCAGAGCAGTTTGGGTACCAGAAACAATGATGTGAGGGTCTATAAAGCAGTCAGTGTCCTTACCAGTACCTCCCTGAGATACCAAATCGGCAGACACCCAAGTCCCTCATATAAAATGTAGTACTTGCATATAACCTGTGTACTTCAAATCATCTCTACGTTACTTGTAATACCTAATCTAATGCAAATATTATGTAAATAATTTATACTATTATTGTTTAGGGAATAATGAGAAGTCTATACATGTCCAGTACAACTCTTTTCCCAATATCCAGTTGGTTGAATCCGTAGGACAGGGACTCAATATTAAGTGTCAATTTAAGGAGAGCAGTGCAACTGAACTCAGGCCCCATGCCTCCATCAGCCAGCCGTGTTTCCCTAAATAAGCACACATCTCGCAGCTTTTTTCAATTCCCATTTATTTTTGGCTCTTGGGGCGATGTCATCTTTTCAATATGAAAAAAAGCAGCAAGTTCAACATAAAATAGAAATCTCAAATGTAGGATAGAACAAAACCAAGTGTGTGAGGGGGGAAGCAACAGCAAAAGGAAGAAATGAGATGTTGCAAAAAAGATGGAGGAGGGTTCCCCTCTCCTCTGGGGACTGACTCAAACACTGATGTGGCAGTATACACCACTCCAGAGTCAGGGGTGTTCATTCTTTTTTGGGAGTAAGAAAAGGTGGGGATTAAGAAGACGTTTCTGGAGGCTTAGGGACCAAGGCTGGTCTCTTTCCCCCCTCCCAACCCCCTTGATCCCTTTCTCTGATCAGGGGAAAGGAGCTGAGTGAGGGAGGTAGAGTTGGAAAGGGAAGGATTCCACTTGACAGAGTGGGACAGACTCCTCCAGAGTAGAGCTTGGAGGGAGATTGAAAGTGGAGATAATACTGCTGACACCTCCCTTGAAGCTGAGATGGGAAATGGACATACTTAGAAATTTAGTGACTTTAATAGCCTGGATTTCCCTCTCCAAAACTTTTAGAATGGAAAATCCCATCCCCTTCCTTATATAGTGACTTCTACCCACTACCTTCTACCATTTTCTACTTTGGGCTTAGGATGATGGCCATTATCTACATGTGTTTTCAGCACCTGGTTGGTTCTAAATGGGATCTGGAGACCCAGCTTCTTGGAGATTTTTAAGAGGAAGTATTAACTGGACAAATGGAATGGGCACCAGAAAGAAATACAGGGTCACCCAGAATGGCAGAAACCTAGGTTTCCCAGAGTGGAAAGAGAGAGGAGACATTCAACAAACAAGTATTTATTGAGCGCCTACTATGTGCCAGGCACTGTTCTAGACCCCCCCCAGAAGAAAAAACAAAAAACAAGATAGAGGCAGCAAACACAAATTCTGAGGGAGAGGAAAGGGGCAGTTGAGTAAGACGGCTAAGGGAACTGAGAAGCCTGAGGTGATGGGGGCTCTGCCTTAGGCCTCCTCTTCGGCCTCCTCACCGAAATCCTCCTCCTCTTCTGCGGTGGCATCCTGGTACTGCTGATACTCAGAGACGAGGTCGTTCATGTTGCTCTCAGCCTCGGTGAACTCCATCTCGTCCATGCCCTCGCCTGTGTACCAGTGGAGGAAGGCCTTCCGGCGGAACATGGCAGTGAACTGCTCCGAGATGCGCTTGAAGAGCTCCTGGATGGCTGTGCTATTGCCAATGAAGGTGACTGCCATCTTGAGGCCACGAGGTGGGATGTCACAGACGGCTGTCTTGACATTGTTGGGGATCCATTCCACAAAGTAGCTGCTGTTCTTGTTCTGCACGTTAAGCATCTGCTCATCGACCTCCTTCATGGACATCCGACCACGGAAGACAGCAGCCACGGTGAGGTATCGGCCGTGGCGGGGGTCACAGGCAGCCATCATGTTCTTGGCATCGAAGACCTGCTGGGTGAGTTCCGGCACTGTGAGAGCTCGATACTGCTGGCTTCCACGGCTGGTGAGAGGGGCAAAGCCAGGCATAAAGAAATGGAGACGTGGGAAGGGGACCATGTTGACTGCCAACTTGCGGAGGTCAGCATTGAGCTGGCCAGGGAAACGGAGGCAGGTGGTGACACCACTCATGGTGGCTGAGACAAGGTGGTTCAGATCCCCGTAGGTTGGTGTGGTCAGCTTCAGAGTGCGGAAGCAGATATCATAGAGGGCCTCGTTGTCAATGCAATAGGTCTCATCAGTATTCTCTACCAACTGATGGACGGAGAGGGTGGCATTGTAGGGCTCGACCACGGTGTCAGACACTTTGGGTGAAGGCACCACACTGAAGGTATTCATGATGCGATCAGGGTATTCTTCTCGGATCTTGCTGATAAGGAGAGTGCCCATTCCAGAGCCTGTGCCCCCGCCCAGTGAGTGGGTCAGCTGGAAGCCCTGCAGGCAGTCACAGCTCTCTGCCTCCTTCCGTACCACATCCAGGACAGAATCAACCAGCTCGGCGCCCTCTGTGTAGTGGCCTTTGGCCCAGTTGTTACCTGCCCCAGACTGACCTGGAATGCAGTCAGGAGAAAAGCTCAATTAACAGGGTATGGAAGATACATGATGTTTCCATCTTTCAACTTTTCAAATAATTCCCTCGGATGTATCTTCTTTCTCCTTCACTGTGATATATTCTCCCCCTACTGCCCCATAATTTACCAGCAATAGTAGGCACTACCTCTACCCTCCGTTAGATTTCAGAACACATTTCTGTATTAGCACTCCAATACAACAATCATCTCCTAACTTTTGCTGTGTCCTTGCACCCAAATAAGTTGAACACGATGGTATATCATCTGCTAATATCATCTGTATAACTCACCAAATACAAAGTTGTCTGGTCTAAAGATCTGGCCAAAAGGACCTGAGCGAACAGAGTCCATGGTCCCAGGTTCTAGATCCACCAGGATGGCACGAGGAACATATTTGCCACCTACAGAGAATAAAGTTAAGAGCTGTGAAATCTGGCAGAAGGGAAGGTTTATAGATATACTGGAAATGGGAGACAGCAGGGATCAGAGACTTGTCATTCCAGGTCCCGCCACCAGGTGGCAGCAGACGTCTTTGGCCCCGACGGTGGTTCACGAAAGGGACAAAATGACAGATTCACCCAAAGGGGATAAGGCGTGCCCAGAAATGGAAAGAGATCCCAGATAAGTGGGAGACAGGGAAGGGAACCTGAGCTGCCCGGGCTCCTGCCCTTACCTGTGGCTTCATTGTAGTACACAGAGATGCGGTCCAGCTGCAGGTCGCTGTCCCCGTGGTAGGTGCCGGTGGGGTCGATGCCATGTTCATCACTGATCACCTCCCAGAACTGCCGAGGGGGAGCAACGAGACCACAACAGGTCAAGTCCCAGCCAACTATGTCCCCAACTACCATTTTATTTCATCTTTTTCTTAATTTTTTTTGAGACGGAGTCTCGCTCTGTCACCAGGCTGGAGTGCAGTGGCGCTATCTCGGCTCACTGCAACCTCTGCTTCCCGGGTTCAAGCGATTCTCCTGCCTCAGCCCCCGGAGTAGCTGGGACTATAGGCGCGCACCAACACGCCCAGCTACTTTTTGTATTTTTAGTAGAGACGGGTTTCACCATGTTGGCCAGGATGGTCTAGATCTCTTGACCTCGTGATCCGCCCACCTTGGCCTCCCAAAGTGCTGGGATTACAAGGGTGAGCCACCGCGCCCAGCTTCTTCTAATTTTTAAGACAGGGTCTTCCTGTTGCCCAGCCTGCAGTGCAGTGGTGCAATCACGGATGACTACAGCGTGGAACTCCCAGGCTCAACCGATCCTCCCATCTCAGCCTCTCGAGTAGCTGGGACCACAGACGCGCGCCACCACGCCCAGCTAATTTTTTACTTTTATTTTTTGTAGAAACGTGGCATGGGGGAGGGTCTCGCTTTGTTGCCCAGGATGGTCTCGAACCCCTGACCTGGAGGGATCCCAATTCGCCCACCTCGGCCCCACATCTCCCATTTTAATTCCACAAGCGCTCAGGCCGTTGTTCTAGGGCATGGCATCCCGTGGGCCTGCCACACCCTTCCCCTAGACACTCGCTCCCCCGAGAAAGCCACAGCTTTCCCTGCTCTGGATATGTGCAGCGGGTCCCAAGTGCTCGGTGGGCGGATGGAGGTCGACCACACTTCGATAAGCGCCGCTCTCCTTCCCCCAAGCTGGGCACCGCCCCACCGCGCGGCGCACAAAAGGCTGGGGGTCTGAGGAAAGAGCTGCCGCCGCAGTCGACCACCCCCCCCGCCCTCCACGTGACTGCGGCGCACGCGCAGGTCGAGCCGCCGACAAAAGACTTCGCGCGTGGGCGGGGCCAGGGACAAAAATTCCGCGCGCGAGGGGCGGGGCCCAAGGTAGCGCGCCCCTGCCGGCGGGCAACGCCGCATTGTCCCCGCGCGCCCACGGCGCCCCGGCCCCGCCCCGCAGGGCCCCGCCCTTCTGCTACAACGTAGCAGCCGCACTTCCTCCCGCCCCTCCCCCGCTACACTGTAACCGCGCGCAAAAAAAAAAAATCCCCCTTGGCCTCGGAATTTTTATTCCTTCGCTACATTTCTACCCCTTGATTTAAAGGATTCTTTCTCTCCCATTAAGTCCTGAGGGACTCATTAAAGAAAACCACACACCCCCATTTTCTCGACATATCTGTTCACGCCCTAAAAAAGTCTCTCTTAGGGGCCATGAAAGCAAGTAAAATTAATCCCGTTCTTATTCTCCTTCCACCCAGGAACAAATACAGGACCGGCCCTCTGGGGTCGCGGGCGCGTTGGGGTCCCTGGTCTTTTGTGAAAGGTAGCGCCCAGCGCAGCCCACCCTGGCGCATCGCCCCCCACCCTTGCGCTGGAGCTCTCTGCAGCCGCCCGATGGCCTCACCCCTTCCCGCTCCGGTTTGGCCCTAAGTACCCCGCAGGGGGGTTGGGCGGGATGCACATGGGCAAAACCTCGCCCCGCTTTGTCTGCGACCGTTTCCGCATCTCTCTCCCTGCCCGGTTCTCGGACCGTTAGAAGCCCTTTTAAGTAACATCTTATAAGTCCTCGGTCTTCCCGCCCCCAAACCCGAAGAGCCCTTTTACTAGTTTCTCCAAAATGTGCCTGCCAAGAAAAATGATTCCCAGCTTTCCAAAGGCAAATGCTAGCTACAATTGTTATATATATAAATGTAACAAACTTGAGAGGGGCAAATCTTGATTAAGGATAGCGGGTGCAAATGCCCCACAACCATTTTTTCATAACTTACCTGGATTTTTCCTTGTAAAAAGAAATAAAAGAGGTGTAAAATTCTTACCTTGGCACCGATCTGGTTGCCACACTGACCAGCCTGGATGTGCACGATTTCCCTCATGGTTAAAATTTAATTTTTTTGCTCGCCTCAAGGTATGTATGGGGCAAGAAAATAAGTAATTTTTTTTCTCCGCAGGTCGCAGGCTGGAAGGTTGGAATGCGCCCCAGAGGCTGGAGCAGCGAGGTGCAAACGCGACGGCAGGAAGGTTCTGAGAGGGAGAAAGGAGAGGGGAGGGCGCGGAGGGAAAGCAGGCTGGGCGGGGCGCGCGTGCGCCGGGGCTGGGAGGCGGGAGAATCGGCCCCGCGCGCGGTAGGGAGACAAAGCCTCATCGAGCCTGGCCCTGATTAGTCGATGCCGGTCATGTACCAGGCGTCCATTGGCCTCTGAGCCAGTGGACGAGCGCAGTCCTCTTTGGGAGTTGTAGTCCCCTATTGTTGTCCATGCTGCAAAATGAAGTGACGAATGGGTGGGTACCGGTTTGGTTTTCATGGGGTTTTTGTTTTGTAAATGAAAAACGACCTTGCGCAAGATTCCTTTCCTCTATGCCTGAGGTTTTTGTACAAAAAGTGAGCAGTTCTTGGGGGTACAGGAATTGAGAAGTCTGGGGTTCCAGAAGTTGGGTGGTGGGGAAGACACGCCCTGAAAGCTCCCAGCTGCAGTACCTCTAGGGGAGAAAGGATTGCTTAGTTCAGCGAAAAATGGGGAGAAGTCTGGCACCGTGCTCTGCCTCCCCTGGCCTTTGGTGACCCAAGGCATGAACTTCAGTAAGCTTCTGCTCCCTCAAATACTTCAAGAAGGGAATCGCCCTCTTGCTATTTCCTTGGAAATTTTCGAGCCATTGTTTTGAAAGAGAAACAAAATTGCAGCAAGGGCTTTTCAGGATAGCGATGTTGTCTGGAGAGTATGTTCAAAGAATAAAATAGTTTAGAGAAACCGACATCGGGGATTTGTGAAACTAGAAGTCTCCTACGTGGGTAGGAGATCTGGACCTTAGGGCAGACTTTGAAGACACCTTGGTCTTCTTGTCAAACAGGGAACTATGGAATGAGATGCCTGATAGATTTTCAGTTTTTTCAGCCTGCCTCTTTAGACATGTTAATGAAGTCAGTGGTTTTTCAATTCGCTGATTTCACTGACCAGGTGGCCGCCACTGCAACTCTGCAAGAGACCCAGTATTGAAAAACGAGAGAGGGGTAATTGATGGGGGAAAAATTGAGTGGGTTCAAGACGGAGTCCATCTGCTTCTTCCCATAGATTTATTATTCACTTATTTGATAGTTACTATGTATCCACCAAATTAGGAGCTATGGTTACAAAATGATTAAGAATTAGCTCCCTGTCCTCCAGGATGTTGCAGTCTGGTGAGAAGCATACAATCAATAAAATGTGGTAACCACTCAGAAATGTAGTATCAAGTCAACGTCATTGTTAATTCACATTCGATCACACAGATCAATGTATTTCTTTTTTTTTTTTTTGTATTTTTAGTAGAGACAGGGTTTCACTGTGTTAGCCAGGATGGTCTCGATCTCCTCACCTCGTGATTCGCCCGCCTTTGCCTCCCAAAGTGCTGGGATTACAGGCGTGAGCCACCGCGCTGGGCAGATCAATGTATTTCTAAGTTGCCTTCTAAATGAGGGAACATCAACTTGTGTAAGCCCTCTCTACCCACTTAAAATATAATGCTTTACGTTTTAGGGAAATGAACACAGTCATTTTGTGGGAGTAGAAATAACTCAAAATACACAATCAGATAACTTGTTTCAATTTGTCTCTATATTAGCTGTAGGATCCTAGGAAAGTCCTTTAACTTTGCAGGGCTCCAGCTCCTCGTTTGTAAAATCTGCTTATTTGACTGTTGTGCACAGAATTGAGATAACCAACAGAAAGGACTTTATGAATTATGCAAGTGTTATAGTTACCATTTTCTTCATGTCTTATTGTGAGATAAAATAGGCCGGGCGCAGTGGCTTACGCCTGTAATCCCAGCACATTGGGAGGCCCAGGCGGGAGAATCACCTGAGGTCCGGAGTTTGAGACCAGACTGACCAACATGGAGAAACCCCGTCTCTACTAAAAATACAAAATTAGCCGGGCGTGGTAGCGCATGCCTGTAATCCCAGCTACTCGGGAGGCTGAGACAGGAGAATTGCTTGAACCCAGAAGGCGGAGGTTGCGGTGAGTCGAGATCGCGCCATTGCACTCCAGCCTAGGCAACAAGAGCGAAAGTCCGTCTCAAAAAATAAAATATAGATGGCCGCATGCGGTGGTTTACGCCTGTAATCCCACCACTTTGAGAGGCCGAGGCGGGCGGATCACCTGAGGTCAGAAGTTCGAGACCAGCCTGACCAACATGGAGAAACCACGTCTCTACTAAAAATACAAAAATAAGCTGGGCGTGGTGGCGCATGCCTGTAATCCCAGCTACTTGGGAGGTTGAGGCAGGAGAATCGCTTGAACCTGGGAGGCAGAGGTTGCGGTGAGTCGAGATCGCGCCATTGCACTCCAGCCTGGGCAACAAGAGCAAAACTCCATCTCAAAAAATAGATAAATTAGTTAATTAAAAAATAAAAATAAATGATTTTATGATCCTTCCCTCGCCCCTCGAAAGGTGGGGACAGCCTTTAAGACAGAGAGCAAACCAGTTTTCTCTGTTCGACTACAGATCTTTAGGATCTTGGATTTAAGAAAATGACCTCAAAATGTCCGTCAGAGACGTATTCCCAGGAAGAAAGATATTACTTCTACTACAAACCAAATCAAAAGGAAATGAAATTCCAATGCAACAGGAGTGAACTGCCACGCCTACGGGCTGTTCTCCAAACTGCAGCCTCCAGCCACGACTGCAACGCGCAACCCACTTTCATTTCTCATGAGTCAGCGGACACCATGTCTAGGAGGACCGAGGAAAGGCGCTCTGGCCTTACCAGACACGTCGGACGTCTATGACACAGCCCCTCTATCCGTTGCCGGCAGCTGGCGCCAGACTCTCTGGTCGCGGTTTGGAACTGCGCGGGAAGTGGGTGGTGGGCGGGCAAGCGGTAGTGGGTTGTCCCTTGGAGCTGCCCAATCGACGTGCATTATTCTGTTGGCGCACGGCGGCCTTCAATTACCGTCTCATTAACTGATCTCAGCAGCCTGGGAGACACCACCTATTTGAACTCTAAGGGGGCGGGGCTTTGGGTGTGCCTCCGCTCGACTGGCTGCGGTTGTGAAAGACAGCGGCAGAAGCCAATCAGCAAATAAGCTCTTTTTCGGCACACGCAGTCGCTCCACCCGGGTCGCGACCGTTACTGGTGGCGCGCGCGGGGACTTAAAGTAGGTGAGTTCTAGGGGCCTGGCCCACGGCTCCCCGGGAGCCATCTTGGTTCCCCCAGAAGGCGGGAGGGGCGTACCTTGGGTGCGACTGGGCGGAGGTGACTTGGAAGTTCGCTTCTCGGACTGTAATACTCATCCTTACCTGGCGCCCCGCTCCGAGTTTAGGTATGAAGACACAGGGAGACGTCGGGCCACAAGGGAACCCACTGAGGTGGGGACCAAAGATGGTGGCTCTTTGAATTGGAGCCAAGCGTGGTGGGCACCCGCTGAGTTGGCCTGTCATAAAGACGGAGTTGACACTTTATCCATGGGGCATCCTACTTTCCCTACCTGTCAACAATTTCCCTCTAGAGTGGCATATTTTCAGGTGAATTCCATTTATGCTATTTTCTTTCCATCTCATTTGTTCCTTCATCAGTAGGCTCGGTGATGAGCCTTCCCGAGGGCAGGGTCGATTTCATGTTTGGTTCACAGATGTATACCAAATACTTCAAACAGGTATACCATAACCATTGAATGAATATGATGGACCCTAGGGGAAAGACACGGTTCCCCTAATCCAGTCCTGGAGGTGGGTGAGTGTGAAGGCAGAAATGGAAAGTAATGGTTACAATATAGCGAGAGATCTTAGAGTAAGCACAAATCCATTGACCACTGTGGAACAGGCAGGATACACCAGGAACACGAGAAGGCAGGGAACACGCCAGGAAAGGGTTTGCTGAGAAAGTGACATTTGAGGCCGGGCGCGGTTGCTCACTGCTGTAATCCCAACACTTTGGGTGGCCAAGGTGGGCGGATCACCTGAGGTCAGGAGCTCGAGACCGTGGTGAAACCCCGTCTCTACTAAAAATACAAAAATTAGCCAGGCGTGATGCCGGGCGCCTGTAATCCCAGCTGCTCGGGAGGCTGAGGCAGGAGAATCGCTTGAAGCCTGGAGGCAGAGGTTGCAGTGAGCCAAGATAGCACCACTGCAGTCCAGCCTGGACGACAGAGCGAGATTCCATCTCAAAAAAAAAAAAAAGAAAGAAAGTGACATTTGAACTGAATCTTAAAGGATGGTAGAAGTTGGACCAGAAAACTAGGTGGGAAAAAGCCAAGGAATTGGGCTAAGGCATGAAGATGTGGGAAGACAAGAACAGTGTGTTCGAAGACTGGGGAAAATGTCTGGCTGAACCATAGGCTTTTGCGGGCGAGGGGTAGGCGTTACAAGATGTGAAGTTCAGATCATGGAGGGTCTCGCTAAGGAGTTTAGATTTTATTCTGTGTGCACGAAAAACCATCAAGATTTTAGAGGAGAGACATCTGAGTGATTTGGGGCAAGTCTTAACCTTATATATGCTTATGTATGTTTCAAGGAGATCTGAAAATCTTAACCCAGCTATGTTGCAGTTTCTTTATCTGAAGAAATGGAAGATAGTAATACTACTTTACAAGGTTCTTGTGAAGATTAAATGAGTCAGAGTCGATATAAAGTAATTAGAACAGTGCTTGACACATAGGAAGCTTCTATATATGTCATCTTTTATTATCATTTTTTGCAGTTGCATCTGATCAAACTGAGGTGGTCTGGTAAAAGTATAAAAAGCATGGGCTAAAAAAGAAAGAAAAACAACGGGGCGCAGTGGCTCACGCCTGTAATCCCAGCACTTTGGGAGGCCAAGGTGGGCGGATCACCCAAGGTCAAGAGTTCGAGTCCACCCTGGCCAATATGGCAAAACCCCATCTCTTCTAAAAATACAAAAATTAGCCAGGCATGGTGGCAGGTGCCTGTAATCTCAGCTACTTGGGAGGCTGAGGTGAGAGAATTGCTTGAAACCCGGGAGGCAGAGGTTGCCGTGGGCCCAAGATCTTACCACTGCATGCCAGCCTGGGGAGCAGAACGAGACTCCATCACAAAAAAGAAAAAAATGTTTTAAGTGCTTCAGAAGGTTAACAACAGAAAGATTGGTGGAAAGAGAAGCATCAACGTTCATAATGATCCAGTTTACCCCCTAGTTTTCAGTCTGATAACTCTGATGCTGTTTGTGTGAACCAATAATGAGGATAATTGATAATGTGTATCCTTCCCAGATCATGGAGGACACCCAGGCTATTGACTGGGATGTTGAAGAAGAGGAGGAGACAGAGCAATCCAGTGAATCCTTGAGGTGTAACGTGGAGCCAGTAGGGCGGCTACATATCTTTAGTGGTGCCCATGGACCAGAAAAAGGTCAGAGGGTATTGGATGTTCAAGTATTGATATAGATCTTTTATTTTTGTGGTAAGGTATTTGGAGGGTTGCAAGAAGCTTATGTATGTTTCAATGAGATGTGAATTTTTTTTTTTCATGAATGGAAGAGATGGGGCCGATTGAGTTGATAGTTGCAGACTACTACCCTGGACTCACTGGAAGTGATTTTACTTTGATAAAAGAAAATTAAGAGATTGAAATGAAGCTGGGTGCAGTGACTCACACCTGTAATTCCCGTGCTTTGAGAGGCCAAGGCAGAAGGATCACTTGAGACTAGGAGTTAGAGACCAGCCTGGGTAGCATAGCAAAACCCTGTCTCTACGAAAAATTTAAAAATTAGCCAGGTGTGGTGGTTCATTTCACATCTGCAGTCCCACCTACTTGGGAGGCTGAGCCAGATGATCACTTGAACCCAAGAGTTCAAGATTGCACTGATCTATGATCATGACACTGCATTCTAGCCTGGGTGACAGAATGAGACCCTGTCTCAAAAAAAAAAAAAAAATCAAATAAAATCCAATTGTGTGCTCTGGAGATGGATGGTAGTGATGATTGCACAACAGTGTGAATGCACTTAATGCCACTGAACTATACACTTAAAATTATTAAGGTGATACATTTTGTGTTATGTGTATTTTATAACAGTAAAAAAACATCCATTGTGGATGGATGGGGTATCGCATATACTCTTTCAGTGCCTAGATGTCCTAGGGCCTTTTATTTTTCTAATGCATATGGAGGCCTTGAGTGAGTAGTAGAGTACCTAATAGGCACTTTTTCCTAATGACAGGCCAGGACTCTGATCTTGGAGCTTATCTACCTCTCTAATTCTTAGATTTCCCACTACACCTCGGGAAGAATGTGGTAGGCCGAATGCCTGACTGCTCTGTGGCCCTGCCCTTTCCATCTATCTCCAAACAACATGCAGAGATTGAAATCTTAGCCTGGGACAAGGCACCTATCCTCCGAGACTGTGGGAGCCTTAATGGTACTCAAATCCTGAGACCTCCTAAGGTTTTGAGCCCTGGGGTGAGTCACCGTCTGAGGGACCAGGAATTGATTCTCTTTGCTGACTTGCTCTGCCAGTACCATCGCCTGGATGTCTCTCTGCCCTTTGTCTCCCGGGGCCCTCTGACAGTAGAAGAGACACCCAGAGTACAGGGAGAAACTCAACCCCAGAGGCTTCTGTTGGCTGAGGACTCGGAGGAGGAAGTAGGTAAGTTTGTATATTGGCAGGGAGAATGAGGAGACAGGAATAATGAGTGTACAATTGTCAACTCATTCCTTTCTGTTCTTGACAGATTTTCTTTCTGAAAGGCGTATGGTAAAAAAATCAAGGACCACATCTTCCTCTGTGATAGTTCCAGAGAGGTGAGTGCCAAAGAGTCAGACACCTGAGTCTTCAAAATGAGGAAGAACCAGGGGCTGGAGGATCAATCTCTAAAAGAGATGATTATCATGAGAGTTGGGGCTGGGGAACCATACATATTCATTCACTCAGCTGAATTTTTATGGAGCACATCTGATGTGCCAAGTGGAAAACAAATTGGAAACAGAAGAAGAAATATGCTACCTTGTGTCTCCCCTCAAGGAGCTCACAGTTGAGTTGGGGTATCCCTTCCAGGGAAATAAATTCTATAGACTCTCTTTTCTTCCCTTCACAGTGATGAAGAGGGGCATTCCCCGGTCCTGGGCGGCCTTGGGCCGCCTTTTGCCTTCAATTTGAACAGTGACACAGATGTGGAAGAAGGTCAGCAACCAGCCACAGAGGAGGCCTCCTCAGCTGCCAGAAGAGGTGCCACTGTAGAGGCAAAGCAGTCTGAAGCTGAAGTTGTAACTGAAATCCAGCTTGAAAAGGATCAGCCTTTAGTGAAGGAGAGGGACAATGATACAAAAGTCAAGAGGGGTGCAGGGAATGGGGTGGTTCCAGCTGGGGTGATTCTGGAGAGGAGCCAACCTCCTGGAGAGGACAGTGACACAGATGTGGATGATGACAGCAGGCCTCCTGGAAGGCCAGCTGAGGTCCATTTGGAAAGGGCTCAGCCTTTTGGCTTCATCGACAGCGACACTGATGCGGAAGAAGAGAGGATCCCAGCAACCCCAGTTGTCATTCCTATGAAGAAGAGGAAGATCTTCCATGGAGTAGGTACAAGGGGTCCTGGAGCACCAGGCCTGGCCCATCTGCAGGAGAGCCAGGCTGGTAGTGATACAGATGTGGAAGAAGGCAAGGCCCCACAGGCTGTCCCTCTGGAGAAAAGCCAAGCTTCCATGGTTATCAACAGCGATACAGATGACGAGGAAGAAGTCTCAGCAGCGCTGACTTTGGCACATCTGAAAGAGAGCCAGCCTGCTATATGGAACAGAGATGCAGAAGAGGACATGCCCCAACGTGTGGTCCTTCTGCAGCGAAGCCAAACCACCACTGAGAGAGACAGTGACACAGACGTGGAGGAGGAAGAGCTCCCAGTGGAAAATAGAGAAGCTGTCCTCAAGGATCACACAAAGATTAGAGCCCTTGTTAGAGCACATTCAGAAAAGGACCAACCTCCTTTTGGGGACAGTGATGACAGTGTGGAAGCAGATAAGAGCTCACCTGGGATCCACCTGGAGAGAAGCCAAGCCTCCACCACAGTGGACATCAACACACAAGTGGAGAAGGAAGTCCCGCCAGGGTCAGCCATTATACATATAAAGAAGCATCAGGTGTCTGTGGAGGGGACAAATCAAACAGATGTGAAAGCAGTTGGGGGACCAGCAAAGCTGCTTGTGGTATCTCTAGAGGAAGCCTGGCCTCTGCATGGGGACTGTGAAACAGATGCAGAGGAGGGCACCTCCCTAACAGCCTCAGTAGTTGCAGATGTAAGAAAGAGCCAGCTTCCAGCAGAAGGGGATGCTGGGGCAGAGTGGGCTGCAGCTGTTCTTAAGCAGGAGAGAGCTCATGAGGTGGGGGCCCAGGGTGGGCCACCTGTGGCACAAGTGGAGCAGGACCTCCCTATCTCAAGAGAGAACCTCACAGATCTGGTGGTGGACACAGACACTCTAGGGGAATCCACCCAGCCACAGAGAGAGGGAGCCCAGGTCCCCACAGGAAGGGAGAGAGAACAACATGTGGGTGGGACCAAGGACTCTGAAGACAACTATGGTGGTAAGTGCTGGCCTTCCTTCCTTGACCTCTGAAATCAACCAGGGTTCTAACAGCTGGGGTTGGGGAGAGAAAGGTAGAGATTATTTAAGGAGTTTAGTGTCAGGTATGATTTTTGTTTTAAACTGTCTTATATTCCTCCCCGACCAGATTCTGAAGATCTGGACCTACAAGCTACCCAGTGCTTTCTGGAGAATCAGGGCCTGGAAGGTGAGGACTTCTGTGTTATTTGAATCCTGTACCAGTGGGAGCTGGGAGATTAGACTGGTGGTCCTTGAAGGGTAAAGGCTAGTATGGGTAGGGTAGGAGACCAGGAATGGAACCCTACAGTAGTATGGAGGAGATGAACTTAGGCCATCTTTTCCTGTACAGCAGTCCAGAGCATGGAGGATGAACCTACCCAGGCCTTCATGTTGACTCCACCCCAAGAGCTTGGCCCTTCCCATTGCAGCTTCCAGACAACAGGTATAAGAAACTCTTCCCTCCTCTGTGTCCCCAATTCTGCATTCTCTTTTTTTTCCTCTGTCACTCAGGCTGGATTACAGTGGTGCAGTCTCGGCTCACTGTAACCTCCGCCTCCCAGGCGGTTTCTCTTCCTTCAGCTTCCCAGGTAGCTGGGATTACAGCTGTCCATGACCATGCCTGGCTAATTTTTTGTATGTTTAGTAGAGACAGGGTTTCACCATGTTGGCCAGGCTGGTCACAAACTCCCGACCTCAAGTGATCCGCCTGCCTCGGCCTCCCAAAATGCTGGAATTGCAGGCGTAAGCCACTGCGCCCGGCCTGCGTTCTTTCTTGATTTGCCTTCCTACATGTTTCTTTCATACTCTGATTACAGTGAGCCCTCTGTGTATGCGAGTTTGCGTCCGTGAATTCAACCAGCTGCAGGTTGAAAATATTTAGGGACTGGCCTGGGCAACAGAGAGAGACCTGGTCTCCACAAAAATGAAAAAATTAGCCCAGCATAGTAGTGAGCACCTGTAGTCCCAGTTACATGGGAGGCCAGGATGGGAAGATCAGTTGAGCCCAGTCTGGGCAATAGCCCATCCCTCAACCCCCACCCCCAATGTCTCTTAAAAAAAACACACACACACTATTGCAGCACTGTTCACAATAGGCAGATATGAAATCAAACTAAATGTCCATCAACAGATGAATGGATAAAGAAAATGTAGGCCGGGGTCGGGCACAGTGGCTCACACCTCTAATCCCAACACTTTGGGAGGCCAAGGCAGGCAGATCACCTGAGATCGGGAGCTTGAGACCAGCCTGACCAACATGGAGAAACCCCGTCTCTACTAAAAATACAAAATTAGCCGGGTGTGGTGGTGCATGCCTGTAATCCCAGCTACTCAGGAGACTGAGTCAGGAGAATCCCTTGAACCCAGGAGGCAGAGGTTGCAGTGAGCTGAGATTGTGCCATCGCACTCTGGCCTGGGCAACAAGAGTGAAACTCTGTCTCAAAAAAACGAAAGAAAAGAAAATGTAGGCCGGGCACAGTGCCTCATGCCTGTAATCCCAGCACTTTGGGAAGCCGAAGTGGGTGGATCACATGAGGTCAGGAGTTTGAGACCAGCCTGGCCAACATGGTGAAACCCTGTCTCTACTAAAAATACAAAAATTAGCTGGGCATGGTGGCAGGTGCCTGTAGTCCCAGCTACTCGGGAGACTGAAGCAGGAGACTCATTTGAACCCCGGAGGCAGAGGTTGCAGTGAGCCAAGGTCACACCACTGCACTCCAACATGGGCAACAGAGTGAGACTTCATCTCTAATAATAAAAAAAAAGAAAATGTGTATATAGGCTGGGTGCAGTGGCTCAAAATACAAAATTTAGCTGGGCATGGTGGCATGCACCTGTAGTCTTAGCTACTCGGGAGGCTAAGATGGGAGGATTGCTGCCTAAGACGCAGAGGTTGCAGTGAGCTGAGGTCATGCCACTGCACTCCAAACTGGGTGACAGAGCAAGACTCAATCTAAAAAAAAAAGAAAATGTGTATATATACACAGTGGAACAGTATTCAGCAACAGAAGAGAATGAAATCCTGTCATCTGCAGCAACATGGATGAACCCTGAGGACATTATGTTAAGTGAAATAAGTCAGCACAGAAAGGCAAATATTGTATGCTCACTCATGTGGGAGCTAAAAACATGGATCTCATGGAAGTAGAGAGTAGAATGGTGGTTACCAAAGGCTAGGAAGGGTAGAGGGACAGAATGCATAAAGAGGTTGGTTAATGAATACAAAAATCCAGTCAGATTGAATGAATAAGTTCTAGTGTTCAGTTCCACAGTAGTGTTACTATAGTTAATAATTTATTGTGTATTTCAAAATAGCTAGAAGAGATTTGATATGTTTCCAAGACAAAGAAATGATAAATGTTTGAGATAGTGGATATCCCAATTATCTTGGTTTTATCATTGTACATTGTATGCATGAGTCAAAATAGCACAGGTACCCCATAAATATGTACAATTATTATGTGTCAATGAAGAAAAAAGAAAATGTGGTATATATACACAGTGGAATACTATTCAGCCTTTAAAAAGAAGGAAATTCCAGCCAAGCATGGTGGCTCACACCTGTAATCCCAGCACTTTGGGAGACCAATGTGGGTGGATCACTTGAGTCTAAGAGTTCAAGACCAAACCCCATCTCTACAACAAATACAAAAAATTAGCCGGGCACTTTGGCACATGCCGTAGTCCCAGCTACTTGGGAGGCTGAGGTGGGAGGATCTCCTGAGCCCAGCAGTTGGGAGTTGCAGTGAGCCAACATCATGCCACTGCACTCCAGCCTGGGTGACAGAGTGAAACTGTCTTGAGAGAGAGAGACTATTCAGGGAACTCTCTTATTAGGCTATGATGTTTTTCTTTCTTTCTTTCTTTCTTTCTTTTTTTGAGACAGGGTCTCTGTCACTCAGGCTGGAATGCAGTGGTATGATGAGAGACTATTCAGGGAACTCATATTAGGCTATGATGTTTTTCTTTTTCTCTTGGGTTTTTTTTTTTTTTTTTTTTTGAGACAGAGTCTCTGTCACTCAGGCTGAAGTGCAGTGGTATGATCACAGCTCACTACAGTCTTGACCTTTGGGGTTCAAGTAGTTCTCCTACCTCAGCCTCCCGGGTAGCTGAGACTACAGGACTACAGGTCCCCGTCCCCACACCTAATTTTTTTGTATTTTTTGTAGAGATGGGGTTTTGCCATGTTGTCCAGGCTAGTCTCAAACTCCTGGCCTCAAGCAATCCTCATGTCTTGGCCTCCCAAAGTCCTGGGATTACATGTCTGAGCCACCATGCCCGCCTAAGGCTATGACCTTTTTGAGACAAACGTTAAATGTTATAACTACCACCCTTATTCCCAGCTTACCTTTAATAACCTGTTCAGATTTATTATTCATGAGTTTATCTAAATCCTTTCTCATCATATTTATTATGTCAACCTGTACTTCCCTTTCCCTCTTCCTCTCCCTCTTTTCTCTCCCTCTCCCTCTCTCTCTCTTCCTTCCTCCCCTTCCAGGTACCCTAGATGAACCATGGGAGGTCCTGGCTACACAGCCATTCTGTCTGAGAGAGTCTGAGGACTCTGAGACCCAGCCTTTTGACACGCACCTTGAGGCCTATGGACCTTGCCTGTCTCCACCTAGGGCAATACCAGGAGACCAACATCCAGAGAGCCCAGTTCACACAGAGCCAATGGGGATTCAAGGCAGAGGGAGGCAGACTGTGGATAAAGTCATGGGTATACCAAAAGAAACAGCAGAGAGGGTGGGCCCTGAGAGAGGGCCATTGGAGAGAGAAACTGAGAAACTGCTACCAGAAAGACAGACAGATGTGACAGGAGAGGAAGAATTAACCAAGGGGAAACAGGACAGAGAACAAAAACAGTTGTTAGCTAGAGACACCCAGAGACAAGAATCTGACAAAAATGGGGAAAGTGCAAGTCCTGAAAGAGATAGGGAGAGTTTGAAGGTAGAAATTGAGACATCTGAGGAAATACAAGAGAAACAAGTACAGAAGCAGACCCTTCCAAGCAAAGCATTTGAGAGAGAAGTAGAGAGACCAGTAGCAAACAGAGAGTGCGATCCAGCCGAGTTAGAAGAGAAGGTGCCCAAAGTGATCCTGGAGAGAGATACACAGAGAGGGGAGCCAGAGGGAGGGAGCCAGGACCAGAAAGGGCAGGCCTCCAGCCCAACACCAGAGCCTGGGGTGGGGGCGGGGGACCTTCCGGGACCTACCTCAGCCCCCGTACCTTCTGGGAGCCAGTCAGGTGGAAGGGGATCCCCAGTGAGCCCCAGGAGGCATCAGAAAGGTAAGTGAAGGCAGAGGGGAACCCAAGGTGATACACAGGCCTCGTGATAATCAACCCCTGGGCAACCAGCTGCTTGGAACTCAGCCACCTTTGTGTTTACTTTCTGTCTAGGCCTCCTGAATTGCAAGATGCCACCTGCTGAGAAGGCTTCCAGGATCAGAGCTGCTGAGAAGGTTTCCAGGGTGAGAGCTACTTTTTCTACCTCCTATTCCACAAGTCATCTCTATATCTTCTCCAATGCTCTTTCACCTAGCCTCACTTTAATCTATTCCTTTCTCATTATTCAGTTTTCTTCCATTTTTGTCACGCCTTGATTGGCTTCTATTCCTTTATCCTCGGCACCCGTTGTTTTCCATATCTGTTTCCTAAGTTGTATCTCCTACCTGACTCAAAAGAAAGACCCTTCGTGTTTCTTCTTTCTTTGCCCCAGCCATCCTTTTCCTTACCATCATCCACGTGTGGAGAACACTATAGTAGCATTATGGAGACAGGTCTGTGGGAAAAAGGTAGCTTCCCAGGTAGATCCCAGTCTAATGGAGGAGAGATCATAGACAGAAAGGAAAATCCAGTGAGCATATTTTTTGTTTTTGTTCTTTTTTGAGACAGAGTCTGTCTCTGTCACCCAGGCTGGAGTGTGCAGTGGCGTGATCTCAGCTTACTGTAACCTCCGTCTCTTGGGTTCAAACAATTTTCCTGCCGCAGCCTCCCAAGTAGCTGGGACTACAGGCGCATGTCACCCGGCTAATTTTTGTGTATTTTTTTGTTTTTTTTGAGACAGTCTCACTCTGTCACCCAGGCTGGAGTGCAGTGGCGCGATCTTGGCTCACTGCAACCTCTGCCTCCCGGGTTCAAGCGACTCTCCTCCCTCAGCCTCCCAGGTAGCTGGGACTACTAGGCGCCTGCCAACACACCTAGCTAATTTTTTTTTTTTTTTTTTTTTTTTTAGACAGAGTCTTGCTCTGTCCCCCAGGCTGGAGTGCAGTGGCACCATCTCGGCTCACTGCAAGCTCCGCCTCCCGAGTTCACGCCATTCTCCTGCCTCAGCCTTCCAAGTAGCTGGGACTACAGGCGCCCGCCACCACGCCCGGCTAATTTTTTGTATTTTTTAGTAGAGACGGGGTTTCACCGTGTTAGCCAGGATGGTCTCGGTTTCCTGACCTTGTGATCCACCCGCCTCGGCCTCCCAAAGTGCTGGGATTACAGGCATCAGCCACCATGCCTGGCCTTTTTTTTTGTATTTTTAGTAGAGACGGGGTTTCACTATGTTGGCCAGGCTGGTCTTGAACTCCTGACCTCGTGATCCGCCCGCCTCGGCCTCCCAAAGTGCTGGGATTATAGCCGTGAGCCACCACGCCCGGTGGAAATCTGGTAAGCCTATCTAACCATAAACAAGTATCAAGAACAGTATCCAAGTTCTATCTCTTTTCTCCACCTCCTCCCCCTCACTTGCTTCTGTTTCTCCCTAGGGCGATCAGGAATCTCCAGATGCTTGTCTGCCTCCTACAGTACCTGAAGCCCCAGCCCCACCCCAAAAGCCCCTTAACTCTCAGAGCCAGAAACATCTTGCACCTCCGCCCCTTCTTTCTCCCCTTTTACCTTCTATCAAGCCAACCGTTCGTAAGACCAGGCAAGATGGGAGTCAGGAAGCTCCAGAGGCTCCCTTGTCCTCAGAGCTGGAGCCTTTCCACCCAAAGCCTAAAATTAGAACTCGGAAGTCCTCCAGAATGACACCCTTTCCAGCTACCTCTGCTGCCCCTGAGCCCCACCCTTCCACCTCCACAGCCCAGCCAGTCACTCCCAAGCCCACATCTCAGGCCACTAGGAGCAGGACAAATAGGTCCTCTGTCAAGACCCCTGAACCAGTTGTCCCCACAGCCCCTGAGCTCCAGCCTTCCACCTCCACAGACCAGCCTGTCACCTCTGAGCCCACATCTCAGGTTACTAGGGGAAGAAAAAGTAGATCCTCTGTCAAGACCCCTGAAACAGTTGTGCCCACAGCCCTTGAGCTCCAGCCTTCCACCTCCACCGACCGACCTGTCACCTCTGAACCCACCTCTCAGGCTACTAGGGGAAGAAAAAATAGATCCTCTGTCAAGACCCCTGAACCAGTTGTCCCCACAGCCCCTGAGCTCCAGCCTTCCACCTCCACAGACCAGCCTGTCACTTCTGAGCCCACATATCAGGCTACTAGGGGAAGAAAAAATAGATCCTCTGTCAAGACCCCTGAACCAGTTGTGCCCACAGCCCCTGAGCTCCGGCCTTCCACCTCCACAGACCGACCTGTCACCCCCAAGCCCACATCTCGGACCACTAGGAGCAGGACAAATATGTCCTCTGTCAAGACCCCTGAAACAGTTGTCCCCACAGCCCCTGAGCTCCAGATTTCCACCTCCACAGACCAACCTGTCACCCCTAAGCCCACATCTCGGACCACTAGGAGCAGGACAAATATGTCCTCTGTGAAGAACCCTGAATCAACTGTCCCTATAGCCCCTGAGCTCCCACCTTCCACCTCCACAGAGCAGCCTGTCACCCCTGAGCCCACATCTCGGGCTACTAGGGGAAGAAAAAATAGATCCTCTGGCAAGACCCCTGAAACACTTGTCCCCACAGCCCCTAAGCTCGAGCCTTCCACTTCCACAGACCAACCTGTCACTCCTGAGCCCACATCTCAGGCCACCAGGGGCAGGACAAATAGGTCCTCTGTGAAGACCCCTGAAACAGTTGTCCCCACAGCCCCTGAGCTCCAGCCTTCCACCTCCACAGACCAGCCTGTTACCCCTGAGCCTACGTCTCAGGCTACTAGGGGAAGAACAGATAGATCCTCTGTCAAGACTCCTGAAACAGTTGTCCCCACAGCCCCTGAGCTACAGGCTTCCGCCTCCACAGACCAGCCTGTCACCTCTGAGCCCACATCTCGGACCACTAGGGGAAGAAAAAATCGGTCCTCTGTCAAGACCCCTGAAACAGTTGTGCCCGCAGCCCCTGAGCTCCAGCCTTCCACCTCCACAGACCAACCTGTCACCCCTGAGCCCACATCTCGGGCCACTAGGGGCAGGACAAATAGGTCCTCTGTCAAGACCCCTGAATCAATTGTCCCTATAGCCCCTGAGCTTCAGCCTTCCACCTCCAGAAACCAGCTTGTCACCCCTGAGCCCACATCTCGGGCCACTAGGTGCAGGACAAATAGGTCCTCTGTCAAGACCCCTGAGCCAGTTGTCCCCACAGCCCCTGAGCCCCATCCTACCACCTCCACAGACCAGCCTGTCACCCCCAAGCTCACATCTAGGGCCACTAGGAGAAAGACAAATAGGTCCTCTGTCAAGACTCCCAAACCAGTTGAACCAGCAGCCTCTGATCTTGAGCCTTTTACCCCCACAGACCAGTCCGTCACCCCTGAGGCCATAGCTCAGGGTGGTCAGAGCAAAACACTGAGGTCTTCCACAGTAAGAGCTATGCCGGTTCCTACCACCCCTGAATTCCAATCTCCTGTCACCACAGACCAGCCTATTTCCCCTGAGCCTATTACTCAACCCAGTTGCATCAAGAGGCAGAGAGCCGCTGGGAACCCTGGCTCCCTCGCAGCTCCCATTGACCATAAGCCTTGCTCTGCACCCTTGGAACCTAAATCCCAGGCCTCAAGGAACCAAAGATGGGGAGCAGTGAGAGCAGCTGAATCCCTTACAGCCATTCCTGAGCCTGCCTCTCCCCAGCTTCTTGAGACACCAATTCATGCCTCCCAGATCCAAAAGGTGGAACCAGCAGGTAGATCTAGGTTCACCCCGGAGCTCCAGCCTAAGGCCTCTCAAAGCCGCAAGAGGTCTTTAGCTACCATGGATTCACCACCACATCAAAAACAGCCCCAAAGAGGGGAAGTCTCCCAGAAGACAGTGATTATCAAGGAAGAGGAAGAAGATACTGCAGAGAAGCCAGGGAAGGAAGAGGTGAGGAGAGGGTTGGGACCACAAAGCTGGGAAAAATGACTTCAGGGCTCTGAAACTCCCACCAAGATTTTTCTCAATCTCAGGATGTCGTGACTCCAAAACCAGGCAAGAGAAAGAGAGACCAGGCAGAGGAGGAGCCCAACAGAATACCAAGCCGCAGCCTCCGACGGACCAAACTTAACCAAGAATCAACAGCCCCCAAAGTAAGAGACAAAGGCATGGGACTTTGTGGGAGACAGAGATGAGGGGAGGATGCAAGGAGACCTAGAGGATTGTAGAGATGGGTGCTGATGGCATGGGTTGCCGTAACCACCTCAGGTCAACCCTTCCACAGGTGCTCTTCACAGGAGTGGTGGATGCTCGGGGAGAGCGGGCTGTGCTGGCACTGGGGGGAAGTCTGGCTGGTTCAGCGGCAGAGGCTTCCCACCTGGTCACTGATCGCATCCGCCGGACAGTCAAGTTCCTGTGTGCCCTGGGGCGGGGAATCCCCATTCTGTCCCTGGACTGGCTGCATCAGGTGAGAGGCCAAGGGATGATGACAGACCGATATAGTGGCAAGACTGCTCATATAGTGCCCTAGAAAGTGGTGGAAGGGAAGAGGCGTTACAGGAAGACAGGGGCATTGGTGAGCCAGAAGCCTGCATTGATTTAAAAGACATTTTGTGAGCTCTCTCTAAATGCTAGGCAGCAGAGCTGATTGAGGGGCTGGGCTGAGCTTTGATGCTGACTGCTGCCGTCCTTAGTCCCGCAAGGCTGGTTTCTTCTTACCCCCGGATGAATATGTGGTGACCGACCCTGAGCAAGAGAAGAACTTTGGCTTTAGCCTTCAAGACGCACTGAGCAGGGCTCGGGAGCGAAGGCTGCTAGAGGTGAGAGGCTATCTTTTAACCTGTGCTTCAGCCCTCCCTCCAGTGCTTCCCAATCTACAATACCATCTCCATCATTTCTTTCTCTTAGGGCTATGAGATCTATGTGACCCCTGGAGTCCAGCCACCACCACCTCAGATGGGAGAGATTATTAGCTGCTGTGGAGGCACATACCTACCCAGCATGCCTCGGTCCTATAAGGTATGCTTAGGATGTTCTGGGTCTGGGTGAGGTGGCAGTGGCAGTTAAAGAGGTGGCTGGAATGGCAAAGATTGGAGGGAAAAAAATGGAGGTTCAGAAAGGAATATAAAGTAGTGAGAGGGTGGGGGAAAAGACCTATGGTATAGAAAGGGATAGGAATGAGGGGACAGATCTGCTGATACCCCCATATAACAATCACCGAGATTCAGCAGCAGCTTAATTTAGATTATGCTACATTTGCTCCATCTATCCCTTTTTTCCTTTGATTTTCTTTTTTTTTTTTTTTTTTTTTTTTTGAGATGGAGTCTCACTCTCAGGCTGGAGTGCAGTGGCACAATCTCGGCTCACTACAATCTCCGCCTCCTGGGTTCACACCATTCTCCTGCCTCAGCCTCCCGAGTAGCTGGGACTACAGGTGCCCGCCACCACGCCCGGCTAATTCTTTTGTATTTTTAGTAGAGATGGGGTTTCACTGTGTTAGCCAGGATGGTCTTGATCTCCTGAGGTCATGATCTGCCCGCCTCGGCCTCTCAAAGTGCTGGGATTACAGGCGTGAGCCACCGCGCCCGGCTTTTTCCTTTGATTTTCTTTGCTGAAGTATTTCATTTCTTTTTATTTTTCTTTATTCTTTCTTTTTTTCCTTTCTCTTTCTTTGCTGAAATATTTTAAAGCAAACTGCCAATATTATATTATTTCTTCCTACATACTTAAATATATATCTCTAAGAAATACGTACATTTTATTTCATAATCACAATGCCATTATTGATCCTAAGCAAAATTAACAGTAGTTTATTGGTCATTTGCTCACACTCCATTAATAAAATTTCTCCCATTGTCTGAAAAATGTCTCTATACAGTTGTTCAAATCAGGATTCAAATAAGGTCCACATACTGCCACACCTATTATCTTCTTAATTATCTTTACTCTAGAGCATCCCTTAACCCACCCAGCTTTTTTTATGCCATCTATTTCCTGCAGAAGCTGGGTCACTTGTCCTTTAGAATGTTCCTCAGTCTGGAATTTTGGGTTTGCCTCCTTGTCATATAATTTATCTTGTTCCTCTGTACTCCATATTTCCTGGAAATTGCAGATAATTGTAAAAGCTTGAATAAATTCAGGTTCATCTTTCTAGCAAAAGTATTTTTTTTTTTTGAGAGAGTCTCACTCTGTCGCCAGGCTGGAGTACAGTGGAGCAGTCTTGGCTCACTGCAACCTCCATCTCCCGGGTTCAAGCTGTTCTCCTGCCTCAACCTCCCGAGTAGCTGGGACTACAGGCGCACACCACCACGCCCAGCTAATTTTTTTATTTTTACTAAAGACGGGGTTTCACCATGTTGGCCAGGATGGTCTCGATCTCTTGACCTCGTGATCCACCCACCTCGGCCTCCCAAAGTGCTGGGATTATAGGCGTGAGCCACTGTGCCTGGCCTCTAGCAAGAGTATTTCTTTTTTTTTTTTCTTTTTTTTTTTCTTTTGAGATGGAGTCTTGCTCTGTAGCCCAGGCTGGAGTGCAGTGGCGCGATCTCGGCTCACTGCAAGCTCCGCCTCCTGGGTTTTCACGCCATTCTCCTGCCCCAGCCTCCCGAGTAGCTGGGACGACAGGCACCCGTCAGCGCGCCCGGCTAATTTTTTTTTTTTTTTTTTTTTGTATTTTTAGTAGAGACAGGGTTTCACCGTGGTCTTGATCTCCTGACCTCGTGATCCACCCGCCTCAGCCTCCCAAAGTGCTGTGTAATTACAGGCATGAGCCACTGCGCCCGGCCTAGCAAGAGTATTTCATAGACAGTATGCGGTGTGCTTCACTTGGCTTCATATTAGGAGGTATTATTTTAGTGATGGTAAGACTGGTTAGTGGGTCCTGAACCCATTTCTAGGATTCTTTTTCACCTGATTTTGCCTTTGCTCTGTCTTCCCCAGCCTCAGAGAGTTGTGATCACATGCCCTCAGGACTTCCCTCATTGCTCCATTCCACTACGGGTTGGGCTGCCCCTCCTCTCGCCTGAGTTCCTGCTGACTGGAGTGCTGAAGCAGGAAGCCAAGCCAGAGGCCTTTGTCCTCTCCCCTTTGGAGATGTCATCCACCTGAGAACTCCACTACCCTTTTCCCTCCCAGACCACGAATTAGAAGATATGTGGAAGAAAGAACTCAGGGCGTTAGAAAGGATTGGGGTATATTGATACAACTTGTCCTGGAACATGGGTGGGACCAGAAATCTTTATGAATAAATGAAAAGATAAGGGATTTGGAAGCCACAGGTTGTTTTTTGTTTGTTTGTTTGTTTTTTTAATGGCCATTTTATTTTATTTGTATTTATAGTTTTTTATTTGTATAGATTTAGGGGATACAAGATTTCTTACATGCATGTATTAAATGGCCATTTTAAAATTAGCTAGTTTCATGCTCAGATGTCATAAGTGGCAGCTATCTTTAGCCAGACTGTTGCAGTTATTGCTCGATGCCACTCATGGTGTCCTACCTCCTATTTGGAAACCATCTCTATTTTTTTCTTACTGAGATTCTTACTTTGGGGTCAGGAACTTGAAGGGATGCTTGGAGTGAGTAGATTTGAGGGTCCAGTTATGGAGTGCTACTAAAACATTTTCTTCTCTCCTGGCCTCTGGAAGCATCTTTAGCTTTGACTTTGGGCAAGTCTCTGTACTTTTCTGGCCAGCTTTTCCAGGATTTATAAAATTAGAGCTTCGGCTTGACCTCTGTGATAAATAAATATTCACTCTGTGCCTTATGGTGTAGTGTAGTTTTTTAAAATGTCTAGGTCTCAAGACACAAACTTAAAAAAAAAAAAGTCATAGACTTGTATTTAATTCATCATTATCTTCTATTTAGGACAATTTGTATGACATTTCTTAAGATTTTTTTTTTTTTCTTGAGACAGGGTCTCATCTCTGTCACCTAGGCTGGAGTGCAGTGGCACCATCTTGGCTCACTGCAACCTCCACCTCCCAGTTCAAGCAATAGTCCCACCTCAGCCTCCTGAGTAGCTAGGACTGCAGGCACACACCACCATGCCTGGCTAATTTTCTTTTTTTTATTGTTTAGTAGAGACGGGGCTCTACTAAATTTTTGTATTTTTGGTAGAGATGAGGTTTTGTCATGTTGCCCAGGCTGGTCTCTAACTTCTGACCTCAAGTGATCCACCCACCTCAGCCTCCCGAGTAGCTGGGATTACAGGCACATGCCACCACACCCGGCTAATTTTTGTATTTGTAGTAGAGACGGGGTTTCACCATGTTGGCCATGCTGGTCTCGAACTCCTGACCTCAGGTGATCCACCTGTCTTGACTTCCCAAAGTGCTGGGATAACAGGCATGAGCCGCCATGACTGGCCTTTTATCTTTTTGAGTCAAGGTGTCACTCTGTTGCCCAGGCTGAAGTGCAGTGGCTCGATGTCGGCTTACTGCAGCCTTGACCTCCTGGGCTCAAACGATTTTCCTCTCAGCCTCCCAAGTAGCTGGGACCATAGGTGTGTGCAACCATGCCCGATGAATTTTGTATTTTTGGTAGAGACGAGGTTTTGTCATGTTGCCCAAGCTGGTCTCTAACTCGTGACCTCAAGTGAGCCACCCACCTCAGCCTCCAAAAGTGCTGGGATTACAGGCTTGAGCCACCGTGCCCAGCCAGATTTAAATTTTAAAAGTTGGTTGATTACAAGGATGTGGAGAAATTAGAATCCTTATACATTGCTGGTAGGAATGTTAAATGGTTCAGCCTCTGTGGTAAACAGTTTGATGGTTCCTCAAAAAGTTAAACATATGGATGGGCACAGTGGCTCACACATGTAATCCCAGCACTTTGGAGGCCAAGGCTGGCAGATCACTTGAGCTCAGAAGTTCACGGCCAGCCGGGCAACATGACAAAACCTCGTCTCTACCAAAAATACAAAAATTCACTGGGCATGGTGGCACACACCTATGGTCCCAGCTACTTGGGAGGCTAAGAGGAAAATCGTTTGAGCCCAGGAGGTCAAGGCTGCAGTGGGTGGACACGAGCCACTGCACTTCAGCCTGGGCAACAGAGTGAGACCTTGTCTCAAAAAAATAAAAGGCCAGTCACGGCAGCTCATGCCTGTAATCCCAGCACTTTGGGAAGTCAAGACAGGTGGATCACCTGAGGTCAGGAGTTAGAGACCAGCCTGGCCAACATGGTGAAATCCCGTCTCTACTTAAAATACAAAAATTAGCCGGGCGTGGTGGCATGTGCCTGCAATCCCAGCTACTTGGGAGGCTGAGGCAGAAGAATTGCTGGAACCCGGGAAGTGGAGGTTGCAGTGAGCTGAGATCGTGCCACTGCACTCCAGCCTGGGCAACAGAACAAGACTCCATCTAAAAAAAAAAAGGCCAGGCGTGGTGGCTCACCCCTGTAATCCTAGCACTTTGGGAGGCCAAGGTGGGCAGATCACAAGATCAGGAGATTGAGACCATCCTGGCTAACATGGAGAAACCCCGTCTCTACTAAAAATACAAAAAATTAGCTAGGCGTGGTGGCAGGCGCCTGTAGTCCTAGCTACTCGGGAGGCTGAGGCAGGAGAATCGCTTGAACCCGGGAGGTGGAGGTTGCAGTGAGCCAAGACTGCTCCACTGTACTCCAGCCTGGCGACAGAGCGAGACTCCCTCTCAAAAAAAAAACAAAAAAAAAAAAGTAGCCTCTTTTCTGGCTGGAACCCTCATGTAGAGTGTTGTAGATAAGAAGGAGAGGGCCGGGGTGCAGTGGCTCACACCTGTAATCCCAACACTTTGGGAGGCCGAGGTGGGCAGGTCACCTGAGGTCAGGAGTTCAAGACCAGGCTGGCCAACATGACAAAACCCCGTCTCTACTAAAAATTCAAAACAAAATTAGCCGGGCATGGTGGCCAGCCCCTGTGATCCCAGCTACTCAGGAGGCTGAGGCAGGAGAATTGCTTGAATGCAGGAGGGGGAGGTTGCATTGAGTCGAGATCGCACCATTGCACTCCAGCATGGGAGACAGAGCAAGACCCCGTCTTAAAAAAAAAAAGAGAGAGAAAAAGAAGGAGGTTCTTGCTATGCCAGAAACCCTTAAAAAGCGAAGGAATTTCCCAGAGCTGAAGATCAAAGGCCCGAGAAAGAAATTTGCCCAAAAGATGATTCAAAAGGCAAGGAGGAAGCTTATCTATGAAAAAGTGAAGCACTATCACAAGGAATATAGGCAGATGTACAGAACTGAAATTCGAATGGCTAGGATGGCCAGAAAAGCTGGCAACTTCTATGTACCTGCAAAACCCAAATTGCCGTTTGTCATCAGGATCAGAGGTATCAGTGGTGTGAACCCAAAGGTCCGAAAGGTGTTGCAGCTTCTTCGCCTTTGTTAAATCTTCAGTGGAACCTTTGTGAAGCTCAACAAGGCTTCAATGAACATGCTGAGGATTGTAGAACCATATATGGCATGGGGGTACCCAAAGCTGAAGTCAGTAAATGAACTAATCTACCAGCATGGTTATGGCAAAAATCAATAAGAAGCAAATTGCTTTGACAGATGACACTTTGATTGCTTTATCTCTTGGTAAATATGGCATCACCTGCATGGAGGATCTGATTCTTGAGATCTATACTGTTGGAAAATGCTTCAAAGAAGCAAATAACTTCCTGTAGCCCTTCAAATTATCCTCTCCACAAGGTAGAGTAAAGAAAAAGACCACCCATTTTGTAGAAAGTGGACATGCTGGCAACAGGGAGAACCGGATCAACAGACTTATTAGAAGAATGAGCTAAGGTGTCTACTGTGATTGTTTTTCTAATCTAAGCACTTAAGCAGTACCTGCTCTCAAATTGGAGGAAAAAAAAGAAAGTTAAATACGGAATTACCGAACAGTCCAGCAATTCTGCTCCTAGGTGTACACCCAAAAGAATTTAAATCAGGTGTCCAGGCTGGGTGGGGTGGCTTATGCCTATAATCCCAGCAGTTTGGGAGGCCAAAGTGGGAGGATTGCATGAGCCCAGGACTTCACGGGCAACCAGTCTGGGCAACATGGCAAAACCCTGTCACTACAAAAAATACAAAAATGGGCTAGGTGCGGTGGCTCACGCCTATAATCCTAGCACTTTGGGAGGCAAGGTGGGTAGATCACCTGAGGTCAGGAGTTCAAGACGAGCCTGGCCAACATGGCAAAACCCCATCTCTACTAAAAAATACAAAAATTAGCCGGGTGTGGTGGCTCATGCCTGTAATCCCAGCATTTTGGGAGGCCGAAGGTGGTTGGATCACCTGAGGTCAGGAGTTCGATACCAGCCTGACCAACATGGAGAAACCCGTCTCTACTAAAAAATACAAAATTAGCTGGGCGTGGTGGTGCATGCCGGTAATCCCAGCTACTCCGGAGGCTGAGGCAGGAGAATCACTTGAACCTGGGAGGTGGAGATTGTGGTGAGCCAAGATCATGCCGTTGCAACAAGAGCAAAACTCCGTCTAAAAAAAAAAAAAAATTAACTGGGCCTGGTGGCTCACGCCTGTAATCCCAACACTTTGGGAGGCTGAGGCGGGTGGATCATGAGGTCAGGAGATCAAGACCATCCTGTCCAACATGGTGAAACCCCCTCTCTACTAAAAATACAAAAATTAGCTGGGCGTGGTGGCGTGCGCCTGTAGTCCCAGCTACTCGTGAGGCTGAGGCAGAAGAATCACTTGAACCAGAGAGTCAGAGTTTGCAGTGAGCCAAGATCATGCCACTGCACTCGAGCCTGGCTATAGAGGGAGACTCTGTCTCAAAAAATAATAATAATAATAATAAAAAAATTAGCTGGGCATGGTGGCATGTGGCTGTAATCCCAGCTACTGGGGAGGCTGAGGCTGCAGAATCACGTGAACCCGGGAAGCAGAGGTTGCAGTGAGCTGAGATCATGCCACTGCACTCCAGCCTGGGTGACAGAGAAAGACTCTCTCTCAAAAAAAAAAAAAAAATTTAGCCAGGTGTGGTGGCACATGCCTGTAATCCCAGCTACTTGGAATGCTGAGGTGGGAGGAGGTCAAGGCTGCAATGAGCCATGATTGTGCAACTACATTCCAGCCTGGGTAACAGAGCACGACTCTGTCTCCAAAAAAAAAAAAAAAAAAGGAAAAGAAAACAGTTATTCAAACAAATTCTTGTACGTGAGTGTTCATATCAGCACTTTTTACAATAGCCAAAAAGGTGGAAACAACACAAATATTCATCAGCAAATGAGTGGATAAACAATTGTGATATATCCATATAATCAAATATTATTCAACCATAGAAAAGGATGAAATACTGATATATGCTACAATATTTTGAGGATGAATATCAAAATATTTTGCTAAGTGAAGGAAAGCCAGAAACAGAACACATATTATGTGATTACACATGTAAGGAATATCCAGAATAGGTAAACCCATAGAGAACAAGAGCAGATTTGTGGTTGCCAGTGGCTGTGGGGTGGGGGAGATGAGAAAATGGGGAGTAACTTCATGGGTATGGAGTTTTATTTGGGGGTGATGAAAATGTTTTGAAGGCCCAGCGTGGTGGCTCATGCCTGTAATCCCAGCACTTTGGGAGGCTGGGGCAGGTGGATCACTTGAGGTCAGGAGTTCGAGACTAGCTGGACCAACATGGTGAAACCCTGTCACTACTAAAAATACAAAATTAGCCAGGCGTGGTGGCACATGCCTGTAATCCCAGCTACTTGGGAGGCTGAGCAGGAGAATTGCTTGAACCTGGGTGGCAGAGGTTGCAGTGAGCGGAGATCAGCCATTGCACTCCAGCATGGGCAATAAGAGCAAAGCTCCATCTCAAAAAAAAAATGTTTTGAAATTAGATAGAGGTGGTGGTTGTACCTATTACTAATATACTAATGTACTAAATACCATTATATTATTCTCTTTAAAGTGGTTAGGCTAGGCCGGGTGTGGTGGCTCACGCCTGTAATCCCAGCACTGTGGGAGGCCAAGGTGGGTGGATCACCTGAGGTCAGGAGTTTGATTGAGACTAGCCTGGCCAACATGGTGAAACCCTATCTCTATTAAAAATACAAAAATTGGCCAGATGTGGTGGTGGGCGCCTGTAATCCCAGCTACTTGGGAGGCTGAGGCAGGAGAATCACATGAACCCAAGAGGCGGAGGTTGCAGTGAGCCAAGATCGCGCCATTGCACTCCAGCCTGGGCAATAAGAGCGAAACTCTGTCTCAAAAATAAATAAATAAATAAATACAATAAAGTGGTTAGGCAAGGCATGGTGGCACCCTGGGAGGCTAAGGCAGCAGGATCACTTGAGCCAAGGAGTTTGAGACCAACCTGGGTATCATAGTGAGACCCCATCACTACAAAAAATAAAAAGTTAGCTGAATGTGGTGGCGCATGCCTGTAGTCCCAACTACTCAGGAGGCTGAGGCAAGAGGACCATTTGCCCAGAAGTTCGAGGTTGCAGTGAGCTGTGATCATACCACTGCACTCCAGCCTGGACCGCAACTCAAAAAAAAAAAAGGTTAATTTTATGTTGCATGAATTTCAATTTTTAAAAAATAGTTGATTACTTATGTACACTTTTCTGCATGTAAGTAATACTTAAGTTTGGAAAACTTTGGTGTAGTAGAAATAGCATGAGATTTGCCAAGCATTTTGCTGGCTATTAAACATATCTAATCTCATAATATACATTAAGCACAGCCATTGTGGGGGTGGCAGACAGTATGACCCAGATAAATATTAGTCCCCTTGCACAACTCAAAGCTTTCATACTCTAAAATTGTCCATGTCCCGGAGGCCCTGATTTCTTTCTTTCCATTTTTTTTTTTTTTTTTTTGAGACAGAGTTTCACTCTTGTTGCCCAGGCTGGGTTCAATGGCGTGATCTCGGCTCACTGCAGCCTCCGCCTCTCGGGTTCAAGTGATTCTCCTGCCTCAGCTTTCTGAGTAGCTGGGATTACAGGCATGCACCACCACGCCCAGCTAATTTTGTATTTTTGGTAGAGACAGGGTTTCTCCATGTTGGTCAGGCTGGTCTCGAACTCCCGACCTCAGGTGATCCACCCACCTTGGCCTCGCAAAGTGCTGGGATTACAGGCGTGAGCCACTGCACCCGGCTCCTTTTTTTTTTGTTGTTGTTGTTGAGATGGAGTCTTGTTCTGTTGCCCAGGCTGGAGTGCAGTGGCGCGATCTCGGCTTACTGCAACCTCCGCCTCCCAGGTTCAAGCAATTCTCCTGCCTCAGCCTCCCAAGTAGTTGGGACTACAGGTGTGTGCCACCACACCCGGCTAATTTTTGTATTTTTAGTAGAGACGGGGTTTCGCCATGTTGGTCAGGCTGGTCTCTAACCCCTGACCTCGTGATCCACCCACCTAGGCCTCCCATAGTGCTGGGATAACAGGCATGAGCCACCGCGCCCAGCTCCTTTTTTTTTTTTTTTGAGACGGAGTCTCACTCTGTCACCCAGGCTGGAGTCCAGTGGCGAGATCTCAGCTTATCGCAACCTCCACCTCCCGGGTTCAAGCGATTCTCCTGCCTCAGCCTCCCGAGAAGCTGGGATTACAGGCTCCTGCCACCACACCTGGCTAATTTTTGTCTTTTAAGTGGAGACGAGGTTTCACCATGTTGGCCAGGCTGGTCTCAAACTCCTGACCTCAGATGATCCAACTGCCTCGGCCTCCCAAGTGCTGGGATTACAGCTGTGAGCCACTGCGCCCAGCCAGAGACCTTGATTTCTTACCATACCTGCTGTCTGTAGAGCACCATGTAGCACTCAGCTACACTCCCTCTTCATGAGTGGTACTATTTAAATGCCTCAGGTTAAACATCTAGAGATTAGGGATCTTTTCTTACACTTCCTTGTATTTTATTTATTTATTTTTTTGTTTGAGACAGAATCTTGCTCCATCACCCAGTGGATTCTCCTGCCTCAGCCTCCCAAGTAGCTGGGATTACAGGCGCATACCACCACACCCAGCTAATTTTTAAAATTTTTTAGTAGAAATGGGGTTTCACCACGTTGGCCATTCTGGTCTCCAGCTTCTGGTCTAAAGTGATCCACCCACCTCAGCCTCCCGAATTGCTGGGATTACAGGCGTGAGCCACCGAGTCTGGCCTCTTACACTTCCAATGAACCCCATAGCTTGTAGCACATTGCTTTGTGTGGTAAGTGTCTCTATTCATGGTCCTAGCAGGAAATGAATAGCACAGTGAAATTAGGATAATTTGGGGGAGAGTTTAATAAAGTGATAATTACAAAGAAGTAGGCAGGGTGTAGGGAAATCAGAAAGAATAGTGCAGTGCCTTAGTACCCACAGCTCTGTTGTGATCACCTCCAAGCTCAAAAAGATGAGGACAGAGCAGTCGTGTAGAGAGGACTTTCTTTTTTTTTTTTTCTTTTCTTTTTTTTTTTTTTTTTTTTTGAGATGGAGTCTTGCTCTGTCGCCCAGGCTGGAGTGCAGTGGCGCGATCTCGGCTCACTGCAAGCTCTGCCTCCCGGGTTCACGCCATTCTTCTGCCTCAGCCTCCTGAGCAGCTGTGACTACAAGCGCCCGCCACCGCGCCCGGCTAATTTTTTTTGTATTTTTAGTAGAGACGGGGTTTCACCGTGGTCTCGATCTCCTGACCTCGTGATCCACCCGCCTCGGCCTCCCAAACTGCTGGGATTACAGGCGTGAGCCACCGCGCCCGGCGAGAGGACTTTCTCAATAAAAACTGTGACTTTCATTGATACCGTCCATTTGGGACAACTTACTGAAGCAGAAAGCAGGGTGGAGACTGAATTCAAGGGAAAACATAAGATGTCTGGTACAGCATACAACAGCATTGATTCAGAGGAGGGTGGGAGTACTGAGCCCAGGAGACGGAGAAGGAATGTAAAGCCTGCGAGAGGCTGCTCAGCAATTATCTGGTCCCTTAGCCTACAGGATTAGCAGCTTCCTAACTCAGGCAATTATCTCTCTGGACCTGTTTCTTCTATCTATAAGTTGATGGAATTAGTCTAATGATATCTAAGGTCCCTACTATGTGTACGTCTACTGTGACAAGGTCCTTAGCTGCATGATCTTTAATTCTGACAAAGGTTACTATCACAAATATTTTAACATGTTTATTCTCGTGGTTACTAATCAACAATCTCTGGCACTATTACAACAAACCTTTCAGTATTTACAGAGAAGTTATTTGCCATTCTTAGCAACTGGCCAGTCAACAACTCAACTTTATAGTAAGTTACAGAATTTATTCTGTATATTGTATTCTGTACAATGTATTCCATACATTAATTTATTTTGTGGTAAAACAGTAACTTTTCATTTTAGATGGGAAAACTAGACGAGCTGAGATTCAACCCACGTGAGCGGCTGCAGAGCCGCTACCCTTAACAGCTCTCTCTCGGGATTCTAACATTCCCTTCTGTGACGGAGAGACAGCAGGCCGGGACACGCATCCCAGGACGGATCCACAGCTGGATGGGGAAGGCTGCGCCAGGCGGGCCGGAAGCCTGGCGGTGGCGTGCAGGAGCCCCGCCCTCCTGGGCTGGATTCAGCCGGGGGCGGGGCCGCGGGCGGGGCCTGTGGCAGCGGGAATCCCGACCCCGCCCCTTTCCCCACCCCTCCATTTCTCGCCATGGCCCCTGCACTGCTCCTGATCCCTGCTGCCCTCGCCTCTTTCATCCTGGCCTTTGGCACCGGAGTGGAGTTCGTGCGCTTTACCTCCCTTCGGCCACTTCTTGGAGGGATCCCGGAGTCTGGTGGTCCGGGTGAGCGGGAGGGATCGAGGATGAACTGGGAGGAGGAAGGTGGAGCCGTAGGAGAGGGATTGAGGGCGGGGCTTGGAAACAAATGACAGGGGAAGTCCAAGAGAGGGAACTCGAACCTTGAAAGCGGCCGAGAAGCTACAGGGGAGGGAGACCTGAGTTCTAAATTAGGAACTCAAGGATTAGAGTTTTGGAGAGGCGGGAGAGTGAGGACTGAGGGAGCCGAAAAGGGCGGTGACCGGAGTATTCTAAGTAAAGTGTTTTGTAGAGAGGACTGTTGAGAGGAGAGTGTTAAAAAGAAGGAGCATTTGGAGAACCGAAGTAAGAGGGGCAATCCAGCGTGGCCTCTCCAGCCATGCTTTTTGCAACTGCCTAACATGTGGTGTTCTATAAATCCTCTTCCCCAGGTTTGCAGGAGGCCTAGGGAAGAGGGCAGAAACTAGGGATGGAAAAGTGAGATGGGCACAGCCTAGAGAGGAAGCATTAAGGCTCTTGAAAGCAGTAAGGGACATGGCCTGGGGATCCAAGAGGAGATGAGGGTGGGGGAAACATTCTGCCACTGTTTCGATCTTTTGTCTCTTTTTCCCTCAACTTCCTGTAGATGCCCGCCAGGGATGGCTGGCTGCCCTGCAGGACCGCAGCATCCTTGCCCCCCTGGCATGGGATCTGGGGCTCCTGCTTCTATTTGTTGGGCAGCACAGCCTCATGGCAGCTGAAAGAGTGAAGGCATGGACATCCCGGTACTTTGGGGTCCTTCAGAGGTCACTGTATGTGGCCTGCACTGCCCTGGCCTTGCAGGTATGAGGCCCTGGCCTTGCAGGTATGAAATCCTGGCAGTTGAGTCCCCAAGGGAGACCAAGTGTGGGAGGGGTGCCGTGGATTGGAGGGGCAAAATATGGGTTCAGGAGGAGAATTGAGGAACTAATCTCAGCTTCCATTCCTCCACAGCACATATCCTACTTTTTATCAAGAAGGGTGTACTTGTCCTTCCCTAAGCACAAGATATGCTTCTCACCTCTGCAACTTTGTTTATGTCCTGCTTGAGATCCCTTCTCTTCAGTCCTACCCTTTCTTCAAAACCACTTCCCTAGGTCTGAAGAGAAGGCCTTGTCTGTCTTTTCACTGGGTGGTTGGCACAGGCTACTACTTTGCGTAGCTATCAGGTCACCCCATCTATTCTATAAGTTCTCAGGGTAGAGACAGGCCATCCTTACATCTTTGGGACCTCACCCAGCACGCACCCTCCACATGGTGAATATTTGGTGGTGATGCTTAGGAGAGAGGTGGGGGAGAGTTGCAGGCTAGCCTGTGGTGGGGGCAGATCTGGGTCTGGGTCTCCCAAGGTCGGGCAGACTAGGCCACTGGGATACCCAGCCCCTTATCCTTCCACAGCTGGTGATGCGGTACTGGGAGCCCATACCCAAAGGCCCTGTGTTGTGGGAGGCTCGGGCTGAGCCATGGGCCACCTGGGTGCCGCTCCTCTGCTTTGTGCTCCATGTCATCTCCTGGCTCCTCATCTTTAGCATCCTTCTCGTCTTTGACTATGCTGAGCTCATGGGCCTCAAACAGGTGAGGCTCCGAGATCCCTACCTATGACCTCTGACCCGTTTTAGAACTCCTCGTTCCCTTTCAAGGGTTTCCCTCCTCCCATGCTCTTCTACTGTCTCCCTGCTTCTCCCTCGTGGCCCTTCCCTTTGACTTTCCCTCGTAAGGGCAGCAAGCATGGGCCTCCTGGGCCTGGGGAAGGTACATGGATCAGAAGTCAGGATCAGGGATCCAAGTCTCAGAAGGGGGGTTCCTGGGCCTGAGTTCTAGAAGGGTGGTGCCTGGAAGAGGAGGAAAGAAGTGCCCAAGATGAGAAAAGGGCTTGACTCCATTTCTAAGCTCTTCTCCCTCTCTTAGGTATACTACCATGTGCTGGGGCTGGGCGAGCCTCTGGCCCTGAAGTCTCCCCGGGCTCTCAGACTCTTCTCCCACCTGCGCCACCCAGTGTGTGTGGAGCTGCTGACAGTGCTGTGGGTGGTGCCTACCCTGGGCACGGACCGTCTCCTCCTTGCTTTCCTCCTTACCCTCTACCTGGGCCTGGCTCACGGGCTTGATCAGCAAGACCTCCGCTACCTCCGGGCCCAGCTACAAAGAAAACTCCACCTGCTCTCTCGGCCCCAGGATGGGGAGGCAGAGTGAGGAGCTCACTCTGGTTACAAGCCCTGTTCTTCCTCTCCCACTGAATTCTAAATCCTTAACATCCAGGCCCTGGCTGCTTCATGCCAGAGGCCCAAATCCATGGACTGAAGGAGATGCCCCTTCTACTACTTGAGACTTTATTCTCTGGGTCCAGCTCCATACCCTAAATTCTGAGTTTCAGCCACTGAACTCCAAGGTCCACTTCTCACCAGCAAGGAAGAGTGGGGTATGGAAGTCATCTGTCCCTTCACTGTTTAGAGCATGACACTCTCCCCCTCAACAGCCTCCTGAGAAGGAAAGGATCTGCCCTGACCACTCCCCTGGCACTGTTACTTGCCTCTGCGCCTCAGGGGTCCCCTTCTGCACCGCTGGCTTCCACTCCAAGAAGGTGGACCAGGGTCTGCAAGTTCAACGGTCATAGCTGTCCCTCCAGGCCCCAACCTTGCCTCACCACTCCCGGCCCTAGTCTCTGCACCTCCTTAGGCCCTGCCTCTGGGCTCAGACCCCAACCTAGTCAAGGGGATTCTCCTGCTCTTAACTCGATGACTTGGGGCTCCCTGCTCTCCCGAGGAAGATGCTCTGCAGGAAAATAAAAGTCAGCCTTTTTCTACATATGGCATGCAGTCTGTCAGTGTCTCCCAAGCTACAGGGCTGAGTTTGGGAAAGAAAGCCAGAGGGAGCCTGGGAGCACCGAACTGGAGTCTGGGCAGCCACCACGCCCTCTGGCAACCGCTGGGGTTCGGCCACCCCCGCAGACCCGCCCCCACTTTGCCAGAGCGGCCGGGTCCCCATTCCCATTCCTTCAAATCCCCTTTTTCCCGGCAGCCGACCTGTAGACCCAAGGGAGACAGGTTGAAGCTAGAAAGAGTCGGGGCAGCAGCTCTGGTAGGGGAGGGAGCATCCAAAACCTCTGGCTTCTGAGCGCCTCTCCTGCCGCCCATCCACAAAGCCCCCCACAGCCTGGCGGCTGCCCTCGACCCCGCAAAACAAAGGACTTCAGAGGCTGGACCTACAGACCCAGATGAGAAGGCAAAAGCGTAGGGAGGAGCGGCAGGAGATGGGAAGGGCGGGCCCCGCTCGGAGCAGCTGCCGCTTCCTCCCAAAGTCCCACGAGGGGCCTGAGTCACGGGCCACCGCCCTGGGTCGGCGAGCTGGGGGAAGGGATCTGGACACCTGGCGTGTCCGGGCGGGAAGCTGGTGAGGGCCCCTGGGGACAGAGCGGAGGACCAGTGGTTGGGGCGAGAAGAGGGCAGTCCCGCAGCGAGTCCCACGCGGGGTGGGAGGGATCTAGGCCCCGCCCTCTCCTCGGCTCCGCCCTGCGCCCCCTTCCCTCTCCTCATTGTCCTTAGACAAAGCGGTCGCCGCCCCCGCCCGGCCCCCTGGTCTCTGTCTCCGTCCCTCCTCCTTTGCTGCCTCTTTCCCTCCTCCTCTCCCTCCCTCCTCCCCTCCCTCCAGTCTCCGGATCTCCCTCGGTCCCTCTCTCCTCCTCTTCCTCTCTCTGGACGCCCGGCTCCTCCGCACCCCCTCCCCCGGGGGTCCCGCGGCCTGTGAGTTGACTGAGGGGCTCAGACTTGGGGAGTGGGTGTCTCCTCGCCCCTGTCCTTGCTCCCGTCCCTGGCCCGGACCTTGGCTGTCTCCTCTTTGTGCCGAGATTGTCAGTCTGTGCGGCTACAGCGGGGTGGAGACGGCCGGCTCTGTCACGGCTTCATGAGAGCGGGGACGGGGCGCAGGACTTGCAGGCGCCGGGGAGAAGAGACATGGAGCCGGCCCTTGGCACTCTGGGGTCGCGTGGGGCAGTCGGTGGGGGAGGCAGGCGGTGGTGACAGGACAGGGTGGGGGTGGACGCCAGGGTTCTGGGAACGCGCTGGCAGCCCTGACGCCCGGGTTCCGAAAGTCTCGGGGGTGGCTATTTCCCCCGACCCGCCTCGGGGGCGGAGTGCGGGGCAGAGGGGTGGGGGCTGGGGAGAGGCGTGGCCCGAGCGGTGCTGGAAGCGGAGCCGGGACCTTTGGGGCCCGCGCTGAGACGCGCCCGGCTGCTGCCGCCGCCCTCCTTTCCCCTCTTCCCTGGTTTCCCTTCTCCTCTAGACCTGTTCGCTCTCCGCCCCTCCTTGCCTCCCCAACACCCCCTCAGGTCCCGTTGCCTCCTGGTCCTTTCAGGGATTCCTGGTCCTTCCTTCCCACACTAGCCTCCCTGGGGTATCGCTGAGGCAGCCTGGCCTGCACCCAGGTTCCCCTCACCCCTGCCACATTTCTCTCTTCTCCCTCACGCCAACTTTCCTTTTCGCCCTTCTCTCTCTTTCTCACATCCTAGAGACGGTCTTTAATACGCATTAACCCTGTGCTGCCACATCTGGCTCCTGCCCTCATTGCCTCCAATCCGGACTCTTCCTCTCACATCACCCCCACCACCCCCAACTTGGGCTCACAACTTCTCTTCACTTTTTCCATTTCCCCAGTTCTCTGCCTTCCGTCTTTCCCTCTGTCCTCATCCTTAGCCCCTCTGCCCTGCTTTGTGTCCCACCTCTCCCCCTCCACTTCCTCTCCTCCCACCCTCAGTCTCACCCCCGGGCTGTCTCACTCTCTGGAGCCTCTCCTTCCTGTTCTCTGTCCCCAGTGCTCCCTACCCTCACCTCAAGACGACCATGGCCACCATCCCAGACTGGAAGCTACAGCTGCTAGCCCGGCGCCGGCAGGAGGAGGCGTCCGTTCGAGGCCGAGAGAAAGCAGAACGGGAGCGCCTGTCCCAGATGCCAGCCTGGAAACGAGGGCTCCTGGAGCGCCGCCGGGCCAAGCTTGGGCTGTCCCCTGGGGAGCCTAGCCCTGTGCTAGGGACTGTAGAGGCTGGACCTCCAGACCCGGATGAGTCTGCGGTCCTTCTGGAGGCCATCGGGCCAGTGCACCAGAACCGATTCATCCGGCAGGAGCGGCAGCAGCAGCAGCAGCAACAACAACGGAGTGAAGAGCTGCTAGCAGAGAGAAAGCCTGGGCCTCTGGAGGCCCGGGAGCGGAGACCCAGCCCTGGGGAGATGCGGGATCAGAGCCCCAAGGGAAGAGAGTCAAGAGAAGAGAGACTAAGTCCGAGGGAGACCAGAGAGAGGAGGCTGGGGATAGGGGGAGCCCAAGAGTTGAGCCTGAGGCCTCTGGAGGCTCGGGACTGGAGGCAAAGCCCAGGAGAGGTGGGAGACAGGAGCTCCCGACTGTCAGAGGCATGGAAATGGAGGCTGAGTCCTGGAGAAACTCCAGAGCGGAGTCTGAGACTAGCAGAGTCTCGAGAGCAAAGCCCCAGGAGAAAAGAGGTGGAAAGTAGACTGAGCCCAGGGGAATCTGCCTACCAGAAGTTGGGCCTGACAGAGGCCCATAAATGGAGACCTGACTCCAGAGAGTCTCAGGAACAGAGTTTGGTACAACTGGAGGCAACAGAGTGGAGGCTGAGGTCAGGAGAAGAAAGACAAGACTACTCGGAAGAATGTGGGAGAAAAGAAGAGTGGCCAGTTCCAGGGGTAGCTCCAAAAGAGACTGCAGAGCTGTCCGAGACCCTGACAAGGGAGGCCCAAGGCAACAGTTCCGCAGGAGTGGAGGCAGCAGAGCAGAGGCCTGTGGAAGATGGCGAGAGGGGCATGAAGCCAACAGAAGGGTGGAAATGGACCCTGAACTCCGGGAAGGCTCGAGAATGGACACCCAGGGACATAGAGGCTCAAACTCAGAAACCAGAACCTCCAGAGTCAGCAGAGAAGCTTCTGGAATCTCCCGGTGTGGAGGCTGGAGAAGGGGAGGCTGAGAAGGAGGAGGCGGGGGCTCAGGGCAGGCCTCTGAGAGCCCTGCAGAACTGCTGCTCTGTGCCCTCCCCCCTCCCACCAGAGGACGCTGGGACTGGAGGCCTGAGACAGCAGGAAGAGGAAGCAGTGGAGCTCCAGCCCCCACCACCAGCCCCTCTGTCTCCCCCACCCCCAGCCCCAACTGCCCCCCAACCTCCTGGGGATCCCCTCATGAGCCGCCTGTTCTATGGGGTGAAGGCAGGGCCAGGGGTGGGGGCCCCCCGCCGCAGTGGACACACCTTCACCGTCAACCCCCGGCGGTCTGTGCCCCCTGCGACCCCAGCCACCCCAACCTCTCCAGCCACAGTTGATGCTGCAGTCCCGGGGGCTGGGAAGAAGCGGTACCCAACTGCCGAGGAGATCTTGGTTCTGGGGGGCTACCTCCGTCTCAGCCGCAGCTGCCTTGCCAAGGGGTCCCCCGAAAGACACCACAAACAGGTAGGGAAGCAGCCAAGCCAGACTTCTTAGAAGTCCACTTGTCAATTTTCTCTGGACTCTGGTCTCTTTCTTTTTTATACCCCTGTTTTCTTGTCTTCCTCTATTCTTTCTTGTTAATTCCTGCCACCACCCTTCCTCGCTCTGCACATACACCCTTCCTTCTCAGAGCCCTCCTTTTCCATTTTGAGCCCAAAAGATCCTGCCCCAGCAAAGGCTGTCTCTGGGTGTGTCTCTTTCAGGGTGTGCCAGGCTGCTCATTCTCCCTTCCCTTGGGCTCTGAGTTTCCAACCCCCTTTTCTTTCCTTCCTTTCCTGAGTGTGACCTGCCCCAGCCCATCCAGTGGGAGAGCCTAAAGTGACGAGCTTGAATCAGTGAGGGCAGGGTCACCAGGGTGAGAGCACTTGCAGTTTTTCTGGGGAGAAGGGATAGGGAGCCTGGGGTGGTGGAGGGGGTGGGGTGGGTTTGTGTTCTAGGGAGAAACTGCAGGGAGAAGTGAATGGAGAAAGGTCCAACTGCCCCGTGGGAAGGAGGGCAGAGCTGAATAGGGACATCCTAGGATGGAGGGGAGAGGGGAGATGGAACCGGGCCGGCCAAAGAGCAGAGAGAAGGCTTTTGAACCCCGAGTCTGCCCCATGGGAGAGACACAGAGAGGCCATTTGAAGTGGGTGACCTCGGGGTTGCACACCCCCAGCTGGGCCACTGCTTCAGACAGTGCTCCCTTCTCTCTTGGGACAAGAAAAGCCTTCTCCTCTTCCAAAATACCCCCGCCCCTCACTCCCCTGTCCTTCCTCCCTGGGTTTCCCCTCCCTCCCAAGAACTGGCTCAGGGATCGGTTTTCCCCTCTTTTCCTGCCATCCTGGACTTTCCCTCCCCTTAGGGTAGCAAAAGAGAGAAGTGAATTTGGAGACAGTTTTGAGAACAGGCACTGGCCAGGGAGCACAGTGGGAGTTCTGGACAGGGGTTGGGGCTGAGGCCAGCAGAGGGTCAGAGGTTAGACTTGCAACAAAGACCTGCAGGAAAGTGGGGGCAGCCAGGATGACTCCCCCTGGCCCTGGCCTCACTTCTTCCCTGTGCACATCCATCTGTTTCCAGCTTGAAAATCTCTAGGGAGACAGAGGTCCCACACTCAGACATCTCAGACTTAGGAAGTCCCTCCAGTCACACACATCTCCCCAGAGCCTGGGAAGCCCAGTCTCATTCTCATCCCATGTGTTAACATCCTCAGATTTGATTTTTTTGTGTCCTCAGTGTCAGTGGGGAACCACAGGGACTAAAGATACGGGTTAAGCCTTGGGTGGAGGGGGGTTCATTTGATCCCCCAATTCATCTTCACATGAAGCGTAAGCTCCCACCTCTAAGCCATGGTTCTTGGGAACCTACCCTCAGCCCTCTGACTGCTACCAGCCTGTTCCCCTCAGGGCTGGGCAGATGAAAAAAACAGAAGTCCGGAAATGCTACCCGGGTGAGGTGTTCAGAAAAGTCACTTCCTACTGAGAGAGGCTTGTGCCTCTGGGGAAGAATGAGCAGAGGGAAGCATGAAGCTTTGGGGCCCAAAGCCCAGGGAGCATCCCAGGGGAGCCAGGAAGCAAGTGCAGGGCAGGACCTGTGCTGGTGACCATACCTAGGCCAGAGAGCAGGGGAGCCGGAAGCAGATCGCCCAAACAGGAAGCCTGGGGTGGGGGCCGGAAGGCTGGTGGGGCTGAGTGGGGAACCCTGGGCCCTGGGCCCTGGGCCTGCCAGATCTGTGCTCAGGATGTGGTGAGAGAATAAGGAAGCAGCCGCTGCTTGGGTGGGGGTGGGGAGGAGGCAGCACAGAGTTCCTCTGACCCAGACGCCTCACCCTCCACCCTCTACCCCCTGTCAGCAACCTGTTCTTCAGGGACTGGGTGCCTTGTCCCAGCTCTGCTGCAACACACTGGCTCAGGAATAGGAGATAGGAGGACCCTGCCACCAACCCCCGCTTCACCTTCCCTAAATAACTCGTTTGCAGGCTAATTCCATCAAATTTATCCCTGCCATCAGGAGAGAAATCCCAGCCCTGCCACTGGAGCCCAGGGGATGGCTGTGGCTGGTGCCCTACCCCAGAGGCCTCTTGGTTGGGCTGAGAGACCAGCCCCATTGTGACCTTATATAGCTGATGGGAGAGGAGCGAGTGAGTCACCCCCTCTCTACCCCCCCACTCCCATGCAGGCTGTGCATTTCTGAGAAGCCCAGTCAGAAGTTGGTGGGGGGTGAGGAGACAGGCAGGGTAGGGGGGGAGATATAAACATAGACCGAGAGCAAATAAAATAAGTCATTTTCAGAGTAGAAAATAAAGTACAGAGGTTATTATTCCAAAAGAGGATATGAGAAGAAAACAAAAATGGGTTCCCAGAAATGTGGGTAAATCTGTCAGTTACAGAAACCTAAGCGGTCCCTTCTGAGAACTTGGGATATAAGCAGTCTGGCTGCTGTCACTAGATTCTACCAGCAGTTCCACAGACATGAACTGGGGGTCAAATGTGTACAGGCTGGACCACCCGCAGATCGTTTCCCCAGCATTGGTCCTCTGATGGCACCTCATGTGAGGTCTGAACAAACCCTAACCTCTTGCATTGTACCAACTTCTAAGCTCCTTTCTTTTTTCTTTTCTTTTCTTTTTTTTTTCTGAGACAGTCTCGCTGTCTCCCAGCCTGGAGTTCAATGGTGAGATTTCGGCTCACTGCAACCTCCACCTCCCGGGTTCAAGTGATTCTCCAGCCTCAGCCTCCTGAGTAGCTGGAATTACAGGCGCACGCCACCATACCCGGCTAATTTTAGTATTTTTAGTAGAGACGGGGTTTCACCATGTTAGCCAGGCTGGTCTCGAACTCCTGACCTCAAGTGATCCACCTGTCTTGGCCTCCCAAAGTGCTGGGATTACAGGGGTGAGCCACCTTACCCGGCCCCAAGCTCCTTTCAACAGCAGACATGAGTATAATATATTAGTAAATTATCTAGTAAGTTAGAAGGTGGTAAGTGATTATGGAAAAAAAAATAGAACAGTGGAACTTAGAGGGTCAGGAGGTAGGGGGAGTGAATATGGAGACTTCAAAATAGGGTGATCAGGAGGGTCAGAGCCATGGGGATATTTTGGGGGAGTGTTCCAGGCAGAAGGAATAGCTAGTACTGTTCTGGTCCTGAGGTAGGAGTGCGTGGAGGGAACCAAGGCCAGTGTGGCTGGAGTGGAGGAAGAGGCCAGAGAGGCAAGGGGAGGGTGGCATACTGGGAGCACCCTGTAGGCTTTGGTCAGGCTCTGGGCACCTTGGGGGCAATCAAGTAGACTTTTTTTTTTTTTTTTTTTTGAGACAGAGTCTTGCTCTGTTGCCCAAGCCGTAGAGCAGTGGCGCGACCTCGGCTCACTGCAACCTCCGCCTCCCGGGTTCAAGCAATTCTCCTGCCTCGTCCTCTCGAGTAGCTGGGACTACAGGTGCACGCCACCATGCCCAGCTAATTTTTTTGTATTTTTAGTAGAGACAGGTTTCACCATGTTGGCCAGGATGGTCTCAATCTCTTGACCTTGTGATCCGCCCGCCTCGGCCTCCCAAAGTTCTGGGATTATAGGCATGAACCACCGCGCCCAGCCTGGAGTAGACTTTTTGCTCCAAGTGAGATGGGGAGACACTGCAGGGTTCAGAGCCAACAAGGAGTAACATATACAGTTCCTGAGTTCTACCTTCCCATGGGGACCCAGGTGTCATATCTGGTTTTCTTTTTTTTTCTTTTTTAGAGACAGTGTCACTCTATTGCCCAGGCTGGTCTCGAACTCCTGGGCTCAAGAAATCCTCCCGCCTCAACCTCCCAAAGTGCTGGGGCTACAGGTGTGAGCCACCATGCCTGACTGGTGTCATATTGATGCAGCTCTTAACAACCACCTGCCCAGCCACCCTTCTGGCTTCTCTCTTTTCATACCTCAGTTCATTAGGGGACTCAGGGATGTACGGCTGACCCCAAGTCTTCCCAAACAGATGCCAGGGAAGGCCTGAGTAGATCATTTGGACCTTTCCAAGTAGTTCATATGGAATCCTCCTGCTGTCTCCCTAATCCCTTTGGCTCCTAGACTTAATCCCACCCTGCCCCTTCCCCCTGAGCTTCTTAATAGGGCAAAGGGGAAGGGTAGAAAGGCAGTGAGAACAGCTGGGACTCGCCTGCTCTTGGGACAGTGTGATTACCAAGGGTTTTCTGTGCCCTGTCTGGTATTTTGTCTCTGTGCCTGTCCCTTTGGGCACACTGTGGACCCCCACCCCAGGTTTGTGTGGACTTTCCTTTCTGCCCTTGTCATCTCCCCCAGCCTTCAGGGTGTCAGCGGCTCATCTTTCCCCTGTGTGTTGCTGGAGTCTCTTGGTTCCTCTCGGCCTTTCTGTTCATCTCCCATCTCTTCCTAGGCCCTAGACTCCCTTTGCTATGGATAGGAGAGGAATGAGGAGAGTAGGAGGGAACAGGTGCCCAGGGTCCTGGGTTTTGCATAGGACAGCAAGGGGCTGTGGGTATGAAAACCTTGCTTTTGTCTGAGACTCGCTCCCCAGCCAGTTCTTTCCCCACTGGCCAGTCTGCTGGGCTCCTCTGGGAAGTTCACTCGATTGCCCCCAAGGTGCCCAAAGACTCGGTTCTGATCACAAGACTTATCGCCATGTATTTTAATTTCTTTTTACCCCTCTGCCTCCCACACTCGAAATAGCAGGGACCTTGGTCTTATATTATTCACTTCTGCCTCCCAAGCCCCTGCCAACGTACAGGGCAAAGTCTGATGTTTTGAAATGATATGATCGAAGAGGGAAACTCTAGAATTGGAGAGCCAGTATGGAAAGGAAAACTGGATCCCAGAGTGGATGGGGAGAGTGAGTGGGGCACCTGAGTCCAGCCCCCACCCCCACGTTCCGCCAGTCCCACCTGCTCCCTTGCAGACTCCGCCCCCCCCGCCCCCGCTTTCTCTCCCTCAACCCCCGCGGGCTTCTCCCCTGCTGACCTTGCCTCCTGCCCCCTTTTTCTCCCTCCTTCAGCTTAAGATCTCCTTCAGCGAGACAGCCCTGGAGACCACGTACCAATACCCCTCCGAGAGTTCGGTACTGGAGGAGCTGGGCCCGGAGCCTGAGGTCCCCAGTGCCCCCAACCCTCCAGCAGCCCAACCCGACGACGAAGAGGATGAGGAAGAGCTGCTGCTGCTGCAGCCAGAGCTCCAGGGCGGGCTGCGCACCAAGGCCCTGATTGTGGGTAAGCGGAGGCTCCGCCGGCCCGAGGGCGCCCCCTGCTGTCAGAGCGGGCGCTGTGGTCCAGGAGAGAGGAGGGAGGATTACATGTAGGCACTCGGAAGGGGCTTGGCGGGTCCTCTGGTTCAACATGCTCCTTTAACAGATGGGCAAACTGAGGTCCCCGGCAGTGAAGTACACATTGAGTCTTCAGGTTTCAAAACGAGAACTCTTCCTGAGTGCTGTAATCTGGTCAAAATCACAGGGTGGGTCGACAGGCCTGAGTTGGAATTCCAGCTTGTCTCTTTAATTGTGTGATCTCAGGGAAACCATCTGATCTCTTGCTTTAGTTTATTATTTATGAAATGAAGTTAATAATAACTACCTCCTGTGGCTCATGCCTGTAATCCCAGCACTTCGGGAAGCCAAGACGGGTGGATCGCTTGAGCCCAGGAGTTCAAGACCACCCTGGGCAACATGGCAAAATCCTGTCTCTACAAAAAAATTGAAAAATTATCCAGGTGTGGGCCGGGCACGGTGGCTCACGCCTGTGATCCCAGCACTTTGGGAGGCCGAGGCGGGCGGATCACGAAGTCAGGAGATCGAGACCATCCTGGCTAACACGGTGAAACCCCATCTCTACTAAAAATACAAAAAAAAATTAGCTGGGCGTGGTGGCGGGCACCTGTAGTCCCAACTACTTGGGAGGCTGAGGCAGGAGAATGGCGTGAACCTGGGAGGCGGAGCTTGCAGTGAGCCGAGGTCGTGCCACTGCACTCCAGCCTTGACAACAGAGTGAGACTCCGTCTCAAAAAAAAAAAAAAAAATTAGCCAGGTGTGGCAGTGCGCAGCTGTGGTTCCAGGTACTTGGAAGGCTGAGGTGGGAGCATCGTTTGACCTCAGGAGTTGGAGGCTGCAGTGAACCAATATTGCACCACCCACTGCACTCCAGCCTGGGCAACAAAGGAAGACCTGTCTCAAAAGAAACAAACAGGCCAGGCACGGTGGCTCACGCCTGTAATCTCAGCACTTTGGGAGGCCGAGGCAGGTGGATCACTCAAGGTCAGAAGTTCAAGACCAGCCTGGCCAACATAGTGAAAACCCATCTCTACTAAAAATACAAAAATTAGCTAGGCATGGAGGTGGACACCTGTAATCCCTGCTACTCGGGAGTCTGAGGCAGGAGAATCACTTGAACCCGGGAAGCAGAGGTTGCAGTGAGCCGAGATGACGCCACTACACTCCAGCCTGGGTGACAGAGTGAAATTCTGTCTCAAAAAAACAGAAACCAAAAACTACCTCCTAGACTTGTAGAAAATATTAAGTAATTTTATTTATTTATTTATTTATTTATTTTGAGACAGCGTCTCCCTCTGTCGCCTGGACTGGAATGCAGTGGCACAACCTTGGCTCACTGCAACCTCTGCCTCCCAAATTCAAGCGATTCTTGTGCCTCAGCCTCTCTAGTAGCTGGGATTACAGATGTGTACCATCACACCTGGCTAGTTTTTATATTTTTAGTAGAGACAGGGTTTCCCCATGTTGGTCAGGCTGGTCTTGAACTCCTGACCTCAAGTGATCCTCCTGCCTCAGCCTCCCAAATTGCTTGGATTACAGGTGCTCCAGGCCAAGATTAAGTAATTTTTTGTGAAGCACCAAGAGCCACAGCTGGATATCATATTACTTAATCTCTCCTGGAGTTATGGTGAGATTAAACAGTTATAAGGATGCCTGGCACAGAGTCCGAGCTAAATGAGTGATGGATGTGGTTACTGGTGGTAACATGCTTTAGATATGGAAGATATTATAGGACTTCCTGCATGCCAACTGCCCTTCAATTTGTGTGGGGGGGAAGGGTGGGCAGAAGGCAGAGGCTCTCACTCATTCTCTAACATTATTGCCCCCTCTCCCACAGATGAGTCCTGCCGGCGGTGACCATCTTCCAACATAGGGATATACCTCCCTCCTTCTTATAACTGAAGATCCTGGAGCCCGGAAGATTCAGGGCAGACAGACCCTGATAATGAGCCTGGCAGGGAAGGGCAACCAACATCTTGTAACTTGCTTTCCCCACCCTGTTTCTGGGGGCAGAGCCAATTGCCCAATTTCTACCCTAATCCAAAGTCCCTGGTGTGGGTGGGGTTAAACGTGCTGGTGCATCCTAGGTCATCCAAGAGTGAGCGCCAAGTCCTGAGAAGGGGCACAGAACTCCCTGGAGGGTGGAGATGGAGCACCTGCCCCCCATGGCAGGGTACACTCTCCCCACAGCCTTCCTCCCCACCATCCCGTGGGGACTCTCGGGATTTAAGCACTCGTCTCTCTGGGAGGCCCAGACCCCACTCCATTTATAGGCACATCTCCTTCATTTCCTAGGTCACTGCCCCTTTGTTTACAGCTCCTGCCTCCTCCCTTGACCACAGCCTGGTTTACAAATTCCATCAGCTCCCAGCCCCACCTGCCAAAGTCCCAGGTTTACAAGCCACGCTTACTTGCTGTGTCTGCGTGGAATTCTCTCCTCTGTCCCCTCCAGTCTCCTCATTGGAGTGACCTGAAGGTGTGGCTTCCTCCACTTTTTCTCAGTATTACTTTGCCTTAGTTTTCCCCAAGAGGGAAGGCTGGAACTCTTAACTCTGTACCCCTTGATAGTTATTTAATTCTGTTTCTCCTAGTGGTTCACAATTGAACTGAATTGAGATGGTGTCGGGTGGCTAAGGAGACACCTCACCTCTCCTTCCCCATTGTGCCGCCTTTATCAATTGCCTGTTTTGTTTTGTTTGTTTTTTAACTTTCCATAATAAAATGGAGTTCTCTTCAACTCGTCTGCTTCTCCTTCTTTGGGAAAAAAAAAGGGTATGTGAGGGGAGGCTCTGGTGGCTGGGGGAGAGGAAAATGATGGGGGATGAACCAGGAACTCGGCACTGACATGTCAAAAGGGGTCTGGGAAGCTGCACGTGGGTTTCACGCAGGACAAGCAGGTGACATGAGAAAGGGCAGTTGAAGTGTCCACTAGACTGGAAGTGCCATGAGGGCTGACTACATCAGCTGGATTCACTGCAATATCCTGTACCTGTCAACTAGTAGACACGGAATTATTTCTAGAATGAATGACAACAAATGAATGAATAGAAGAAAAGGGTTAAAATATTACAGAGGACACTTTGAGTTGAAGGGTTCTAGTATTCAGAAGCCTGCTGCCATGAAGGCAGCTAGGTAGTGTATGACACAACCCATGTGGCTAATCCAGGGATACTTACTTAAAGAGCTGGGGCTACGAATACTAAATCTGAAATTGCTGCAAAATGAAGTAAGTATGTACAAGAGTCAGTTTCCTGGAAAAGGTTCCCCTCTGATAGACAATGGATTTTATATCGTTAAAGGCCTAAAGGCCGGGCACGGTGGCTCACGCCTGTGATCCCAGCACTTTGGGAGGCCGAGGCAGGCGGATCATAAGGTCAGGAGATTGAGACCATCCTGGCTAACACGGTGAAACCCCGTCTCTACTAAAAATACAAAAAATTAGCGGGGCATAGTGGTGGGCACCTGTAGTCCCAGCTACTCGGGAGGCTGAGGCAGGAGAATGGCATGAACCCGGGAGGTGGAGCTTGCAGTGAGCTGAGATTGCGCCATTACACTCCAGCCTGGGCAGCAGAGTGAGACTCCATCTCAAAAAAAAAAAAAAAGGTTTAAAAACCATCTTGATAGTGCATGGCTTTGGTGCCCATGTAGTTGATATTTGGAATTTTCCCATTTCAAAGAATATCTTATACAAATGTGGAACATCAATATTTTACTCATCAGGAAAATTTGTTTGTTTGTTGTTAGCTCTCCAGGCTAACAAAGATATGGTTGAATAGTTATAGTCCTTCTACCACTACAAGTTGCTCCTCTCAGACTGGTCAGAGGAGGCCCCACACCTTTACTATAAAACAAAATATATGAGACAAATTGAACTTAAGCATACGCCAAAGGTTTTCAATTTACTAGCAAGAGAACAAGCCAGGTGTCAAAAGACTCAGCCAGTTCAGAGAAGGTCTGGGTAGGGAAGGAAACAGAATGATTATATTAGTAGCCTGTTAGGTAAAGGTCTTAAAAAGTTTCCAGTTGTGACCCAGGAAAACAGAGTTAGGAAGCTCCGAGGTGCCAGGGGTGCTCACAGTCCATCTCAGAAACAGAAAACAATGCATTCAAGAGGTCAGGCCAGGTGTGGTGGCTCATGCCTGTAATCCTAACACTTTGGGATGCCAAGGCGGGTGGACTGCCTCATCTGAGGAGTTTGAGACCAGCCTGGGCAACATGATGAAACCCCGTCTCTACTAAAATACAAAAAATTAGCTGGACGTGGTGGCACGCACCTGTAGTCCCGCCTACTCAGGAGGCTGAGGCAGGAGAATTGCTTGAACCCAGGAGGTGGAGGCTGCAGTGAGCCAAGATCACGCCACTGCATTCCAGCCTGGGCGACAGAGTGAGACTCCGAGACTCCCTTTCCAAAAAAAAAAAAAAAAAAGTCAGTGATGTAGATCCACTTGTGGCTATTAATAAGAACAATGTTTCATTTCCTAACAGTAGTGCCTGGTAACTGCAATTAATCACAAAAGTATGATGCAGGATCAAACAAATCAGACAGCAGAGCATCGAGTAACAAATTCAGCTTTTTGTTTTGTTTGTTTTTTTTTTTTGAGCATAGTCTTGGTCTGTTGCCTAGGTTGGAGTGCCTGACCTCGGCTCACTGCAACCTCTGGCTCCTGGGCTCAAGAGATTCTCCTGTCTCAGGCCCAGTGCGGTGGCTCACGCCTGTAATCCCAGCACTTTGGGAGGCCGAGACGGGCGGATCATGAGGTCAGGAGTTTGAGACCAGCCTGACCAACATGGTAAAACCCCATCTGTATTAAAAATACAAAAACTAGCTGGGCGTGATGGCATGTGCTTGTCACACTTGTAATTCCAGCTACTCAGGAGGCTGAGGCAGGAGAATCACTTGAACCTGGGAGGCGGAAGTTGCAGTGAGCCGAGATCGTGCCATTGCACTCCAGTCTGGGCAACAGAGCGAGACTCTGTCTCCAAAAAAAAAAAAAAAAATTCTCCTGTCTCAGTCTCCAGAGTAGCTGGGACTACAGGTGCACACCTCCACACCTGGCTAATTTTTTGTAGAGATGGTGGGGTCTCACCCTGTTGCCCAGGCTGGTCTCAAACCCCTGGTCTCAAGATATCCTCCTGCCTCAGCCTCCCAAAGTGCTGGGATTACAGCAAGAGCCACTGCACCTGGCCTTGCTTACTTTTAAATAAGCAGCCACCAGTGATTTTCTCAAGCTGTTAAGCAAAAATGCAGAACACAGTTTGCCTGTTCCTTAGTTTGGAGATTTTGTCTTTAACAACTTTCCCCAGTTCCCCAGTTTCTTCCTGCCTAGAGGTCTTCCCTTATACCTGACCTGTCTTCACTCCTGCTGCAGGCAAACCAGTCCTAGCAACGGTCACTTTTTTGTTTGTTTGAGACAGAGACTTCCTCTGTTGCTCAGGCTGGAGTGCCGTGGTGGGATCTCGGCTCACTGCAAACTCTGCTTCCCATGTTCAAATGATTCTCCTGCCTCAGCCTCCCGAGTGGCTGGGACTACAGGCGCACACCACCACGCCAGGCTAATTTTTATATTTTTAGTAGAGACAGGGTTTCGCCATCTTGGCCAGGCTGGTCTCGAACTCCTGACCTCAGATAATCCGCCCGCCTTGGCCTCCCAAAGTGCTGGGATTACAGGCATGAGCCACCGCGCCCGGCCAACAATGCTAATATGTTTTATGAGCATGGACCCGATCTTCCAATCTGAAATAGAATTTCATTCCTCCCTTACTTTGTATAGTTTTTGGCTCTATAAAATTTCCATACTTTCTTTATTATGTATCCTGTCCCTCCCCCACCGCAAAATGTAAATTTGGTAAGGAACTTTTGATTTGTCCTCTGCTATATCCCAGGGACGGAAAGCAATGAGCACACATTAGGCATCCATTAAATTAATTTCACTTGTTGAATGAATGCGTGAGCGAAGCACTCACAGACTGACCATCAGGGGGCGTCAGAGAAACTGGACAGAGGCGAAATGAAGAAAAAAGAATTACCCCGAGTTTTCAGGTATGGTTCCGCGAGGTTTGAACTCGCTCGGCCACCGTAGTGCTTAGAGGCCGAAAAAGTACAGCCCCTTCCGGGCTCCGCGGTACGGGAAGACAGCTTTGGGATGTCGGAAGATCCTAGAGGTCCCAAGGTAGCTGACTTGCGAAGCTGAGGCTCCAGCCGAGGGCTCCAGGCCTCTGACCGGCCCAGCAGTGAGCGCGGCTGCCCGACGCTTCAGGGCCGGGAGCAGGGAGCGTGAGTCGCCATGGCGACGCCGGCGGGTCTGGAGCGCTGGGTTCAGGACGAGCTGCACTCGGTGTTGGGGCTGAGCGAGCGGCACGTCGCCCAGTTTCTGATCGGTACCGCACAGCGCTGCACCTCTGCCGAGGAGTTCGTGCAGCGCCTACGAGACACTGATACCTTGGATCTCAGTGGGCCGGCCCGGGACTTCGCCCTGAGACTCTGGAACAAGGTGTCGGCAGGGGTGGGGAGGGGCCCTGTGATTTGTCCCGGTGAGGCTGGCCTAACGGTCCATCGAGAAGTTAAGAAAGCTCAGTTCACAAGCACTTATTCTTTGTCCGTTGTCGCGTAGGTACTGTGCTAGCTGCTGGACGCCCAGCTCAGTGGAGAAGATTGAGGAGGGCTTAGGTGTGTCGGGTTAAGCGCAATAGAACGGTGTTTCTCGAACTCTTAACATGCATCCAAGGTTCTTGTTAAAATGCAGATTGCGATTCAGTAGGGATCTTAGTTTCTGCATTTCTTTCTTTCTTTTTTTTTTTTTTGAGAGACACAGTCTCGCTCGCCCCGTCGCCCAGGCTGGAGTGCGGTCGTAAGATCACGGCTCACTACAGCGTCGACCTCCCTGGTTGAAGCGACCCTCCCACCTCATCTTCCCCGGTAGCTGGGACTACGGGCGCGCGCCACCACCCCCGGCTAATATCTTTTATTTTTATTTTTATTTTTAGAGATGAGGCCTTGGTGTGTTGCGCAGGCTGGTCTCTAACTCCTCAGCTCAAGCAATCCTCTCTCAGCCCCCTCAGAGTGCTGAGATTACAGGCGTGAGCCACCATGCCCGGCCCCCCTCATCTTCTGAACTTCCTTTCAGTCGTTTAATTAACAGAGGGGGCCGGGTGCAGTGGCTCACACCTGTAATCCCAGCACCCCGGGAGGCTGAGGCAGGAGGATTACTTGAGCCCAGGAGTTCGAGACCAGCCTGGGCAACATGGCGAAACCTTCGTCCTACAAAAAAATTAAAAATTAGTTGAGCGTGGTAGTGTGCACCTGTGTTTCTAGCTACTTAGGAGCCTGAGGTGGGAGGATCCCTTGAGCCCAAGAGGGACAGAGTGAAACCCTGTCTGTAAAAAAAAATAAAAAACCCCATTCAGGATGATGAAGATGGGGTGAAGCCATGAGGAAGAAAGAGAATGAATGCTGGTTAGCTGGTTTAAAACTAAGTAATTGTGCCCGGGTGCGGTGGCTCATGCCTGTAATCCCAGCACTTTGGGAGGCTGAGGTGAGTGGATCATGAGGTCAGGAGTTTGAGACCAGCCTGGCCAACATGGTGAAACCTCATCTCTACTAAAAATACAAAAATAGTCGGGCGTGGTGGCATGTGCCTGTAATCTCAGCTACTTGGGAGGCTGAGGCAGGAGAATTGCTTGAACCTGGGAGGCGGAGGTTGAAGTGAGCCGAGATCACGCCATTGCCTGACAGTGGGGCCGGGCCGCGGGGGCAGGAAAGACTAAGTAATTGCTTAAATTAGGAACAGAGCTAAGTGGGAGGGCAGAGATCAGGAGTTGCTCAGACCTCCTTATCTTCCCCTCTACTGACAGGTACCACGAAAGGCAGTGGTAGAAAAGCCAGCTCGGGCAGCAGAGCGAGAGGCCCGGGCCCTGCTGGAGAAGAACCGATCTTATAGGTTACTGGAAGACAGTGAAGAGAGCAGTGAGGAGACTGTGAGTAGGGCTGGAAGCAGCCTCCAGAAGAAACGTAAAAAGCGGAAACACCTCAGGAAGAAGCGTGAGGAAGAAGAGGAGGAAGAGGCTTCTGAGAAAGGGAAGAAGAAAACAGGGTAAGTCAGAAGCAGGGTGAGAGAGGATGGGGCAGGCTGAAGTGTTCTCTATGCCCTTATTTAATCCCCTGGATGGGCTGCAGGGGGAGTAAACAGCAGACAGAGAAGCCAGAGTCGGAAGATGAGTGGGAACGGACAGAGCGTGAACGCCTTCAGGACCTGGAGGAGCGTGATGCCTTTGCTGAGCGGGTTCGACAGCGGGACAAGGATCGGACTCGAAATGTCCTGGAACGGTCAGACAAGAAGGTGAATAGGAGCAGCATGTTCTGTAAATCCCCAAGATCCCAGGGTGAAATCTGAGGTTGGCTGTGAGTGCAGAGATAGTGATCTCTGGGAAGACAAGGGGCTGTCTCTAGTGAGATGTTCACCTCTGTGGTGAGAGAAGCCCTGTGCATCCTGTGGCTAAGACAACTGTCTGCTGTACCTGCAATCAGAGAGATTCCTCACTGAGAGGGGACATTTTTTGTGTTAGGGCGCATCTGAATGATCCTTGTGATTCTAGAGGGGAGCAGCTGTCAGTGTGGGGGCTCTTTGGCCTCACACCCCTCCATTCTTGTTTTTTCTTCTAGGCTTATGAAGAGGCTCAGAAGCGCCTCAAGATGGCCGAGGAAGACCGGAAGGCCATGGTGAGTCCCAGGGCCTAGGGAGCCAAGATCAGAAGACAAAAGGAAAGACTTTCTGATAGAGTGTATAGGGAGAGAGGATACAGAGGAAGCACAGTGTGGATGCTGATGGGGTGGTCAGGTTTCTAGAAGAGGGGCTTGGTTGTTAGGAGCCAGCTGAGGATAGACTTATGTTGTTGAGGGAAGGATCCTTCTTAAGTTGTAGGGGGAAGGAGGCTACCCATAAGTCCTCCTTGACTCTTAACTTTAGGATCAAATATACTCTATTAGTGAATGAAATTGTGAGCTTTCCCTATTCCTGAGTCCTAATGAGATATGAGGCAGCTGGAATGTTGTCAAGAAGGTTGCTGGAGGGCAAGGGCAGGGCAGCAGTCCCACTGTACAGGGATGTGCTGACCATTCAGCTTAGGCACACCATCTCCAAATACCTTCCCACCACCTAATTCCTGCACCCCTTATGTGGCTTTGTGATCTCCCTGTGTCTTCTCACTGGACAGGGACAGAGCCCTTGTAATTCATAAACTGGACTTTTTATGGTGTGAAACTAGGTAGGGTAAGCTGTTTTCCAAAGGCCTGGTCTTGTCAAGTAAAGTCACACTTAGATTCCCCAATACCCCAATAGAATTTTGAGACTCTTGAAGTTCCTTTTTTTTTTTTTTTTTTTTTTTAAACCTTTTTTCTTTTTTTTGAAACGGGGTCTTGCCCTGTCACCGAGGCTGGAGTGCAATGATGCGATCTCGGCTCACTGCAACCTCCGCCTCCTGAGTAGCTGGGATTACAGGCGCACACCACCACGCCTGGCTAATTTTTTGTACCTTTAGTAGAGACGGGGTTTCACCATGTTGGCCAGGGTGGTCTCGAACCCCTGACCTTGTGATCCACCTGCTTTGGCCTCCCAGAGAGCTGGAATTACAGGCGTGAGCCACCATGCCCAGCCTTCTTTTTATTTGTTTTGTTTTATTTTTTATTTTTATTTATTTATTTTTGAGATGGAGTCTCACTCTGTTGCCAGGCTGGAGTGTGGTGGTGCGATCTCAGCTCACTACAACCTGTGCCTCCCTGGTGGAGGAATCAAGCGATTCTCCTGCCTCAGCCTCCTGAGTAGCTGGGACTACAGGCCTGCAGTACCACACTCGGCTAATTTTTTGTATTTTTAGTAGAGGAGATTTCATCATGTTGGCCAGGATGGTCTTGATCTCTTGACCTTGTGATCTGCCCGCCTTGGCCTCCCAAAGTGTTGGGATTATAGGCATGAGCCACTACGCCTGGCCGTTTTTACTTTTTAAAATTCATTTATTTATTTTTTTGAAACAGAGTTTTGCACTTGTTGCTCAGGCTGAAGTGCAGTGGCGTGATCTTGGCTCACTGCAACTTCCACCTCCCGAGTTCAAGCGATTCTCCTGCCTCAGCCTCCAGAGTAGCTGGGATTACAGGCATGAGCCACCTCGCCTGGCTAATTTTGTATTTTTAGTAGAGATGGGGTTTCTCCATGTTGGTCAGGCTGGTCTTGAACTCCTGACCTCAGGTGATCCACCTGCCTCGGCCTCCCAAAGTGCTGGGATTATAGGCGTGAGTCACCACGTGCCCGGCCAACTTTTGGAGTTCTAAGAATGGCCTACTGGTTCCCAGGTCTCTCCTGACCAATTTATCTCATATCTCTTCCTGAAATTGACTGTGGTTAGGCTTCTGGGACATCTCAGTGCAGTTGTGGTGGTAGTGGTGTTACTGTTTTGGCCTGAATTTAATTTTTCGGGTTTTTTTTGAGACAGAATCTCATTCTGTCGCCCAGGCTGGAGTGCAGTGGCATGATCTCGGCTCACTGCAACCTCCGCCTCCCGGGTTCAAGTGATTCTCCTGCCTCAACCTCCCGAGCAGCTGGGACTACAGACATGCACTAGCATGCCTGGCTGATTTTTGTATGTTTAGTAGAGATAGGGTTTCACCATGTTGGCCAGTCTGATCTCAAACTCCTGACCTTTGGCGATCCACCCCCCTCGGTCTCCCAAAATGTTAAGATTACAGGCGTGAGCCACTGTGCCCAGCTGTAATTTTTCTTTTTCGATTACAAAAATATTTAAGCACATAGGGAAGTTGAAAGAATAGAACAAAGAACACTCATAGACACTATTCAGATTGAAAAATGGTTAATACTATGGGTAGTATTTGCATTGTAATTGTAAATGTGGTATGTTTTTTCTTTTCAGACCATTTAAAAGAGTCTTAGACATCATGGCGTTTTATCTCTAAGTACATCAGTGTGTACCTGCTAAGGATAAAGATATTGTCCTCTAAAATCAGAATGCTCTTGTCACAGTCAGGAAGTTGAACAGTAATTCTTATGTATCGACTAAGATCTCTCTACAATAAAAGATACCCTCATTACCCTCAAAATAACTTTAATGACTGCTTTTTCCTAACAAGAATGCAGTCAAGGTTCATGCATTGCATTTGGGTCTTAGATGTTAAGTTTGTTTCTCTCTCTGTCTGTCTCACCTTGCAGTGTCCTACATTCTGGATTTGCCTGATTCTTATCTTGTGGTGTTAAGTACTTCTCTGCCCTGTGCTTTCTTTGAAGCAGGAATTGGGTCTAAAGCTTATTGACACTCAGATTAAACAGTTGTGGCAGGAACACTTCTTGGGCGGTGATGTGCACTTCATATTATGTCATATCACGGGGACATACTATCCAGTTGTGTATCTATATATTAGTATTAATATCCTTTCTACCAATAGCCTTTCATCAAATGCTTTTAGAAGCCACTGGTAATCCTTTCCTGAACATGTTATTTTTATTGGGGATTGCAAAATGGTGATTTTTTTTTTTTTTTTTTGAGACAGAGTCTCGCTCTGTCGCCCAGGCTGGAGTGCAACGGTGCGATCTCGGCTCACTGCAAGCTCTGCCTTCCGGGTTCATGCCATTCTCCTGCCTCAGCCTCCTGAGCAGCTAGAACTACAGGCGCCTGCTGCCACGCCCGGCTAATTTTTTGTATTTTTAGTAGAGATGGGGTCTCACCATGTTAGCCAGGATGGTCTCGATCTCCTGACTTCGTGATCCTCTTGCCTCAGCCTCCCAAAGTGCTGGGATTACAGGCGTGAGCCACCGCGCCCGGCCGAAATGGTGATTTTTTGATTCTGTCATTCCTGTTACGTGTATTGGCTAGAATTTGTCTATAAAGAAGAGCTTTTCCTCAACAACTAGGAACAAGCTACAGTTCCTTCTTAAAAAGGGTAAATGTTTGTTTCCTTTTAAATACGAATTTTTAGAGTAAGGCGTTTGCTGTAACAGTCATTTCACTGGTGACAGATTTTTTTCCCTTGTTTTTTGTTTGTGTGTGTCAAATTGGACTCATGAATTTTTATTTTTCAGTATTTTATAATCTCACATCATTATTCTTTTTAATGCTCAAATGGCTCTGATTTTTTGCCCATATTAAAAAAAAAATCTATCTGGCTCTTCCATGGAAGGAATATTTGACTGTGGTACCCAGATTAGGTCATGATCATAAACTGCATTTTAAGTCTTTACAGAACAAACAAGAAAAGCCAAACAACTAAATAGAACCAGGCCCCTTAAGGGTAGAACAGCAGAGGGGCTTTTTTTTTAAAGATGCAGTTTTGTTCTTGTTGCTCAGGCTGGAGTGCAATGGCGTGAGCTAAGCTCACTGCAACCTCCGTCTCCCGGGTTCAAATGATTCTCCTGCCTCAGCCTCCCGAGTAGCTGGGATTACAGGTGCCCACTACCATGCCCAGCTAATTTTTGTATTTTCAGTAGAGACGGGATTTCACCATGTTGGCCAGGCTGGTCTCTAACTCCTGACCTTAGGTGATCCACCCACCTCAGCCTTTCAAAGTGCTGGGATTACAGGTGTGAGTCACCACGCCCACCCAGCCACCAGAGGGGCTTTGACCTTGCAGTAGAGGAAGTTGTGATCACAGAGAGGATGATGTCATAGTGGGAGGACTCCTGGCAGGAAAGGGCCTTATAGATATTGCCAGTTTTCTGCTGTCATCCATAATGTGTCCTGAAAAGTTTGTATCAAAGGTAAATGTGTAGAAACTAAGTGAGACACAGCATGGTGAAGAGAGGTTAGTACCAGAAAGCCAAACATCCCTGATTACATTTGCCTTACAGAAACACTCTGATGCTGTAGTCCTAACTTTTTATAATCAGTTTTTCTCCCTTCCTCAAACTACAGTCATTCCGTTTAAGACCAAAGAACATCTAACTGGGGCTGAAGATTGCCTCCTGTTGGCCCCCTCACTGGTTTCTATCTTTGTCTGAATTGTTTTCGGTTTGAGTCCTGTGCTTCTAAATGCTGGATTAGCCTTTTATTTTCCCCCTTTCCACTAATTTGAATAAAATGGCAAGAGTAAAATATAAGCTACGCAGACATCTCCCTAGTGCATCTATATTAACAAAGATGATAATGCTGCCTAAGAGGACTTTCCAGCTGGATTCTGCTGCAGGAAGATACGATGTGGGGTCAGCATGTAGCATCCAAAGAGGCCCAGATTTGAGTATGTCATTGTTTTGGTTGTGCATTGCAGAGGGAAGGTAGAGGGTGCATCCTGAGGTTCTCATGCCTGCCTGTCAGGGGATTTTTCCCTTGTAGGGATTGGTAGAGAAAGGGGTTGCTCCTCCAGCAAGATGAGGATTCGACTGTCCTTTCCCAACTCAGGTCCCTGAGCTGCGGAAGAAATCTCGCCGAGAGTACCTGGCTAAGCGGGAGCGAGAGAAGCTTGAGGACCTGGAGGCGGAGCTGGCTGATGAGGAGTTCCTTTTTGGGGACGTGGAGCTGAGCCGGCACGAGCGGCAGGAGCTCAAATATAAGCGGCGAGTGCGGGATCTCGCCCGGGAGTACCGGGCAGCTGGGGAGCAGGAGAAGCTGGAGGCCACCAATCGCTACCACATGCCCAAGGAAACCCGAGGACAGGTGAGGTGAAGCGGCGTCTGCTTCAGCCTTGGTCCCCAAGACAAGTTGTGGGGAAGGCTTCAGGGGATTGGGCAACACGTGGGTCATCCCCTTTCTTGCCTTGCCGTTCCCAATGGGCAGTGGGCGGGGGTAGTAATGGGAAGAGGGGAGAGGGCAGAGAGGACATCCTGTTTTTGAGTCTTCACATATCCCCTCTCTCTGTAGCCAGCCCGAGCTGTGGATCTAGTGGAGGAGGAATCAGGAGCCCCTGGGGAGGAGCAGCGGCGCTGGGAGGAGGCGCGGCTTGGGGCAGCGTCCCTGAAGTTTGGGGCCCGAGATGCTGCCTCTCAGGAGCCCAAGTATCAACTGGTGCTGGAGGAGGAGGAGACCATTGAGTTTGTCCGGGCCACTCAGCTCCAGGGTGATGAGGTAAGAGGGGAGCTGGGAGACTTTCTGAGGAAGACCCGTAGCGAGCTATTTAGCTCACACCTCCTTCTCTTTCCTTAGGAGCCGTCAGCTCCACCCACTTCAACTCAGGCCCAGCAGAAAGAGTCCATCCAGGCCGTCCGCCGCAGCCTCCCGGTGTTCCCATTTCGAGAGGAGCTCCTGGCTGCTATTGCAAATCACCAAGTCCTCATCATTGAAGGCGAGACAGGCTCAGGGAAGACCACCCAGATCCCGCAGTATCTCTTTGAGGAGGTACAGTCATCTCACCCTTCAGCTTGCCAGGGCACCTGGCATCAATGTCCTCATTCCTGTCAGAGCTCCTTTTACATTATATTTTTAGTAGTCACTTACCTATCTTTTCCACTAAATTGTGAAATTCTTGAGAGTAAAGACCATACCCTTTTCACATTTCTGTTCTCACTTCCTGCATTCATTTCATTTGGAAGGACGGGTAGATGGATAGGTGGAGTGGGGCGTGTATAAATGTGGACCTCCCTATGCTCCAACGTGGCCAAAAAACAAGGAGTTAAAGGACTATTTTCCTGCCTTTTTGTTAGTTTTTTTTTTTTTTTTTTGGAGACGGAGTCTTGCTCTGTCACCCAGGCTGGAGTGCAGTGGTGCGATCTTGGCTTACTGCAACCTCTGACTCCTGGGTTCAAGGAATTCTCCTGCGTCAGCCTTCAGAGTAGCTGGAATTACAGGCATGCGCCACCACACCTGGCTAATTTTTTAGTAGAGATGGGGTTTCACCATGTTGGCCAGGCTGCTCTCGAACTCCTGACCTCAAGTGATCCAGCCACCTCAGCCTCCCAAAGTGCTGGGATTACAGGTGTGAGCCACTGTGCCTAGCCCCTGCCTTATTTTGGAGACAGGCTCTTGCTCTGATGCCCAAGCTGGAGTGATGTGGCACCATCATGACTCACTGCAACCTGGGACTCCTGGGCTCAAGAGATCATCCCACCTCAGCCTCCTGAGTATCTGGGAGGTGCACACCACCATGCCCATATTAAACATTTTTTGTTTTTTTTTGAGGTGGAGTCTTGCTCTGTCACCAGGCTGGAGTGCAGTGGCGCGATCTTGACTCACTGCAACCTCCACCTCCTGGGTTCAAGTGATTCTCCTGCCTCAGCCTCCTAAGTAGCTGGGACTACAGGTGCGTACCACCACACCCAGCTAATTTTTGTATTTTTAGTAGAGATGGGGTTTCACCATGTTGGCCAGGATGGTCTCAATCTCCTGACCTCGTGATCTGCCCACCTCAGCCTCCCAAAGTGCTGGAGTTACAGGTGTTAGCCACTGTGCCTGGCCTGAAATTTTTTTTTTTTTTTTTTTGAGACAGAGTCTTGCTCTGTTGCCCAGGCTGGAGTGCGGTGGCATGATCTTGGCTTACTGCAACCTCTGTCTCCCAGGTTCAAGCGACTCTCCTGCCTCAGCCTCCCAAGTAGCTGGAAATACAGGCATGCACCACCATGCTCGGCTAATTTTTTGTATTTTTAGTAGACGGGGTTTCACCATTTTGGCCAGGCTGGTCTCGAACTCCCAACCTCAGGAGATCCGTCTGCCTCGGCCTCCCAAAGTGCTGGAATTGCAGGTGTGAGCCACTGTGCCTGGTCAAAATTTTGAATTTTTAATTTTTTTGTCACACTATGTTGCCCAGGCTGGTCTCGAACTCCTGAGCTCAAGCCATCCTCCCACCTCAGCCTCCCAAAGTACTAGGATTACAGGCATGAGCCACTGTGCCCAGCCTTCCTGCTTTTTTACCTTAGCTGGCTCTGTCTCAGCTAATCTGTTCTTTTCCAGCTCAAGTCTAGCAGAGTCATGAACTTAATTACCCAGAGCTGGGTGAGGACCCCCTTTGAGGGCCCTAGGTCTGTCATCCTATCTATTTGCCCTTCTTTTCTGGTTTTCAGCATCTGTCTTTTCCTCCTTTTCTCCTGCCTGGTTTTTACAACTTCTTTCTCTGAAATGTACCTGGTCCCAGGGTGCATATTTAGTAAAGGGCAAACTTCTTCTTTTTTCTTTGTCATTCAGGGTTATACAAACAAGGGTATGAAGATTGCCTGCACCCAACCCCGGAGAGTGGCTGCCATGAGTGTGGCCGCCCGAGTGGCCCGGGAGATGGGTGTGAAGCTTGGGAATGAGGTGAGATTTCTAGGGAACCGGGGGGTAGAGTCTGGGGTCTGTGACTCAGTCTACAGTTCCCTCAGGTCCCTACAGCAGAAGTCTTGGTGCTGCCCCACTTCACCTTTCCCCAAGTTCCTTTCAGGGCACACCAGCCCACACTTGGTTGCTAATGGTTCCCTTGACCAGGTTGGCTACAGCATCCGCTTTGAGGACTGCACATCAGAGCGAACTGTCCTCCGCTACATGACAGATGGGATGCTTCTCCGGGAGTTCCTCTCTGAGCCTGACCTGGCGAGTTACAGGTATCTCTAATCTCTGGCCTTTCTCTCCCTTCTTCCCACCCAGCCAATTCAGCCATTGTCTTCTGATTAATCCACCCGTTCTTGAATCTTTGTGGTTCAAATGGTCCTTGAACTGACCTCCAGGTACCACGGAGATGGGGCTGGAGGACAGAAGAGATTGTAGAGAAAGCCTCTTCTTTCCCCATTCATCTCCAGGGTTTAGAAAACAACCAGGATAGCAGAGCATTGCTGCCGAGACTTGAAATACCGTGTGAAGACCATTTGAAAACACTTGGAATGCTCAGCTCAGAGGGAGAAACAGGAAGCATCCTGGTTCCCTCTAAATATGTGAAGGCTGTTACATGGAAAGAAGGATCAGATTGTTTTATGTGACCCTACACGACATAGCTAGGAGCCATGGGGAGGTTACAGGGAGACAGATTCCAACTCAATACCAATGGCTGAGTAACCCTCAGAGTGGTGGAGATTGCAGGGCCTGTCAGAGTGGTTGGACTCTGGGTCTTGGCCCTCCACACAAGTCTTGGGTAGCTTGGTCTGTGAATAATGAGCTCTTAGTGCTGGAAATGGCCAAGCAGGGGTTGGTTGAACATGTGTTGAGGGGGAAAAGGGATTCATGAATGTAATGGGGGTGGGGTCAGGCCAGCTGAACAATATGTGCCTTTTTGACTCTTCAGAGGCTGTGAATTTCTGGTCTTGGAAGATCACAGTGGAGCAATTGGACAGATAGGATTTTATCCTTCATATCCCTTGCAAAAGATCTCTAAGAACCCATGGAGAGCCAGCCAGCGCAAGAGTGTCTGATGCAGATGTTTTTGCCCATCGAGCCAGCCTGCTTTGTGGAATGGCTGGGGACTTCACCATCACAGTTAGGGTTAGGCACAAAGAGTTGAGGTCAGGGAGGTGGGTAGGGGAAGATGGGGATGAGTTCCTGGGACTTGGCTGCCACCCAGAAAAGCCAAAGAACAAAGAGAAAGAAGGTGTCATGCACATAACTGAGTTAGGAGGAAACCAAGGAGCATGCAGAGTCCTGTGAGAGTTGAGGTAGAAAGGCTTAACTTGCTCCTGTCTCCAAAAGAAGAAACAGTCAAGAATGATGCCAGCAGCAGTTGTCCCACAGGACACCAGGAGCTTCTAGGCTATTTGAATCACAGCAGCTCAGGTCTATTACCCCCAGTCAGCCTTGCTGGCCCACCCTTATTGAAAGGGACCCTGCCTTCCACTTTTTTTTTCCTTTAAAACGTATCAGCCGGGAGCGGTGGCTCACGCCTGTAATCCCAGCACTTTGGGAGGCAGAGGCAGGCGGATCACGAGGTAAGGAGATCAAGACCATCCTGGCTAACACGGTGAAACCCCGTCTCTACTAAAAAATATAAAAAATTAGCTGGGCGTGGTGGCGGGCACCTGTAGTCCCAGCTACTCAGGAGGCTGAGGCAGGAGAATGGCGTGAACGCAACCCAGGAGGCGGAGCTTGCGGTGAGCCGAGATCGTGCCACTGTACTCCAGCCTGGGCGACAGAGTGAGACTCTGTTTCAAAACTCCGTCTCTACTAAAAATACAAAAAATTAGCCAGGCACAGTGGCAGGCACCTGTAGTCCCAGCTACTTGGGAGGCTGAGGCAGGAGAATGGTGTGAACCCAGGAGGCGGAGCTTGCAGTGAGCTGAGATCATGCCACTACACTCCAGCCTGCAACAGAGCAAGACTGTCTCAAAAAAAAAATCCTTCCACTTTTTCTTTTTTCTTTTTTTAGATGGAGTCTCGCTCTGTCACCCAGGCTGGAGTGCAGTGGCACGATCTTGGCTCACTGCAACCTCTGCCTCCCAGGTTCAAGCGATTCTCCTGCCTCAGCCTCCCAAGTAGCTGGGACTACAGGCGTCTACCACCACATCTGGCTAATTTTTTTTGTATTTTTAGAAGAGACGGGGTTTCACTGTATTGGCCAGACTGGTCTCGAACTCCTGACCTTGTGATCCACCTGCCTCGGCCTCCCAAGGTGCTGGGATTACAGGCGTGAGCTACCACCATGCCCAGCCTAAAACATATCCTTCAACTTTTTCTAGTAAGAGCAGCTGCTGAGTCTAAGCAGACTCTTGACTGAACTAGAGGGTATGGCTAACTTGTCCTGGCCTCAGTGTGCAGCCTCTACATCTTGTCTCCTATTATCTGCTGAGGCTGGGATAGGTTGCAGATCATGGGGCCCTGGCCTTCTCTGACTTTCTGTTGCTCTACATAAGTGGGATGGCTGACTTCTCCTTAGAGCCCCCTCCGTCAACAGTCATTCTTGAACTCTTTGTGTCCATTACTCCCCTCTCATCCAGTTAACCCTGGTGTCTGATACTGCATTGCCTAGCGCTCTTCCCTCATTGCTCTCCTATTCCCTCCCCAGCGTGGTGATGGTGGATGAGGCACACGAAAGGACCCTACACACAGACATTCTCTTTGGATTGATCAAGGATGTTGCTCGCTTCCGACCTGAGCTCAAGGTCCTGGTGGCTTCAGCCACAATGGACACTGCCCGTTTTTCCACCTTCTTTGATGACGCCCCTGTGTTTCGAATCCCCGGACGCAGGTTTCCTGTGGACATCTTCTACACCAAGGTGCCCCCTCAGGGAGGATGGGCTTAAGTCTGTGGCAGAAAAGCTGAGGCCTTTGGAGAAGGTTATCCTGTGGAGGGAAAGATGGAATGGAAGGTTCAAAGGGGAACTAGGATAAAGTGTATGTTGAATTGGGAGGAGAGGAAAGGTTTGCCTAAGCAGGTGGCCCTCCTGTGACCCCATCTCTTTCTGCTCTCCAGGCTCCAGAGGCTGACTACTTGGAAGCTTGTGTAGTATCTGTGTTGCAGATCCATGTGACCCAGCCCCCTGGGGATATCCTGGTGTTCCTGACAGGACAGGTGCCTGACATGGTGGGGAGAGGGGATGATGTATCCCAGGGGAAGACAGGGCCGGCATGTTGGCCTTCTGTGACTCTGGGACCCCTGCTGCTCTCCCTACCCTCTATCCAGGAGGAGATTGAGGCTGCCTGTGAGATGCTCCAGGATCGCTGCCGCCGCCTGGGCTCCAAAATCCGGGAGCTCCTGGTGCTGCCCATTTATGCCAATCTGCCCTCTGACATGCAGGCCCGTATCTTCCAGCCCACACCACCTGGGGCACGAAAGGTCAGTTGGAGAAACCCACACTCTTCACCCCTATGCTTCCCACAACTAGTAGTGAAAAAGCTGTGTGCCTGCCCCATGCAAGGTGAGTCCTGCGCACTGCTGCACACAGCTGAGGAGCAGCCAGTCCCTTGTTCCTGGGACTGAAGAGAGGAGAAATATGGTGTGAACCAAGAGAGAGCCAAATATGTGATCTGGAAAGTATGCACAGTAGATTCAGTGGAGAAGGGAAGTCCTTGATGTGCTAAGAGGTGGGATTTGATATGGACCTTTAAGAGAAATGTCTGAGGTCAGGTGCGGTGGCTCACGCCTGTAATCCCAGGACTTTCGGAGGCTGAGGTGGGCGGATCACTTGAGGTCAGTAGTTCGAAACCAGGCTGCCTAACGTGGTGAAACCCTGCCTCCACTGAAAATACAAAAATCAGCAGGGCATGGTGGCGTGCGCCTATAATCCCACCTGTTTAGGAGGCTGAGTCATGAGAATCGCTTGAACCCAGGAGGAGGAGGTTGCAGTGAGCTGAGATTGTGCCACTGCACTCCAGCCTGGGTGACAATGCGAGACTCCATCTCAAAAAAGAAAAATGGCTGAGAAGTCATCAGAGGAAGGCCCAAGGTATGTTTGAGGTCAGAGTGTGAGCTAGTAGGCTTAGTGGGAGGTTCATGTGGTGAAGGAGTAGGAGACAAGGCTAAAAACAATTTGGGGCTAAGATTAGGGAGGGCCTTTGATGACAGGAAAGTTTGGACTTTATTTATTTTTCTTTTTTGAGACAGAGTCTCGCTCTGTTGCCCAGGCTGGAGTGCAGTGGCAAGATCTCGGCTCACTGCAGCCTCCACCTCCCAGGCTCAAGTGATTCTTGTGCCTCAGCTTCCCAAGTAGCTGGGATTACAGGTGTGTACCACCACCCCAAGCTAATTTTTTTTTTTTTTTTTTTGAGATGGAGTCTCACTCTGTCGCCCAGGCTGGAGTGCAGTGGCACCAACTCTGCTCACTGCAACCTCTGCCTCACAGGTTCAAGCGATTCTCCTGTCTCAGCCCCCCAGTAGCTGGGATTACAGGTGCCCTCCACCACGCCTGGCCAATTTTTTGTATTTTTAGTAGAGATGAGGTTTCGCTATTTTGGCCAGGTTGGTCTCAAACTCCTGACCTCAGGTGATCTGCCCACCTTGGCCTCCCAAAGTGCTGGGATTATAGGCGTGAGCCACCATGCCTGGCCAACACCCAGCTAATTTTTAGTAGAGATGGGGTTTCGCCATGTTGGCCAGGCTGGTCTTGAACTCCTGGACTCAAGTGATCCGCCTGCCTTGGCCTCTCAAAGTGCTGGGTTACAGGCATGAGCCACTGTGCTTGGCGAAGTTTGGACTTTAGACAGCTGAGTAGCAGTCAAAGGATTTTGAGCAGAGATATAACTTTCATTCAACAAATATTTAATGAGTTCCTTCTGTGTGTCAGGTACACAGGGGTTGATGATACAGTGATGAACAAAACAAAGTCCTTAGCCTAACAAACTTGCACTTGTGGTCTATCGGGGAAGCAGTGGATGCATAAATACATATTGTCAATTTGTGGCCAGTGCTATGAAGAGATACAAGGCAGCATAGTAGGATGGAACTTGACTCTGTGGGGTGGGAGTGAGGACTGGCATGAAGGTATTTTCCTTGGGGTGTAGGGAGGGCCTCTTCAGTAAGGGGAAAGTGGAATAGAGACCCAAACCAGGTGAGGGAGGGAGCCAGGCTGATATCTGGGAGAAGAGTATGCCAGACAGAGGGAATAGCTGATGCAAATGATCCAGTGAGGAGTGCACTTACTTGGGCAGAGCAAAGCAGTGTGTGGGAGGAGTGAGGGAGGTGGTGGAGTGCTAGCAGATGAGGTCAGAAAGGCAGCTGGGGTAGGTGATCCAGGCTTTTAAGGGGCTTGGATTGAATTCTAGAGTAGGATAGGAAGCCACTGAAGGATGGGGAGTGATGTGACAGGTTTGTATTTTAAAAGGACCATCCTGGATGCCATGTGACAGAGGCTAGGAGCAGAAGCAGGGATACACGTTAGGAGGCTCTTACAGGAAGTGTTGTGTGAAGACGAAAGCGGTGATGGGGAGGATCGGGCAGGAACTTGAACACCCCCATTTCCCATCTCTGAAAAAAAAAAAAAACCCTAAATCCTCTTCTCCATTTCCTTTCCTCCTATGGCCCTGCTGACTCCCAGCCCCCACTTCCCTGTCCCCTGTCTTCTGGCCTTGTCCCCTGCTCCTGACCTTGGATACTACTAATTCCCTCAGCTCCTGCCCCTTACTGCAACTGCTTCACTACTCCTAACTTTCCAAGATTACTTTTTCTGGGTAACTAGGTAGGTGGGGTCACTGGGTGACCCCATATCCTATCACTCAGGTGGTTGTGGCAACGAACATTGCTGAGACATCACTCACCATTGAGGGCATCATTTATGTGCTGGATCCAGGGTTCTGTAAGCAGAAGAGCTACAACCCCCGCACAGGCATGGAATCGCTCACTGTCACACCCTGCAGCAAGGTCAGCCTGGGGATGCATGGGAGTGGGGGAGGTGGAGTTGGCCCACAGAGAAGGTCCAACTCAGAAGCAGGGTGGGGGCTTCCTAGGGAACCGGGATGAGCAGTTTGCATCCTTCCAGATTTCTTGCATAAATACTGCCTTTTTCTTTTCCCTGACCAAATTGTCAGCCAGCCTGTTCCCCTTTCTTTCCAGGCCTCAGCCAATCAGCGAGCTGGCAGGGCAGGTCGGGTGGCTGCAGGGAAGTGCTTCCGCCTGTATACCGCCTGGGCCTATCAGCACGAGCTTGAGGAAACCACAGTGCCTGAGATCCAGAGGACCAGCTTGGGCAATGTCGTGTTGCTGCTCAAGAGCTTAGGTGATTGGGCTACCTGAGAGAGGAGGGAGGGGCTGGAGTCACTGTCCTTTGAAGGGACTCTGTTCCATCCATCACACCTCTTTCTAGGGATCCATGACCTAATGCACTTTGATTTCCTGGACCCTCCACCATATGAGACACTGCTGCTGGCTTTGGAGCAGCTGTATGCTCTGGGAGCCCTCAACCACCTTGGGGAGCTCACCACGGTGAGTCGGGGGACAGCATGGGTGGAGGCAGGATGATAGGGGTCAGGATGGCTCCAGGGACCCCTGTAGTAGTAGCGGGAAACCTGAGGGAGGACTGGGCTCAACTCTCTCTCTCTTCTCCTTAGTCTGGTCGAAAGATGGCAGAGCTGCCGGTGGACCCCATGCTGTCCAAAATGATCTTAGCCTCTGAGAAGTAAGCCCTCGCCTCCACCTGGGCCCCCAGCACACAAACAGGCCAGGCCTCCTCTGTCTCCAGGGTCCCCTTTGTCTGTCTTTTTCTGTTCATCATACTATCCCTTAACACATAATAAAGTATTAGATAACTCTGATTGCCCCCTTTTGAGGCCCACAAGGGTAAGACACTTGATCCTATCCTTGATTCCACTGCGCCCGGCCCCTTGAGGAACTTACTTGTTCCTAAGGTTTCCAACTAGAACATTTAGATGTAGCTGTGGAGGGATGACCTTTAAATGCCATTCCTCTGCTGTCAGAGATCTTTTCCAAATGCACATAGTGAATGCACACTTTCTGCAGAAGCCTCAGAATTCCCCGGTGTTTCCTGCTCCTGCCTCCATGGATGTCCCTCCTTTGTGACTGTGTTTCATCTATGGCCCCTACTTCCTTGACCCCCAAGCTGCTGCCAGAATCTATCTGCTGGCTGCTTTGTAGCCATTATGCCAACCAGCCTTCCCCACATGAGGAAACATCCATCACACAGTGATCACTCCCCACTCCACCATATCTGTTCCTATGTGTCTTGCTTTGAACTCATGCTTTCCCCTTCCTGTCCCAGGTACAGCTGTTCAGAGGAGATCCTGACAGTGGCTGCCATGCTCTCTGTCAACAACTCCATCTTCTACCGACCAAAGGACAAGGTCGTCCATGCTGACAATGCCCGTGTCAACTTCTTTCTCCCTGGCGGTGACCACCTGGTTCTGCTAAATGTTTACACACAGGTCACTGGGCTTGGGTGAGTGGGAATGAGAGACACTGGGGGACTTTAGTCCTGCTGTATACTTAATTATCTCTCCTTTCTTTTTAACTGTCTTCCCAGTGGGCTGAGAGTGGTTACTCTTCCCAGTGGTGCTATGAGAACTTTGTACAGTTCAGATCGATGCGCCGAGCCCGGGATGTGCGGGAACAGCTGGAAGGGCTCTTGGAACGTGTGGAAGTTGGTCTCAGTTCCTGCCAGGGGGACTATATCCGTGTACGCAAGGTCAGCATTTCTTCAGCCTCCTGCTTTCCACCCCCAGTACCTTCCCAGGAGCAAGCTTCTCTGGGGGCATGCAGCATTTCCTCCAGCGTGAGAGCATGCCCTCTTCCCCTTGTGTATGACGTGTCCTCCCAGGGCCCTTTCTTCCCCAGACCACTGAAGGTTCATTCCTGGGAAGTTCTTCATGCATTCCTTACCTCTCTAGTTTTCCTGAAGCCTGAACTAAAAAGGTAGTGCATTCTTAGGGTCCCCAGATGTCTGCCTTTTCCATTGATTTTCTTTCCTGCCCGCTCCTTAGGCCATCACTGCTGGTTACTTTTACCACACGGCACGGTTGACTCGGAGTGGCTACCGCACAGTGAAACAGCAGCAGACAGTCTTCATTCATCCCAACTCCTCCCTCTTTGAGCAACAGCCACGCTGGCTGCTCTACCACGAACTTGTCTTGACCACCAAAGAGTTCATGAGACAGGTGAGGAGAACATCCTGTGCCCATGCAGGTGGAGACTATGTAGAGAGATGGTGTCCTGGCAAGCTAAGAACCCAGGTTCAAGTTGCTGGGACTGGTACAGAAAGAGGAAGGTAGGGTAAAATAGAAAGACATCCTTTGTTTTTTTTTGTTTTTTTTGAGACGGAGTCTCACTCTGTTGTCCAGGCTGGAGTGCAGTGGCGCAATCTAGCCTCACTGCAACCTCTGCCTCTGGGGTTCAAGAGATTCTCATGCCTCAGCCTCCCAAGTAGCTGAGATTACAGGCGCAAGCCTCCAGGCCTGGCTAATTTTTGTTATTTTTAGTAGAGATGAGGTTTCACCATGTTGGCCAGGCTGGTCTCAAATGCCTGCCTCGGCCTCCCAAAGTGCAGGGATTACAGGTGTGAGCCACCATGCCCAGCCCAAAGACATCCTTTCTAACAGGTGTGTCAGCATCTTCCAAGATCTGAGAACTAGACACTTATTCAATAAATATTTGAATGGCTACTGTATAGGTGCTGGGGCTATAATGAACAAAGCAGTCTCTGGTCTCACAGAGTATAGTCTTTATGTTCTAGGCTTTTCTTTTTTTTGAGAGTTCCGTGCTGTTGTAGCCCAGGCTGGAGTGCAGTGGCACCATCTCAGCTCATGCAACCTCCGCCTTCGGTTTCAAGTGATTCCCCTGCCTCAGCCTCCAGTGTAGCTGGGATTACAGGTGCCCACCACCACGCCCAGCTAATTTTATATTTTTAGTAGAGACTGGGTTTCACCATGTTGGCCAGGCTGATCTCGAACTCCTGACCTCATGATCCGCCTGCCACGGCCTCCCAAAGTGTTGGGATTACAGGTGTGAGCCACTGTGCCTGGCATGTTGTTCTAGACTTTTCTTGGGAATAGCTTATTTGGTATCTTGAATAACATACAGAGGTGTATCTGCCCTTTGGGTATATAATAATAGAGCCAGGCACCTTTACACCTAGCCCTGCAGTCAAAGAGGAAAGATAACTTTTGACCATACACATAAGGATCTAGGTTGGGGCTGGGCATAGTGGCTCATTTTTGTAAACCATCCCAGCACTTTGGGAGGCCAAGGCAGGATCCTAGCACTTTGGGAGGCCAAGATCAGCCCAGGCAACATAGTGAGACCCCAACTATACAAAAAATTAATGGTGCACTGTGATGTGTGCCTGTAGTCTCAGCTACTTGGGAGGCTGAGGCAGTAGGACTGCTTTGAGCCATGATACGCCACTGCAGTCCAGCCTGGGCAATAGAGCAAGACTCTGTTTCAATTTAAGAAAAAAAAATAACAACAACAAAAGATCTATGTTGGAAAGAAGGGAACTCCATTGATCTTTTCTCTCTCCTAGGTACTGGAGATTGAGAGCAGTTGGCTTCTGGAGGTGGCTCCCCATTATTATAAGGCCAAGGAGCTAGAAGATCCCCATGCTAAGAAAATGCCCAAAAAAATAGGCAAAACACGAGAAGAGCTAGGGTAAGAGAAGGACGTAAACAGAACCTGACACCAGCTCCTTTTCCTTCTATACATTATTTAATACCTATTAAATAAAATTATTTTTGGAATAAAGCTTGTGGGAACATTTGGGATCTAGAGAAAGTGATATGTGAAATTCTATCTCATATAGTCAGTTAAACTTTATTATTTACAAGTTAAATTACACAGCAGCTTTACACAGCATGAGATGGAAAGGAAGGAAGGAGAGAAACGAGGAGAGGAAGCTGGCTCCTGAGATTCTTGGCTGCCTCCACCTCCTTCTCTTGGGCGTAGCAGTCTTCAGTGCTGCCTCCACTCCAAGGTCAAGGATCAGGGCTTGGAACACAGGTTTAAGTCAGGTTCTGGCTCTGACAGCCCCAGGGCCACCAGGGCTCCCACTAGCAGCTTCTTCACAGGCGTTGGAGGTGAGTGTGAAGGCATCAGCTGCAGGGAGAAAGGTTAATGCCAGTTGGGGGAGGCACACAAATGTTCTACCCTTTACCCCACCCAGCCCTACCTAGGACTCACTTTATCTAGACGATGGCGACAAATGAGGCCACTGGAATTCAGGTAGAAAGTGGAGTAGGCATCATAGGTCCTGGGGAATAGAGGGAGGCTTACTGAGGGAGAAGGTGACTGGTCCCAAAGCTGAATTCAAGCATTTGTTTAAACGAGTAGTCCCTAAATTCTGCTACATATTAGATCACCTGGGCAACTTACAAACATCTCAGTGCTTAGGTTGTGCCCTGTCTCAATTAAATCAGAGTGTTTGGCGTCAATATTTTTTAACGATCCTTGGGCATTTCTACTGTGCAGCAGTTTGGGAACTGCTGGTTTAAAAACTTATATCCAATGTTTGTGGCTGAGTCTAACAATTTATTGGGATTCTACTCCCAGGCGGAAATTTACCAGGTTGTAAGGCTCAACATATGAGACAGGACTTTTCATTTGTTCAGTACTTTTGTGTGTGTGTGTGTGTGTGTGTGTGTGTGTGTGTGTGTGTGTGACAGGGTTTCACTCTGTCACCCAGGCTGGAGTCCAGTAATGTGATCACGGCTCACTGCAACCTCAACCTCCCAGGTTGAAGTGATTCTCTCATCTCAGCCTCCCAAGTAGCTGGAACTACAGGTGTGTACCACCACACTGGGCTAATTTTTGTATTTTTTTGGGTTTTACCATGTTGGCCAGGCAGGTCTCCAACTCCTTACCTCAAGTGATCCGCCCACCTCGGCCTCCCAAAGTGCTGGCATTACAGGCATGAGCCACCACACCCAGTCTGTTCAGTAAGTATTTGAGTACCTACCATGTGCTAGGCACTGTATAGGAAGAAACTGAAGCTCAGAGGTTTTTCTAATATACCCAGTCTCTATTTTTTTTTTAACATTAACATAAACTAAACAGGATCCCTGTCCTTAAACAGTCAAGTGAGGATAGGTCAAGGGTTGTCTGGGAGACTAGATCATCTGTAATCTCAGCACTTTGGGAAGCTAAGGCAGGTGGATCACCTAAGGTGAGGAGTTCGAGACCAGCCTGGCCAACATGGTGAAACCCTCTGTCTACTAAAAATACAAAAATTAGCCGGGTGTGATGGTGTGCCTGTAATTCCAGCTACCCAGGAGGCTGAGGCTGGAGAATTGCTGGAAGCCGGGAGGCAGAGGCTGCAGTGAGCTGAGATCACGCCACTGCACTCCATCCTGGGTGACAGAGTGAGACTCCGTCTCAAAAAAAAAAAAAAAAGGAACTGATTATAGTTTGGGTCCTTTCTCATTTCTCTCTTACCGGTAATGCTCGTCTTTGTCACGCTTGTAGAACCGCAAAAAGAGCAAGTGGACGGGCAGCCCCACAAGCCGCCACCGGGCTTGCAGGGTCCAGTTCTCAGGGTGGCGGGTCAGCTGTAAAACCTCCAAACGAAGGTGTGCAAAATAATTCCAGGCCAGGAAACGGCAGAGGGTCAGTGAAAGAATGTACCATGTCCGGCCCCTGTGAAGAAGGGATGGGAAAGAAATCTCATGATGGCAGAATTAGAAAACCAAACTGGCTTCTAAGGAATGGGGAACAGCTGTGAGAAGCAGTCTAGGAACTTCTCTGGGAAGTGAAAAGGGTCATGTATATACCTTTGGGTGCTTTTCCTCCCCAGTGCCCTACCTGTGCCCCAATTCTCACTTGGTACGTATGTTGAGGATCTCATTGATGAATTCCACATCCAAGGAATACAGACTGTAGTCGTGGGACTGAAGGAAGAGCTTGGGAAGCTAGGTGGAAGAAGATGGCATCAACCCAGTGGGAAAGAAAAGATAATCCTATTTTTCAGTTTTCTAATTTTTTTTTTTTTTTGAGACGGAGTCTAGCTCTGTCGCCCAGGCTGGAGTACAGAGGTACAATCTCAGCTCACTGCAACCTCCGCCTCCTAGGTTCAAGCGATTCTCCTGCCTCAGCCTCCCGAGTAGCTGGGATTACAGGCTTGAGATGGAGTCTAGCTCTGTCGCCCAGGCTGGAGTGCAGAGGTACAATCTCGGCTCACTGCAACCTCCGCCTCCCAGGTTCAAGCGATTCTCCTGCCTCAGCCTCCCGAGTAGCTGGGATTACAGGCACCCACCACCATGCCCAGCTAATTTTTGTATTTTTAGTAGAGACGGGGTTTCACTGTGTTGGCCAGGCTGGTCTTGAACTCCTGACCTTGTGATCCGCCTGCCTCGGCCTCCCAAAGTGCTAGGATTATAAGCGTGAGCCATGTGCCAGGCCCAGTTTTCTATTTTTAAGGCCTCCTTACTCCCATCTTGGAGTGAAAGATCTCATCCCATGATTAACCTCCCTTAACCCAAAATGAGGAACATCATTTTCTTTCTTTTTTTTTTTTTTGAGACGGAGTCTCGCTCTGTTGCCTAGGCTGGAGTACAATGGAGATATCTCCTTTCACTGCGCCTCCTGGGTTCAAGCGATTCTCCTGCCTCAGCCTCCTGAGTAGCTGGGATTATAGGCGTCTGCCACCATGCCTGGCTGATTTTTGTGTTTTTAGTAGAGATGGGGTTTCACCATGTTGGCCAGGCTGGTCTTGAACTCCTGACCTCAGGTGATCCACCTGCCTAAGCCTCCCAAAGTGCTGGGATTACAGCACTTTGAGCCACCGTGCCTGGCTGGAACATCATTTTCTCAGGAAAATGTTTATAATATATTTCTATGCCTGCCTCATGGTTCCAAAAAAGAATCCAGTTGACTATCCCTGTACGTCCAAGGATTACCCACATCCTTCCCACTGTAGACGAAGGCCACTTTTGCACTGACTTACCTCTTGTCTCAGTCTCTCATACATGACAGACAGATGTTCCTCCATACTAGGATCTCCTGACGGGGTGGCAGGGGAAGGGTGGGCAGTTCCAGGGACTTGGAAAGGTATCCAAGCCCCAGGATAGGGGCAGGGAGGTCCCTCAAAAAGGCTTCTAAGCCCATCCAGGCAGCCGCTATGCAACTCAGGTCCTGGTCCCTCCTCCCCCTTTCCTGGAGGGAGAACCACCCATGCTGAGCTGAGGGCCTGGATCTGAGGGAGAGGTAGTGGGGGAACCTGGGGAAGACGCTGGGTGGGAAGGCGTGGGGGCAGGGGAGACCAGAATAGAGGAGAAGATGGGGAAGTGGTTGTCGTGGAGTGGGGCCAAAGGGGTGGGAATGGTAGAGTCCCTGGATAAAGCTGGTCCTAAGGAGAAAGAACAGAAGGGAGAAAGATAAGAATCCACTTGTCTAACACCCCTTGATCCCCTGGATGCTCAACAGGCTTCCAATACCTATTCCTCCTGACAGAATGGATGGAATTACTATAGGAAAAAAGGGATGGATTCATCTCCATCTCTACTGAAAACAGGAGGAAACCATTTTATTTTATTATTTATTTTGAGATGGAGTCTCGCTCTGTTGCCAGGCTGGAGTGCAGTAGCACGATCTCAGCTCACTGCAACCTCCGCCTCCCGGGTTCAAGTGATTTTCCTGCCTCAGCCTCCTGAGTAGCTGGGACTACAGGCGCGCGCCACCATGCCCAGCTAGTTTTTGTATTTTTAGTAGAGACAGGATTTCACCATGTTAGCCAGGATGGTTTTCATCTCTTGACCTCGTGATCCACCCGCCTCTGCCTCCTAAAGTGCTGGGATTACAGGCGTGGGCCACCGCGCCCAGCCGAGCAAACTGTTTTATGTGACATAAATACCGGCACCTCCCAAAACCTAGCAGACATTTTACTTTTTTTTCTTTTTTTGAGACGAAGTCTCACCGTCGCCCAGGCTGGAGTGCATTGGCGCGAACTCGGGTCACTGCAACCGCCGCCTCCTGGGTTCAAGCCATTCTCCTGCCTCAGCCTCCCGAGTAGCTGGGATTACAGGCACCCTTCACCACGCCCGGCTAATTTTTGTATTTTTAGTTACAGATGGGGTTTCACCATGTTGGCCAGGCTGTTCTCGAACTCCTGACCTCAGGTAATCCGCCCACCTCGGCCTCCCAAAGTGCTGGGATTACAGGCGTGAGCCACCGTGCCCGGCCCAGTGTTGGAATCTTAAAGAAATGTGGCCGGGCGCGGTGGCTCGCCTGTAATCCAGCCTTTGGAAGCCGAGGCGGGCGGATCACGAGGTCTAGGAGTTCGAGACCAGCCTGGCCAATATGGTGACACCCCATCTCTACTAAAGATACAAAACAATTAGCCGGGTGTGGTGGCGGGAGCCTGTAGTCCCAGCTACTCGGGAGGCTGAGGAAGGAGAATTGCTTGAACCCAGGAGACGGAGATTGCAGTGAGCCGAGATGGTGCCAATGCACTTCAGCCTGGGTGACGGAGCAAGACTCCATTTCAAAAAAAAAAAAAAAAAGATTCCAACACTGGGGGCAGTTTCACCTCTCTTATCGCAAGAATCATGTAATACATACTTGATGAGTTAACGAATAACAGGTTTTATTGTACTGTGGATTAAATGCTGTGGCCTGTACATCTCCATGATTAAGTGTGCGAGGCAAATGTACAGAGAAAAAAGAATATCCAGCTGAAGCTAGGAATCTGAATTCTATCATGTAACTTTAGGCATTCTCATTCCCTATGCCTCCGCTTCCTACAAATGTCCTATAAATGAGAACAATAAAGCCTCACTGGGTTATGAGGCCTATATGAAATAATGAATGTAAACAAAACGTAGCGACCTAGAAAGCAGTACATAAATGGAAGCTATTATCATTTCGGGCCCCTCTAATGACAGACACAACCTCAGGAGACAGTTAAAGGCTGGCCTTCACTCTCCTGGGTTTACCGACGTTGAAACTGCAAGGGGAGGTCACCCAAAGTTAGGCCTCACCCGAGTCCCTCCGCTCCCAAGGAACCCCCCAGGGGATCGTCTCACTGCAGGGAAGGCGGGCGGACCGCTCGGGTACCTCGGTCCCCGATGGTGTCCTAGAGGCGCCGTCTCTGCTGGGGGCGTGGCCATCTTGCCAGCCCGGGCGCAGGGGCCCGAACCGGGTGCACACTGGCCGGCCTTCCTGCCAGGACCGCTCTCCGAGTGCAAGACGGGCGGGCTGCTGAGGGCGCCCCGCGGGTCTGGTCTGGGCCGGGGAACTCCGGGACGGCGCCGCAGCAGGGCTACGAATCTCTCGGCCCCTGCCCTTCAAATCACCTCTAGGCACAGGTAACCGCGGAGAGTCGGGCGCAACGCAGACGCGCCCCGCTGCCTGGCCTTGACCCCGCCTGACCGCCCTCAAACCTGGGAGGACCGACGTCCTTGCGCGACAGGCCCGGCAGCGCCTCCCTCCCGCTTCCGCGACCCCTAGCCTGTCCACGCGCTGCAGGGCACAGGTGGGAAGGGGCGGCGGGTGTCTCTGCGCCTGCGCGGAACCCAGCGCGCGCTCCGCCCCACGCACCGGCTTTGAGGAGGGTCTCTCCCCGCCCCCTCTCCTCCCTCCCTCTTCTCCTCCGCTCACCTGGGGTCGAGCCTGGTAGGCGCGCAGGCAAGGGCCGAGACGCCGGGCCGCACCCCGGCTGGGCTGGTACATGATCTTCCGGGAGTGGAGAAGGAGCCTCCTGAGTCCGACCTCCGGCCTCCTCACAGGGGTGAGCGCGCCCCAGAGCCGGCTTCGTGAAGGGGAAAGGAGGCCGGGGCGGGGGGGTAGGGGGGGAAGGGGCTGAGGGAGGGAAACGGAGATGTCCCGCGCTTGCGCACTGCAGGCTCGAGGGAAGCGGCTGAAGCGCTCTGTCGGCTGTAAGCGCGCCTGCGCCCGCGGGCTCGGAGACTGCCTGAGTGCGCTTGCGCAAGTTACAGCCTCCCCCGCCCCCCCAAGCGCTGTATTCACAGCTGAGGCCTTTGAGCAAAAAGCTGAGCAAAAACAGGGCTGAAGGCTGAATGGGTGCAACGACAGTGAGGGGTGAGGCGGCTGAAATAATGAGTCAAATTTTTCAACAGCTCTTGTGATAAAAATAAATACTTTTATTGGTCTGGTTAAAAGATACAAATGACTTGAATCTGATAAGCCTGCTGAATGAATGAATGAATGAATGTATCCATCTATTATGAGGGTTGGGCTTTGGCTCTTTCCTGTAGTGAGGGAGAAATAATACTTTGAAGATGTTTGACGGGGCTGCGGTCACCAAGGCCTGGTGCTGCGACGTTCCTGCAGGTTTCGAATGAACCTGGCGTTGAGTATGTCCCCACCCACTGTCCAGGACTGGGCTGGCGGGGCCGGGGCCTGTGGAGGAGCTGTGTGCATGGGCTTCTCCCCAGACCCATCCTGTGACAAGGCCTGCTCCTCACTGGCAGACCTGGTAGGTGGGGAGATGGAGAGTGGGTTATAGGAATACTAAAGAGGAAATTAAGATTACAGACTCTTCAAGGTCTCGGGCCAGGTTTTAATGTAGGACACATGATGGGTATGAAGCTGGAACCATTAGTGCTATGTCCAAATTTAAAACCTCTCAGAGAATCCGTATTCCAAAGGGAAGTACCAGAGTTGAACCTGTGGGGGAAAGGGGCTTGCAGGATGTAAGGTAGAAGGAATTGTGGGAGGAGCTGGTGTCCAGTTCATACAATAAGATTTAAGAGTAGGAAGTGACTGAGAATGATGTTAGGAAGGGAGTCAGATGGTGGTGGGAGGCTGTTAGGGGAGGGGTTTAGACCTCACCTATTCTTTGTTTCCTGTTCTCCCTGCTTGGAGTCTTGGTTGCCTGTGGAAATATCAGGCATGTGAATGGGAAGGCAGGAGTAGACAGTGAATGTGGCCTACTTGATTTGAGGGTAGGGAGGAGTGAATACTTACCTGTATTGGGGGATGAGGAATTCACCCCCCCATGGCGGCTGTAGCAGCAGCTTTGGGCTACCAGACCTGGGGGAGTCCCCCTGTAGAAGAAATGGGAGATGATGGGGAGGAGGCTACTGGATGAAAGATGGGTGGGTATGGAGGAATCAGAGGAGAGGAGTAAAAGGAATAGCACAGGAACAAAGAGAAGGGGGTAATTATCATTCCTAACAGGTTTTAATCAAAGCTGTGCCCCAGAAAAGGGCGGGGGAAGTTCATTTTATACCCAAGATTTTCTGGAGTGCTTCTGATTTATTGCTCTATTCTTTCTAGTTGAGGTAATGTGTTAAATCTATGGCTAGGTGTGATCCAAATCATGTCAGAAGAACAGACTCACATGTGGTCAAAAATGTGTTGGATCGGGTACTCTGGTGTTTGGTTTGGAAAACAGGGTTACCTTAACTATAAGATTCCTTAGACCAGGCTGGGCGCGGTGGCTCAGGCTTGTAATCCCAGCACTTTGGGAGGCCAAGACGGGCAGATCACGTGATCAGGAGATCGAGACCAACCTGGCCAACATGGTGAAACCCTGTCTCTACTAAAAATACACAAACTAGCTGGGCACGGTGGTGCACTTCTGTAATCCCAGCTACTTGGGAGGCTAAGGCAGGAGAATCGCTTGAACCCAGGAGGCGGAGGTTGCAGTGAGCTGAGATTGTGCCACTGCACTCCAGCCTGGCGACAGAGCAAGACTCCATCTCAAAAAAAAAAAAAAAGATTCCTTAGACCAGAGGGAAATAGGAAGTGACAAGGCTGAATTTTGAATTTAGGAGGAAAAGGAAGGGGGCCTCTGTAAATAGGGTGACAGACTGTGTTGCACTCTCAATGGAGGTAAGGGTTTGTCTTGAGAGAGATCCAGCGGTTTAGTGGAGCAGACGTCAGGTAATCAGAGTGGGAAGACGAATACAGGAGGCAGGAGGTAATTAGTGGATCCAGAGATGTTGGTAAGCTTTGACATCTTGGCAAAGGCACGCCCAGAGTAAAGGGTAGAAGTCACTGGGGAGAGCTGGAGGTTCCTGGAGGGAATGAGGGAGTAGATACGGAAGCCCACACACAGGGATCCAGCACCTACATGAAAGGAGACACAGAATCTGCAGGAGGACTAACAGTGAAGATGGGGATAGGCAGACACCAGACTCAGGAGCTCTGAGGCTCCTGGGTAAAAGATGTGCAGATCTCAGAAGTGAGAAATGAGAGGGACAGAGGTCCTGAGATCCCAGGAAAATAAGGGATGACGCACAAATGAGGCTGACAACTTTTTTTTTTGTGATTCTTTTTTTCATTGAAAATGTCAATTTAGAAAACACAAAAGATTTCACACTTTATTCAGACAACACTGAGAGAAGAAAAGGGAAGAGTGAGTAGGGGAGATGGGGAGATCCGGCTCCCAAGGATTTCAGGAAACACAGTGGGGCACCTGATCTAGCACACATTCAGAGGGTAGGGAGGGGAAGGGATCTAGCTATACTCTGGGCATGGAGCAGGGAAGGTCGTCCTTGCTATGGAGGAAAGGAGAGAGGAAGGACAGAGGAAGAGTGGTCCCCCATCTCATCTCGACAATCTCACAAGACAGGAGTATATCGGGACCTAGCTACCAGGGAGGGATGGATGCAAGAAGGGATTCCAGGATCTAACAGATCCTTGACACTCTGGATCTACTCTCAAGAAACAACCTCCCTCAGAGAATCTGGATCTGGGGGAAATGGTGGTGTCAGCCAATCTCCTTTAGAGACCCCAAAGCAACACCAGTTTGGGGTTCCCTGACACCTACACAAAATGTGGAAATGAAGAGTTTGGCAATGGTGAGTAGATCCCTTTGGGAAGCTGGTAAGTCCCTGTTCTACCTAACTAGACTGCTCTGAAGCAGAGCTTGCTCACTAGCGGCCATTCGCAGGCTCAAAGGGCAAGTGTGGCAGGCAGCACAAAGCAGTATTAGAGCCACCAGTAGACACTAGAGGGAATATGGGGTTTATCCCATAGATAAAATTCCTTAAAAAGTTTCCCTGGCACAGGATGCCCTTAGACCTTCCATGGTGGTCTAAAGTTTGACAGCAAGCAAGAGTGTGCTTCTCTAGATAAATGTATGAGCCATCTAACCAAGAAGTCTGGCAACAGATCAGACTTCCTGTTGGGAAAGTATTCAGAGCCCAAGTTAGGAGAGAAGGGGTGCTTTTGTGTTAAGAAAAGCTACAAAGTGTTAGGCAGTTTGAGACCCTGACATCCCTGCTGTCTAAGAAAGTAGAAGAGGGAATCCTATGGGCTCTGTCAGGTTCCACTGGGTCCTACAGGATGCAATGGAAGAGTGGGTCTGAGGTTCTCAGGGAGGGGTTCCCTGCCCACCCCAGGTCTCCCAGGGCAGGGAGAGGGTAGCTGTTAGTATCGACTCTCCTCAGAGCGGGGAAGGGAGCTGTGGAAGGATGTTATGGATGGGAGGAAGGGAGATGGGAAATGGCGGGGGGCGGGGGAGAGAAAAACAGAGAAGTCAGAGGTGAAGAGAAAGGGAGAGAAATAAAGGAAATGCCCACTCCCTGCCTGCTGCGATGGACTCTTGGCACACAAGCCAGTGGCTTCCCACTCTCTGTCAGACACTGCCCCTTCCCCAGCAAGTATTAAGCGAAGATTTTCCCAATCTTAGAAGGCTCTGTTCCCCCAACTCGATGGATCTCGGTGTTCTTCCTACCATTCCACATAACTCTCACATTAAAGCCAGGGTCCCTAGGCTCCATATAAGGTCCTATTCTGCTCCTTCACTGCATTTTTTTCCCAGATCACTTGCACAAATATTTTTCTTGAAAGGTTTCAGGACCCCCCCCAAGCCACCCATCTTATTGATCCATCTCTCTGATGGATTCAAATTGCCCTTTGCCATTTCTAACATCCTCTTTTATAGCTGTGAGGCTCCTTAGCCCTTCAACTCCTATTACCTGGTGCGACGACGTTGAGCTGGGCTGCCCCCAGGGTCAGCAGCCAACAGAAGGCGGGCGGTAGGGTGTGGGGGGCAGAGGCGCAAGGAACGCAGCAGCTCCTGCTCTGGCACAAAGGGGCGGAGGGGACCTCGTTCTGGTGAGTTTCCCAGGCTGCTGGAGCGGGGGGGTGGGTGGGCTGGAGGTGTGGCGCGGCGAGGGGCCCTGTTTAGGGGCCAAGGAGGCTCCACAGCTACCTTCAGAACTGGGGACAGGGAGAATGAAGAGCAAGACAGAAAAAGAAGAAAAAAGGAAGAGAGTCATGACAGCAAAGGTTTTGGTAGAAAAAAAGAGAAATCTGAGTCTTTCTTTTTTTTTTTTTTCTTTTTTGAGACGGAGTCTCACTCTGTCACCCAAGCTGGAGTGCAGTGGCACGATCTTGGCTCACTGCAACTTCCGCCTCCTGGGTTCAAGCCATTCTCCTGCCTCAGCCTCCCAAGTAGCTGGGATTACAGGCACGTGCCACCGTGCCCAGCTAATTTTTGTATTTTTAGTAGAGACGGGGTTTCACCATGTTGGCCAGGCTGGTCTTGAACCCCTGGACTCAGGCGATCTGCCTGCCTTAGCCTCTCAAAGTGCTGGGATTACAGGCATGAGCCACCATGCCCAGCCCAAGAAATCTGAGTCTTTAGAGAGAACGAATCCTTTCCCTGGGTCCCCTGAGCATTCTCTTCCCTTGTGTTAAGGTACCCCAGGCCCAGACACCCGACCCTTGCCCCTCTTACATTCTCGGTCACTAGAGGAGTATGGCTTGATGTCTCCCTCTGCTCTCTTGGGTGGCAGCTTCCTTGCTGGAGCTGGCAGTGGAGGGGACATAGGCAGGGTAAGCGTTAGGAGACATACTTTGCACCCCTCCTCCCAGCCACTATACCCCAACCCCAAACCTCTGCTCCCTGACACCACAGTTCCTCCTGAGAACTTGCAGGAGCAGCACCATGGCAATGCCAGCACACCAAAAGGGAATTTGAGGGGAATGTGGAACACTGTTGAGGAAAGCCAGAAGGAGTAGGCCAAACACAGAGCTAGGGAGAAAGATCGAAGGGGAGACTCTGGGGGCCTGGGAGATGCAGGAGAAGGGCAGCCAAGGGAAGTGAGCTCTTACTGTCAGTGGGTGCTGTCATGGCCCCCTGGTATTCTGGGGCAGTGGAATGGTCCCAGCCGGGCCAACGAGGACCCTGGGTTCCTCTGGATGAGATGGACAAAGCCCTTGGTTAATCAGGAATTGCTCTGGAGAGGTCAGGGGAGGTTTGGAAGGAGGGCACAATCTCTCCTTCCTATACGAAAATGGGAAGAGACTGAAGTTTTATTAGGTTAAAAAAAAAAAAGAAAATAAATATGGGCATCTGAAAGGGAGCTATCAGAGTAAGCAGGAGGCTGATGTAATGTCCAAAGTTCAGCCTCCCCCTCCTCACTTCTCTACTTGCTCCCGGCTTTCCCTCTCAAGAGATTCTCCATCATGTATGTGTGGCAAATGAAAGACTTCTCAGCAAATTCACTTAAGCTTTATCCACAGCACCCTCCCCTGCAGGCCTGAGACCTCACCATCCTTGTTGGCCCTCAGTCCCTCTCACAGCCTGTGGTTCTGAACAAGCTAAATGGGAGAAGCCTTGGAAACCAAAGCGAGTTGAGGTGCCTCTCAGTGCCTGACACTGTGATGCTCATAGCTGGTTACAGACTGCTGTTTGGATGGTGGTTACATCCTTTCCTGGCCACAGAGCCAGCTCAGGAAGGGGGCTCTTCTGTGCAAGCAAGCACTGTACAGCTGTCAGAAGTTGGTAAGGTGGAGGTGGTGAGGAAGAGGAAGGAGTGGGGCTCAGACTGTCAGTAAGTGTGTTTGTGTGTGTGTGTGTGTGTGTGTGTGTGTATATGGGATGGGGAATCTGGACAGCATTTTAGTGCCTCTGAGGTTTGGTTTCTCCATATCAATTTCATTATCTGGTTGGAAATGTTATAAACTCTGAGTGTTATCTTCTAAAAGTAACATTTAAATTTTGGGCCATTTGTGTCACTATTCTGTGACTGCAAATGGAAGGGCTGTTTGCACCAGCCTGTCCCTCACTGGCTAACAGAAGCCTGGGGTTTACAAAGGAGCCTGACTCTGGCCTATGTTGACGGACCTGAACTGGCAAGAGGGTCCATTGATATCAGCTGTCAAACAGGCTCCCAATGAGCTTGCTTAGTTAAAAGTCTTGCCAAATATAAAATGCACTGAGCTCCCATGAGGGCAAAGGCAAACAGTCATGACTGCTGGAGACTTGGGTTGCTTTAGAATTTTCCAAAATTGCCCACAGATGGCACTGTACCCCGTGGCATCTAGAGTAAGTAGCCATCACTGCACTACAGTTCCACCCCTTCAATACAGGCTTTACCAGCGGGCGTGGGATCGACTGCAGCAGCACGAGAGTGTCGAGTTGCCCTCAGAGAGGGAGCAGGGGGCCCTGTGAGGAAGGAAGCGGCGGGGCCCCTCAGTGAGGGGTCGGCAGGACCAAGAGTCCAGCTCTTTCCTTTCCCTCACCCCGACTACGTGACCAACAAAATGCAAAAACTTACGATGTTGATGGGCAAAGAAGCCTTCAAAGATCACAAAGTTGTTCACCTGGAAGATGAAACAAACAAAATACAATCATGCATCACTTAACGATGGGGATACATTCTGAGAAATACGTCATTGGGTGATTTCATTGTGTGAACATCACAGAGTGTACTTACACAAACCTAGACACTATAGCCTACAACACACCCAGACTATATCATACAGCCTATTGCTCCTAGGCTACAAACCTGTACAGCATGTTACTGTACTGAATGCTGTAGGCAATTTTTTTTTTTTTTTGAGAGGCAGAGTCTCGCTCTGTTGCCTAGGCTGGAGTGCAGTGGTGCCATCACAGCTCACTGCAGCATCAACCTGGGCTTAAATGATCCTCCCACCTCAGCCTCCCAAGTAGCTAGGACCACAGGTGCATGCCACCACATCTGGCTACTAATTTTTTTTTAACTTTTTGTAGAGATGGGGGTCTCACTATGATGCCCAGGCCAGTCTCAAACTCCAGGGCTCATGTGATCCTTCTGCCTCAGCCTCCAAAAGTCCTGGGATTATAGACGTGAGCCACCATGCTCAGCCAGCTGTAGGCAATTCTAACATAATGGTTCAGCTGATGTATCTAAACATACCTCAACACAGAAAAGGTACAGTAAAGGTCAGGTGCGGTGGCTCACGCCTGTAATCCCAGCACTTTGGGAGGCCGAGGCGGGCGGATCATGAGGTCAGGAGATCGAGACCATCCTGGCTAACATGGTGAAACCCCATCTCTACTAAAAATACAAAAAAATTAGCCGGATGTGGTGGCGGGCGCCTGTAGTCCCAGCTACTCGGGAGGCTGAGGCAGCAGAATGGCGTGAACCCGGGAGGCAGAGCTTGCAGTGAGCTGAGATCGTGCCACTGCACTCCAGCCTGGGCGATGGAGCAAGACTCCGTCTCAAAAAAAAAAAAAAAGAAAGAAAGTGAAAAGACAATCTACAGAATGGGAGAAAATGTTTGCAAGTCATACATCTGATAAGTGCGTTCTATCTAGAATATATGAAAAACTCTCAGAACAAAAAAGAACACAATTTAAGAACAGACAAAGGACTTGTATAAACTTTTCTCTAAAGAAGATACACAAATGGCCAATAAGCACATAAAAAGGTGCTAAAGTCCAGGTTCAGTGGCTCACACCTGTAATCCCAGCACTTTGGGAGGCTGTGGCAGGCATCACTTGAGGTCAGGAGTTCAAGACCGGTCTGGCCAAGATGGTGAAACCCTGTGTCTATTATAAATACAAAAAATTAGCCAGGCATGGCAGTGTGCACCTGTAATCCTAGCTACTTGGGAGGCTGAGGCAGGAGAGTCGCTTGAACCCAGGAGGCGGAGGTTGCAGTGAGCTGAGATCGTGCCACTGCACTCCAGCCTGGGCAAGAGAATGAGACTCCGTCTCAAAGGATAAATAAATAAATAAAAAATTCAGCAGGGTTCCAAGGGGTGGGGAAAGTCAGGGGAAGACATGCTGGAGGCCAGGATGCTACTTTGATAACTAGTAACTATTAATTTTAGAGTTACTTCATTATATTTTCACATTTAATTTGGCCTTCACAATCCTGGAAGTCACTATTTGAAAGAAGGTTGGGGGAAATACAGCCTTGGAGACATGGCTTCGCTTGGCCAATGCCAAGTAGCTACAAGTGGCAGGGCTGGGCCTCAACTTTCAGACTTCTGATTCCAGCTGCAGTGTTTTAGCCAGGAAAATAGTGTAGCCATTAAGAGTTTACTCAAGAGGAGAGCTTGCAGTGAGCCGAGATGGCAACACTGCACTCCAGCCTGGGCGACAGAGAGAGACTCCGTCTCAAAAAAAAAAAAAAAACTCGGGGGCCAGGCGTGGTGGATCACGCCTGTAATCCCAACAATTTGGGAGGCCAAGGCGGGTGGATCACTTGAGGTCAGGAGTTCGAGACCCTGTCTCTACTAAAAATACAAAAATTAGCTGGGTGTGGTGACGTGCGCCTGTAATCCTAGCTACTCAGGAGGCTGAGGCAGGAGAATCCATTGACCCCAGGAGGGAGAGGCTGTAGTGAGCTGAGATTGCACCACTGTACTTCAGCCTGGGTGACAGAGTGAGACTCCATCTCAAAAAAAAAAGTTTAATGGGGGCTGGGCATGGTGGCTCATGTGGATAGCTTGAGCCCAGGAGTTCAAGACCAGCCTGGGCAATATAGCAAGACCTCATCTCTACAAAAATATTTTTAAAAATTAGCCAGGCGTGGGCCGGGCCCAGTGGCTCAAGCCTGTAATCCCAGCACTTTGGGAGGCCGAGGCGGGCCGATCACGAGGTCAGGAGATCGAGACCACCCTGGCTAACACGGTGAAACCCCGTCTCTACTAAAAATACAAAAAATCAGCCAGCCATAGTGGTGGGCGCCTGTAGTCCCAACTACTTGGGAGGTTGAGGTGGGAAGATCTTTTTTGAGATGGAGTCTCGCTCTGTTGCCAGGCTGGACTTCAGTGGCAAGATCTCAGCTCACTGCAACCTCCACCTCCTGAGTTCAAGCGATTCTCCTGCCTCAGCCTCCGGAGCAGCTGGGACTACAGGCATGCGCCACCATGCCCAGCTAATTTTTGTATTTTCAGTAGAGACAGGGTTTCACCATGTTGGCCAGGATGGTCTTGATCTCTTGACCTCGTGATCCGCCCGCCTTGGCCTTCCAAAGTGCTGGGGTTACAGGCGCGAGCCAATGCGTCCGGCCTTTTTTTTTTTTTAACATGGAATCTCACTCTGTTGCCCATGCTGGAGTGCAATGGTGTCATCTCGGCTCCCTGCAACTTCCACCTCCCAGGTTCAAGCTCTTCTCCTGTCTCAGCCTCCTGAGTAGCTGGGATTACAGGCACATGCCACCACGCCCGGCTTATTTTTGTATTTTTAATAGAGATGGGGTTTCGCCATGTTGGCCAGGCTGGTAGGGAAGATCTCTTGAGCCTAGGAGGTAGAGACTGCAGTGAGCCGTGATCGTGCCACTGCACTCCAGCCTAGGCAACAGAGCAAGACCTTGCCTCAAAAAGAAAAAAAAAAAAAAAGTTCACTGGGTGCAAATGGCTATGGGTTCAAATGTGGACTCTACTATTTACTGGCTGTGTGAATTTGGTTAAGTCATTAATTTGTATAAACCCAAAATAGGTTTAATAATAGTACCTACCTCAAAAAGATGTGCAAGAATCCACTGAGATGATGCATATAGATACCACATAGAGCCCATGAAATGTGAATTATTATTTACACTCTATACTGCTCTGGCCTTACATGTTAACTGGGTAATGTGTTTCATATCGAATACTGTGCTCCAGGACCGGGTATGGTGGCTCACGGCTGTAATCGTAGCACTTTGGGAGACCGAGGTGGGCGGATCACTTGAGGTCAGAAGTTCGAGACGTCTGGCCAACATGGTGAAACCTCATCAACACAAAAATTAGCCAGGTGTGGTGGTGGGCGCCTCTAATCCCAGCTACTCAGGAGGCTGAGGCAAGAGAATTGCTTGGACTCAGGAGGCAGAGGTTCCAGTGAGCTGAGATTGTGCCACTGCACTCCAGCCTGGGCGACAGACTGAGACTCCATCTCAAAATACAAACAAACAAACAAAAAAAAACTGTGCTCCTTCCACTGCTCTCTGTTGCCTCTTAATGGAAAAATATACTGTAGGAAGACCCTGCCTATCCCTTGCCTTGACCTTGTTGTAATGTCTACCAGCCCATCCTCATCACCCCCACCCCCCAACAAGCACATGCCCAGCACTCCAACCACACCACACTGCTTGTAGTGTCCTGAAAGGTGGTTTATTTTTATTTATTTATTTATTTTTTTTGAGACAGTGTCTTGCTCTGTCGCCCAGGCTGGAGTGCAGTGGCATGATCTGGGCTCACTGCAAGCTCCGCCTCCTGGGTTCACGCCATTCTCCTGCCTCAGCCTCCTGATTAGCTGGGACTACAGGCGCCTGCCACCACGCCCAGCTAATTTTTTTTGTATTTTTAGTAGAGACGGGGTTTTACCGTGTTAGCCAGGATGGTCTCGATCTCCTGACCTTGTGATCCGCCTACCTTGGCCTCCCAAAGTGCTGGGATTACAGGTGTGAGCCACCACGCCTGGCCTGAAAGGTGGTTTAATACCTTTCTGCCTTTGCTCATGCCTGTTCCTCTACATGAAATGCACTTTAGCCTTTTGTCCACCTGACAAACACTTGCCTTTCAAGATTAGACATGTCATCTTTCTTTACCCAACCCCCAGCCCAAGATAGCACTCAAATCCATGTCCTTATGCCTCCTCTGTAATCACATCTATCAAATCATGTTACAATGGATTAACTGTCCATGTTCCTATCCAAGGCTAACTTGTCAACCAAATCTCAACGCCCCCGCCGCCCATTCAATGACATCACTTCAACAGTTCTCCCCACTTTCTCTGACATAATAATATTTTCTCTCTACTGAATCATTCTAATGCTATTTGTTCTCCCATCTGCAAAAGATCAACTCTTTTGATCCACTTCACTCTCCAGCTCTTGCTCTATTTCTATTCCCATTAAAGCAGGATTTAAAAGAGTAGCTTATTCTTGCTGTGTTCCTAGCTTCTCAGTCTACAAGACCCACTGCATCCAGGCTTCCAAACACCGCTGCACCAAAACTGCTCATTAAGATCACCAATGGCCTAACGCAGATAAATCCAATGGTAACTTCTCAGACCTCTTTGCTCCTTGATCAGCAGCATTTGACCAAGTAAACCATTCCTTCCTCCTGGAAACACTTTCTTCAGTGGCCTTTGAGGTCACCTTACTTTTCAGTTTTCTTTTCTTTTTTTTTTTTTTTGAGATGGAGTTTCGCTTTGTTGCCCAGGCTGGAGTGCAATGGCATGATCTCGGCTTACTGCAACCTCCACCTCCCAGATTCAAGTGATTGTCCTGCCTCAGCCTCCCAAGTAGCTGGGATTACAGGCATGAGCCACCTCGCCTGGCTAATTTTGTATTTTTTGTAGAGATGGGGTTTCACCATGTTGGTCTTGAACTCCTGACCTCAGGTGATCCACCCGACTCGGCCTCCCAAAGTGCTGGGATTACAGGTGTGAGCCACCACACCCGGCCTCAGTTTTCATCTACTTCACTAGTCACTCTGTGGTTGCATTTGCTGGTCTTCTTCTCTTCCTTAACTTCTTTTTGTTGCTGTTAGAACAACTCAGCAAAATAAAATTTGGGTTTATTGTTGCACAATATTGTTTCACACATACATCAAATAGGCCTAAATAAATAAGCAGCCATTTCATAGACAAAAAAGGCAAATAAATGAAACATTTTATCTTTGGCCTTTTTAACCATCTCACACAAACCAACTACTTATGGTACAACTAACTACATACACTAAAGAAGCTACTGGAATGCTCAGAACGAGACTTTTTGTTGTTGTTGTTGTTTTTGAGATGTAGTCTCGCTCTGTTGCCCAGGCTGGAGTGCAGTGGCACAATCTTGGCTCACTGCAAGCTCTGCCTCCCGGGTTCACGCCATTCTCCTGCCTCAGCCTCCCAAGTAGCTGGGACTACAGGCTCCCGCCACCACGCCTGGCTAATTTTTTGTATTTTTAGTAGACAGGGGGTTTCACCATGTTAGCCAGGATGGTCTCGATCTTCTGACCTCGTGATCCACCCACCTCGGCCTCCCAAAGTGCTGGGATTACAGGCGCGAGCCACCGCGCCCAGGCTTTTTTTTTTTTTTTAAACAAGGTTTTTTTTTTTTTTTTTTTTCCTCCTTTGAGATTATAATGAATATGGTCACACCACAAGTAAAGTCAGAAGTAAGACAGAGAACCCTCCAAAGGCTGGCTTGGTCATCTGAGATCATTAAAAATGACTGAACCTGGCTGGGCGCCGGTGGCTCACGCCTGTAATTCGAGCACTTTGGGAGGCCGAGGTAGGTGGATCACAAGGTCAGGAGATAGAAACCATCCTGGCCAACCTGGTGAAAGCCTGTCTCTGCTAAAAATACAAAAATTAGCTGGGTGTGGTGGCGGGCGCCTGTAATCCCAGCTACTCAGGAGGCTGAGGCAGGAGAATCACTTGAACCCAGGAGGTGGAGCTTGCGGTGAGCCAAGATCGCACCACTGCACTTGAGCCTGGCGACAGAGCTAGACTCCGTCTCAAAGAAAAAAAAAATGACCCTAACAATATGTACAAAAATATAAAATGTAAATAAAAAATACAAACAAACTTCCTTTTTAAAGTACTTTTAAAAGAGCAAGACCTTGGAAGTTTTGGTTCTTTTTTCCTCCTCTGTTGCAAATTCTCTGGTTTGGGTTGGGTGGTGGTGAGTGCCTGTCATCTGCAGTGGCACTGTCTGTGGAGGGCAAGCAGGCCTCTCGAGGGCAACCATGTTTAGATTCTGAGATGGGAAGTGGAGGGTGAATAGGTCACGGTGGCCTTAATTTAAAGTTTAACTTTTCTTTTTTTGCTGTCTAATCATCCTCACTGGCCTTCTGCTGCTTGGTATCAACATCGTCATCTTCATCATCATCAGCTGCCCATTTGTCCATACCGCCTCAGCTGCTTCGTTTTCATCTCCGTTCTTTTCTTCACCATCACCTTCCTCTTCCTTCTCCTCTTTCTCCCCACCCTGTTCCTCTTCTTCATCTACCTCGTTGTCAGCCTCCTGCTCCCCATTTTCCTCATTAGCGTTCCCGTTAGCATGGGCGTCTCTTCCACTTTCTGCCTCCTCCACAACTTCTCCTTGAAGTCCTTGGTGGTGATCACGGAGCTTGTGTCCACAACTGCCTCTGACATGGTGGGGCACAGCGGTGATCCGATGCAAGGGATTAAGAAGAAAGTGAGAGTTTGGGGACTATGTCGATTAAGCTGCCAGACTCTGAGGCAGCAGAGGAAGTGCATGGCGGAGGTGGCTGTGGTGAGCAGGACACCGAACCAGGAACAATGCAAAGATGGCTTTTCAGAGCAGCCAGTTGGGGGTCCTCACTTCTTAAAGAGGGCCCAAAGGGGCAGCTTCTCTATCTATAATCTTTCTATGGTGATCGCATCCTGTCTGTTGGCTTTAGATACCAGATGTATGCTGAAAACTCTCCTCCCCAAACCTCCTCCCTGATCTCCAGGGAAGTATCCAACTGTCTACTCAAACCTGGACATATCACAGACATCTCCAATTAACATATTAAAAATGTACTCCTAGTATTTCCCCCAAAGCTGGTCTACCTACCATCTCAGTTAAAGCAACTTCATTCTTCCAGCTGCTCAGGCTTTGGCATTGTCCTAAAGTCCTCTTTCTCCACATACAATCTGTCAGGAAATCTTACTTGCTTTACCTTCAAAATATTTAAAATTTGACCACTCTTTACCATCACTACTGCTACCACCTTGGTCTGAGCCACCACCATTTTTCGCCAGGATTGTTGCTGCCTAATTAGTCTACTTGCTTCTACTCTGGCTCCCTTATTGCCGTTTCCATTTTTTTTTTTTTTTTGATATGGGGTCTTACTCTGTCACCAGGCTAGAGTGCAGTGCAGTGGCACAATCTCAGCTCACTGCAACCTCTACCTCCCTGATTCAAGCAATTCCCCTGCCTCAGTCTCCCGAGTAGCTGGGATTACAGGCGAGCACCACCACACCTGGCTAATTTTTTTTTCTATTTTTAGTAGAGATGGGGTTTCACCATGTTAGCCAGACTGGTCTTGAAGTCCTCAGGCAATCCACCTGCCTCGGCCTCCCAAAGTGCTAGGATTACAGGTGTGAGCCACTGTGCCCGGCTATTGCCTGTTCTTAACAGCCAAAGTGATCTTGTTAAAAAGGAAAAAATCAAGATCACAGCCAAAATGATCTTTTTCTTTTTTCTTTGATGGAGTCTCGTTCTGTTATCCAGGCTGGAGTGCAGTAGTGCGATCTCAGCTCACTGCAACCTCTGCCTCCCAGGTTCAAGCGATTCTTCTATCTCAGCCTCCCAAGTAGCTGGGGCTACAGGTGCCCGCCACCACACCCGGCTAATTTTTGTATTTTTAGTAGAGATGGGGTTTCACCATATGGCCAGGCTGGTCTCGAACTCCTGACCTTGTGATCCACCTGCCTGGGCCTCCCAAAATGCTGGGATTACAGGAATGAGATACCACACCTGGCGCTATTTTTTTTTTTTTTTTTTTTTAAGAAGGAGTCTTGCTCTGTCGCCCAGGCAGGAGTGCAGTGGTACAATTTCAGCGGCTCACTGCAACCTCCGCCTCCCGGTTCTAGTGATTCTCCTGCCTCAGACTCCCAAACAGCTGGGATTACAGGCACCTGCCATCACACCCAGCTAATTTTGGTATTTTCAGTAGAGACCTCAGGTGATCCACCTACCTCGGCCTCCCAAAGTGCTGGGATTACAGGTGTGAGTCGCCACCCCTGGCCTGATCTTATTTTTTACTTAAAATAAAAGCCAGTCTTTGCAGTAGCCTATAAGGCCCCTCCTCCGCATTACCTCTCTGGTCTCATCTCCTACCATACTCCTCCGCTGACTCATGCTGCTCTGGACACAGCCAATTTGCTCTTTCAGGCACACTCCCACCTCACGGCCATACACTGGTGGTACCTTCTGTCTGGGATGCTCTCTCTCCAGATATTTCTTGGCTCTTACTCTTTTTTTTTGTTTGTTTGTTTTGAGACAGTCTCACGTTGTTACCCAGGCTGCAGTGCAGTGGTACCATCTCGGCTCACTGCAGCTTCGACCTCCTGGGCTTAAGCAATCCTCCTGCCTCAGACCCCCAAGTAGCTGGGACCACAGGTGCGTGCCACTACACCTGGCTAATTTTTGTGTTTTTTGTAGAGATGGGGTTTCACCATGTTGCCTAGGCTAGTCTCGAACTCCTGGGCTCAAGTGATCCACCCACCTCGGCCTCCCTAAGTACTAGGATTGCAGATGTAAGTCACCACGCCCAGCCTTGGTTTTTATTCTTTTTTTTTGAGATGGAGTCTCGCTCTGTCACCCAGGCTGGAGTGCAGTGGCGCGATCTCGGCTCACTGCAAGCTCTGCCTCCCAGGTTCACGCCATTCTCCTGCCTCAGCCTCCCGAGTAGCTGGGACTACAGGCACCCAGCTAATTTTTTTGTATTTTTTTTAGTGGAGACAGGGTTTCACCATGTTAGCCAGGATGGTCTAGATCTCCTGACCTCGTGATCCGCGCGCCTCGGCCTCCCAAAGTGCTGGGATTACAGGCATGAGCCACCGTGCCCGGCCAGTTTTTACTCTTACTTCCTTTCAGTTATTGCTCAAATGACACTTTCTCAGTGATGATCCCCTTTCAACCTGCAATCCCACATACTCCCATCCCCACCTTACTTGAGTACTCCCAAACCCTTACTTGCTCTCATTTTTCCAGAGCACTTATTAACCATATTGTTTATTATGTTTGTTTGTCTCTCCAGCTAGAATATAAGCTCCACCACTAAGACAGGGACTTTTGTCTGTTCCCTTCTTTTTCTGTTTTTTTTTTTTGTTCCGAGACAAGAGTCTCGCTTCGTCCCCCAGGGTGGAGTGCTGTAGCAGGACCTCGGCTCACTGTAACCTCTGCCTCCGGGGTTCAAGCAATTCTCCTGCCTCAGCCTCCCGAGTAGCTGGGATTACAGGCGCACGCCATCATGCCCAGTTAATTTTTATATTTTTAGTAGAGACAGGGTTTCACTATGTTCCACATGCTGATCTCGAACTCCTGATATCAGGTGATCCTCCTGCCTTGGCCTCCCAAAGTGTGGGGATTACAGGCATGAGCCACCATGCCTGGCCCTTTTTCTTTTTCTTTTTTGAGATGGAGTCCTCACTCTGTCGCTCAGGCTGGAGTGCAGTGGTGCAATCTTGGTTCACTGCAACCTCTGCCTCCCGGGTTCAAGTGATTCTCCTGCCTCAGCCTCCTGGGTAGCTGGGATTACAGGTACCCACCATCATGCCCCGCTAATTTTTGTATTTTTAATAGAGACGGGGTTTTACCATGTTGACCAGGCTGGTCTCAAACTCCTGACCTCAAGTGATTCGCCCACGTCAGCCTCCCAAAGTGCTGGGATTACGGGCATGGGCCACCGCACCGCACCTGGCCTTTTTTTCTGTTTTTGTTTTCATTTTTGGAGACAGGGTCTCTCTCTGTTGCCCAGGCTATAATGCAGTGGCGCGATCTTGGCTCACTGCAACCTCTGCCTCCCAGGCTCAAGCGATTCTCCCATTTCAGCCTCCCAAGTAGCTGGGACTACAGGCTCGTGCCACCACGCCTGGCTAATTTTTTTTTGTATTTTTTGTAGAGACAGAGTTTCGCTATGTTGCCCAGGCTGTTGTCTGTTTCATTGAGTAAACCATTCCTAGTGCCCAGAACACTGCCAGGCACTCAATGTTTATTGGATGAATGGGTAGCATTAGTAACATTTTGCTGCACTTAGTTATAAACAAGACTTCCTTCCCTATATTAGGCCAAAGCTCCATGAGGACAGGGAATGCATATTATTCTGGACCCTTAATAAATACTGACTGACCAGATGAGTAATGAACTATGTGAAAACAAGGAGGTGAAAATGAGCTGGCTATGTTTGGGTTGAAAATTAGTCATAAGGGGTCGGGCACGGTGGCTCACGCCTGTAATCCCAGCACTTTGGGAGGCCGAGGCGGGCAGATCACAAGGTCAGGAGATCTAGACCATCCTGGCTAACACGGTGAAACCCCATCTCTACTAAAAATACAAAAAATTAGCTGGGTATGGTGGTGGGCACCTGTAGTCCCAGCTACTCGGGAGGCTGAGGCAGGAGAATGCCGTGAACCTGGGAGGCGGAGCTTGCAGTGAGCTGAGATCGTGCCACTGCACTCCAGCCTGGGTGACAGAGCGACTCTGTCTCAAAAGAAAATTAGGCATAAGGGTTGTGTGCGGTGGCTCACACCTGTAATCCCAGCACTTTTGGGAGGCTGAGGTGGGCACATCACTTGAGGCCATGAGTTCAGGACCAGTCTGTCCAACATGGTGAAACTCCATCTCTACTAAAAATACAAAAATTAGCTGGGCATGATGGTGCATGCCTGTAATCCCTACTACTCAGGAGGCTGAGGCACAAGAATCACTTGAACCCCGGAGGCAGAGGTTGCAGTGAGCTGTGATCGTGCCACTGCAATCCAGCCTGGACGATGGAGCAAGGCTACATCTCACAAAAAAAAAAAAAAAGAAAAATTAGGTGTAGGAAACAACTTGTGGTAAAGAATCAAAATAAGTCTGGGTACAGTGGCTCACGCCTATAATCCCAGCACTTTGGGAGGCTGAGGCAGGTGGATCTCTTGAGCCAGGAGTTCAAGACCACCCAGTGCAACATAGTGAGACCTCATCTCTACAAAAAATAAAAAATTAGCCAGGCATGGTGGTGCATGCCTGTAGTCTCAGCTACTCAGGAGGCTAAGGGAGGAGTATCGCTTGAGCCCAGAAGGTTGGGCTGCAGTGAGCCAAGATCCTGCCATAGCACTCCAGCTTGGGCAACAGCAGGAGACTCTGCTTTGAAAAAAAAAAAAAAAAAGTCAGATGCGGTGGCTCACACCTGTAATCCCAGCATTTTGGGAGGCCAAGGCGGGCAGATCACAAGGTCAGGAGTTTGAGACCAGCCTGGCCAGTATGGTGTAACTCCGTCTCCACTAAAGATATAAAAATTAGCTGGGTGTGGTGGTGGGTGCCTGTAGTCCCAGCTACTCAGGAGGCTGAAGCAGGAGAATCGCTTGAAACCAGGAAGTGGAGGTTGCAGTGAGCTGAGATTGCGCCACTGTACTCCAGCCTGGGCAGCATGGCGAGACTCCATCTCAAAAAAAAAAATCAAAATAGATGAGAAAGAAGTCACTACAGGATGAGAGATGGTACCACAAGAGAAAGAAAGAGCCTGGTTGTAGAAAATGAAACCTATGTGATAGGAAATAAGTCACTACTTCTTTGCCATAAATAACAAATAAATTCAATGGGAATGCTCAGTGGGGATCTATTCTCTGAAACCTCTAACCTGTGGGACTGTGGTCTCCAGATTGTAGTGCTTATTCAGGAATTTCAGCAGCTTCTGTGAGGGTCGGTCAATTGCCAGTTGGTGCGGTTCCACTCGCTCCTTCTGCAGGGAAAAGGAGACTCAGGGTAGGAGGAAGTATGGGGAAAGCATGCCAACAGGAAGCCAGAAGCCTGGGAAGGGAATAGAATGACATGGGAACATGGGGGGTGGGAGGCAGGGCTTCTGGAAGGGCTCAGGGCAAAGGAGCCCCTAGTTTGGATGAACCAGTGAAGAGGTCAGTGATACCTGCAACATATACTGGAAGAGTTCTCGCCCATGGCCATGGCGTTGCACAGACTCATGGATGTAAAAGTCCAGGATGCAAAGTGGTTCTACCTCATTATGAGCCTCACGATCATCCTAAGAGAGAAACAATAAAAATGTTTTAGGAACCCCGGCATCTCTGCTGCCCCCTAACCTCCAGCACTTTTGTTCTCAGAAACCAAGGTATACGAACTCCTAGCATCCAATAACACTCACCAGTACAAAGAGCTTCTTGTATCCAACTTTGATGAAACCAATAATGGCTCCTTTTCCAGCCCTGTAGGACGGGGAAAATAATGAACAGGCTAGTGGTATCTATCTGCAAGAGATAGTCAAAGATGGGGGAAGGGCTGAGGAAGGAAGGAATTAAGTATGGGATGGAAGAGCATGTGGCACTCACGGTCGGGCTGAACTGTCTTTGAGAATATAAACAACATGGCGGTTACTCTGCATCCTTGATGCACTAGTGATAGGAGCGGAAAGATTCTGGGCCTGCAGGGAAGATTAAGTCAGACTTTCTGCAAGTCTCTCCGAAGGACCCAGGCCTCCCTTATATACCATCCCCACAGAGGTCCTCCCTTTACTCCATCTAAAAACTCTCCAGTACCTTGGCAGAAGCCTTGCCCAGTTCATCTATAATGGTCATAATTTGCTGCTGTAGATCAACACTAGAGAAAGAGAAGAAATAAAGAGTCAGATACTCACTAAATTAGCGGGTCCTAGGCAGTCAGTCCTGGGAACCTGGGCCACAACTCCAACCCAGGTTTAACACTGAAGGCTCCCTGCCTTTGCCTGGGAGTCTTCCAATCTGATTTCCCACCCCACCCTTCTGAAACCCAAACTTCTGTCACACCTTTCAAGGTGGCACACTCCCTCCTCCCTTAAGGTTATTGTGAGGAAGCAGAAAGGCCAGGTCAACCACATCCTTTGATTGGGACATTTTGGGCCCGGGGTGAAAGGTCACAGATCCAAGCGCTGATCAATCCCACTAGGCCCAGGGTCAGAGGTCACCAAAAAGGCAGGCCTGGACATCAAAAGGGGCGATCACTAGTCAGTGAGAAGGGGGCGTGGTGCCTGGACCAGGTTTGGAGAGGAACCGGGAGAAAAGGGCCAGAGGGTGGGTTTGAGCTGTCACCGGGCCGGCGTTGTGGTTCCGGGTCGGCGGGCTGGGGGCCTCAGGTGCTGGTCCAGCACCGTGATCCGCTCCGGGAACAGCGCGTCCACATCGAACGGGAACTCCATGGCCCATTGTGCGCGGTCGGACCCGCCCCACACGACGTCACTTCCGCCCCTCCTCTCGCCGCACCGCCTCTCGGAGTCTTTATTTCCAGGAGCCCCGCCTGTAGACCTTGCCCCCTAGCGTCCTGGCAACTGACAGGGCCCCCGTTTTTCTTGCCAAACCAGCTGTGCCCCTAGCAGTGCCACTCCTTTCCATCCCTGCATCCCACGGCAGTGAGTGCCATGGCAACGTAGTCTTCCTTGGCCCAGTGTCTCACTGTCCAACCTTTTATCCCCTCAGTGAACAGTGGGCCATGCTGTGGAGTGGGGGCCCACAAGGCATCTTGACAGAGTGGCACAGCTGCCCATCCCCGGCTTCTAGTCCCAGGCGTCACAGGCAAGGCTGGCTTAAGCCTGACCACTTATCTCCCCACAGCATCACCCAATTGCTTATATGAAAAGACCATCACTCAGCCCACCCCCCGCTAATGGCATTCATCGGAAACAGCCCAAAGCAAACCAGAGACAGTAGAGCTTTATTGTGTAAAAGCTGAGTTGGTAGAAGTATGAAACGGCAACAATGTTTAGCCCAGCCCATCTATTTACAATATATAGGGGTTGGGGTTTCCCATACACATCTGTACCACCCGCCCTCAGCCTCAAGATTTATCCCTATCAGCAACATTCATTTCCTGGATTTGTCACTGGCCACAAAAGACACAACTCTTCAGGGTGATATCCCATCACATAAACCTACATACACATTATCTCCTAGTCCCTCTAGCTCTCTTCCCAGTCTTTTTTTTTTTTTTTGAGACAGGGTCTAGCTGTCACCCAGGCTGGAGTGCAGGGGTGTGACTGCAACTCACTGCAACCTCCGCCTCCTGGGATCAAGTGATCCTACCTTAGCCTCCCCAATAGTTGAGACTACAGGTGTGCACCACCACACCCAGCTAATTTTTGTATTTTTTGGTAAAGACGAGGTTTCACCATGGTGCCCAGGCTGGTCTCAAACTCCTGGGATCAAGTGATCAGCCCACCTTGGCTTCCCAAAGTGCTGGGATTACAGGAGTGAGCCACCACGCCTGGCCTCTCTTCCCAGTCTACAGCTCCTACAGAGCACTCTGAGGGCCTGTCTGCCCAGTGGAGGAGGCTTCCGCTGGTGTTCTAGGGGGCATCTTGGGCATTGACTCAGGTGGGGGGCCACTCTCTTCTTGGAGATGACCCTGGTAAAGCCGGCGAAGGCGAGACAGTTCTCTCTCCGGTGGCTGTTTCCAGTTGTACCATGGGTACCAGGGGTCACCTGAGACCAGGGTGGGGGCTGGCGGAGTAGCACTCACAGCCCCATGAGAGGTACTGAAGTCAAGGTCCCGTGGTTCAACCTGGGGGATGTGGTAAATGAGGAGACCTAAGGGATTAAAAAAGAAAAGAAATTTAAGAGGCAATGAGGAGGGTGGTTTAGATGAAGTAAGAAAAAGGATTATAAAGGGAAGGACCAGTCAGAGCCACCAGGTACATTTATGCATGTTGTATACTGCAAACAGGTGACCGGCCCAGAGGGCAAGTGTGGGCTGACATACTGCTGGGGCTCTTGCTTACAAAGCTGTGCAGTGCTGAACAAGGACTATGAAGCTGCATCTGCCCTAGCAGAGGGGTATACTTTTTACTAACTTATGCAGCAGTGCCATGTAGTCCAGGGCCAGACATTTATATAAAGAACTTCCTAAGGCATTGAGACCAGCAGTTGTAAAATAGGAGGGAAAAGGATGGAAAGACAAAGAACAAGGAGACAGGACAATGATAAAGTAAGACACTCAGGAGAAAGGACAGGGGACAATGTAACGTCAGGAAGAACATGCTGGGTGCTACCATCTTGAACAGGTGTGAGCATTTATATCCATTTTCTAGCCCTAAGTCATCTTCCTTATACCTAAACAAAACTGCTGTGTGCCCCGTCTCATGCTCACCATGATCCCTGGCTTTCTGGATGGCCTGGGTCAACCGCTTGTGCTGCTTCACACAGACTCCTGTGGGGAGAAAAATATCTTGTTCTTTAAGGCACAGTAAATAATAGAACACAACTGCTTCCATATGGTGACAGAGGGGTAGATTGGGAAGGATTGGCTTTACCTAATGACCCCTTTCCCCTGACCCCTCCATGGACCTCAGTTTCCCCATCTGCCCAAAGGAAAGAATCTCCCCCATCTTTTGGAGAGCTGGGATAAAGATTTAGGAGGGTCTAGCCACTATAGAGAAGCCATTTAATGGTAAAACCTCCAAGACAGGGAGAACACAATTTAATGGGCAAGTGTGGTTAATTAGAGGGTTGAGTTGAACAATCCACAAAGATTCAATAAAGGGAAAAGAGATTTCAGAGTTGGGGAAGGCAATCTGAGAGAGTAACAATAATAGTCCCTTCAGCCTTTACAGCTTGACTATAAGAAACTCTTGACAAACTGAACACTGATTGTACTGCCACCCCCAACAATGGTGAATTCAGATTATTCTCTGCAAGGCCAGGCACGGTGGCTCATGCCTATAATCCCAGCATTTTGGGAGGCTTAGGTGGGAGGATCACTTGAGGTCAGGAGTTCAAGACCAGACTGGCCAAAATGGTGAAACCCTGTCTCTACTAAAAATACAAAAAAAATTAGCCAGGCACAGTGGCACGTGCCTGTAATCCCAGCTACTTGGGAGGCTGAGGCAGGAGAACTGCTTGAACCCAGGAGGTGGAGACGGCAGTGAGCCAAGATCATGCCACTGCACTCCAGCCTTGGGTGACAGAGTAAATGAGATTTCATCCCCCCACCCACACCCCCCCAAAAAAAACAAAAACAAAGATTAGTCTCTGCCGGGCACGGTGGCTCATGCCTGTCATCCCAGCACTTTGGAAGGCCAAGGCAGCTGGATCACCTGAGATCCGGAGTTCGAGACCAGCCTGACCAACATGGAGAAACCCCATCTCTATTTGCCGGACATGGTGGCATGTGCCTGCAATCCCAGCTACTCAGGGGGCTGAGGCAGGAGAATCACTTGAACTTGGGAGGCAGAGGTTGTGGTGAGGCAAGATTGCACCATTGCACTCCAGCCTGGGCAACAAGAGTGAAACTTCGTCTCAAAAAAAAAAAACAACAAAAAATTATTCTCTGCAAATTTGTCTTGCTTCAGAGCAGGGGTTAGCAAAATTTTTCTGTCTAGAGTCATATAGTAAATATTTTAAACTCTGCAGGTCCTGTGGTCTCTGTCTCAGCTACTCAACTCTGCCATTGTAGCATGGAAGCAATTGCAGAAAATATGAAAACAAATGGACGTGACAGTGGGCCAGATTTGCCCTGTGACTGTAGTTAGGGAATAAATATAATTCTGAATTGTTAAATTTACGATTCCAAGTTTGGAAAATCTAATCCAATTGACAATGATATAAAATAACTTATGTGACAATTTGTGAGAAGTCTTTTGTAAAAGTTAAAAGACCCTATAGAAAGGAATTAATCACTGTTTATCAATTAAAAACTACATTTAGATAGTTTGCTTACAGAAGTACTTGTTTTTTTCTTTTTCCTTTTTTTTTTTTGAGATGGAGCTTCACTTGATGCCCAGGCTGGAGTGCAATGGCGCAATGTTGGCTCACCACAACCTGTGCCTCCTGGGTTCAAGCGACTCTCCTGCCTCCGCCTCCTGAGTAGCTGGGATTACAGGCATGCATCACCACAGGGTTTCTCCATGTTGGTCAGGCTGGTCTCGAACTCCCAACCTCAGGTGATCCAGCCGCCTCGGCCTCCCAAAGTGCTGGGATTACAGGCATGAGCCACCACGCCTGGCTGTATTTGTTGTTTTCTTTTGTCCACATTTAATTACTTTAGCCCCCAGCAAGCCAAGATTTCCAAAAGGTTCAGCCAGACCTTTTAGGCTATAAGCAGGAGCCACTGAACAAATACCTATTGGCCAACTACATAAACAAGGCATGCCACAAGGAAAAGCTCTCTGGTGGTGCAGGGATGATGGGCTAACCTGTGTATGGAGCATAGAAGATGATACCCGTGTGGGCGCAGACAAATTGCTCCAAGAGCTTCACGTTCTGTGGGGGAAAGTGGTAGAGAAACGTGAGGAAAAGAGGCAGGGAGAGCAGCAGGATCTTTGGACATCGAAAGTACACAATCCCTACACACCCACATGGACCACCTTCACCCCTCTACAGCTCTCCAGATGCCATCCTCCTTCATGTCCCAGTTTGGCTTCATCAATTCACTGAATCCATCCTTGCACATCCCATATTCTGTCACTGTGCTCCCATAGAAATCTCTTATGCAGAGGTTAAGTTCTTTTTTTTTTTTTTTTTTTTTTTTTTGAGACAGAGTCTCCCTGTGTTGCCCAGGCTGGAGTGCAGTGGCGCGATCTCAGCTCACCACAACCTCCGCCTCCCAGGTTCAAGCAATTCTCTGCCTTAGCCTCCCGAGTAGCTGGGGTTACAGGCGCCTGCCACCACACCTGGCTAATTATTTTGTATCTTTAGTAGAGATGCGGTTTCACCATCTTGGCCAAGCTGGCCTTGAACTCCTGACCTAGTGATACACCCACCTTGGCCTCAGAAAGTGCTGGGATTACAGGCATGAGCCACCGCGCCTGGGCTGCAGAGGTTAAGTTCTAACGTCAGCCTTTAGGTGAAAAACTGGGGCTGGTCATTGGAAATCCCAGAAATCACCCAAAAAATGATATTGTAATGTGTATGTATAAACAACTAATGTATTTAATAGTATGCTGAATATAATTTATATACTAAGAATAATTTTACAATTTACATAGAACTCTCTCTCAGCAAATTAACTAGGAAATGAGACTCTTGAAAAAAAAGCAGGTACATTGTAGAGTAGAATGCAAGCAGAATCACCCATGCTACTAAATTTGTAACATTTCTCTCTCTCAGTTATGTAATTAATTATAATCTCTGTTTTGTTTTGTTTTTGAGACGGAGTCTCGCTCTGCTGCTCAGGCTGGAGTGCAGTGGTGCAATCTTGGTTCACTGTAACCTCCATCTCCCAGGTTCCAGTGATTCTCCTGCCTCAGCCTCCTGAGAAGCTGGGACTACAGGCGCCCGCCATCACACCCAGCTAATTTTTTTTGTATTTTTAGTAGAGACGGCGTTTCACCTTGTTGGCCAGGCTGGTCTCAAACTCCTGACCTCAAGTGATCCACTCACCTTGGCCTCCCAAAGTGCTGGGATTACAAGCATGAGCCACCGCACCTGGCCATAATCTCTTTTTATAACCAATTATATGCAATTGAAACTGGGAAATTATCTATGGGACTCCTAAATAACCTGTGTTAGAAGGGTTCTTATTGCAGTCAAATACCCCCATTTTCTGACTGTTATCCAAATGCTCTACTACTTCCCTGATGATCAGCCATATAGCTTCTGCTCTAATACTTTTGCTGCAAGCTCAGAAGAACACTTTCCCATTATCTGTTTTATTGATATAATGTTTTCAAATTCTTTTTGTTTTGTTTTTCTTTGAGGAGTTTCACTCTTTCGCCCAGGCTGGAGTGCAGTGGTGCAATCTCAGCTCACTGCAACCTCCGCCTCCCGGGTTCAAGCAATTCTCCTGCCTCAGCCTCCCAAGTAGCTGGGATTATAGGCGCCTGCCACCATGCCTGGCTAATTTTTGTATTTTTAGTAGAGACAGGGTTTCACCACGTTGGCCAGGCTGGTCTCAAACTCCTGACCTCAGGTGAAGCACCTGCCTGGGCCTCCCAAAGTGCTAGCATTACAGGCATGGGCCGCCGCACCCAGCCAATATGTTTTCAAATTCTTTAAGGAGCAAATCCTGTCCTTCTCACATATTGAAGGCTTTTTGAAAAATAATGGACTCTATCTTGCTTCATATACCTGCCCTCCAGCCCCAGGTGCCAGCATGGCACTGAACATTGACAAGGAAATAAAGAAAACCTCAGGAAGAAAGTGGGCCAATATATTTGGTAATAACTGTAATGAATACAAACGAATCTTTGGATATTGGCTCTCCCACTAGAAATAGCCATTTCGCTGGCTGGGTGTGGTGGCTCACACCTGTAATCCCAGCATTTTGGGAGGCCGAGGCGGGTGGGTCACAAGGTCAGGAGTTTGAGACCAGCCTGGCCAATATGGTGAAACTCTGTCTCTACTAAAAATACAAAAAATAGCTGGGCTTGGTGGCACAAGCCTGTAGTTACAGCTACTTGGGAGGCTGAGGCGGGAGAATCGCTTGAACCCAGAAGGCGGAGGTTGCAGTGAGCTGAGATCACGCCACTGCACTCCAGCCTTGGCAACAGAGTAAGACTCCGTCTCAAAAAAAAAAAACAGCCATTTCTCTTACCTGCCAATTTAGACTGTAAATTTCATAGGCATAGGATAAAACTTTCAGTACAATCCATAGTAGAAGGTAAAAGGCTGGAGGGATGTTTTTATAATGCCAGAAACAGTTACTATAAAACGGACTGTAGGGCCTCCTGGATATACGAAGTGTGGGGCACCTACAGTAATCTCTTTGGCACTGCAAAGGGGCTCCTAATCTTTATTTTTCTTTTTAATTTTTTTTATTTTATTTTATTTTTTTTTTGAGACGGAGTCTCACTCTGTCGCCCAGGCTAGAGTGCGGTGATGCGATCTCAGCTCACCGCAAGCTCTGCCTCCCGGGTTCACGCCATTCTCCTGCCTCAGCCTCCTGAGTAGCTGGGACTACAGGCGCCCGCCACCACAACCGGCTAATTTTTTGTATTTTTAGTAGAGACGGGGTTTCACCGTGTTAGCCAGGATGGTCTTGATCTCCTGACCTCATGATCCACCTGCCTTGGCCTCCCAAAGTGCTGGGATTACAGGCGTGAGCCACCGCGCCCAGCCCCTAATCTTTATTTTTCTTACCCTAAAAAGAAAAGACTCTCCTTACCCTAAAGTCAACATGCAACTTGTGATCTCGACAGATGGGGCAGGGATTCCCAACAACTTTATTCCGACGCTGTAGAGAGAAAAAAAACAGCAGTTAAGGATGTTCAAACACGTCAGAAAAAGTGCTGCTGTTACTGTTACTTGTGGCCTCCCCGCACTCCACATCCCACTCTCAGAAACTCACAATACATGTCTTCCGAGTCCGCTGTGGGGGTACACCACCCTTGTGGTTGCGGCGGTAGTCAGCCCAGACGGGGCGAGAACCATATCGCTCCTGGTATTCTGAAATGAAAGATCATACAAGTTATTCCTGGGTGGGAGTGTAGTGGGTGGCTCTGTCCACTTATCTCAAATCCTATCTGACCCTCCCTTTCCCCCTTTAGAGGTACCTTCTGATTCCAGATATTTCCAGGGCTCATCCTTATAAGGAGAAATGGGAACTGAGGACAAAGAATCTTCCTCAGAGGGAGCTTTGGTGCAAAGAGTCTGGAGGGGAACCTACAAAGGAGAAGAAAAAAATAAAAGAATGAGTTTAAGGAAAGGACTAAATTGTTTTGCTTATCACACTTTGGAAAGGAGGAATGCACACATACTGCATTAATGGAATATAACAGGAATGCATATGTAAGTTAAGTATTTTTGTTGGGTTTAAATTGACATAAATCAACAACCACTCTCCTTTTCTACAATTGGATCCTGAAAGAAAAGCTAAGTTAGGGGATATATGCCTAAAAAACAATCTTATTTCAGAAGACAAATAAAAAGTCTAGTACAAGGCCGGGCGCAGTGGCTCACGTCTGTAATCCCAGCACTTTGGGAGGCCCAGGCAGGCGGATCATGAGGTCAAGACATCGAGACCATCCTGGCCAACATGGTGAAACCTTATCTCTACTAAAAATACAAAAATTAGTTCGGCGTGGTGGCATGCGCCTGTAGTCCCAGCTACTCGGGAGGCTGAGGCAAGAGAATCACTTGAACCCGGGAGGCGGAGGTTGCAGTGAGCCAAGATTGCGCCACTACACTCCAACCTGGCAACAGAGTGAGATTTCGTGTAAAGAAAAAAGAAAAAAAAATCTAGTACATAAAAGGTATTCTTGCTTTTTGGAAATAAATTGACTCTGGTGGAAGAATAAAGTAAGAGGAAGGATATCTAGGTTCTTGGAACTAAGATGTGTGGTGGGGAGGGGATGCAGAAGACAGGTGAGTCTCCAAATCAATCCAATGAAGTCACTGAGTTGCCCATTTTCATAAAAGCTGAAGGTCAACATTCTACAGGGCAGAACAAACTTGAGTCCTAACGCTAGTTTTAAAGCTACCAAGGCTGTTATTATTTCTGTGTTGACCTCTGTCACCACTCTTCAGTCCCACTTTAGGGAGTGGCAGCTGGGCAAGCCTTCCTATCTCACCGTGCCCCACCAAGAACCTCCAGAGAGGTGAGTACACAAGACTGGAGGGAAACCTCAATTCAAAGGACGGAGTTAAGCTCTCATAACTCCGATAAGAAACTGATTTAATAAAGAGAGCTGAGAAACTGTCCTCAGGTCGTAAGAATATATCCTGACCTTATTGAGAAATAGCAAGGTTGGTAGAAATTGGGATCCCTAATTTCCCCAAGGACATTCCAGAGCAACACAGATTTAGTCACCACTTGCATAGTTAACAGCTGGTTGTGGCGCTCGCTTGGGGAGTACATATGTTATGCTAAAATTGCAACGATACAGAGATTAGCATGGCCCCTTAATTAGTTAAATAATTTTTAAAAAGCTGGTTATGCATGACTGAGGGTGGACAGGGGTCAATTCCATCACTTAAGTTATTTTACTGAAATGGCATTTTGGAAAAAGGATGATACCTAACCCTGGCGTTTAGTCCTCGGCTCGGGATTAGAAAATGCGCGGGGTGTGGGGGGGGGGTTGCAGGAAGTACTGCCTAGACAGCTAAGACACACGTGGGAAGGTCTCCACTCGTGGATTCCTGACAGTGGAGCGACAACCTCGAGAAGGTATAACCAACTTGAGGTTGTGCAAAATGTCTTTCGAAGAGTTACCTGAACTCTGTGAGAACCTCGGAAGAGAGATAGCATAGGAAGCCGCCTCAGCACGGTGTTTAATACAGACGCCGCCATCTTGACGTACGCCCAGGACAGGAATTGACGGAAAGGCAACTGCGCATGCTTCAGGAAACTGAGTAGGGCAGGGCCAAGGACAAGCCCGCAGTGCGGAAGGCGGCCCCACGTTTGCGTCAGGACGGAAGCGTGAAAGGGAAGGCATGGGGGAGAAGCTAATTTCAACTGCGTCACAATCGAATTAGACCCCAAAATTGCGGTTTTTTTTGGCCAGTCACTACGACTCTTAGATCGCATTGTTAAAGTTTGCCTTTTAAGCAATTTTGAAGGCGATTTTTAGCGGTATCCTCTCAGTGCGCATGCGCTCTTAGGTTTCTACCAATCCTGGGTGAGAAATGTTCTCCAGGGCGGAAGTGGCGGAAGCAGAGGAAAGGGAGGTGCTAGGCTCCTGGTCACGCGCACGCGACAGGGAGGCAGGAAGGAGGCGGAAGAGAGTGCCAGGGAAAGGGGCGGAGCAAAGGTGAAGTGAGAGTAGCCAATCAGTTGGCGAGTTGTCATTTGGGTTGACCAATGAGTTCACGCCTCGCGTATAATGTCTCGCGACAAGGGCGTTTCACTAGCACGTTTGGGCGCGTTGGGCGGCGTCCGGGTATAAAAGACTCCACCCGAGCGGGCGGCCGCCATTCTGGGGTTCGTTTAGAGGTAAGTTTGCCTACTTTGTCGTCTAGTGGGTAAAATTTTGCGGAGAGCGTTGGATCTGGGAAGCGGGATAGGGATGGATGGGTTCATTTGAGAGCCACGGCTTAAAGCGGTTGCGATCAGGATGGGACACAGGTTTGTTTGGGGACAACAAAGATGGCATTTGTGAGTGTTTTGAAGCAACCCGTACTGATTACATCTTTCTCCCTTGTGTTCCTTTTATCCCAGGTTTGAATTTTCTCGGAGAAAGACAGGCCGGCCACGAGGAAAACAGAAACAAGCCGCAGCAACATCTAAGCCCTTGAAAGGATCCTGAGAGAGGGGGGAAAGGGAAAACAGCAGCCACCAGCCCAACCACTTGTGTCTTCTGCCCCTTCCCACCTATCTTGCCCACCCCACCAGCCCACGCTGCTTGGGACTTGAAATCTGTGGCCGAAGGACCGTCACTACATAACTTCAAAAATAATCAACCACCCTCCCTTCCCAAACCACCCAAATTCACTCATCCAGCGTTTACTTTTTTGAATCCACTCAGAACTTTTTTCTGCGACCCCCCTCCCTAAATGGAGTTGGGTGGGGGGGAAATGAATACTGAGTTGGCCTTTATTTTTTAAAAGACTTTTTGATCCAATGAGGCCCCCTAAATAATTGAGTTTTGGGTCCTGGTTGGTTGTTTTATTTTTTTTCCTCCAAAATTTTACCCCCTCCCCCCTGAGCCCGAGGTGCTGACGTCGCAAAAAAATTGGATAGTAAGTGTCGAATTTTCAAAAACCAGCCTTGCAACAAGAAATCAACGTTTCCCGTTGTGAAACCAAAAATAATGAGAGGAAGAAATGAGACCATAGAACAAATAGAGAACTGGAGAAGGACCAATCTGGTCACTTAATCTCCATTAAAAAGGGCCTGTGGGTCTAAACAGTCTTGTTCTCTCTCCCCTACCACCTATCTCTTCCCTGCCTTGCTGCAGGCAAAGAGAGGGTGGAGGGAGGGCCAGCAAGTGAGGATTTTGATGGTTAACCCTTGGTAATCCAGCCAATTTCCAGACTGCCAAAGCCATATGTGTTTATATAAGGAGGAATGGTTACCTTCCTCTGGTTAGCAGCAGTCTTCAAAAGGGTTAATGAGCTCACATACAAGAGATGGTGGATCTTGTGGCCCAGAAGTACCACTTCTTTGTGTGTGAGACAAGCAGGGTGCCTTTCAATTTGCCAGATTAATAAGCAATCTGTACATAAAGATTGCAGGGTAAGGAGATGGGCAGAGAGAAGTAATAGCTCGCTATAACTTTTTAAATGACTGTTAAATCCTCTCAATTTTAATGTAATTTGCTTGGGGTATATTTGTGTGGTTAAAATAGGTGGCAATCTAGGAATAAAGATTGCAAGACACTTAGGACAAAATATAATCTTAGTGCCAGTACATACAAGATAATAGTTGGGGAGGTAAAGAATGTCTTATAATTGTTGCAGATTGCATAGGTATTTAAAAGCAAAAGAGTGATTAACATTTTAACTTGATATTTTTTGGTGGGGGAGGTACAGTTAAATAGAGGGTGGAAAGGTTGGGAAATGTGGAATTTAGGAGTATAATTTTAAAAGCCATTTAGTGCAATTGAATGCTAGCTTTCTAAAAGATTTGTGTCGTTAAAAGGAATTTTTTTCTTCCCTGCTTCAATATGGCGACTTTCCTTGTCCTTTTGTCTTCCAAGCGGCGTTGCAGGTTGTGTCTTGACCCATTTTTTTTCCTGTCCTCCCACCTCAACCCTATTTGTTGAGAGGGGTCCAAGTCCTTCCTCCCCCTTTCCCTCTATAGGGAGGATGGGGGTGGTCGATGGTAGCCGGTTGAACCTCCGTTGCAAATTCAGTTCTTCCCTGCAGAAAATTGTTCTTTTTAATATTTTAATTGCTTTAATTTTCACTACGCTCTTACTGATCAAAATAGGTCAAAGATTATTCACGATGGGGAACTGGTTTTTGATTTTTTTTTTTTTTTTTTTTACTAAAAAGGTGTTTTATAATGTAACTGAAGCTACCGGCAGAGCCGGGTGGCTTTTTAGTTTAAGTCCTCTTTCTCCATTACAAAATGGCGTCCCTCCGTCTTTGTTGTTTTTCTCCCCCTTTTGCCATCCTGAGCTTAGGGCCGCCCTAGAAACTTGGTCAAGTGGGAGGAGCAGCCTTGAAAGGTGATGTAATCAGCTTTCTTCCTCCTCTCTCCACCCTCTTGAAGCTCCACCCCTGAGCAGATGCTTTTGCACTGCCTGTGCTCGTTGCTGCTAGGGAGAAGACATTTTCCTTATTTTCATTATATAAAATATCTTAAAGGGATAGGAGCTTATAGGAATTAAGTATCAAGGCTGTCCATCTCTGTGTAGTTCTAGTTTTTATAGAACCAGTTTTTATTTTCACTTTCCTTCACTCATCACAACTGCTTGTAATTTTTCCCCACTTCAGCTGCCAGGGGTGAAAAAACAGGCAAACCTAAGACTGGGAAGCTTTGAGGATGTGTGTGAGCGTGTGTGTATGTATATATGTGTGTAGAGGGAGATGGGAAAGACACAAGGGCTTGCAAGAGTAACTTGGAGATAAACGGGCCTAATGACACTGAAGTGTGCCATTTCTGCTTAGGAACCAGTGGGCCTCCTGCATTTGGTCGCTTTGTGTAATGAGAATCGGGGGAAGGTGGGTACTTTTAGGACTTTCTTCTAAATCGCCCTCATTCCCACCTCTCAGTTTGGGGATAAACTGTATTCAGTGCTGTATCACGTTCTGCACTTGATTAGTTCCTGTACATTGGTACTAGGATAAGAAGTGAATCTTTAGGAAAGGAGGCGGCAGTTGTAAACTCAAGGCAGGGGGAATCAAGCTACGGTTTCTGGTAAGCAAAACCTTTCTGGTATTACATTTCACAACTTTCATTTTTTTTTTTTCCCCAAAGAGCCACCTTTTTTGAATTTCTTTTTCCTTCCCTTCTAAAAGAAATTCCTAAAAGCATTAATGAAAAAATGATGTCCTCTTCATTTTTCAACTCATGCAGTGCTGTGGCATTTGGTGCATGTTCAGAAGCCATGCCCTATCTGAGGGTGGTATTGGGTGTCTGGTTCCTTTCTTCCCCCAAATTTTTCAAAGTCAAATCTTTATCAGACTCTCCATATAATTTTAATTTTTAAAAGTCCTGCACTGAAGCGTGGAGGTTCTAGGCAGAATTGGAAAGTATAACTGCCCTCTGGTGACCTGGGTGAGACTTAGGGCTAACTTCCTACTGGGTACAGATTCTCAAATTATTACTTAAGCTTCTGGATTGGATGGGAGGGACTCTTCACATGTCTGTTGACTACAAGCTTTTTTTGTTTTGTTTTGTTTTTTTCTTTTAAGCAGTTTGCCATGTGCCTCTGCAGCATATCTTCCTTGGGAGCTGAACATTCTACCCACTGGGGTTCCTGATCTCTAGTGAGCCAGGGGATTAATAAAGAAGATCTTCCTTAACATGGGAGATGGGAAGCCAGGTCTACTAGGGGAACCACATCCATTCAGAAAATCTTGGAAAACCTGATCCTTGTAGTTTGTGGCCAGAGTTCTAGTCTGGGGTCTTTTTCTATGAGTCAGGGTGGTATATCATTTTGCATCTTTATTGGAAGGCAGATAAGCTTTTGAGGAGCTCATGTATCAGGTTTGCAAAATGACTGAGGGGTAGGGGCTTACTACTTGGAAGAAAGCTATGACCTTGTGATGAATCACCTGAGAGACATAATTCAGTCCACTATTGTGTCAAACTAGGAAGTGCCTAAAACACTGAAGAAAGGAAGGGGAACATAAGGGGTTAGGTACAAATCATTTTCATTTCCAGAAGTGCCTCTAAATTAAGGTAAATTTGGGACTTTTTTCTCCTTTTGTTAGAAGACAGTTATTTTTTAAAGAGCTCTGACTTGCACAGAATTTTTATCCTGAACCAATTCAGTCCTGTTTCATTGGTGATGGGTGTGGAATAACTTTAGCTATGCTGGATATTTTTTCACCCTATTTAATTGAATAACCCTCAAGTAAAATTCATTTTGAAGGCAGGAGTTGGTGTCACAGACGTTTATCTCTGGTAAAAATGGTAGAAAATTCCCCAATGCCTTGTGCCAGTAGAGTATGGCTCTGCCTGAAACATTCTCCATAAGGAACGCATAGCTTAGGATGAGGTGGAGGTAGGCCAGGGGGTTGCTACCTCACTCCCCACCTTCTGTATGTTCTGCAGTCAAGAAAATAGCAGCTCATTAAAAGAAGACATAATCATGCCGTGGATTACTTGTGGTTCCAGAAAGCTTTCTTAAGCTTTCATTCTAGACTCCAGATCTTGAGTAGGTAATGTTACAACACTTAGTCACGGCCCCTGCCTGCCTTCATCAACTCAGTTTGCCTTCTCTGCTGTAGCCCTGTGCCCGAAATGTTGGACTTTACATTCCTTTCCACTTGAGCGCCTTGGAAATTGTTTGGTTTTTTTCCAAAATATACTGACTTCAAAGCAAGGAAACTAGGTTATAAGACACTTGGGGTCCTTAATTTTAAATAAGAACTAATCTTCCTGAAGGAAGGCCATCATGAGAAAACCCACTTACATTTTATCAAGATTGGTGCTCATGAGACAAAATTTCACTTATATTTCCAAAATATAAGTAGTGGAAAATGAATATTTAACGCTAATTTTGCTTTGTCTCTTAGCTTCCCTTTGACTATTAATGTCTTTTATTCTTGTTTATACATGTGGGAATAAAAAAGTCCCTGGATCCCATTTCCAGCAGAGGGCACTGGACAGAATTTAGCTTTGTACTCATTGGTCCATTTTTCTAAGACTGGCTCTTCTTTCTTGTCTCCCATCCTCTTAAGGAACACTTGAGCTCAGATGACAGTTTATTTAGTGTCTGAAGGAAATAGGGGTAGTAGGTCTATTTATTGGCTTAGCTTGTAGTTGGATATGCAAAAAGGAATTCTCCAGGGTTATATATATTCAACTCTGGGTTTGAATCAGTCAAGGGTAACTGGTTTGAAATGATGTTTAATTCAAGGCCTTTTGTCAAATTGCATATATTTTGCTTTAGGAATCTAATGGTAGGTATGTGTGTATATATAGAGAGAGGGAGTTTTAAAAATTTCTTAGTCTCTTGATTGCTTATGATATGTTGTTATTGGAACCCATACATTGCTTTTCCAGTCTCCAACAGATGTGATATCTGTTTTATGTGTCCCTTTATCGTATCTCTTTATAGTTTCTATAGATCACTTTATAGTATCTCACTACATGGGAAGAATACCTTTATTTCTGTGTCTGTCTCTGTGTGTGTAGGAATCACCACACTTGAGTGGATTTGGCCCACGGACATCTAATCTTTTCCAGTATTCTCCTTGAATGTTTTTTCTCTGACCTCAGGTTCCACTTGTATTTGTGGAGGTTCCAGGGCAGCAGCGACTTCTCAACATTTCTTGCCTCATCTCTCCCTCTGTTCAGCCCACAGGTTATGATCTCCAGAGCCAAGATTATACTCCTACCCTTCCTGGCTGCCTCCTCCCTGCTTCTGCTGCTGCTCGCCTAGGTTGTTAGGACCTACACATTTGGAAACTTACTGACGTTTTTGTTGGGAGGACAAAAAGGCTGAGATTGTTATGCTATGTTTTTTCTTTTGTTTGAGAACAAGTAGAACTAATTTGCATTGTCTTACAAGAAACCTGTGTTTTTTCCGGCACAAAACTACTCATCTTTGTAAAATACTGATTTTTCTACCCTTCTGCTGGGATTGTGTCTGTTACTTCTGTGCTAGATGTAGGATGAGGAAGGTTTTGTTCTTGCCTCTTCCTTGCTACTCAGTGTGGGCCTTATTGCCCAAAGGCAGATATTGCTGAAGTGGCTTTCTTTTTTGGTGGTTTTTTGTTTGTTTGTTTTTGAGGCAGCGTCTTACTCTGTCTCTCAGGCTGGAGTGCAGTGGCACAATCACAGCTCATTGTAGCCTCAGTATCCCTGGGCTCAAGCAGTCCTCCCGTTTTCCCACGTCAGCCTCCCGGGTAGCTGGGACTACAGGTGCACACCATCACACTCGACTTATGTTTTGTAGAGATGAGGTTTCGCCATGTTGCCAAGGCTGGTTTCAAACTCCTGCGCTCAAGGAATCTGCCCACCTTGGCCTCCCAAAGTGCTGGGATTACAGGCATGAGCCACTGCACCCAGCCTCTTTTTTGGGTCTTAGAAGCAAGTATTTAGAGGCAGTGTAGATAAAAATCCCAATCAGAACCATATTGATCCTAAATTACCTTTCTGGAACTTCAGTTCTGGCTTGTCCCTTCCATAAAAGGAGCTTAGCTTTTAACTAATTCCCTTCCCAACCTGGTCTAAAACAGCTGCTTAAAAGGGAATTTTTCTAGCATTTGGCTTTATCTGTTCCCTTTTTAGGTTCCATGGTTTTCAGTTTTAGGCTTTCCTAGGGGATCTTGTACAGCGTGATTTTTGAGGAGAGGACCAGATTCGCATCTTTGCTTTTGAAAGCACAAACCACTAGCTTCCTTTTAACTTAGAGACAGTAAAAACTTGTGTAGTGTTTGGCTAATGAGTGACAGTCTATTCAAGGTCTAGGAGGACCTGCTTGATTTCCATGCATCCATTTGTCTCAATCTCTGGCACCTACTCCCAGATCTCCTTAGGGAGGGATTCTGTTTTCAAGTTTTGTTTTGTTCTCCATCATCTACCACTTCAGCTGATACATATCTTGCCATGTGTAGTGATTATGACTCTTAATGGGCTAAGATAAAAAGGACTCAAGTCTTATAAGACATTTAGCTCAAACACCCAAGATTGGCCCAATTTCTATCAAGCTATAGGCTGTTTTTCAAGCCAAATTTATCAGCAACTAGGGAAGACAGGACTTAACGATAGGTGTAAATGCCCTGGAGAGTTGAACATCTTGTTATGGGAACTGATCTTAGCTTTAATACGATCTAGTGAAGTTCAGCCATCCTAGGAAGGATGCTGCTGGGAGGGAGGGACAGGTGTGCTGCCCTACTCCTCCAATCGAATTGCTTTCCTGTTCAGTCACATATGCTCCCCATGCTTAACTTGCCAGGGCTATTTTCTCAGTAGTGGCAAGTGGTCTGTGTCGATTTTTCATATCTAAAAAATAGCATAGTTGAATAATTAGTCATTATACTTTGTCAAATATAGAGATGTGGTTTATTAGAGGGCCTACTCGGGTAGTCCTTGCCACCCATTTATTCTGTGGGTTTGTTTGTTTTGTCCTCTTACCATAGAAACCACCATCATGGGTTCGGGTCCCATAGACCCCAAAGAACTTCTCAAGGGCCTGGACAGCTTCCTTAACCGAGATGGGGAAGTCAAAAGTGTGGATGGGATTTCCAAGATCTTCAGGTGAGTCTTTACCCCTTTTTGTATTCACTGTGAGTAGAGAATATTGTGTGTTAAAACATGGCTGCAGTTGAGGCACACTGGAATGATCCTGGAAAGGAAAGGGAAAGATAGTCAGTGCAATAGGATTAAAATGTAACAATTTTAGGATAAGGGATAGGAAAAGATGATCACTTGTTTCTGACCATAATGGAAACTGGAGATTTGGACGTCCACGGTCCCAAGGGAGTCATGCTTTGGAATGAGAGCAGGGTAGCCTGGTAACAGAATTCTAGATTGTTTTGGTTCGTGTTCCACCTACCCATAATGTTATTTTCCTTCAGGGATTCTCAGGTTTTTCAGGGGAGAGTAAATAACTAAGCCAGTCTTGAACAGACTATTAGGGACAGTTGTTGAGGGATAGCCTTATCACCTGGAGGCAGAATGGAATTCATCCTGTGTGTTACGGAGGCAGCGATGCTCTCCTCCCCAGGTCAGAGACTGCGGTGTCTCTGTTCTCCCATAAGTTTCCATGTCACACTGGATCCATCCCATCTTCCTAGAGGTATATGTGACTCCCCTTCTCTGGAGCAAAGTCCCAAGTCATTAGGAATCTCTAGGCAGTTCACAGAGAGGCGCTTTTGCTAAGAGAAGAGATACTGGCTGCTTCATTTCTAACCCTAACTCATCTTCTGCAGTTTGATGAAGGAAGCACGAAAGATGGTGAGTCGATGCACTTACTTGAACATTCTCCTGCAGACCCGTTCACCAGAAATATTGGTCAAGTAAGTGGGGATCTGGATGGTTGGAATGGGAAGGTGTAGCGAAAAGATGGGGCGGTGAGGCATGGGGTTCCTCGGTCATTGATGGGAGACTGGGATTGTAGGATGTGGTACTGTCAAAACCTAGAAAGGGCATTACTGATAGACTCTCCTGCCTGCCTGCAGATTTATTGACGTTGGCGGCTACAAACTTCTTAACAATTGGCTGACGTATTCAAAGACAACCAACAACATTCCCCTCCTCCAGCAAATTCTACTGACCCTGCAGCATCTACCGCTCACTGTAGACCATCTCAAGCAGGTACCTTTAGTCTTTAAACCCTGATTCTTCCTTTTTTGGTTTAGTCTAATGGATGAAAAACTCAAACTGACTGATGTGGCTGTAATCTTGGGCCTGTGAGGTAGAACAGCAGAAAAAAAATAGGAATTTAGAAGAAGAAGACTTGGTTTGAATTTATCTCCTTTAATAGGTGTGTGGCGGCTGGGCACGGTGGCTCACGCCTGTGATCCCAGCACTTTGAGAGGCTGAGGCGGGCGGATCATGAGGTCAGGAGACTGAGACCATCCTGGCTGACGTGGTGAAACCCCGTCTCCACTAAAAATACAAAAAATTAGCCAGGCATGGTGGCATGCGCCTGTAGTCCCAGCTAATCAGGAGGCTGAGGCTGGAGAATCGCTTGAACCCAGGAGGTGGAGGTTATTGTGAGCCGAGATCGCACCACTGCACTCCAGCCTGGGCGACAGAGTGAGACTTCGTCTCAAAAAAAAAAAAAAAAAAGGAATGTGTCAGCCAGGTGTGGTGGCTCACACCTGTAATCCCAACACTTTGGGATGCTGAGGTGGGTGGATTGCTTGAGCCCAGTAGTTCAAGACCAGCGTGGGCAAAAATGATAAAACTCTGTCTCTACAAAAAATACAAAAAATTTACCCAGATGTGGTGGTGCATGCCTGTAGTCTCAGTTATTTAGGAGGCTCAGGTGGGAGAATCATTTGAGCCTGGGAGGTCGAGGCTGCAGTGAGCCAAGACTGCGCCACTGCACTCTAGCCTGGGCAACAGAGTGAGACTCCGTCTCAAAAAATAAAAAAAAAAAAAAAAGCAGGGAGGACTGTAACTTTTGTCGTTTTTAGCTCTAAGTGGAATTATTTGCCTCCTGGCATTTACCTTTCTGCTGCTCCCATCTCTCATAGAACAACACAGCTAAACTGGTGAAGCAGCTGAGCAAGTCAAGTGAGGATGAAGGTAGGGTGCCACTTCTGCTCTCTCATGGGCTTTTCTCTATTACTTCCACTTAATTACCTTAATATCTTTTCCCATCCTTGGATTGTCCCTTCACTTTTCTCTTTCTACCTCACCTTGCTTTTTTTCCTTCTTTTAAAGAGAAAGTTCCTCTAACCTGTACCCTCTTTCCTGTTCTCAATTCCAAAGTTGTTCATTTCTCTGTTGCTGAATATAAGGTGCCATACTTTAACTGGAAGCTGATTCCTAAAATTGCTTGTTATAAAACACATACACTTAAAATTTGCTGTGGGAAATAGTATCATCCTAGCGTGTCTCATCTGTGAAACTCCTATTACTAAATGATAAATTATGAAATGAGTTTATAAGTGGAAATGTTGGCCAGAAGAGAGGTGCCATAGATCAGAGATGTTATTTGCCAAGTACAAAAGGAAAGAGTTACAAAGTATTTTTTCATATATTTAGAAACAAATTTTATTCTTGTTTTCACATCTATAAAGGAAAATAAAAAGTCTTCAGATTGTTGTAACAATTAGGTGTGTTATACATAAAGCAACTAACGTAGCTTTTTAAAAAAATGTCAGTTTTTGAGGAACTGGTGGATTTTGGTTACATGTATAAGTTCTTTAATGGTGATTTCTGAGATTTTGGTACACTCATCACCCAAGCAGTGTACACTGCACCCAACGTGTAGTCTTTTACTAATGTAGATTTTAACCACATATTCTGAAATATTAGGTCTTTTTACTCCAGAGTGGTGTGATGACATCAGAGTTGAAAGTTATCCAAGTAGAACACAACTCTAATTCATTGTTCCATTTTTTAAGGGTTTGGTTTTTAAGCATATCTCATGTTCTTCTTAAAACTTTGGGTTACTTTCTCCGTTACATAAATTTTCACAATATTTTCTCAAACCTCCCATTTTCTGTTCCTGGAAGAATGTTACTTTACATTATTTAGGCATTTCCCCTTTCTGTCACCTGCAGAGCTCCGGAAATTGGCCTCAGTCCTTGTCAGCGACTGGATGGCTGTCATCCGCTCTCAGAGCAGTACCCAGCCTGCTGGTAAGCTCCTTAGTCCTTTATCCTTTGTATTTATTTCTTTCCTATTGGGATGTGGCCTTTAGGTGCTCCCAGTCTGCTTCACCTCTGACAGTGTTCATCTAAATAAAATCCTTTTCTGCTTTGTTTTTTCACAACAGAGAAAGATAAGAAGAAACGTAAAGATGAAGGAAAAAGTCGAACTACCCTTCCTGAGCGACCTTTGACAGAGGTGAAGGCTGAGACCCGGGCTGAGGAGGCCCCAGAGAAGAAGAGGGAGAAGCCCAAGTCTCTTCGCACCACAGCACCCAGTCATGCCAAGTTCCGTTCCACTGGTAAGACTGGCGGCTGGCCTCTGGAGGGTTCATGGGCATGTGCACACCCAGAGCCTTATGGGGGAATCATTTGATGTGTGGTATGTTAATCGTAAGGAAGAGGGAAGACTAGCAGAGGAAGCTTTGGTTACAAGGCTAGAAGAACATTTGCGGGTGAGAACGGGAGGAAAATTCGGGGGTCTGGGGTTTGAGTTCAGCTGCCCACACCGTGCTTCTTTCCCCAGGACTAGAGCTGGAGACACCATCCTTGGTGCCTGTGAAGAAGAATGCCAGCACAGTGGTGGTTTCTGACAAGTACAACCTTAAACCCATCCCCCTCAAACGTCAGAGGTATGGACCATATTCTCAGGCTCTGAATGGGGTGGATCTGTGGACACAAGGGAGCAGGAGGGGGTGAGTCGGAGATGTTGATGACAGTTCCTCTTCTGACAGCAACGTAGCTGCTCCAGGAGATGCCACTCCCCCTGCAGAGAAGAAATACAAGCCACTCAACACAACACCTAATGCCACCAAAGAGATCAAAGTGAAGATCATCCCGCCACAGCGTGAGTCTAAAGTGGGGAAGATGTACTTTGAATTAGGAGCAAACTTTTTTTTTTTTTTTTTTGGAGACAGAGTCTCACTCTGTCACCCAGGCTGGAGTGCAGTGGCACGGTCTTGGCTCACTGCAAGCTCCGCCTCCCGGGTTCACGCCATTCTCCTGCCTCAGCCTCCCGAGTAGCTGGGACTACTGGTGCCCGCCACCACGCCCGGCTAATTTTTTGTATTTTTAGTAGAGATGGGGTTTCACCATGTTAGCCAGGATGGTCTTGATTTCCTGACCTCGTGATCCACCCACCTCAGCTTCCCAAAGTGCTGGGATTACAGGCATGAGCCACCGCACCTGGCCAGGAGCAAACTCTTATGGGAATGAATGTCCCTGGGAACGAGAAGTTTTTTCCCTTCTCTTTTATTATTTCCCTCCATTTTCCTTTGATTTCTTGGTATCCCTTACTTTTTGTACCTCTGGAACTCCCGTTTCAGGGGTCACTTAGGAGTAATTTTAGAGATAAGATAGGGACGTGTGCCATTCTGTGACTGGTCAGGGGCACCTGGTAAGGTGATCTGTCATGTTCACAAGGGCTCACTTCGTCAGCTACCTGAGCTATAATTCACATCCAAAGCTATGGCTTGCCTGCCATGAGAAACCTAGAATAACAACAAGAATATCCTGTGTGAATCCTCCTGCATGTGCTTCCTGGTCCTCTTGAGCTTATCGTGTCCTAAGTTGAGGCAGGGTCTTCACTGGCTCATTTTATGCCTGGACTGTGTTTGCAGGTGTAGGATTATGAAGGAGGTCTGATGATGCCATTTGGTGCTCTTTCTTTTTGTAGCTATGGAGGGCCTGGGCTTTCTGGATGCTCTTAATTCAGCCCCTGTTCCAGGCATCAAAATTAAGAAGAAAAAAAAAGTACTGTCACCTACGGCTGCCAAGGTATGGGCTCCCAGAAGTAGGTTTCAGTGACAGAGTATAAAAGGTAAAGTAGAAGAAAGGGCACAGCAGCTAGGAGTTGTCGGGGAGGACAACAAGAGGCGTTTTGCCTTGGATATAGACTGGTGCAGGTGAGACATTGTGGAGACAGAGTCTTCCTTTATATAGGAACTGTTGGGGGACTGTGCCTGGGACCCTGGACTAATTGCCTTGCCCTTGGCTTTCCAGTCAGTTCATTAACTTCCTTTTCTTTCACAATAGCCAAGCCCCTTTGAAGGGAAAACGAGCACAGAACCAAGCACAGCCAAACCTTCTTCCCCAGAACCAGCACCACCTTCTGAGGCAATGGACGCAGACCGTCCAGGCACCCCGGTTCCCCCTGTTGAAGTCCCGGAGCTCATGGATACAGGTAATCTAGAAACTGGTTCAGTTTGGGGGGTTTTCTGAAAGGAGGGATCTGGGTCTGAAACCTCTTCTGCTTCCAGCCTCTTTGGAGCCAGGAGCTCTGGATGCCAAGCCAGTGGAGAGTCCTGGAGATCCTAACCAACTGACCCGGAAAGGCAGGAAGAGGAAAAGTGTGACATGGCCTGAGGAAGGCAAACTGAGAGAATATTTCTATTTTGAATTGGATGAAACTGAACGAGGTAAGAGGTCATTTCCTACGTAATAGGTGTGTTTAAGGGATTTTGAAAGGACTTGGTTGTGCTTACTTTCCCTCTTGCTTTTCTTCCCCTGCCGACAGTAAATGTGAATAAGATCAAGGACTTTGGTGAGGCGGCTAAGCGAGAGATACTGTCAGACCGACATGCATTTGAGACAGCGCGGCGTCTGAGCCATGATAACATGGAGGAGAAGGTGCCCTGGGTGTGCCCCCGGCCCCTGGTTCTGCCCTCACCTCTTGTCACCCCTGGAAGCAATAGTCAGGAGCGATATATCCAGGCTGAGCGGGAGAAGGGAATCCTTCAGGAGCTCTTCCTGAACAAGGAGAGGTGAGCAGAGTGGGGTTCGTGCCCTGGGATGTTGAGTGCTTGGACACTCCTGAGGGAACATGAGCTGGGGTAATTACGGGGTGGAGGTTAGAAATTACTTTCAGGGTCTGAATTAATAACTTGACTATCATTCTTTTTTCTCTCACCTGTGTTGTTCCTGATAGTCCTCATGAGCCTGATCCTGAGCCCTACGAGCCCATACCCCCTAAACTCATCCCCCTAGATGAGGTAAGTCAATGTTCTGTGATGATGGAAGTTGTGATGGTCATTGAATTCGGTGCATCTTTCATATGAGAATGTCTCTGTTCTGTCAATCCTGATTTTTTTTGTTCTTCTTTCAGGAGTGTTCCATGGATGAGACTCCGTATGTTGAGACTCTGGAACCTGGGGGGTCAGGTGGCTCACCTGATGGGGCAGGAGGCTCCAAGTTGCCTCCAGTTCTGGCCAATCTTATGGGAAGCATGGGTGCTGGAAAGGGCCCCCAAGGCCCTGGAGGAGGAGGCATTAATGTCCAAGAGATCCTCACCTCCATCATGGTACGCACCCTCCTTCCCCTTTTCCACCTTCTGTGGAGCCTCCTTAAGCTCGCTCTCCTCACTGTCTCCCATTCGCCTTACCCCAGTTCTCCACATCTACCCACTTACCCCTAATCTTTGGCGCTATCTTTCGCCATGGTTGTTACCCTTTCTGTCTGTTGACTTTGCCTTCTTACATCCTCACAGGGTAGCCCAAACAGTCATCCTTCAGAGGAACTACTGAAACAACCAGACTATTCGGACAAGATCAAGCAGATGCTGGGTAATCTTCAGGGCCAGCCCCAGGGGACTGGGGGAGGAAGCCTGCAGTGGAGTTGGGGGAAGCAGGGTTTCAAAGATGCAGAAGAATACAGGGCTGTGGCCACTAGGCAAGAAATGGGAGGGGAAGACTGGACAGAGAGAGCATTGCTCTGCCAGGTTGGTTTGAGAGGGTCAGTTGGTTGCACCTAAATGGGAGATCATGCTAGTCTTCTAGAGTGCTCATGCTGTGTTACTCTTGTTTTCATTAACAGTGCCACATGGACTCCTAGGCCCTGGCCCAATAGCCAATGGTTTCCCACCAGGGGGTCCTGGGGGCCCCAAGGGCATGCAGCACTTTCCCCCTGGACCTGGGGGACCTATGCCAGGTAGGTGGTGAGTAAAAGGTTGGAATGGGCTTATCTGCTTAATTTCAGTCTGATAATAGTATAGGATTGACTGGAAGGTGGGAGGTGGTGGTTTAGGTTGGGAGATGGCAGTTCCTGGTAGCTGATACTGTCTCTCTTTTTTGTCCCCTTACAGGTCCCCATGGAGGCCCTGGTGGGCCAGTGGGTCCACGTCTTCTGGGTCCTCCACCCCCTCCCCGGGGAGGTGATCCCTTCTGGGATGGCCCGGGCGACCCTATGCGGGGTGGCCCAATGCGGGGGGGTCCAGGACCAGGTCCTGGACCATACCATAGAGGCCGAGGTGGCCGAGGAGGAAACGAACCTCCTCCTCCTCCTCCTCCATTCCGAGGCGCCAGAGGAGGTCGCTCTGGAGGAGGACCCCCAAATGGACGAGGGGGCCCTGGTGGGGGCATGGTTGGAGGTGGTGGGCATCGTCCTCACGAAGGCCCTGGTGGGGGCATGGGCAACAGCAGTGGACATCGTCCCCACGAAGGCCCTGGCGGTGGCATGGGAAGTGGGCATCGCCCCCATGAAGGCCCTGGTGGTAGCATGGGTGGGGGTGGAGGACATCGTCCCCACGAAGGCCCTGGCGGTGGCATCAGTGGTGGCAGTGGCCATCGTCCCCATGAAGGCCCTGGCGGAGGAATGGGTGCCGGTGGTGGACATCGCCCCCACGAAGGCCCTGGCGGAAGCATGGGTGGAAGTGGTGGACATCGTCCCCATGAAGGCCCTGGACACGGGGGGCCCCATGGCCACCGGCCTCATGATGTCCCTGGTCACCGAGGCCATGACCATCGAGGGCCGCCACCTCATGAGCACCGTGGCCATGATGGTCCTGGCCACGGGGGAGGGGGCCACCGAGGGCACGATGGAGGCCACAGCCATGGAGGAGGTGAGGATGCTCCCTGTCCCCCATATGCCTTTTGGTTGTCCCATACAAGCTTTTGGGGAGTGGGTGAGAGTCACTACTGTTGGTAGCTAGGCAGAACGTGAGGTACCCGTCTCTTTGATGTCCTAGTATGCATAGCAGTTCCTACTCTATGCCCTTCCCCCAAATCCCCAAGATTGTCTCTGAAAGACAGTTCTCAGGATGTCATGGACAAGGGGTGGTGAGGGTGGCATTGCCCTCAGCTATTTCCTGTCTAACTGTTTTGCCATCGTTCCCACAGACATGTCAAACCGCCCTGTCTGCCGACATTTCATGATGAAGGGCAACTGCCGCTATGAGAACAACTGTGCCTTCTACCACCCGGGTGTCAATGGGCCCCCCCTGCCCTAGGGACCATTTGCCTGCCCTGTTCACACAACCCCTGTGGACTGCAGCCTCGCTCTTTCCACCCTGTTATGGCTTCTGTGAGGCCCATTTTCCCTTTTCCCCAGCTGATGAGGAGCCGGCCCCCTCAGTTCCCACTTGCTTGGGTTCCTGGGGGTTTTCTGATCACTGGTGCGCATTGATGTACATATTTTCCTCCAGTCTGGGGAGGAGAGAGACTGGAAACGTTCCTGGACTGCTGAAGAGGAGACCCAGTTGGCTTCACTTTTTGAGAAGATTCGCCCTGTACCCCAAACCCCTTTCCAGTATTACCCTTAATGCTTGAGAACCTAAAGCTGGTTATCCTGGCGAACACCCCTACCCTTCTATTGCGGGTCCCCACATGCACACAGAACTCTGACACAGGATCAGCTGCACTTAAGAAATCATCCCAGCTAAGTTCATTATTCCTCATGGGGTGGGGAGATGCTGAAAGGGGTATTGTATATCCCACTGCACTGAGAGGGCTCAATCAGCTGGATTTGAGTTCTGGAACACACATCATCCCCACCCCTCCCCCAGCGTGGGCTCACCATTCTTAGTCCTTTCTCAAGTGGGACCTTCAACTTTCTGTGAACACCCAGTCTGCGTCCTGGGTCTGCTAGGTTCGATGATGGCGAACTCGTATCTGCATCCGGTGCAAGTTTTAGCTGGCAGAGGTGAGACCGGTGGTGCTGGTCTGCCTTTGCCAACTATAGCCAGTCTGGAGACTTGATAAAATACTTCAGTGAGACCAGCTTCTCATCAACTTGGGCCCGGCGTGCTGGGCCTGAAAGTCACACTACATGCACTGCCTTTGGGAGTCAGCTCACTCCCTGCTCCCACCTGGAACCTTGCCAGCGTGAAGGAGGCTTCCAGGTACTTCACCCTGTCAACCACCTCTGAATCCCCACCAGGCGCCTTCCTGGGTGGATTCAACAAGATGATTTTGCCCTTTCCCAGTTCTCTCCTTCACTTTGGCATCAGTTGTTTTCTATGAAAACAGTGGATTGGTTGGGTTTTGTGCAGGGTCTTGGGTTAGAGCCAAAATGGATTTGAGGATGAGTATTTTTTTTTTTGGTTTTGTATATTTTGTACATTAATAATAAACAGTGGAAAGAGAAGCAGCTTATTTAACCCCTAGTGTGTTTGGACTTTTTTGAGACGGAGTCTCGCTCCGTTGCCTGGGCTAGAATGCAGTGGTGCAGTCTTGGCTTACTGCAATCTCTGCCTCCTGGGTTCAAGGGATTCTTCTGCCTCAGTCTTCTGAGTAGCTGGGATTCCAGGCACCTGCCACCATGCCTGGCTAATTTTTTTGTATTTTTAGTAGAGACTTGGTTTCACCATGTTGGCCAGGCTGGTCTGGAACTCCTGACCTCGTGATCTGCCCGCCACGGCCTCCCAAAGCGCTGGGATTACAGGCGTGAGCCACCGCGCCCGGCCTGGACTGTTTTTCATTTTTTTTTTTTAAAAGCCATTACCACCTGTGTTAGATACATTAGTACAAATCTGTGGAATCTGATTTTTACTCCTCTGGAGCTAATGCTTGATCTAACAGTTGCTATTAAGTACTGGTGAAAAAATGCTTCAAAAAGTACATAAAATACTCTAGGATACAGAGTAGATCTCGGCCACAGGGCTCTTTCCTGGTTTTCATCTTTCTGAGTCTTCTTTAACACGCCTCGTGTGTGTTCCTAGAACAGTCCTATCCTGGCTATCGTGCCCTCTAGGATGTGTTCTTGGTCATCTTATCCACATTCTACAGATAAGGGAGGAAATCCTGAGGATGCTGGAGTCAGATAAAGGCCATTGTCCCAGCTCTACCTCTCTACAGCCTGGGTGACCTTAGCCAGGTTAGTGTTGGGTATCAGTGGCTCATGTCTGTAATCCCAGCACTTTTGGGAGGCCGAGGTGGGAAGACTACTTGAGCCCAGGAGTTTGAGACCAGCCTGAGCAACATAGGGAGACCAGGTCTGTACAAAAAATACAAAAAATATTAGGCATGGTGGCACATGCCTTTAGTTCCAGCTACCTGGGAGGCTGAGGCGAGAGGATCACTTGAGCCTGGGAGTTCAAACTCACAGCTATGATTGTACCACTGCAATCCAGCCGGAGCAACAGAGCAAGACCCTGTCTCAAAAAAAAAAAAAAAAAAAAAAAGCCAGGCATATTGGGTCATGCCTGTAATCCCATCACTTTGGGAAGGCGAGGTGGGTGGATCACCTGAGGTCAGGAGTTGGAGACCAGCCTGGCCAACATGACAAAACCCCGTCTCTACTAAAAATACAAACATTAGCTGGGTGCCTATAACCCAGCTACTCCGGAGGCTGAGGCGGGAGAATCCCTTAAACCCAGGAGGTGCAGGTTGCAGTGGGCCGAGATCATGCCACTGCACTCCAGCCTGAGTGACAGGGCAAAATTCCGTCACAAAAAAACAAAGGGTAAGTATAGACTGCTCTTCCCAAAGTGGCTCTGGCCAGGCATGGTGGCTCAAGCCAGTAATCCGAGCACTTTGGGACGCCAACATGGGAGGATCACTTGAACCCAGGAGTTCAAAACTACCCTAAGCAACATAGGGAAGCTCCATTTCCCCATTTCCGCGCCTGGCCTCCACTCTTCTTAAACCAGAAATTAAAGCTGGGCATGTTGGCTCACGCCTGTAATCCCAGCACTTTGGGAGGCCCACATGGGACGATCACTTGAACCCAGGAGTTCAAAACTACCCTAAGCAACATAGGGAAACTCCATTTCCCCATTTCCGCGCCTGGCCTCCACTCTTAAACCAGAAATTAAAGCTGGGCGTGGTGGCTCACGCCTGTAATCCCAGCACCTTGGGAGGCCGAAGCAGTTGGATCACCTGAGGTCAGAAGTTCGAGACCAGCCTGGCCAACATGAAGAAACCCCATCTCTACTAAAAATACAAAAATTAGCTGGGTGTGGTTACTGGCGCCTGTTATCCCAGCTACTCGGAAGGCAGGAGAATCGCTTGAACCCAGGAGGCAGAGGTTGCAGACTGCACCACTGCACTCCAGCCTGGGCAACAAGAGTGAAACTCCATCTGAAAAAAAAAAGAAAGGATACATCACTCTGGGGGGAGTGTGTGTGGCAGATATGGGGCAGTTGAAGATATTAACATGTTTTAACATGTGGGTTGAGAATGGCGGTTTTCAAGTCTGTTAGCATTCATCAGGATCATCTGAAGAGCTTATTAGAAAACAAATCTGGGGCCGGGTGCAGTGGCTCATACCTGTAAACCCAGCACTTTGGGAGGCCAAGGCGGGTAGATCAGGAGGTCAGGAGTTCGAGACCAGCCTGACCAACATGGAGAACCCCCGTCTCCACTAAAAATACAAAAATTAGCCGGGCGTGGTGGCGCATGCCTGTAATCCCAGCTACTCGGGAGGCCGAGGCAGGAGAATTGCTTGAACCCGGGAGGTGGAGGTCGTGGTGAGCCGAGATCGCACCATTGCACTCCAGTCTGGGTAACAAGAGCGAAACTTGGTCTCAAAAAAAAAAAAAAAAAAAAGAAAGAAAAAAAAAAACAAATTTGGGTTGGATGCAGTGGCTTATGCCTGTAATCCCAGCACTTTGAGAGGCCAAGGCGGATGGATCACCTGAGGTGAGGAGTTTGTGACCAGCCTGGCCAACATGGTGAAATCCCATCTCTACTAAAAATACAAAAATTAGTCAGGCATGGTGGCTCGCGCCTGTAATCCCAGCTACTTGGGAGACTAAAGCAGGAGAATCACTTGAACCCGGGAAGTGGAGGTTGCAGTGAGCAGAGATCACACCACTGCACTTCAGCTTGGGTGACAGAGCCAGACTCCATCTCCATCTCAAAAAACAAAAACAAAACAAAAAGAAAAAACAGACAGATTGGGGGTAGGGTCCAGCAAAATTCTGATTTAGTAGGTCAGGATGGATCCCGAGATATGCATTTCTAACAAATTCCCAGTTGCTGAGGCTGCTACACTGCCCTGGAATACGTGTCTCAGCTGTATTTCCAGCATTGGCCACATGAGGGGGCAACAATGTTTTATCAGTATCTGAAAGGCCTCACTGCATGTAGGCCCAAAGTGGGTAGTTTTACCTTCCCCTTGCCCAGGCTTGGTGTGTGTGGGCGGAGGTGTTCAGGTCAGTCTGTTGTTGCTGTGTGCACTGGGAGAAGACCTGAGAAGACATAATCTAAGGACCAGGCTAGGGCGTGAAATACCAAAGAAGTATACAGCTCAAGTGAAAAAACCCAAACATGTCACAACCTAGTGGTCACAACTTTGTGTCTCTTTCTGCTTCCATTTACTGCCTGCTTCTCACCTTTCTTCTATCTCCTGCAACAAGCCACAAGAACCTTAAAAGAGAGCTTAAAGTTTTTACTGTATTTTAAGAATAAGCTCGGCCGAGCGCGGTGGCTCACACCTGTAATCCCAACACTCTGGGAGGCCGAGGCGGGCAAATCCCAAGGTCAGGAGATGGAGACCATCCTAGCCAACATGGTGAAACCCCGTCTCTATTAAAAATACAAAAATTGCCAGGCGCGGTGGCTCACGCCTGTAATCCCAGCACTTTGGGAGGCCGAAGCGGGCAGATCATGAGGTCAGGAGATGGAGACCATCCTGGCTAACAAGGTGAAACCCCTTCTCTACTAAAAATACAAAAACTTAGGTGGGTGTGGTGGCGGGTGCCTGTAATCCCAGCTACTGAGGAGACTGAGGCAGGAGAATGGCATGAACCCGGGAGGTGGAGCTTGCAGCGAGCAGAGATCGCGCCACTGCACTCCAGCCTGGGCGACAGAGCAAGACTCTGTCTCAAAAAAAAAAAAAAATTAGCCGGGAGTGGTGGCACGCACCTGTAGTCCCAGCTACTTGGGAGGCTGAGGCAGGGGAATCGCTTGAATCCAGGAGGCAGAGGTTGCAGTGAGCCGAGATAACGCTACTGCATTCCAGGATGGCGACAGAGCAAGACTCCGTCTAAAAAAAAAAGAAAGAATGAGCTCATTTTCTTTCAAATCATTTATGAAAATTCGGCCAGGCGTGGTGGCTCACGCCTGTAATCCCAGCACTTTGGGAGGCCGAGGCGCGTGGATCACCTGAGATCAGGAGTTCGAGAGCAACCTGACCAACATGGTGAAACCGTCTCTACTAAAAATACAAAAAATTAGCCGGGCGTGGTGACTGGTGCCTGTAATCCCAGCTACTCTGGAGGCTGAGGCAGAAGAATCGTTTGAACCCAGGAGGCGGAGGTTGCAGTGAGCTGAGATCGTGCCATTGCACTCCAGCCTGGGTGACAGCAAAATTTCATCTCAAAAAAAAAAAAAAAAAAAATTCAAAGAAACCTGTTTTTTTTTTTTAGACAAGTTTCACTCTTTTGCCCAGGCTGGAGTGAAATGGCACGATCTTGGCTCACTGCCCCCTGGGTTCAAGGATTCTCCTGCCTCAGCCTCCTGAGTAGCTGGGATTGTAGGCACCTGCCACCACGCCTGGCTAATTTCTGTATTTTTAGTAGAGATGGGGTTTTACCATGTTGTCCAGGCTGGTCTCGAACTCCTGACCTCAGGTGATCCACCCGCCTTGGCCTCCCAAAGTGCTGGGATTACAGGTGTGAGTCACGGCACCCGGCCTACCTGTTCCTTTTTACTTACGTAAAAACTTTAGATTATATAAAGAGAAGATTTTCCTTGTTTTTTGTTTTTTTGCAGGGGGAGAGAGGTTGAACATTTCATTCATTTCACTACAATGATGTTTCTTCACCAAGCCCTCCCTGCAGGCACTTTTCTCTCTACCGTTTCAGTCTGTTTTTCCTTTCTGCTTCCATTTTTTCCCTCTAAAATACCCTTGTGACATTCAACGTTCTCTTTCTGTCAATCCTTCCCCAGGTGCAACGGGGTCTATCTTCAATTCAGAATCATTATCCTATTTCTTTCATTCCTACTCCTGGGCAGTAGACCTAATGTTGAAAAATCACAAAATCCTACTATCTTAGCCCAGTACAAATTAATGTTAGCATTGATTCTACACTTACTGCTGCTCAGCAAACCTTTTTTTTTTTTTGAGACGAAGTTTTGCTCTTGTTGCCCAGGCTGGAGTCCAATGGCATGATCTCCGCTCACTGCAACCTCCACCTCCCAGGTTCAAGTAATTCTCCTGCCTCAGCTTCCTGAGTAGCTGGGATTACAAATGCGTGCCACTACTCCTGGCTAATTTTTGCATTTTTAGTAGAGACGGTGTTTTGCCAAGTTGGTCAGGCTGGTCTCGAACTCCTGACCTCAGGTGATCCGCCTGCCTCGGCCTCCCAAAGTGCTGGGATTACAGGCATGAGGCACCGTGCGCGGCCTACTCTTCTTGATTCTCTGGCACCAAAGCTTGGGAAAAAGTGAGTCCCATCCACTGTGAGCAACATTTTCCCTTCCCTTCACATGGAAATATCTGAGTCTACATTATCTCCCTTCCATTCCATTCTTAGATGAAGAGAATCTTCTTTCCAAAGTAATATTGAGCTGTTCTCCTGGCATCTCTTTTCCCTGTCTCCCCACACCCACTATTTGCCACCTAGCAGCCAGGAGCAATTTTGTAAAAATGAAAACTGAATCAGTTTGCACTCCTGGCTAAACAGAACCAATGGCCTCCCATTGCTCAGCCTCTCCTGATCACATCCCAACCTGCTGTCTATGCATATAAGGCCCCGTGTGTATTGGCGCATGCTCAAGTTCTCAGCTCCAGCCATTCCTTGACCATGTTCAGCTCTTTTCAGCCTCAGGGTCTTTGCACATTTTGGTCCCTTCCCTGAAGGCTCTTCCTTTCCTACCTTCAGGCTTTGGCTTTAATGAGGCTGAGGTGGGAGGATAACTTGAACCCAGGAGTCTGAGACCAGCCCGGGCAACAAAGCAAGACCTCTTTGCTACAAAAAAATTAAAAAATTGGCTGGGCATGTTGGTGGACACTTGTAGTCCCAGCTACTTGAGAAGCTGAGGTAGGAGGATCACTTGAGTCCAGAGGGTTGAGGCTGCAGTGAGCCATGATTGTGCCACTGCACTCCAGCCTGGGAAACAGAGGGAGACCACATCTCAAAACAACAAAAAACACATTTCTACGATGTTTACTGTGTACCACATATGTGCATCACTTGTAGGTAATAAGCTGTTTATAAATAAAACAATTTAATTTGGTTAATGAAATTTCCATGCGCTACCATGGAAATGTTTCCCTTTCGTGTTCCATTTCTATGCTGCTTTTTGGAGGGCATACTTTTGCCCACATTTAGGTGAATTATTAATTCCATTAACAGCACATATGATCGGCTACAGGGATCACAGAAGTTAAAACATACACGGGAGGAGATAAAGTTTGTGGCCAGGTGCCGTGGCTCATTCCTGTAATCCCAGCACTTTGGGGAGCCTAGGAGAAAGGACTGCTTGAGGCCAGGAGTTTGGGACCAGCCTGGGCAATATAGCAAGGCCTCATCTTTAAAAAAAAAAAAAAAAAAAAAGAACAGAGAGAGAAATGAAATTTATGCCTGTGGCGGAAAGTTATTTTGGAGTACTTAAAGTACTTTTCTCACTTATGTTTGAAGTAGTGAAATTAGTGACCAAATATTTGAAATGCAAGCTGGTATTCACTTTATAAATAACATTCCTATATATTTTATGTATCATCTCAACTAGACTAGCGAAGTAAAAACTTAAAAATGCAAAAGTATAGGCCAGGTGCGGTGGCTCACGCCTGTAATCCCAGCACTTTGGGAGGCCGAAGTGGGCAGATCACCTGAGGTCAGGAGTTTGAGACCAGACTGGCCAACATGGCAAAACCTGATCTCTACCAAAAGTACAAAACTTAGCCGGGCGTGGTGGCACGTGCCTGTAATCTCAGCTACTTGGGAGGGTGAGACAGCAGAATTACTTGAACCCAGGAGGCAGAGGTTGCAGTGAGCCAAGATCACGCCACAGCACTCCAGCCTGGCAACAGAGTAAGACTCCATCTCAAAAAAAAAAAAAAAAATATATATATATATATATAATATGAAATACATATAACAAAAGCAACAGAATTTAAGGCACTTTACGTATTATTACACATTGAATCCCCTAATAACCCTGTGAAGTAGGTAACTACCACCTTCATTTTACAGATGAGAAAAGAGGTATCAAGAGGCTAATGGCTTGTCCAAGGTCACTGCCAAGACCCTGACTTTTCCCCCTCAAATTCCATAAGAGGCATGTTTCCTGATGTCTTTTGGTTTTTGTTTGAGACAGAGTCTCGCTCTGTTGCTCAGGCTGGAGTGCAGTGGCGCAACCTCGGCTCACTGCAACCACTGCCTCCCGGGTTCAAGCAATTCTCCTGCCTCAGCCTCCTGAGTAGCTGGGACTACAGGTGTGCACCACCACGCTCGGCTAATTTTTTTGTATTTTTAGTGGAGATGGGGTTTCAATATGTTGGTCAGGGTGCTCTCGAACTCCTGACCTCATGATCTGCCCGCCTCCCAAAGTGCTGGGATTACAGGCATGAGCCACCATGCCCGGCCTCCTTATTTTTAATTTAGAGTGTTCCCTGACTATGCAGCTATCTCCACACCAAAACTTCACTTCCTGTATGAAGCTTGTACTTGAAGTCCAGTATTATTTATTCACTTGGCTGGAAAACAATTTCCCCAAATTAAATGTCCAAACAGTTAAATCTTAGCCACACAGCTCTCCCTATTCCCTCTGGAACTGGATATATCTCCTGTCACTCCCTTCTCCCCAACCTCCACATCTGCTCTTTCCATCCCTATCTCCCCTAGCTAGTTTAGGATTCAGTTACCCCATTCCCGTAACAAAAGTTATGGGCTTCACCCTGCAGGTTTCTACAGCACGCCTTGCACATCACCACCTAATACCACTACCCACCATTTGCATTTTACTTTCCAAACCCATCTCCCCAGTCTAACTCTTAAGAAAAATGGCCACAGCAGCTATCATCCATTAACTCCCAAGTAGCTTGTTCTTCCCCCCAAGCCTGAGATCTGCTCTTTTCCTACTTCTGAAAAATGGCTCCCTGGTCCCTGATTAGTCAAATCATCATTTTTCAAGATCTACCCTCAAGTGACCCTGTCAAATAATCAGGCCCTGGATAATCTTTCCCTTTTTTGAGTATGTGGCAACTTAGAATCTAGAGTACGACATATTAGACAATTGATCAAATTAATTATCTATTCATGCTTACTTTTAAGTCTTCTCTAACCAGACTATTAATGAAGGCAGATCTTGTCTCTTCCCTTCTTATATACCCCACAGTACCGTACATTTTGGCTAGATGATTTAATAATTTTTGAGAGAATCAATACCCTGGTCCCTGGCCACAGGGCAGAGCACCTCCTCATTCATGAGATTAACTTGGACAATGAGACCCAAATTCTGGCTAGGCGTCGTGGCTCACGTCTATAATCCCAGCACCCCAGCACTTTGGGAGGTCGAGGTAGGAAGACTGCCTGAGGTCAGGAGTTCAGGACCAGCCTTAAGCAACATAGCAAGACACTGTCTCTACTAAAAATTAAAAAAAAAAAAATTAGTTGAGTGTGGCGGCACATGCCTGTAGTCCCAGCTACTCAGGAGGCTGAGGTGGAAGGATTGCTTGAGCCCAGGAGGTTGAGGGTACAGTGCACTCTAGCCTGGGCAACACAGCAAGACCCTGTCTCAGAAAAGAGAAAAAAAAAGAAGTTGGGCACAGTGGCTCATCCCTATAATCCCAGCACTTTAGGAAGTCAAGGTAGGTGAATTACTTGAGGTCAAGAGTTCGAGACCAGCCTGACCAACATGGTAAAACCCTGTCTCTATTAAAAACACTAAAATTAGCTGGGCCTGGTGGTGTGTGCCTGTAATCCCAGCTACTCGGGAGGCTGAGGCAGGAAAATTGCTTGAACCCAGGAGGTGGAGGCTGCAGTGAGCCAAGATCATGCCACTGCACTCCAGCCTGAGTGAAAGGGCAAGATTCTGTCAAAAAAAAAAAAAAAAAAAAAAAGGAAAGAGACCCATGTTCCAAGATAGAAGGTATGAATCACTTTGCTTTTTCCTTGCGTGAAGGGTTGGGGGAAAGGAATCCTATGATCCTTAAACAGCAAACACTGTCAGCAAGACTGCAAACAAGATCCATTTAGTGGGGAAGAGGGGACTATTAAAAGCTGCTAGAAAACTGAATAAAGCAAATCAAGACTGAGAACAGTTCCAACTCCCATCAATCTCCAAACAGTGACAGGTCGGCAGCAACTCCTTTCCTTTATTTCTTCCCCTTGTAAAGGGAAATTCAAGTTCAGCAGCATTCCTTTCCTGCCCCAAGTCCTCAACCAGACAAGAGGCTGCAGGCACCAAATCTTGGGCTGGATAATGGCAAAGGCCTCAGAAGCTCACCTCCAGCTCTGAGCTTCAACAGCTGTTTGTACCAGTGAGTCAGCATTAAATCCACCAGAAAAGAACAGCACCACCCAAAGACTGGGGGGCAGCTGGGCCTGAAGCTGTAGGGTAAATCAGAGGCAGGCTTCTGAGTGATGAGAGTCCTGAGACAATAGGCCACATAAACTTGGCTGGATGGAACCTCACAATAAGGTGGTCACCTCTTGTTTGTTTAGGGGGATGCCAAGGATAAGGCCAGCTCAGTTATATGAAGAGAAGCAGAACAAACAAGTCTTTCAGAGAAATGGATGCAATCAGAGTGGGATCCCGGTCACATCAAGGTCACACTCCACCTTCATGTGCCTGAATGGTTGCCAGGTCAGCTGCAGGCCAGAGGCAGTCTTCAGAGGAGGGGAGACCACAGAGGACTTCTAGGCCACACAAATATGTCTCTCGGGAGACTTCTGGGAAGGAAAGCTCACTCTCGGGGCCGGCTGACCATGACTTCACCCAGGGCCTCCAACACCTCCCGCTTGTAGTCTTCAAAGTCACCATCGATTTGGCTAACACTCTGCTCCTCCACCACCCACAGCTGGCAATTGGTTTCTGTGATGAGTCGGGCATCATGGCTGACAACGATCACAGCTTTGAAGAAAGATAGCAACAACAGAGGGCAGGAAGAAAGGAGAAAGAGGGGAATCAGAACATGAAATAAGGGAGTCCTAGGCCCTTCTGTAGTGAAGGACACTACAGCTTGGTCCCCATGGAGCAGGGATGAGGGCACACTCTCAGCTGACTTACCACCCTTGTATTCATTGATGGCCTCCCCTAGAGCATCAATAGACTCTATGTCCAGGTTATTGGTTGGCTCGTCCTACATAGGAGGAATTCCATGACTGAGCACTGCAACTCCCGTCTTCCATTACTGTTACCCTTATCCCTTTTCCCACAGCCCAGCTCACTCACCAAGATGAGGACATCAGGTTCCCGACAGGCCAGCTCAGCAAACACAACTCGCGCCTTCTGACCACCTGTAGCAAAGGAAGGGGAGGGCTGTCACACCTAGCACCTCACATTCTGAAGGCAAACCCTCAAGATGTGCCAGTTTGTGAGCTGAGGCTCCCTCATTCTCGGTTCCTCTAGGTACAGTTTGTAGACATGAATGATAAGGTGAAGGGCACCCTCCCTGGCCCCTGAAGTGGTACCAGAGAGTTTGCAGATCTGGATGGTGTGGGCGTGACTCTCCAGGCCGAAGCGGCCCAGGCACTTGCGGGCATCCTGGTAGGGCAGGTTGAAGCCCCGCTGCAGGTACTCAGTGGGCGTCTCCTCCATGCGCAGCTGCTCTGCATACTGCTGGTTGAAGAAGCCAATTTTCTGCCCGAGAAGAGAGGGAGGTGGTCGGTTAAAGTCACACTTCCTCCATCAGATTATCATTCCCTAAATCCCAATGCCAACTTACCAGCCGGTGGTTCTTTCTCATTTCCCCATGGGTCTGCAAGGGAAGACAAAGTAGTTAAGAGGAGGGCAAGGGAAAAAGGTGCTGCAGCTCCATACATCAACTTTTTTTTTTTTTTTTTGAGACGGAGTCTCGCTCTGTCCCCCAGGCTGGAGTGCAGTGGCGCGATCTCGGCTCACTGCAACCTCCACCTTCCGGGTTCACGCCATTCTCCTGCCTCAGCCTCCCCAGTAGCTGGGAATACAGGTGCCTGCCACCACACCCGGCTAATTTTTTGTATTTTTAGTAGAGACGGGATTTCACCATGTTAGCCAGGATGGTCTCGATCTCCTGACCTCGTCCATACACCAACTTTTCTGAAGGAGAGACAAACACCAGAAATGGGCCAGGGACAAGTATGCATAAGAAAAGGAATAGGGGCTGGGCACGGTGGCTCATGCCTGTAATCTCAGCACTTTGGGAGGCCAAGGAAGGCAGGTCAGGAGGCACTTAAGGTCAGGAGTTTGAGACCAGGCTGGCCAACATTGTGAAACCCTGTCTCTACTAAAAATACAATAATTAGCTGGGCATAGTGGGACATGCCTATAATCCCAGCTACTCAGGAGGCTGAGGCACAAGAATGGTTTTAACCCAGGAGGTGGAAGTTGCTGAGATCGCACCACTGCACTCCACCCTCGGGGACAGGGGAAGACTTTGTCTCAAAAAAGAAAAGGAACAGGGATGTTCCCCTAATATGACAAAGGCATGGTGAGCAAAGTAAAAGAGTTAAGGGACAAAAGGGGAGTTAAGCAAAATGGAGGACAAGAGGGACAAGCAGGAGGGACTAACCACAGCCAAAGAACACCTGCTCTCCATACAGCGAGACTCACGAATGGTACATCGTAAGGGCCTCATGTGGCAAGTTTAGTGTTTTGGGGAGAATCTAATAATACCTTTCTAAAGATCTAATCTCTGGATATGAGAAAATGGCCTCTCAACACTGCTAGAGAGAGCAGAAATGGCTACAAACTTTCTAACACACTAGATGGCAATATATTACAAAAGTTCAAATAAAATGGTAGAGTTTGCCGGGCGTGGTGGCTCACACCTGTAATCCCAGCACTCTGGGAGGCCGACGCAGGCAGATCATGAGGTCAGGAGATCAAGACCATCCTGGCTAACACGGTGAAACCATCTCTACTAAAAATACAAAAAATTAGCTGGGCGTGGTAGCACGCGCCTGTTGTCCCAGCTACTCGGGAGGCTAAGGCAGGAGAATCGCGTGAACCCAGGAGACGGAGGTTGCAGTGAGCCAAGACTGTGCCACTGCACTCCAGCCTGGGTGACAGAGTGAGACTCTGTCTCAAAAAAAAAAGGTAGACTCATATGAAATAAGTAATTGCATGGAAAAATGCTTGATATATTTGGAAAAATCTAGCTACACAACAACTCATATGACAGCCCATTTTTGTTAAAAATTATATGCACATTTGCAAAGAAAAAAGGAGAAAGATATCCACTAAAACATTAATACTGGTTATCTCAGCTGGGAGCGGTGGCTCACGCCTGTAATCCCAGCACTTTGGGAGGCTGAGGCGGGCGGATCACAAGGTCAGGAGTTCGAGACCAGCCTGACCAACATGGTGAAACCCTGTCTCTACTAAAAATACAAAAAGTAGCTGGGCATGGTGGGGCGTACCTATAATCCCAGCTATTCAGGAGGCTGAGGCAGGAGAATATCTTGAACCTGGGAGGTGGAGGTTGCAGTGGGCCAAGATCGCACCACTGCACTCCAGGCTGGGCGACAGTGAGACTCCGTCTCAAAACAAAATAACAAAAAAAAAAAACTGGTTATCTCCAGATTTTTCTCTTGACTTAAGCATTTTTTTTTTTTTTTTGACAGAGCCTCACTCTGTCACTTAGACTGGAGTGCAGTGGCACGACCTCGGCTAACTGGAACCTCTGCCCCCTGGACTCAAGCAATTCTCCTACCTCAGCCTCCCGAGTAGCTGGGACTACAGTCGTGCACCAACATACCCAGCTAATTTTTGTATTTTTAGTAGAGATGGGATTTCACCATGTTGCTCAGGCTGGTCTGTTTTTTTTTTTTAGACGGAGTTTTGCTCTTGTTGCCCAGGCTGGAGTGCAATAGCGCAATCTCAGCTCACTGCAACCTCTGCCTCCTGGGTTCAAGTGATTCTCCTGCCTCAGCCTCCCAAAATAGCTGGGATTACAGGCATGTGCAACCACGTCTGGCTAATTTTGTATTTTTAGTAGAGATGGGGTTTCTTCATGTTGGTCTCAAACTCCTGACCTCAGGTGATCTCCCACCTCGGCTTCCCAAAGTGTTGGGATTACAGGTGTGAGCCACCACACTGGGCTCAGGCTGGTTTTTAACTCCTAAGCTCAAGTGATCTGCCTGCCTCAGCCTCCCCCAAAGAGTTGGGATTATAGGCGTGGGCCACCACGCCAGGCCAATTTTTTTTTTTTTTTTTGAGATGGAGTCTCGCTCTGTTGCCCAGGCTGGAGTGCAATGGTGCAATCTCAGCTCACTGCAACCCCCGCCTCCCAGGTTCCAGCAATTCTGCCTCAGCCTCCTGAGTAGCTAGGATATAGGTGCGCGCCACCGCACACGGCTAATTTTTGTATTTTTAGTAGAGGCGGGGTTCACTATGTTGGCTAGGCTGGTCTGGAACTCTTGACCTTAGGTGATCCCTGCTGGGATTATAGGAGTGAGCTACTGTGCCTGGCCCGTTTATGCAATTTTTAATCGTTCTATAAAAGACATATATTTCTTGTATAACCAAAACACGTGGGTGTGCCCCCTAGTTCTATCTTAATTCTCTTAGCTCTCCCCCCTGAACTGATCTAAGCTCTTTCCTCCTCTACTGCCCCTCTTAGGGAAATGAATCATCTATCATGAGTTCTGTATTTAACTCTACATTCTCGAGAGGCTCCCTGATTCCAGCTTCTGGCAAAAGCAGCTGTGTCTTCACATTTCTCATGCTCTCCCTCCTTGGCTCCAGGACTCACCGGTGTCAGCTTGCCAGTCAGCAGCAGGAGTAGCGTACTCTTCCCCACACCATTAGGGCCCACAATGCAAACTGCAAGATGGAAGACAGGTGGTCAAAGAGGTCCCCAGAGACTCTCCCTGTGGCTCCTGCTACACATCCCTGAGGCAACCCCGCCAACTCACTCCTTGAATCCATGTCGATGCCAAAATCCAAGTTCTTAAAGAGTGGTTTCTGTCCCTGGTAGCCGAATGTCACACCTGAAAGCCACGAAAAGAAGCAATTTATATTCTTTTCAGTCCCTGCAAAGTCCCTCTCATGTGCTGGCCTTGGAGAACAGGAGCAATCTCAGCCTTGGTGGAGAATTTAGGGTGCACATACATGCTTCCGGTGCTTCCTGTGGAGCAGCAGAGGCCCGCGGCACTCACCATGCAGACCCAGCACTGGAGGGCTGAGTGGTGGGGGGTCTGGAAAAGTGAAGCGCACAGTGTACTCCTTAGGGCGCTTCAGGAGCTCAGGGGCCTCCTGGGATTCCTCATCTTGGTTTTTCCGTCGGCATTTCTGCTGCTTCCGAGTCAGGGCTTCCTTCGTTTGTTTTTCCTGGAGAGGAAGAGGAAAAAAGAGAAACCTGAGCCCTGCGCGGCAGTCCTTGAAATGTAGGCCAGCGTTCCAGAGTCTCCTTCTTCCTCCACTGCCAGGAGAGAACAGTGGCCCCCAGCCCAGAAGTCCCTCAGGTGCTCACCGCCTGCTTGGTGGACTTCCCGCCTGCCTTCAGCTCCTTCAGCTTTTTCTCTTGCTTCTCATACTGTTTCAGCAGTTCTTTCTGCTTCTGCTGGTACATCTTTTTGAAGGTCACTGGGGCAGAAGAGGGGACCAGGCATCAGTGGTTGCTCCTCTTCCCAGCAAAGGGACAACCAGGGACTGGTGGTGATGGGGTAGGCATCACTGTCTGGAATTCTGACAGGATTCAGTTTATCTAAATAGGCCCTCCCACTCAGGCCTCTTTTCGAGGTTCTATCTCTTCCCTGCATCCACACACAATCCTACTTACTGTAATTGCCCCTATAGTAGTGGAGCCGCTGGGCATCGAGGTGGATGATATCAGTGCAGACATCATCCAAGAAGCCCTGGTCATGGGAGACGATCAGCAAGGTCTTCCGCCAGCCCTGGAGGTAGCTGGGTTTCAGAGAACAGGGTGTAAGTGTCACAGTGGTCAAGTGAGAGAGAATTCAGAGGAAGCAGGCAGACAACGGGGGCTGGGAGGGAAAGGGGGGTCTGAATAGAGCTCCACTCACAGGCACAGTGGAGAAGGGCTAAAGGAAAACAGGGCAGGGAGGGAAGGGGAAGAAAGTGCAGAATGGGAACCAATGATGCAAAGGCCGTAACGCACTTATTAAGCCAGATGACAGCGTTGAGGTCCAGGTGGTTGGTGGGCTCATCCAGCATCAGCAGTGTGGGCTCCATGAACAGTGCCCTAGAGGGTGGGTAGCAGAGGGCAGGGTCAGGGAGAGAAAGATCCTTGCTCAGACAACCCCAGAGAAAACTCGGAGATAGAGCCTGAGACCATGAACACTCCTTCCCAAGCTCTCCTCAGAGAAGTTCTCGGGCAGGATACGGTTTAATTTTTTTGAGACAGGGTCTCGCCCTGTTGCCCAGGCTGTCGTGCAGTGGCACAATAAGGGCTCACTGTAGTCTAAATCTCCCAGGTCTAAGTGATACTTCTACTTCAGCCTCCAGAGTAGCTGTGACCACAGCGTGCGCCACCATATCCAGCTGATCTTTAAATTTTTTGTAGAGACAGGGTCTCCCTATGTTGCCCAGGCTAGGATATGTTTTCTTCCCCCTTTTGTGAAGATAGAGTCTCACTATATTGCCCAGGCTGGTCTCAAACTCCTGGGTTGAAGATAATCCTCCTGCCTCTGCCTTCCAAAGTGCTGGGATTACAGGCGTGACCCATTGCACCCAGCTGCAGGGTATGTTGATGAGAACTCACCACCAAGTAGGGAGATAAATAGAGAAAGACCCTAAGTTCTCACAACACAGATAGTAAGGAGGGAGAGGTAAGCCTTGAGCCTCCCTATTGGCCTTGGAAGAATGAGAAGGGAAAGAGGAAAAGGGCCCCGGTGGTCTGAGGCTGGAAGGGAGGGCAGTGAGGTGAATGGCCCACCTGGCCAGGGAGACACGCATGCGCCAGCCCCCTGAGAACTTCTGTGTGGGTCGATTCTGCATTTCAGGGTCAAAGCCCAGGCCAGCCAGGATCCGCCGTGCTTTGGCCTCTGCAGCTGCCGCCCCAGTGGCCCGCAATTCCTCATACACCTGGGAGGAGGGAGAAGAGGACACACGTCTGAGGGTCCCAGGAACCCCCAAGTCTTTGCCCGTGTCCCCTGCGCCATCTCCTCTACCTTCTCTAGCCTCTCAGCAGCTGTGTCATCCCCTTGTTCCAGCTGTCCCTGAAGCCGCCGCTCCTCTTCCAGCAGCTTCAATCGCTTGGTGTCAGCTCGAAGAACAGCCTGGACTGCTGGTGTCTCATCTGCTACCACCTCTGGGAGGCAGAGGGAGAACAGTCAGGCAGCCTCAAGAGCCAAGAGTCTCATCTTTCTTTCCCTTCAATTACATTTCTGTTTTGCCTGACCCTGCCCAGCTCTTTGTACTTGTTCCAAATAAAACACTCTCAAGTTCCTCATTGACCCTCCCCTCCTTTCCTTAGCATCCCTTTCCCGGTCTCCAGTCTCCCTCCACATCCCTTCCAACTCCATAGCCACAATTTCTTCTATTCTTGGCTGGCTGGCTTTTCTACCCAACTGCCCACCCCACCAAGCCCCTTTTCTCCCCAGTGGTCTCACCCTGCTCACACAGCAACACATCAATGTTGGGAGGGATGCTCAGGGCTCGGTTGGCAATGTGCTTGAGGAGTGTGGTCTTGCCCTTGCTGGGGAATAAAAGCTATTAGGACCTGGCCACCACTGAGAAATCTCTTCTTTTCCCTCCAGGCCCTTTTTTGCCTCCAGCTCCCTCCTCTTCTCACCCATTGGGTCCTACCAGCCCGTAGCGGCGGCCGGCTACAATGTACAGGTCTGCATTGACGAACAGCTCCTTGCCATGAGCGGAGATGCTGAACTTCTCCAGCTGCAGCCATCAGGAAAGAGGTGGCAGAGGGAAGGGATGATCACATGAAAATTCTCCCTTTGGGACAGGAGCGGCCACTTTCTCCCTGCAGGGAAGCCTCTGACAAACCGCTACCTCCAGCATAATCCCCTTCCTCTCCCCACAGCCGGTCCCCGCCCTGTTCGCTGCCTGTAATGGGAGCCCCATGCATCCTCAGCTAGTCTAGTCTGTCCCACACTATTTTCTGCCAAGGGTGGACCCCACTTCTACTGGTTTTTCTATCTTCTTGCTCAAGTTGGCAGAACCTAAGGTGTGGAAAATGCCTCCAATCTTTCTTCCCACTGAACTAACCCATTCACACACCACAGCCACTCAGGGAAGATGAGAGAACTGGCTCTTCCCTAGGTAAGTGGACTGGAAGGGGCCCCTTGAGACCTTACCTTGATGTCAGATGCATTTTCTAACATGGCTTGGCGGGAGGACATCTCCGCCTGGGACACGGAGAAGTCATTTTCAGCTGCATTGGCTGCTTTTAATGAAGCCACTTGGCGCTCATACTCCATCTGAGAAGGTAGGAAAAACTACATTTGAAGCCACAGTCTACCAGTTTCCCATCACCATGAAACAGCCCATGCTGGCTGGGCATGCTGGCTCACGCCTGTAATCCCAGCACTCTGGGAGGCTGAGGTAGGTGGATCTCTTGAGCTCAGGAGTTTGAGACCAGCCTGGCCAACATGCTAAAATACTGTCTCTACAAAAAATACAAAAATTAGCCAGGCATGGTGGTGCCACCCATAGTCTCAGCTATTCGGGAGGCTGAGGTGGGAGGATCACTTGAGCCTGGTAGGTTGAGGCTGCAGTGAACAGAGATCACGTCATTGCACTCCAGCCTGAGTAACAGTGTGAGACCCTGTCTCAAAAAATAAACAAAAAACCCCAAAGTGAAACAGCCCATGTCATCAGACATTGAGATAAGGTTCACAGAACACAATTATTTTCTTACTCCGATTGTTTTACTTGGAGTAGCCCCCAAACCTTTCCTTCGTGTCCCCAATCGCATGTCCCCTAGTTGAAGTATTTAAAAATCCCCTACTTTTGACCGCTAAGAACCAAGGTCTTACCTGTTTTTTCAGCTTTTTCTTCTCCTTTTTGCTAAGATGAGCATAGGGATCATCTGCCTTAGACTCTCCTCCTTCCTCCTCCTCTTCTTCCCCTTCTCCTTCTTCCTCTGAACCCTGTGAGAACCCGGGGATGGTCAAAACTAGGGACTCCTGGCTGGGCGCGGTGGCTCACGCCTGTAATCCCAGCACTTTGGGAAGCCAAAGCGGGCAGATCCCAAGGTCAGGAGATCAAGACCATCCTGGCTAACATGGTGAAACCCCATCTCTACTAAAAATACAAAAAATTAGCCGGACGTGGTGGCGGGCGCCTGTAGTCCCAGCTACTCGGGAGGCTGAGGCAGGAGAATGGTGTGAACCTGGGAGGAGGAGCTTGCAGTGAGCCGAGATCGTGCCACTGCACTCCAGCCTGGGTGACAAAGCAAGACTCCGTCTCAAAAAAAAAAACAACAAAAAAAAACTAGGGACTCCTTCTAGAACTCAGATTTCACATCATCTGCCCCCTGTCCCTGCCCCAGCTCTTTCCTTCACTACTCAGAGTCCTAAAATATCTTGGGATCCTCTCTCATTCTCATACCCAGCCCCTGGTCTCCCTGAGGTCCTTTATTAATTTCTGCTACCAGGAATGGTACAAGACAAATGGTATGAATGTGTATTTATGAAATGTGACAACGCGTTATGTCCCTATAAATGTAACTCCCAATACAATGTAACTGAAGGTGGAGTAAATGGATTTCAAGAGTTTCATTTGTATAAAATGAGTTTCTGTGGTTTCCTTGTTAACATGCAAAGAAAAGATCAGGTAGCCGTCCGGGCACGGTGGCTCATGTCTGTAATCCCAGCACTTTGGGAGGCCAAGATGGACAGATCACAAGGTCAGGAGATCAAGACCATCCTGGCTAACATGGTGAAATCCTGTCTCTACTAAAAACACAAAAAATCAGCCGGTCATGGTGGCACGTGCCTGTAGTCCCAGCTACTCGGGAGACTGAGGCAGAAGAATTGCTTGAACCCGGGAGGCAGAGGTTGCAGTGAGCTGAGATTGCGCCACCGCACTCCAGCCTGGGCAACGGAGTGAGACTCCATCTCAAAAAAAAAAAAAAAAAAAAAAAGATCAGGAAGCTCTAGTGCACAGTCAGAGGAATCCAGCAGAATCACAGAATTAGGAAGTGCCAGACGCATAGGGACCCTAGAGATCTCCGGACTCCTCCTTCTATCACACAAAGGAGACAAGTGAGACCCAAGGGGATGGGAAGATGTATTCAAGGTCACACAGCCAGTGAAGGCAGAGCCAGGACCCAGATCATCTGAGATAAATTCCAGGCCCTTTCTTCACTGGATTAGGTGTTGCAAACTACAGCCCATGGGCCAAGGCTGACCTGACATTTATTTTTATATAGCTCCTGAACTTTATAAAAATAATTTTTGTATTTTCAAAGAGTTGTTAAAAAAAAAAAAGAATATGTGATAGAGATTGTATGTGGCCTGCAAAGCCAAAAACATTTACTATATGGCCCTTTATAGAAAAAGTTTGCTGGCTGGCATGCTGGCTCACACCTGTAAACCCAGCATTTTGGGAGGCTGAGGCAGGAGGACTGCTTGAGCCCAGAAATTCAAGACCAGCCTGAGCAACATAGTGAGACCTCATCTCTATACTAAAAATAAAAAAATTAGCCAGGGGTAGTGGTGCACACTTGTAGTCCCAGCTACTCAGTAGGCTGAGGCAGGAGAATCTGTTGAGCCCAGGAGGTTGAGGCTTCAGTGAGCCGTGTTCACACCACTGCACTCCAGCCTGAGTGACAGAGTAAGATCCTGTGTAAACAAAAACAAAAACAAAAACAAACGAACCACCACCCCAACTACTCCCCCAAAAAAAGAAAAGAATAAAGGTTTGCTGGGATAATAACTATATCCCCAGATTCTAACTCTCCCATAAGGACCCTGGAAGCCCTAGTCCCTCATTCCACCTTGCCCCAACACCAAATACACACCTGCTCTGCCTTCTTGGCCTTCTCCTTCCCTTGTTTGGGAGGCTCCTTTTCCTTTATAATTTCTTCTTCTTTATCCTCCTCTTCATTGTCCAGAGCAGCGAATTTATTTTGAGGCTAATAGGGAAAAGACAGGTCTGATGAAATGTTTTTTTTTTTTTTCTTTTTTTTTTTTTGAGACGGAGTCTCGCTCTGTCACCCAGGCTGGAGTGCAGTGGCGCAATCTCGGCTCACTGCAAGCTCCACCTCCCGGGTTCACGCCATTCTCCTGCCTCAGCCTCCCGAGTAGCTGGGACTACAGGCGCCCGCCACCACGCCCGGCTAATTTTTTTTGTATTTTTAGTAGAGACGGGGTTTTACCGTGTTACCAGGATGGTCTCGATCTCCTGACCTCGTGATCCGCCCACCTCGGCCTCCCAAAGTGCTGGGATTACAGGCGTGAGCCACCGCGCCCAGCCCTGATGAAATGTTTTAATTCCTGGGCCCCAATACCTCCTCCTGCTAGTTACTCTCTCACCTTAGCCTTCCCTTTTGACTTCTCTTCCTTTCCCTTTTTGCCCTTGAGTGCAGGCTGCTGTTCCTCAGATACGGCCTGGAGGAGACACACATACACATTACACACATACATACAAATTATTGTGCTACTTTGCTGTGTAATAAGCATTTCTAGAGAGTCTACTGTGTTAACCATACACATGCTCCTCCATTTACGACAGGTTGCATCCCGATAAACCCACCAGAAACTTAAATAAAAAATGATAGTTCTTGGCCGGGCGTGGTGGCTCACACCTGTAATCCCAGCACTTTGGGAGGCCAAGGCAGGTGGATCACAAGGTCAAGAGATCGAGACCATCCTGGTCAACATGGTGAAACCCTGTCTCTACTAAAAACACAAAAATTAGCTGGGCGTGGTGGCACGTGCCTGTAATCTCAGCTACTCAGGAAGCTGAGGCAGGAGAATCACTTGAACCCGGGAGGCGGAGGTTGCAGTGAGCCAGGATTACGCCACTGCACTCCAGCCTGGCAACAGAGTGAGACTCCGTCTCAAAAAAAAAAAAAAAAAAAAATAGTTCCAACTTATGATGGGTTTATCTGGATATAATCCCATCATGAGTTGAGGAGTACCCTAAATGAGTATGACTTTCACACCATCATAAAGTAGAAAAATCGTACACCGAAGCAGAAGTTGGAGACCATCTGTATTGAGTGCTGCTGACGAAAAATGAGACCCAGAAAAACCCTACCCTCCAGCTTCAGACTAGATAGCGAAGAGATAACTAGGGAACGTCAGCAAGGCTAAGGATTATAAGTCAGGCAAGTGCGCCACCAGAGTGAGTGGCACTAGCACTGGAGGCTTTCTCAAGAGCTCAAATGGACATGGACTAAGATGCACACGCAGAAGAGTCACAAGTAGAAGAGCAAGGACCTGGGGCTTTGTTTCAGGTTCTGTGCTTAAAGCAACAGAATCACTGTAGATTTCTGAGTGATAAAAATGGCATGGTTTTTTTTGTTGTTTTTTTTTTGAGACTGAGTCTTGCTCTGTTGCCCAGGCTGGAGTGCAGTGCCTCAATCTCAGCTCACTGCAAATTCCACCTCCCAAGTTCAAGTGATTCTCCTGCCTCAGCCTTCCAAGTAGCTGGGATTACAGGCGCACGCCACCACGCCTGGCTAATTTTTGTATTTTTAGTAGAGATGAGGTTTCGCCATGTTGGTCAGGCTGGTCTCGATCTCTTGACCTCGTGATTCGCCCACCTCGGCCTCCCAAAGTGCTGGGATTACAGGCGTGACCCACTGTGCCCAGCCTGGGCATGTATTCTAAAAAGATGATTTTAACAGTATAAGTAAGACAGACCGAGAAGAGCTAGTTTAAAAGCGGGAAATTACTCCACCATGGCCAGAAGGTGCTAAATGGAGTGAGAGTGACTGATCGAGCCACCACTGTCACCTTATTGATCCGATTCTTCTCCGGCTTGGCAGGCTTAGGAGGATGTTTTTCTTCCTCCTCCTCTTCCTCACTCTGATCCTGAATCAGGGCTGCAAAAACATTACCACCCTAGAGAATGAAAGGGCCACAGAAGTCAGTAGGATGGTCAAGGTTGCATCCTTGGAGTCTCCGTTTACCACACAGATGGCTTACCTTGGTTTTCTTCCCTCCGCGGGGTTTTGGGGCGGGTACTGAAATGACAGGGGGAGAACATGAGATAGGAAAGAATTACAATGTCTGGCCCCCCAATTGAATCCAACTTGAAGATCAGGGTATGAGGTATCACTCTCCATGACTCATGGATTCCAGGTACCCATTCCCCCTCAGGTCATTTACCTTCATCCTCCTCATCACTGGTTGGCACTGAGAGCTTCTTAAGACGCTCCATGAGCTCTTTCTCTTCTCCATCATCATCCACATCCTTCTTCCGCCTGCCTTTTCGGGTATCTCGCTTTTTTTTTTGCTGCTGAGAGCAAAAGAACAGTGAGAAAATGAAGCCCAGGCCCCTGCTGTATTTCTGCCTCACAGAGGGTTCCCCATCAGCTGAATGGAGCAACATGGGCTGGAAAGGGGTTGGTGGAACCCAGATGCCTCCCAGGATTGGTGGGCCCTGTGGCACTTGTACCTGCTGTTGCTGTTGCTGCTGCTGCTGCTCCTTCTCCTTGAGCACTTTCTCTTCTTCCCCAGCCTGTTTATCTTCTACTGCCAGCTCTTCAAAGAACTATAAAGGGAGTTAAGCTACAGGTAAACATGTTTCCAAGAGCAATCCAAGCAGGCTGTGCTCTGCCACACATTGGCCCACTGGCCCTCCACTCCACCCTCACCTTACCTCCTGTCTCTCTCTTTTTTTTCTTTTTGTGGAGAATGGAGTGTGCAGGTCTCAAATTCCTGGGCTTAAGCTATCCTCCCACCTCTGCCTCCCTAAGCGCTGGGATTACAGGTGTAAGCCACCGTGCCCTGCCTATCTCCTCTCTTGACAAGATCTTTTCTCCTCCCTTGGACCTCCCACCTCCTTCACATGGCTATTTATTTAGCTTGGAAACATCCATAGTCATTTCTTATCCTCAACCCTCATTTTCTCACCGTTTTTTTGATCTTCTTGTCCTTCTTCCCTTTCTTCACCACTTTGTCTAGAAAGTTAAGCGGACATCGTGAATGCTTATCTGCAAATTCCAAAGCAGTCTGATCCCCCCTGCAAAGATCTCTGTAGCCTCTATCCTATTTTATTATTTTTCTAGCTTAACTATCACTCCTTAAATATTTGTACTGTCTCACAACTCCTGCAGAAATAATCATTCCCATCTCTATTCATTCATCCACTAAGTATCTACTAAACAGCTACCATGTGTCAGATATTGTGCTAGCGTAGGGGATCATAGCAATGAACAAGACAAATGTGGTCTCCTCTGGAGCTTGCAGGCTATAGGAAGAGAGATTTTTAAATAGGTAATTCCAGGTGTACTGAAGGTTCCAAAAGAAAAGGTAAAGCCTACTTGGTGGTGGGGGAGAGGCTGGCTTCATCTCTGGTGGCGGCCTCTCTAAGAAGATGGCATTTAAGCAAATAACTGAAGTAATGAGGAGTATGAGAAGTTAGTCAGACACATGGTGTAATTCCAGTGCTGTGCACAGGCCCAGCTGTGAGAAAGCACACACACTGAGAGACAGGGAAAGGTTTGGTATGGCTAAGCTTACAGACTGAGGGGAGAATGGTGCAAGGTAAGGCTGGAGTGAGGGCCTTGTAGCAAGGTTAAGGAATGGGGACTTTATTGGTATGATCACTTTCACACTTTAAAGTTTCACTCTGGCTTCAGAGTACAGCAAGAATCGGAGGGAATAAGCATAGTGGGAAATCCACTGGGGAGGCTGTCAGAGTAGTCTGGGTGGTGGTGACAAGCGGACATAAAGAAGAATTCATAGGATGGGGCTAGAGGTGGGGAATAAAGAGCACCCGGCCGGGCGCGGTGGCTCATGCCTGTAATCCCGGCACTTTGTGAGGCAGAGGCAGGCGGATCACTTGAGGTCAGGAGTTCAAGACTAGTCTGGTGAACATGGTGAAACCCAGTCTCTACTAAAAATACAAAAAATTAGCCAGGCATAGTGGCGGGCGCCTGTAATCCCAGCTACTCAGGAGGCTAAGACAGGAGAATTGCTTGAACCCAGGAGGCGGAGGTTGCAGTGAGCTGAGATCACGCTATTGTACTGCAGCCTGGGTGACAGAGCAAGACTCTATCTCAAAAAAAAAAAAAAAAAAAAAAAAAAAAAGAGCACTCAGAGATGACTCCTGTGTTTTTAGCTGGCAAAATTAGCTGGGCTAAGTGGTACCATTTATTAATTAAGGAGGCAGTGGAAGAGAAGGTCTTATAGGAAGGAAGAAGATATTATAAATTCAATTTGGGAGATATGTGTAGATACACACACATGTATACAACACACACACACCCTCCTTTTTTTTTTTTTTTTTTTAAGAGACAGGGTCTTGCTCTGTCACCCAGGCTGGAATGCAGTGGCATGATCATAACTCACTGTAACCTTAAATTCCTAGGCTTAGGTGATCCTCCCACTTTAGCCTCCTGAGTAGCTAGGACTACAGGCAAGCGCCACCATGCCTGCCTAATTAAAAAAATAATAATTTTTAGAGAGGAGGTCTCACTATGTTGCTCAGGCTAATCCTGAACCTCTGGCCTCAAGCAATTCTCCTGCCTCAGCTTCCCAAACTGTTGGAATTATAGGCCTGAGCCACTGTGCCTGGCCAGGGGGACACGTTGTTTGTAAAACCTATAGGCCATGTAAATAGAGTTATCTGGTAAGCAAATGAACACCTCAGTCTATGCCTTACTTGTTCTGCTTGAATATTATAGCACAAATCACATTGTGTCATATTTACCTGTCTGTGTGCTTTCATTCTAGAGAGTAACCTGAGAGACTGTTTAGCCTGTGTTCCCAGTAAAGCCAAAACAGATTCAACAGATTCTAGCTCTCCCCCTCTCCATCCTTGTTTCCCTGAAGGTAGAGGACCATGTCCAACTCCCTCCCCTACTGGAGGCAGCCTCATGATTTCCCTTCAGGCTTAGGCCTATTTATTATCTTCTCTTCCAAAACATCCCTTCCATTCACTGCTATCTAATTCTACCCTTAAGCATTTCAGTATTTAATATTAAAAAAAAAAAAATTGGTCGGGTGCGGCGGCTCAGGCCTGTAATCTCAGCACATTGGGAGGCCAAGGTGGGTGGATCACAAGGTCAGGAGATTGAGACCAGCTTGGCCAACATGGTGAAACCCCATCTCTACTAAAAATACAAAAATTAGCTGGGCGTGGCAGAGCACGCATGTAGTCCCAGCTACTTGGGAAGCTGAGGCAGGAGAATCGCTTGTACCTGGGAGGTGGAGGTTGCAGTGAGCCAAGATCGCGCCACTGCACTCCAGCCTGGGTGACACAGCGAGACTGTCTCAAAAAAAAAAAAAAAAAAGAAAAAAAGTCAATGGTATCCGCCATCTACTACATTAAAATATTCTCAGACTAGAATTCCATGTATTTCAAAGTAATCATTTATTCAGGAAAGTTTTATGGTGCATCTACTTCTCCAAAAAACTAGAGTTAACGAGAGACAATTCCAATAATTAAAGGCTTCACAGACTAAAATGGCCCTACCCTATCTTTTCTGTTTCCCTACCCACACCTCTGGTCTCGATACTGGCTTCTTTCTGTTCCTTTATGAAGTCCCAGGCACGCTTATGTCTGTCTTTGCTTAATCTGCATCCTCCATCCAGAACACATTTCAAAGTTTGGGGCCCTCCTCCTCCCCAAAAAACAAACCACAAAAAACAAACAAAAAAGTTAAAGAAAAAAAATCTGAGCCCAGTATTGGGTGACTAGTGTGAGAGTTGAAAAATTGTGCAGGATTAATAATAAAAGGCTTTATATGCTATTCCAAGGAGTTTAATCCTAAAGGCATTAGGAGGAAGGATCTACTGAAGTACCTAAGAAGGAAAAACCTGATCAGCTCACCTTATCAACACAGATGACTGACTCATCCCAGACACTAATTTCTCCCCAAGGACTAACACAGCCATACCATCTCTCCTTCCTTTAAATCTCTTTTGTGGCCAGGCACACTGGCTCACGCCTGTAATCCCAACATTTTGGGGACCAAGGTGGGAGGACTGGTTGAGGCCAGAGGTTCAAGATTAGCCTGGGCAACATAGCAAGACCTCATCTCTACAGAAAACAAAAAACAAAAACAAACAAAAAATAAGCCAGGCATGGCGGTGTGTGCCTGTAGTCCCAGCTACAAGGGAAGATGGCTTGAGCCTGCGATTGAGGCTGCAGTGAGCTGAGATCGCGCCACTGCACTCCAGCCTGGAGTGAGGCTCCGTCACAAAAAAAAAAAACCCACCAAAACCAAAAAAATCTTTTGTACTTTAATCACTCTTATCCACTTCATTATAGGGACAGGAAAAGCCTCTGAAGAGTTTCATTGTGAGAAAGTATAATCCCCAAGGAACTGAAAAAGATTAAGTGTGGCTAGAGATATACTGTGTCTTCTCTCCTTTCGTATATCGCTTAAGCTGCTCCTTCAAGGCAAGAAAGCAAGCCTTCTTTACCCTTATACCCCTCTCCCCCATTACTGTTTCGTATTCTTGTCCTCATTGGGTCTCAAAATCGTAATTCACAAGCTTCACTTTCTCTTCTCCCATACCTTTGAAACATACTGCAATCTGGTATCATCTCCGAATGAACACTACTTCTGCCAAAGTTGCCACTGAACCCTTAGCTCCTCAAACCACAAAGTATTTTTTGGTCCTTATTTTGCCTGACTTCTCTGCAGCATTCCATGCTGCCTACCTCCACACCTTTTTTATTCTCTTCTATCATTATTTAATTTCTGGGATCTTGCTCACTCCTGGTTTGCCTCCAGTTTCTCTGGCTGTTTGCCTTTCTCAGTCTCATCTCTTCAGCCTCCTTCCCCACCTGCTTCCTGCAATTGCTGAAGTTCTTTAGGGTTCCCACCTTTAACCTTCTTTTTGGTTCAATCTGCAAACACTCTCTAGGGGACTCTTCCATATCCAGCACTTCAACTCTACTTGCCTGTGTCTTTACTCCTAGTATAGTTGTCTCTCCACAGTGACTAAACAAACTCTCTTCTTGCCATTTCCTTTTAGAAATCCTCAGAAACGCCTAACTCAGCATTCAGAAGTTCACCTTATCTCTTTCCACTTCTTACTCTCCTGTCCATTACTGCTTTCAGTTAATAGTCTACTAGTCACTGGGTTACTTAAGTGTCAACCTTACTTCTCCCTTCATTTAATCAGTTCTCAGTTCCGATCAATGCCGCCTCCTTAGTAACTCTTTATTCTTCAGGCCTTGGCTTATCCCCTTACCACTTCTCACCTAGATCATGGCCAGAGCCCCCTAAATGGTCTCCCCGCCTCCATCTTGACCAGTTCAAGGCCATTCATTCTCCATTGCTCAGTGCTACAGGTGAACTGTTCATAATCATTCCTTATGCACTTCAATGGGCCTTCCTTCTTAATGTCTTTAGGATTAAACTCCTCGGAATGGCATCTAAAGCCTTTCATTATCTGTCTCCTGAGCATCTTTCTGACTTCATCACACTAGTCACCAGGCTCTAGTGGGACCAGTCAGGCTTGCCTACATCTCTACCTTCCACAAACTTCCTTGGCTTGGAATGCGCTTCCCCTTGCTAATTCACGATGATCTTTCAAGAATAAACTCTGGGGAGCAGATGTAGTGGCTCACGCCTGTAATCCCAGCACTTTTGGAGGCTGAGGCAGGAGAATTACTTGAGCCCAGGAGTTTGAGACCAGCCTAGGCAACATAGCCAGATCTTGTGTCTACAAAAAATTTTAAAAATAAGGTGTGGTGGTGCATGCCAGTAGTCTCAACTACTTGGGAGACTGAGGCAGGAAGATCCTTTAAACCCAGGAGGTGGAGGCTGCAGTGAGCCATGTTCATGCCACTGCACTCCAGCCTGGGTGATGGAGCTACAATGTGCCTCAAAAAAAAATACTCAGCTATTACATATTCTTGGGAGGCTTTGCTGACACTCCCTTACCTGTCTGAGTAGATGCTCCTCCTCTCTTCTACAGTCCCATAACATTCTTAAGCACCTTCATCATACTCTGACAACCACTGTCTGTCTGGTTAATGCTCTGACCCTTCACCATACTGGGTTGTCCCTTGAGGGAAAGTCTTATCTTTTATCTCTACATTCCCACTTCCTCCACACAGTACCTGGTATACAGTAGGCATCCAATAAGTGCTTTTAAAATTAGTTACTGTGTACCTACTGGGGTTAGTTGTGTCCATTTATGTCCCCCTTAAAACTGACTTCAACCCTGGGAGGATATCTTCATGTTTTTTTCCTTCCCCTCTCAAAGCACAGTATATAGAGTGCTTAATTAAAAACAAGCGCTTAACAAACTTTCGCTGCTTTTTAAGTAAACCTTAACCCTCATTCCAACATCAAAAATCTACACTCTTGCTCCAGTTGAGTGAGAGGGGTGTCTTAAGAAAGAAACCATGAAGGAGTCACCCTCTCTTGAGAAACAAGGGGGATCACAGGCTCCCAAGGTGTGTGTATGCGCGCGCAGGGGGAAGGGGAGGTCGAGGCAGGGCTCATATATTCCTGGTGGAATACAGTGTATGGTGGGGCGGATGTCCAAATTTTTTAAGCAAGGTTTTCCCATTTCTCCCCATCTCTCCCTCGGTGCCATATGCTCTTTCTTTTATCTCGCCCAGTCTCACTTAGGTCACGTGCGACATCTGGATCTCTTTCCTTTAACCCCGATTCCAAACCCACTCCTCCCCGGCAAACTCCTCCCGGGCCCACGGCACGCATGCGCAGTAACTCCCGCAGGGGCCCGGTCAGTCTCGTGCCCCATGACCCTCTCTTAAAACACGCGCAGTCTCCTCTCTCTTCCCCCTCTGCTCGTTTCTTCCTTGCCTACCAGCCTCACCTGATGGGCTCGTGCTCTCTCCGTCCCCGATCCACTCGGGCTCCGGCGGCTGCTGCTTGGGCGCCTTCGGCATCGCGGTGGCAGTTACAGCTACTGTGGCGGCGCCCGGTGCTATTTCCGCTTCCGGCGGCGGGGAACCCCGATGGGGCTGGCTCTCCAAGCTGGCGCGGCCAACCCCGCCCCCGGGCTGCGCACGTGCGAGCTTCGCCGTCATCTCGGGGGCGTGGCCCTGGTTCAGTGGAGGCGTGGCCTGCAATGACGGAGCGGGGCCGGCGTCCGCTTGCTCCAGTCGCGTAAACACATGGCGTTTACGACTGTCTGGGAAGCCTGACGCCGTGACCTCCCGACGCCGCGAGACTCAAGGAATGAACATAATAATTTCCTACTAGTATGAAGGAGTTGAGGCATACTGTTTTTTTGTTTGTTTTGTTTTTTGTTTTTTTAAAAAGCATATTCTAGTTTCTATCTGTAACTCGTTTCTAGTTCTGCCACCGCGATGCCGAAGGCGCCCAAGCAACAGCTGCCGGAGCCCGAGTGGATCGGGGACGGAGAGAACACGAGCCCATCAGGTGAGGCTGGTAGGCAAGGAAGACACGAGAGGAAGGGGAAGAGAGAGGAGACTGCGCGTGTTTTAGGAGAGGGTCATGGGGCGCGAGACTGACTGGGTCATGGGCAGAAAAGACAGTGCAGACCAATGGCTAAGGGAGAGGTCTGATCGGTCCAGTGTTGAAATGTGTCACAAAATCCCGAAGTGTACAATTGTAAACAGGGAACTGGAGCCCAACATGCAGAAGTCACGGTGCAGTGGAGCTTCGGTTCATTTATTTTTTTTGGTAACAGCTTTACTGAGATATAATTGACATACAATAAACTGTACACAAAATAAAATGGCACCCAAAATAAACTGCAAAGTATCACTTAAATAAGTTTTGACCTGCATAAACCCAGTAAACTATCACCACAATCAAGACTTTGGTTCACTTCTAACTCTACCACTTAATATGGGAGCTTGAGCAAGGTGCTCCTGTAGTTCTGTCAGCTCTCAAACCACTACAATCATGCTTTTGTTGCCACCATTGTCTGAATTCACACTTGCCAAAGTCAACAGATCTGGGGCCATCCTACTCACTCTCCCATCAATGTTTGATAGACTTGGTCGCTCCCTCCCTCCTTTGTTTTCTTCAGGGACACTACTCTCTATAGGTTTCCTTTGCATCTAATGGGCTTCTCCTGAAGTCTAAATGTTGAAGTGCCTCAGGGCTAAATCTTTGACACTCTCCTTAATCTAGACTTATCACCTATCACCTCCTGACTTTAAATACCATCTATAACCAATGAAGATTCCCAAACTTCTCTTGCTGGCCCCCAACTTCTGCCCCGAGCTCCAGGCTCATGAATTCAACTGCTTATGGGACATCTTCTCTGAGATCTTTAATAAATCTCTCTCATACGTACAAAATGGAGCTCTTGTTCTTACTCCTAAAGCCTGTCTCTTCCAGGCTTCCCCATCAAGAAATTGCACCACAGGTCATTCAGTTATTTGGGCCAAAACTGAAAGGTCATCATCCTCTTTCTCCATTCCTCCTCCCCTAATCAATCCATCAGCCAGCTAAGTCTGCCTCATTTTTTCATTCATCTGTTCAACAAATATATTTATTGAGTGTATAGTATGTGCCAGGCACTCTTCTACGCTCTTGGGATACTACTGAATAAAATAAAGATCTCTGATTAGGTTTCCAGCAGGGGAGATGATCCTATAGATAAAAGAAAATATGGATCAAGTTTAAAAGTATCAAGAGGACAGATTTTAGTCTTAAATGAGGCCTCAGTAAAGTGAAATTCAAGCAAATCATTAAAGAAGATTAGTTTTGGCCACATGGATTTCCAGGAGAAGGGCCTTTCTAGCATAAGAAACAGCTGGAGTAAAGCCCTGTGACAGGAGTGTTCGGACATACATGGGGAACAAACAGGAAGGAGGCAAGAGGGGCTGGAGTGGCACGAGTGAGCCAGAGTTGTGGGAAAGGTGAAAAGAGAAGTAAAGCAGGGTCTGGATTGGGAAAGGTCTTTTAAATTATCTTAAGGATTTTGGCTTCTTCTGTTGATTTAAATGGAAGTCACTGCAGAGTTCTGAGCAGAGTGATGTGATCCAACCTACATTTTAAAAGGATGACCTGGGCTGGGGCGCGGTGGCTCATGCCTGTAATGCCAGCACTTTGGAAGTCCTAGATGGGTGGATCACGAGGTCAGGAGATTGAGACCATCCTGGCTAACATGGTGAAACCCCATCTCTACTAAAAATACAAAAAAGTTAGCTGGGCGAGGTGGCGGGCGCCTGTAGTCCCAGCTACTGGGGAGGCTGAGGTAGGAGAATGGCATGAACCCAGGAGGCAGAGCTTGCAGTGAGCCGAGATCCCGCCACTGCACTCCAGGTTGGGCGACAGAGCGAGACTCCGTCTCAAAAAAAAAAAAATAAAATAAAATAAATAAAAGGATGACCTGGCCAGGTGCAGTGGCTCACACCTGTAATGCCAGTACTTTGGGAGGCTGAGGCAGGAGAATTGCCTGAGCCCAGGGGTTTGTGACCAACCCAGGCAACATAGCGAGACCCCTTGTCTCCGTATATAATACAATTTTTTAATTTTTATTTTATTTTATTTTTTTGAGACAGAGTCTTGCTCTGTTGCCCAGGCTGGAGTGCAGTAGCGTGATCTCGGCTCCCTGCAACCTCTGCCTCCTGGGTTCAAGCAATTCTCCTGCCTCAGTCTCCTGAGTAGCTGGGATTACAAGCGTGCGTCACCATGCCTGGCTCATTTTTGTATTTTTAGTAGAGACGGGGTTTCACCATGTTGGTCAGGCTGGTCTCGGACTCCTGACCTCGTGATCCGCCTGCCTCGGCCTCCCAAAGTGCTGGGATTAGAGGCGTGAGCCACCATGCCTGGCCTATAACATTTTTTAAATTGTTAAATAAAAAGGATGACTCTGGAGGCTGTGCTGAGAACAACCTGGGCGGGAGGTGGGAGGGGGCAGGCAGCAAAGAATGGGCAGAAATGACAGAAGCAGGGAGATCTATTAGGAGGTGATGGTGACTCAGACTAGGGTGACAGCAGTGGAGGTGTGAAAAGGGCTGGTTTCTGAATGTATTTTGGAAAAGAGCCAACAAGTTTTGTTAATGGATTGGAGGTCATGTTTGACAAATAGAATTAAGGATGACTCCAATATTTCTGGCCTGAGTTAACTAGAAAGATGTAATTGCCATCAACTGAGACGAAAACATAACCCAAATTTAACCACTTCTCTCCACCTCTACCCTGACCAAGCCATCGTCTCTTCTCCCTGGACCACTGCACTGCGCTGGCCTCCTAACTGGTCTGCCTGCTGTCATTCTCATTCTCTAGTCTATCCTTCACACCTACAGTCAGAGGTGGTTTTAAAATGTAAATCCATGGGCCAATCGCGGTGGCTCACGCCTGTAATCCCAGCACTTTGGGAGGCTGAGGCGGGCGGATCAAAAGGTCAGGAGTTCAAGACCAGGCTGGCCAACATGGCGAAACCCTGTGTCTACTAAAAATACAAAAATTAGCCAGGCGTGGTGGTGGGCGCCTGTAGTCCCAGCTACTTGGGAGGCTGAGGCAGGAGAATCACTTGAACCCGGGAGGTGGAGGTTGCAGTGAGCTGAGATCATGCCACTGCACTCCAACCTGGGTGATGGAGCAAGACTCCGTCTCAAAAAGAAAAAAAAAAAAAGTAAATCCATTTGTTCAAAGTATAAAAATATTTAAAAAAGTATAAAATCCAGAATAAAATCCAAATGCTTTACCATAGTTTATAGGGCTCTGTACAATATGCCCTCTGTTAAACATCTTGATCCCATCTCCCACAGTCTAGCCACACTGGGCTTTTTTTTTTTTTTTTGAACCAGGATCTTGGTCTGTCATTCAAGCTGGAGTGTAGTGGTATAATCATAGCTCACTGCAACCTCAAAGGATCCTCCCACCTCAGCCTCCAACTAGCTAGGACTACAGGCACACGCCACCAGGCCTGGGTACTTTTTAAACATTTTTGCAGACACAGGGTCTCACCATGTTGCCCAGGCTGGTCTCAAACTTCTGAGCTCAAGCAGTGCTCCTGCCTCAGCCTCTGAGAGTGCTGGGACTGCAGGCATGAACCACCACGCCTGGCCTGGCCTTCTATTTTTACTTCAAACACCCCAGAGTCATTCCTGCATCAAGGCCTTTGCCTTTGCTGTTCCCTGTGCCTGGAACGCACTTTCTCTGTGTGTTCATATGGTTTGTTCCCTCGTTTAATTTTCTCTCTATGTGTTACCTCCTCAAAGCAGCTCTCTCTTTGTATCAACCTGTTCTCTTCCACCTGTCACTCTCTAACCTCTTTTTTCACTTTATTTTCATTTGAAGCATTTACTATTACTTAAAATTATATTACCTATGTATATTGTCTATCATCCTCAAAGCAATGTAAGCTCCATATGGGCAGGGATTTTGTCCTTTTTATTGATGTAGCTCCAGCTCCTAAAACAGTGCTTGCCCTACAGTAGGCACTAAAGTGTTCACTGAAAGTATGCAAAGCTTGGCCAGGTGCGGTGGCTCATGCCTATAATCCCAGCACTTTGGGAGGCCGAGGCAGGTAGATCACCTGAGGTCAGGAGTTCGAGACCGGCCTGGCCAACATGGTGAAACCCCATCTCTACTAAAATACAAAAAATTAGCCGGGTGTGGTGGTGGGCACCTGTAATTCCAGCTACTCGGGAGGCTGAGGCAGGAGAATCGCTTGAACCACCCCCTCTCCCCCCCCAAAAAAGTATGTGAAGCTTAAATAAGACAAAGACAATGTCTATAAAGAGCTTAGCAGGGTACCTGGCACTGAGCAAGCAGCCAGGTGACGCCACACTCTGAGATCTCTCCCTGCCTCTCCGTCATCCCTCCTTAGTCTCCTTGTCTGGCTTATCCTTGTCCTTCTTCACTTAGCAATTCAATGTCAGAGTTCCTCAAGGCTAAGTTCTGGGCCCTTCATCTACAGATTCCTCAGAGAGGTCTATCCTAGCCACCATGTCTTTTTTTTTTTTGGATATGGAGTCTCGCTCTGTTGCCCAGGGTGGAGTACAATGGTGCAATCTCGGCTAACTGCAACCTCTGCTTCCTGGGTTCAAGCCATTCTCCTGCCTCAGCCTCCCAAGTAGCTGGGATTATTTATAAATGCCCACCACCACGCCTCGCTAGTTGTTGTTATTTTAGTAGAGACAGGGTTTCACCATGTTGGCCAGGCTGGTCTCGAATTCCTGACCTCAGGCGATCCACCCGCCTCAGCCTCCCAGAGTACTGGGATTACAGGCGTGACCTACCGCGCCCGGCCACCATGTCTTGAGTAGCTCCCCAACTACTGTTTCTATTCAGTACCCCATTTATTTCCTTCATATGATTCATCTCAACCTGTAATTATATGTTTGCATACTTTTAAGAAAAACAGTCCCTGAGAATTGGGAACTGGCCTGACAATAACTGGCAGGCTTTGGTGTTGCTGGGAGCTGGCCTGTTGCCCATAGTTAGGCCATGGTACTCTTGTTGAACATAAACTATCTCACAGAAAATCAGTGTCAAACAAGGTCATCCTGTGTTTGTGATGAAATTAGACAAACTTCAAAATCTTGTCTAAGCACAAAAACACCACACAGTTCCCTGTCAGCTAAAATGTGTTGGCTTTTTTACCTTACAGCTTTAGCCATATTTCATTTCTCCCTCCTTCTAGATAAGATTAAGAAGTAGTCATCTTTCTGACAGCATCTAAGCCAGAACAATTTCCTGTTTCTTTTGAAATCACCAAACACAAACCCTAATCCTGTCATTCCTAGCCCCCTTTTAGGGAGATAACCTCTGTAGAATTAATAAACTCAACTTAAATGCTTGCCCATAAGTTGAGGAGTTATAAGTTAACTTTTAAGAAGTTTCTTCCGGCTGGGCGTGGTGGCTCACACCTGTAATCCCAGCACTTTGGGAGGCCGAGGCAAGCAGATCACCAGGTCAGGAGATCGAGACCATCCTGGCTAACACGGTGAAACCCCATCTCTACTAAAAACACAAAAAATTAGCTGGGCATGGTGGTGGGCGCCTGTAGTCCCAGCTACTCGGGAGGCTGAGGCAGGAGAATGGCGTGAACCTGGGAGGCGGAGCTTGCAGTGAGCCAAGATCATGCCACTGCACTCCAGCCTGGGCGACAGAGCTGAGACTCCGTCTCAAAAAAAAAAAAAAAAAAAAAAAGAAGTTTCTTCCCAGACAACTGGTGTTCTCAGCCCTTCCTCCATCCTGAGGCTTTGAACATGGATGAGGAAGCCAGAGCTTCACTTTGGACAGTGAATAGAAGCTTGTGGTTGTGAATCTGAAAGTTGGGGGTTGAGGTTCTGAATACTCAGGGACCTTGTAGTGGTGGCATTGTCACACATCTTGGATTGTTGATTGTCCACCTCTTGACCTGTGAGAGAAATAAACTTCTATCTTTTTAAAAATTATTTATTTTTATTTTTATTTTTTATTTATTTATTTTTGAGATGGAGTCTTGCGCTGTCGCCCATGCTGGAGTGCAGTGGTGCGATCTCGGCTCACTGCAAGCTCCGCCTCCTGGGTTCACGCCATTCTCCTGCGTCAGCCTCCCGAGTAGCTGGGACTACAGACGCCGGCCACCACGCCTGGCTAATTTTTTTTCTATTTTTAGTAGAGATGGGGTTTCACCATGTTAGCCAGGATGGTCTTGATCTCCTGACCTCGTGATCCACCCACCTTGGCCTCCCAAAGTGCTGGGATTACAGGCGTGAGCCACCGCGCCCAGCCATAAACTTCTATCTTAAGACTTCTTTTTAAATGGCAGTTACATAAGCCAGAACTACCTGGAGAAATCTGATACTTTTATTTTGACCTGTAATTTTCAAATGTCTACTTTTCTCCAACTCTACTACCCAAGTCTATGTCACCATCATGGCTCACTTGTACTACTGAAGTAGCCAGTAGCCTTCTAATTAACTTCCAGGTCCAAGGTGGGCCCTCTCCATACAAGCTGATTTTTTTTGAAAAGCCAGCCTAAGCCATGATACTCCTGTCTAAAATTCTTCAAAGGCTTCTGTTCTAAGAAAAGAGCCAAATCTTCATGTTTTCCAAGGCCCTGAGTGGTCTAACTCCTCTTTCTTCTGCATCATCTCCCACTGTCCCTAGGTTTCTTAGCTCCTCTTCCCCTAGGTCTTTTAGCGAAGACCTTTGCCTTGACTTCCCTCTCCCACCCCACCTCCTGTTTATCCTTTGGAGCTTGTCTCAGTTGCATCTCCTACCCTGACTCCCTTTATTACACAACTCTCTTTCACCCTCTTTTCTTCCCTGTCTTCTTCCCAGCACTTTTGACAGGTTTAACTTTACATGCTATTTGTGATTATGAGAAACCTGTCTTCCCTGTACATTTTAAATCCATTGGCTTTGGCTGTCAGTTATCTCTAGTGCTTGGTATATTGCCTGGCCCACAGGCATTCTGCAAATTGCTGCTGAAAGACTCCTTCATCATTACCACTCCATAAACACAAACTCTGCAAAGTAAAATATTTAAAAATAACTCCACGGACACCTGGCCTTTCCTTTTTCTTACAAAACTTTGCCCTTGAACATAAGGCAGCTTGTTCTGGTTGATGCCTACAGGCTAATGGAACCTCCATTGGTTTTTTTCAGCCTGGAAGAACCTTAAGCTTTGTCATTCCCCATCACTAGTGTGTATGAACTAAAGAATAAGCTGACTCCACCAGGTGAGAACAGCTTCATCTGCAACTCCAGAGATGACTAGAACACAGGGATTAAATAAAATGCTGGTTTCCACTGCATTTATTACTAATATAAAAAAAGTTAAAAAGAAAAAAAAAAAAAAAACCTCATTCTCAGTTCTCCAACAGCTCTCACCCCTCCCTCTTGCCAATACAACTCCTGACCCATTTCCTCAGGGCCAGTTCAAAACTGAACCTGTTCACTGCTGTTTTCACAGAAAACAACCAGTGCCAGGGATGTAGGGGAAGAGGATTGGAAGAGGGCAACAGTACTGTCCAGCTTCTACCCAAAGATAGGCAAGGTGGAGATTCACAGAATTCAAATGAATGGACTGGTGGCCTCACAATGACATAGTCTAATTAAAATGGGCTGGAAGGGATCTAGGTAGGATAAAGCCATTGGAGGCTTTATAAGACATGTCATGGGTCTGTGTCAGACTCAGAATAACCAACAGGAGAAGAATGGGGAGGGCCAGGGAGGCAGTCTGATGGAAAGTTCACAATTCTCCCATGTTGGGAAGTGGGAAAGTCCAGAGGGCACCAAGCGCCTCACTCATTTTGGCAGGAAAACTTATTCTAGTGCTGGGAAGTCACAAAAATGCCACGGACACTGAGAAAGGCTACAAGGGGATGCACAGTTTCACAAAGCACGGTGATCATAGATAGACCATAGCGGTGGGGATCATGCTACTGACAGAGAAACTATGAAATCCAAAGGCAGGGAGAGTGGCCTTTTAGGAAGTAACTCTGCACCAGTCACCCAAACTTGACCCCAGGTTAGACAACCTGGCTGAGTTTCACAAGCAGCTGACAACATTGGGGGTAGGGAATGTCACATAAAAAGGACTTAAAACAAGCAGCTAAAAGAAGGGAATGGTAGGAAACCGCTCCAGGGCTCTCAGGAATTGAGGGCAATACTGGGGAACAGGTGGACAGATGCACAAGAAACAGCACCAAAGAGGTTTCCTGTTCAGCAGTCATTTGATGACGGGAAAGAAGATCCAGGAGGCAACTGAAAGGAAGCAAAGATGGGTCCCAAAGGCGAGTCTCTACAGGCTGGATCAGAAGAAAGCGCGTATGCCGCGCACCAGTGATGCAACACCACTCTGGACCCCACACGGGGGAAGTGGTGGATGGGATGGGTGTGTCACTGACTGAGGGTGTTAGAAGAGCCTCACAGTAGCCATCATAGGGCTACAGAGAAATAAATGGCCGCTAGGTCACAGAGAGCTCCTTCCAGCCTGGATGGGAAGGCACAGTCTCACAGAGGAGGTCCATTGACGCCTGGATGGTAGAAGGCACAGAGGTCCTCATATCGACAGTGGCCCTTTTTGGCAAAATGTCGGCAGACAGGGCGGTCGGATTTGTCTGTGAACAAGTGAAAATGGAACAGTTAAAAATTTGAGCAACAAAGAAAACAAATACAATGAAACGCAGAGACAGAAGGAGAACTGATTTTCTACCCCCTACCATTTCCAGGTATTTTGGAATGGTAGTCTTTCTCCTGGGAGAAATAACATTGAGGTCTACTTCTGCTTCAAAAGCAAAAAGGAAAGCCCAGAGAAGATTGTGAATGATCTTCTGAAAATTAGGTCACTCTGGGAGTAATGGGCATAACAAAATGGACCTCACCTTCCATAACCTGGGGGTCATCCTTGGGCGGGCAGGTATTCTTGATAAGAGACCAGCTTTTGAGCCTTCGAGGGTTTCTCTGTTCCTTGTGAAAGCTTCCCCTGGTGGGACCCCCATGGCCTGGCCCCGGAAAAGGAGGTTCTGCATTGACTCCCCACCAACCACGACCATATGGGCTAGACCTGGGGCCAAGCCCTCTCCGAATTGGGCCTCTACCCCAAGGAGGAGGTGGGAGACTCAGCAGTGGTGGAATCAGTGGTCCCCTTGATCCTGGAGGACCTCTGTGAAGAGCTGGAGAGAGAGAGAGAGAGAGACACAGAAAGGTGTCTAATGGGCAGCTGAATCCTGATAAACCGTGATTAAAAAAATTTTTTTTATTGAAGAACAGCATACATAAAGACACACCAGTTTTAAGTGCACAACCCAGTTCTCACAAAGTAGACACACTTGAGTTTCCACCACCAGGTGAAGAGATAAAGCCTTATTAGCACCTCAAAAGATCCTCCCCTTGTGCCCCTTTTCCCATTACCCACCCTCCTCCCCAAAGGTAACCACTATCCTGACACCATAGGTTAGTTTTTGCCTGTTTTTGAACTTCACAAAAATGGAATCATACAGTCTGCATTCTTTTATGTCTGGCTCCTTTCGCTCAACATCATGTTTGTGAGATTCATCCAGGTTGCCTGTAGCAGCAGTTCATTCATTTTCGTTGCAGTGTAGTCCCATTGCATGCATACACAACAATTTATTTATCCATTCTACTGATGATGGACATGTGGGTGGTATCCAGTTTGGGGCTATAACGAGAAATGCCACTATAAACATTTTTATACATGTTGTTACACATACGTATGCATTTCTGTTGAATATATACGTAGTAGAGGTATTACTGGCTTATAAAGTATATGTTATGCTCAAGTTTCATACATAATGCCAAACTTTTTTTTCACAGTGGTTATACCAATTTGCACTCTCACCAGCAGTTGTCCTATAGCCTTGACAACACTTGGAATTGTTAGGTTTTTAAATTTTGCCATGGTGAGTGTGAAAAGTGGTGGTTATTTTTTTGTTTGGTTATTATTATTTATTTAATGAGAGATTGGGTCTTGCCACACTGCCCAGGCTGGTCTTGAACTCTTGGGCTCAAGTGATCCTCCCACCTTGGTCTCCTAAAGTGCTGGGATTACAGGCATGAATCATCATGCCTTGTTTTGTTCGGTTTTTATTGTGGTAAAAAACACATAAAATTTACCATCTTAACTATTTTTAAGTGTACAGTTCAGTAGTGTTACATATATTCATATTGATGTGAAACAGATCTCCAAGTTTTTGTTTGTTTTTTGAGATGGAGTCTCGCTCTGTCGCCCAGGCTGGAGTGCAGTGGCGCGATCTTGGCTCACTGCAACCTCTGCCTCCTGGGTTCAAGTGATTCTCCTGCCTCAGCCTCCCAAGTAGCTGGGATTACAGGCGCCCACCACCACGCCTGGCTAATTTTTGTATTTTTAGTAGAGATGGAGTTTTACCATATTGGCCAGGCTGGTCTTGAATTCCTGATCTCATGATCCGCCCGACTTGGCCTCCCAAAGTGCTGGGATTACAGGCACGAGCCACCATGCCCGACCTCCAAAAGTTTTTTATCTTGCAAAACTGAAACTCTGTACCCATTAAACAAAACTCCCCTTCCTCCAGCTTCCTTCCCCCAGCCTCTGGTAACCATCATTCTACTGTTTCTTTGAAGTTGACTTTATTTTTATTTTTTGTTTTGACAATCTTGCTCTGTCATCCAGGCTGGAGTGCAGTGGCGTGATCTCGACTCACTGCAACCTCTGCCTCCCAGGTTCAAGCAATTCTCATGCCTCAGCTACCCGAGTAGCTGGGATTACAGGTGTGCACCACCATGCCCAGCTAATTTTTCTATTTTTAGTAGAGACAGGGTTTTGCCATATTGGCCAGGCTGTTCTCGAACTCCTGACCTCAAGTGATCTGCCTGCCTTGGCCTCCCAAAGTGCTGGGATTACAGGCGTGAAGCACCATGCCCAGCCCCTGAATTTGACTTTAGACACCTCAGATAAGTGGAATAATACACTATGTCTTTACTTAACATAAAGTCCTCAAAGTTCATCCATGTTGTAGTATGTGACAGCACTTTCTTCCTTCATAAGGCTGAATAATATTCCATTGTATGTACACGCCACATTTATCCTTCCATCAGTGGACATGTGGGTTGCTTCCACCTCTTTGTTATTGTGAATACTGCTGCTATGAACATGAGTCTGCAAATATCTCAAGACCCTGCTTTCCATTTTTTTTTTTTTGATATATACCTGGAAGCAGGAGTTCTGGGGTAATTCTATTTTTAATTTTTTTGTCATCTGGTAGTTCTATTTTTAATTAAGAGGAACCTCTTCATATTGTTTTCTATAGTAGTTTCACCATTTTATAATCCCAGCAGCAGTACACAAGAGTTCTAATTTCAAAGTGGTATATTTTTATCTTGCATTTACTTGACAATTAATGATATTGAGTACTTGTTCATTTAGACCTTTAGTTCATTTAGATCTCCATTTTAATAAGGTGTCCTGTGTTTTTGTCAATTTTTCAAATGGCTTGTCTGGAAGAGTTCTTTATATATTATAGATACAGGATCTTTATTTGTTATATTTATTGCAAATATCTTCTATTGTATGGCTTCCTGTTAATTTCTTAATGGTATTATTTGGCAAGTTTGTATTTTGTTTTTTCTTTTTTTTGAGACAGTCTCACTCTGTCCCCCAGGCTGGAGTGCAGTGGTGCAATCTCAGCTCACTGCAACCTCCGCCTTCCAGGTTCAAGCGATTCTCCTGTCTCAGCCTCCTCAGTAGCTGGGATTACAGGCACACACCACCATGCCCGGCTAATTTTTGTATTTTTAGTAGAGACAGGGGTTTCACCATGTTGGTCAGGCTGGTCTTGAACTGCTGACCTCGTGATTCGCCCGCCTCGGCCTCCCAAAGTGCTGGGATTACAGGCGTGAGCCACTGTACCCAGCCGCAAATTTATATTTTCTAACGGAGTTCAATTTATCAATCTTTCCTTTATGGTTAGTGTGTATACGTGCATTTCTTGTCTGTTTAAGAACTCTTAGCTACTCTTAGAAAATACATTTACTTTCTAGAATAATTATTCTCTTACCTTTTATACTTAGATCTACAGTCCATTTGAAATAGATCTTTGTATATGATTATGAGTGCAAGGTGAAATTCCATTTTTTTCACATGAATATCCAATTGATCCAATATCATTTATTGAAAAGACCAACTTTTCAGTTCCATCTTCATCATAAATGAAGTGTCCACACATGTATGGGCCTGTTATTGGACTCTTCGGGACATAAGTCCTATTGACTTATGTCTATCATTGTTTCCAAACTGCATCGTTGTAACTATTGTAGCTTTATAGTAAGTCTTTTTTTCTTCTTGTATTTAGAGACAGGATCTCACTATGTTGCCCAGAGTGGCCTCAAAAACTCCTGGGCTCAAAGGATCCTCGCACCTCAGCCTCCTGAGTAACTGGGACTACAGGCGTGTGCCACCATGCCCAGCTTACAAATCTTGATATTCATAGTAAGCCCTCCCACTTCAAGATTGTCTTGATAGTCGCCTTGATATTTTGCATTTCCCTATAATAATGTGTATTTCCACAAAAACATTATGGGTGTTCTGACTTGGAATGCATGAAATCTGTTTATCAATTTGGGAAGAAGTGACATTTTTACAACATTGAGTTTTTAAATCAGCAAATATACAACTTCTCTCCATTCATTTAGGGATGGAATCCCTGATCTTTTATTTTTAAGTCCTTCCTGGGTTTTATCCCCTCCCTTGCTGTCTTCTCTACGACCTAATACAAGGATCAGGGCCCCTTCCTCCTCACCTGACTTAGGGTCGCCAGGTTTTCCATTGGCCATGGGGGGAGGGCCCAGAAGGCTGGGTGGTCCTAAGAGCAGACATGAAAATATGGTCATCAGAATGGATTAAAGGACTGATGATTCTGTTCTTAGGTGTTTTTCTTGTATTACTTATTTCTTAATTCAACCAGTAAAGTCAGGTATATTTTCAGCAGTCTTGGGAGTTCTCACCCCATCTATCTGCCCTTTTTTCTGCAAAGCTGTTTCAGGGTTTGCAAAAAGTAGATATTCAATCAAAGGGGATAATGCAGGAAAAGATACTGACAACTTTTTTTCTTCACCGTACCGTCGCTATCCAAAACAACCTAAGTGTCTCCAGACATGAACCAATCCCTCACCTTAACTGCTGGCCAGAGGACTAGTTTAGAGAAAGCTGCACCTGTACCTTTTCAGTCAAAGTCTGGATACAAACTGTCATCCCAGTCATCGCAATCTGCAACATCTCTACTACCCCTTTCCCCTACTGTTCTGCGGCTGCGCAAAAGAGCTCTTTATTCTCTCCACCCCCGCCTTCTCCAGAAAGGTCTGGGGCCGTATTGAGGTTGATGGTTCCAGTAAGAGAACTCCTGGTTCAAGGCTCCATTTGGGAGAGCCCCACTTCCATCCCTCCCCAGCGCGTGCGCCCTTCCTCCTTCCGTTACAGCCCCCTCCTTCGCACCTTATTAGCCCCTAGCCCCTTGCCCGGACGGGCTTGACAGGCATGTGCACATCCCTCCCAGACCCCTCACCGATGGGACTCCCATCCTCCTCATCTCCAGTCTCTTCCCGCTCGGGCAGCGGGGGCTGCTGCTGTGTCGGTGGCTGGTGATGATTCTGCTTCTTTCGTTTCGGCATCGTGTCTGCGGCAATGGCTGCAGCGGGATTTGGAGGGTAGTGAGGAAGGGGCACGCGGGGATTCTGTTTCCGCTTCCGGGGGGTCGGTGGGCAGCAATGCTGAGGCTCCCGCCATTCCACTTCCGGAAGGTTGCGGAGAACATCTGCGGCGGCCGCATTCCGGAGCCAACTGCCTCCCTCCGTCTCTGCCAGGCATGGCGGCAACCTCACACCTTCCCTTTGCTGCGTTTCTATAAATGCTTTGAAAAAATTACTCTTTTCTTCCCTCGCTGGAAAACACCACAACCAGCTCCTCAGAGTGTGTCACAGAGTCAACAGGCTCTCGGGCCAGAGGGCCTGAGAAGAGGACTGTCGCACCGTAAGATCGCCACATCCGGTCCTCGGTTACTATGGTAACAGCTGCAGGCACAACTTCGTGCCCTTTGACCTCCCCCCAAAAGTCCTTGTCCCGCTTGGGTTTCCCTTCTCGCCCGCTTTTGCACTTATGATCTGTAAACCTGCTCCTTATCATCGTTCCCACAAGGAATTTGGGTCCCAACAGGTCGGCACCCAGGACTCTCAGACCGCCGCCCTCCCCTAAAGACCTCTGACCGTGCCCCCGGTGTAGTCCAGCAACCTGGACGCAGTCTCGGCTTTCCACTAAGGTCAAGCCCGGGGCTTTGTAGTATAGCCTCAGCGTGTCCACGCCCCCTCTCCCCTAGGTAGTAGGCCCCGCCCTCCGCTCCGCCGCCCCCTCCAGGTGAGTGGTAGGTTCTCCCGGGAGCGCAAGGTAGTGATGACACGCGCCCCCCCTCCTCCGAACGCGAGTTGGTAGCGTCCGTGACGGAGTTAGCCTGGTCCTCCCACGCGCGCCTCCTTCCTCGCCGCCGGGGCGCCCTCTCGGTGCCACTGGCTCTCACGTGCCAGTAGCCCACCCCGCATCATCCTCTCGCCTCGCTCCTGGAGGGAAGTGACTATATCTCCCCCGTCCGCCTTCCATCGCCGCCGCGGCGGTAATTCTGTCGGGCCCGCCCGCTGACGTCACCTGCTAGCCCCGCCTCCTCTAGGGTCCCGGGCCCCTGCGGCGGGGGCTGCCCCGGGGGGCAGTCAGTTGAGGCGGCGGGAGCTCGGCGGAGGGCGGGCCAGGTGACTGGTCCGGGCCATGCCGAGGAAGAAGCCATTCAGCGTGAAGCAGAAGAAGAAGCAGTTGCAGGACAAACGGGAGCGGAAGAGAGGTCAGTGCGGGAGCGGGAGGAGGGGGCGGGGCTCGGGCTTCCGCACATCTGGAAGGAGGGGTGTGCCCGCTGCACCTCTGGGGATCGTGGGAGGGGGTCGTGGGACCGCGTCAACCCTCGCGGCCTATCGCGGAGGGGATCCCCCACCCCCCCTACATCTGGAAGGGGTGGGGAAGGATGGAGAGTTGGGGGAGGGGAATCCCTCCAGCTAGCACGGGGCGCCGTCCCCACTGCTCCCTGAAGGAGTGACTCCCCCCACGCACATCCGGGAGGGTCCCAAATAGGGTGTCTGGGAGGACTGAACATCGGAAGAAGTTGAGTGGGATGAAAGGGAGTCAGGCCGATGGGGGAGAGGGTCTTATGGCCCCTGAGAGCTGGCCAGCACTGGCGTCACCGGCCCCTCCCCGCAGGGCTTCAAGATGGGCTGCGCTCCAGTTCCAACAGCCGCAGCGGGAGCCGGGAGCGGCGAGAGGAACAGACCGACACCTCGGACGGGGAGTCTGTGACCCATCATATCCGCAGGCTTAACCAGCAGCCTTCTCAGGGGCTGGGTCCACGAGGCTACGACCCAAATCGGTGAGGGTGGGAGGGGGCGCTGGTCCCGGCTTTCCCGCCTACCCGGAAGTCAGAGCTTTGGGGGAAAGCGGGCTGCTACTGGTGAAGACGGTGGGCCTGGGATGCCACAGTTCTCCGCTAGCCACTCGGCTCCCCACAGCGGGCCACAGTCTTCCTTTCCAGAGGGGCTGGAGAGAGTTGGGCTTTTAGAAGGAGAAGGCTGAGTATTGCCTGAAAGAAGGACTTGGGGGAAGTCTGACTTGAGAGAGGAGACTTGAACGACTCTGGAGAGAATGGTTTGCGAAGTTGATTGTACAAGAGGGGAGAAAATAGGAGTTTGTGGCCACAGGATTGCTCTGGATGTCTCGGTCCCTGTTCCCTTAGATACCGACTGCATTTTGAGAGAGACAGCAGGGAGGAGGTAGAGAGGAGAAAGAGAGCAGCCCGGGAGCAAGTTCTACAGCCGGTCAGTGCTGAGTTGTTGGAGCTGGACATCCGGGAGGTGTATCAGCCTGGCTCAGGTGAGTGAGAGCAAGACAGGCATTGGGCTGGGGAAGGAGTTTGGAAAGGTAAAAGCCGACTGTGAGGAAGGAGGGGTCTGGGATGTACTCTTGAATCCTGAAGATTTCCTCACACTTGGACTTTTTCCTGAATTCCCAGTTCTGGACTTTCCTCGACGTCCTCCTTGGAGCTATGAGATGTCCAAGGAGCAACTAATGAGCCAAGAGGAACGGAGCTTCCAAGACTATCTTGGGAAGATTCATGGGGCTTACTCCTCTGAGAAACTCAGCTACTTTGAGCACAATCTGGAGGTGACAGTGTACTCTAGGGACAGGAGTGGGGCATAGTGACCTATGGTCAAATTGGTTTGGGATCAGGCTGGAGAGGGACTCTGTTTTCAGTTTCTCTTCCTGATCCTGTCTTTTTAGACATGGAGGCAGCTGTGGCGGGTGTTAGAGATGTCTGACATCGTCCTGCTTATCACTGATATCCGACATCCAGTGAGTACTAGGGATAAGGGTGGGCAAGGAGGAGGGAGAAAGGTTTTTCAGGGGCAAAGGTCAGAGGCAAGAGTTGGGAGACAGAGAGGTATCTATCTTCCTGTCTTTCTAATCTCTACCTAGTGCTGATGTCCGCAGTTAGGAACTCAGTTTTTTATTCTCTTATAGCCTGTCATTCCTCCCTTGGCCAGCTCACTCTTCTCTTCAAAACAGCCATGTCCTGTCCTTTAGCTCATCACAGACCAATAGAAAATCCAAGTGTTGGAGCTCCAGGGATTCTATGAATGCAGCTGGGGACTTCCTCCTGCCCAGCCCAAAGATGCCCTTTCTTCCTTATCTCATTTCTCTAGCACTGCCACATCAGTTGCTACAGAACCCACCTGGAATGCTAGAGTAGTAGTTAAGGCTGTAGACTGCTGCTGGACTGCCCTGTGTGAATCCTAGCTCTGCAACTTCACTCTTGTCCTCCAGTGGGAGAAAGGGAGGTCTGTGAGGACCATTTAGGTTGGAGGTCCTTAATAATATGTACACACACATACTCACACGTACATCATGTGCACATCAATATACACAGGCATGTTTGCACACATGTTCACAGTCACATTAACACACAAACATGCACACATGTGCACGTACTTGCATGCATGCATATATGCACGTGTACACACTTACATAGTTGTGCACACACAAAAAAGCAGACTAATTTCTACCCTAACCCCCATCCCTGTTTCCGATCCCAGCCTTTACCTCAGTGTGCTAAGTGATGCTGTTTCCTTGTCTTGTTTTGGGTTCATTTCCATCTCTAATCATGACCTATAGGAAGCCCTCTGAGACTCAGAAGTATTACTAACCCCTGTTTTGTCTTTGTTTTTCAGTTTGTCTGGTTTATAGTTTTTAGCCCAGAGTCTGCTACCACCAGGGCCTTGTCTCTGAGCTACACCTGCTGAGTGGGGAGCTGGAGGCAGAGAACTCTGGGTTGACTTTCACTGCTCCATCCTCTTATCAACTCTGTCCTAGGTTGTGAATTTCCCGCCAGCACTTTATGAGTATGTGACTGGAGAACTTGGACTGGCCCTGGTGCTGGTTTTGAACAAGGTGGATCTGGCCCCGCCAGCTCTTGTGGTTGCCTGGAAGCATTATTTCCATCAACACTATCCCCAGCTCCACGTCGTCCTTTTCACCTCTTTTCCTCGGGACCCCCGCACCCCACAGGACCCTAGTAGTGGTGAGTGGGCAATGAGAGAGGGCAACTTGGGAGAGGTGAGTTGGCAGGGGACAAAGGGGAGAACAGAGAGGCTTATTGACAAGGGGGCACCTGGTCTTGGGCCTAAGGGTGGTGGGAGAGATGAGAGGCCTAAGCCCGTGTGCCCATCCTTTTGTGCCCTCTGATCTCAGTCTTGAAGAAGAGTCGGAGGCGGGGGAGAGGATGGACTCGGGCCCTGGGGCCAGAGCAGTTGCTGAGAGCCTGTGAAGCCATCACTGTGGGGAAAGGTATGTGGCCCTTAGAGGAGGGCTGTAGGAGGACATGGGGGAGACCAAAGATGCAGAATCATTTTGCTCACCTTTCCTGAAGCCAACCCCTCTATGGTGGATATGTGCAAGAGGCCAGGGGAAGGGACAGAATAAGGAGCAGACTGACTTGGTGGGACGAGAGGCAGCAGGTAGTCAGGAGCCTCAGTGGCTTGCTGCCTTTAGCCTTCCCAGTACTTTTCAGAAGCTCAGAGAAACGTGCGTGATTCCAGGGAGGGTAGGGTCAAATGACTTTTGGGAGATTCTCTGACCTGCTCTTATTTAGGTTGGCACTGTACAACTCCAGAGGGTGCCAGTTACATAATCTGTGCAGGGCACAGTATGTGCCATCATGCACAGCAGCCCTGGGGAGAACCTCTTTAATCTTCTCCTTCTTTGAGCAGTGGACTTGAGCAGCTGGCGGGAGAAGATTGCTCGGGATGTGGCTGGGGCCACCTGGGGTAATGGCTCTGGGGAGGAGGAGGAAGAGGAGGATGGCCCAGCAGTCCTGGTGGAGCAGCAGACTGATTCAGCAATGGAGCCAACTGGCCCAACCCAAGAGCGCTACAAGGATGGGGTGGTGACCATCGGCTGTGTGGGTAAGGAAGTGGCAGCTTGTGCGTGGTGGCCTCCAAGGAGGTACAGAGTTTTCATATTCGGAGAAGAGAGAGGGCGATCAGGTCTCATTAGGCCCCAGGGTGTCTGAGGGGTGATCTCTGCCAGTGGCGGTGGGCAAGGCAGAAGAGGCGTCTGCTGCAGTGGAAGGATCATGACAGCCTGAGTTAAATTCCACCTCTTCTCAGCTGTGAGGTCTTGAGTAAGTGATTTTGCTACTCTGAGTCTTAGTTACTTTGATTTTAAAAATAAGGACATTGATACCTGAGTAAAAGAATGGATGACGGCCATGTGTGAGGGCTCATGCCTATATAGTCCCAGCGCTTTGGGAGGCTGAGGTGGGAGGATTGCTTGAGACCAGGAGCTCAAGACTAGTCTGGGCAACATAGTGAAACCCCATCTTTACAAAAGATAAAGAAAACTAGCCAAGTGTGGTGGTATGTGCCTGTAGTCTCTGCTACTTCAGAGGCTGAGGCAGGAGGATCACTTGAGCCCAAGAGTTCAAGGCTGCAGTGAGCTATGATTGTGCCACTGCACTCCAGCCTGGCTGATAGAGACCCTGTCTTTAAAAAAAAAGAATGGATGTGAGGAATGATGGGAATAGTGTTAAGAGAGTGTAAGAATGCCTGACAAATAGTGATAACAATAATAACAATTATTATTGTTAAAACTCAGTATTTATATGGTGCTTACTATGTAACAGGCACTGTTTTAAGTGGTTTATATAAACCATTTGAATTGTAGTAATTAGTCTGTAGTACAGTGATTATCAAATCATAGTAGGAGCTCAGCAAGAATTAGTATTCTTCTAGGTTTTAACCCTTTAAGTTTGTTGCCAAGGAGAATCTCCTCTTAAGGGCTTTGTCTCAGCTCACAGTGGAGGAAAAAGGAATGTATGATTAGGACCCAGGGCCCGTCTTCATTTAGGGTGGGAGAGGTAAGAAGAGACCTTGGACAAGTTATGGTATCTGAGGTGATATTGGAACCAAAAAGGGCCCAACCCAGAATAAATTTGGGAGTGTGGAGTAGGTAGTTGGGTTCCTTGGAAGTGCCCTGACTTATCTCTGTGTCCTTTTTGTCTTTGGAAGAACCTGCCTTACTGCTGAGTGATTGCTCCTCTTTCCAGTCATTTCACCCGGCTGTCCCTTCCCTGACTTCTGATCCTAGTCTCCCTGTCACAAGGAGCCTCTGTTCCCTCTCTTAGCAGCCTCTGCTCTAGCTGATCTCTATTCCAGGTGGTGTGAGAGGGAGAGTGTTTGCTGTGGCACAGGCACCCCTGAGTTTGGATTTCCCTCCAGCTCTCATTCATTTACCCATTCAACAAATATGTACTGAACACTTAACCAGGTGCCAGATATTCTAGGGATGGGACATACTGCTGTGGAAATGGCAAAAAGGTCTGTAGATTCATGGAGCTTATTTTCTTGTGAGTAAATAGATTTTGTGATCCGAAATCATGTAGGGGCAGTGAAGGCAATAAAGCAATGAAAGGGGATAGAGAGTGACTGAGAGGAGAGGTGCTCAGGGAAAACCTCCCTGAGGAGAGAACTGGATGATGAGATGAAGTGAGCCATTCAGAACTGTGGGGAAAGGGTCTTGAGGAGGGAACGGGCTTGGAGATTCTAGGACCAGCAAGAGTGCCCAGGGGATTGGAGTATGGGAGCCAGGATAAAGTACTGGGGATGAGGTCAGCAAGATCACCAGGGCCCACATCATGTAGAGCCCTGAGGCTGTGACAGCCATTTTGGATTTTATTCCAAGTCTCATGAGAAGCCAAGGGTAGGTTTTGAACAGGGGAATGATAGGATCTGATTTTGTTTCTTATAAGTTTACCTCCTGAGTAGAGAATAAATGATGGGGGGTGGGCAAGAAAGGGAGCAGAGAGAGCAGTTGAGGCTATTTCAGTAATCTAGGAGAGAAATAAGAGTTGCTTAGAGTAGGATGCTGGAGCTGGAGGTGGTGAGACAGGGCCGGAAGCATGATATATTTTGAAGGTAGAGAAAATGAGATCGCTGATGGCTTGCAGTTGGCACGTGAAGGAAAGTGAGGATAAAGAAGGACTTCCAGGTTTTTGTCTTGAGCAACTGGAAATACTGAGATGGGAAGACTGGGGGAGAAGCAGATTTGAAGGCTTTGGGGAGGAGAGGGGAATCAGAAATGAAATTTCAGATTCTTTTTAAATATCCCTAGTGGAGATGTTGAATAGGCAGTGGGTAAGTAGTCAGCAGCTTAGGGGAGAGAAGAGGACGGAAATTTGAATTTGGGAAAGATTTAAATTTGGGGAACCATTGATGGATATAAGTGGTATTTAAAGCCACAGGATTAGGCTGGGCACAGTGGCTCATGCCTATAATCCCAGCCCTTTGGGAGGCTGAGGCAGGTGGATCACTTGAGGCCAGGAGTTTGAGACCAGCCTGGCCAACATGGTGAAACCCTGTCTCTACCAAAAAATACAGAAAATTAGCCGTGTGTGGTGGTGCGTGCCTGTAGTCCCAGATACTCAGGAGGGTGAGGCAGGAGAATTGCTTGAATCCTGGAGGCAGAGGTTACGGTGAGCCAAGATCATACCACTGCACTCCAGCCTGGGTGACAGAGCAAGACTTCGTCAAAAAAAAAAAAAAAAAAGCCATGGAATTGGATGAGATGTAGGAGAGAAAGGAAATAGTTGGAGAAGAGGAGGTCAAGGACTGAGCCTTAGGACAAGCCAGCATTTAGTTGGGCAAAGGACAGTGAGAAGGAGGAAAACCAAGGGAGCGTCCCAGAAGTCAAATGAAGAAGGTGTTTGAAGAGGAAAGGAGGAATCAGCTGTGTCAACTGTTGCTGACAGGCCAAATGAGAGAACAGAGAGCTGCTCAGCAGGCTTGGCAATGTGAAGATCCGTGGTTTCAGTGGGGTGGAGAAAGCCAAACTGGAGTAGGCCCATGAGAGAAGGTGCAACAACTTCACATAACATTGTGTGAAAAGAGTCTGACCCAATAGCATCCATACTGCACAATTTCAGTTCTATCAAGTTTGAAAGCTGCAAAATTAAGCTGCATTGTTGAGAGATACACAGGTCATAAACTAAAGAGAAATGTAAGGAGTTGATTTCCTTAAAAGGATAAAGCTTGCATGTATAGAGGGAGAGGATTATGATCAAGAAGGATGAGTGGCGGCCGGTATGGTGGCTCATCCCTGTAATCCTAGCACTTTGGGAGGCTGAGGCAGGCGCATTACTTGAGGTCAGGAGTTTGAGACCAGCCTGGCCAACATGGCAAAACCCTATCTCTACTAAAAATACAAAAAGTTAGCCAGGTGTGGAGCCGCACGCCTGTGGTCTCAGCTACTCAGGAGGTTGAGGCACGAGAATCGCTTGAACCTGGGAGGATGAGGTTGTAGTGAGCCAACATCGCACCACTGCACTCCAGCCCGGGTGAGGGAGTGAGACTCTGTCTCAAAAACAAAAACAAAAAAAACAAGGACAGATGGAACATGTTGTCACACATTGGGTGGTATGGGGTTCATCAGGCTGCACATGTATGTTCTGTGCATTTTTTTGTATGTTGTAGTTTACAGTTACAAAGAAGATAGCAGGAAGAAATGGTGAAAAAAGTAGGTAAGTCTTTTAAGGAGTTTTCCTGCAAAGCGGACAGAGAACTAGGTCTGGTGGTGGTCGTCAAAGGAGAACTTTTTTCTCCCTCCTTCCCTCCCTTCCTCCTAGATACTTGCATGTGTTGTAAAGAGTGAGCACAGTGGTACATCTTTTCTTAGCCACAGTCAGCTGCCCAGGAGCAGTGCTGAATGGGCAGAGCTGGATTTTACAGGGTTGGGATTTTGCCAGGTGAGTAAGATAGAGGGGAGAAGTGGGACCAGGGAGTTCCAGGTCTGTGAACGGGCCTGGCTGAGGAGCTGGATCATGAAATCTGAGTCAAGTAAGAAGGAAATTGAGGACACGAGTTGGGTATTGCATAGTGTTACTGTGTTAAGGTCAGGGGTCAAAGACTTACTGGCATGGAGTAACCAGAGTAAGTGAGCTGGAAAGATGAGTTGTCAGGGCAGAGAGGGGTGCTTGGAATTGAGGCTTTGGAGCTGTGAAGTGACAAGATGCAGGTATTACCATGGGAGTGGGCAGCTGAGGTGGGGTAAAGGAGATGCTCTGTGGAAGGGAGATGAAGGCACTGAAGTCAGCCAGAAACACAAAAACTGGTGGTGGTGAGTGAGCAGAGTGGCAGTGAGCCCCAAGGCTTCCAGTTTTCTCCTTGGACAAGTCATCGTAATTATTATTATTATTTTTTGAGATGGAGTTTCCCTCTTATTGCCCAGGCTGGAGTGCAATGGTGCAATCTCAGCTCACTGCAACCTCCGCCTCCTGGGTTCAAGTGGTTCTCCTGCCTCAGCCTCCCAAGTAGCTGCAATTACAGGCGCCCACCACCACGCCCAGCTAATTTTTGTATTTTTAGTAGAGATGGGGTTTCACCATGTTGGCCAGGCTGGTCTTGAAGTCCTGACCTCAGGTGATCCACCCGCCTTGGCCTCCCAAAGTAATCACGCTGGGATTACAAGCGTGAGCCACTGTGCCAGGCCAAGTCATAGTAATTATGAGATGTGGATCACTGGTACTGGGTACTTACTGTACTGCAGGCACTGACCCACACAAGTTGTATTGGTTATCTCATTTAATCCTGACCACCCTGAGGTAGGGAGGTGTCCACACTGTAAAATGAAGAAACAGAGGCTCAGAAAGTTAGTTGCCCTGACATCACAAAGCTGGTAAGTGGAAGGGCCAGGATTTAACCCTGGCAGCCCAGAGCGTGATTTGTATTCTGCAATACCATTTCCTTAATTTCTGAGCCTTAGTTCCCCTTTTACCTATAGGTATAGCACCAAGTCCCATCACAGAGTAGAAACCTGTTAAACGTTAATTTTCCTTGCCTTCCTCAGGTTTCCCTAATGTGGGAAAGTCCTCGCTGATCAATGGGCTGGTGGGGCGGAAAGTCGTGAGTGTCTCCAGAACCCCGGGCCATACCCGATACTTTCAGACCTACTTTCTTACCCCCTCTGTGAAGCTCTGTGACTGCCCAGGCCTCATCTTCCCATCTCTTCTGCCTAGGCAGTTGCAGGTATGACGGGGAGGGTGGGTAAGGGAAAGAGAGAAGGTGGGACATTGAGGAAAGTACTGAGTGCTCATTTCCCTCAGGTTCTGGCAGGGATCTACCCTATCGCCCAGATCCAGGAGCCCTACACTGCTGTGGGCTACCTGGCCTCCCGAATTCCCGTGCAGGCCCTGCTCCACCTGCGCCACCCAGAGGCTGAGGACCCCTCAGCGGAACACCCCTGGTGTGCCTGGGACATCTGTGAAGGTGAGTTCCATGTGCCTGGCTTCGCCCCACCTGGTTTCAGCTGCTCTTCCTTACCTGCCTCGCCTTTTACCCTTCCCTGTCTCCTTTCCTCTCCTCAGAGATTCTGCCATTGATGAAGCTGCTGTCCACTCACCCCTAGATTTTTGTTGCATAGCCAGTAAGATCTCTGGCCTGGAATGTTTTGGGGAAAACTGGAAGGACTGTGTTATGGGAGTGGGAGTATAACTGGTACCTGGTTAATGCTTTCCCTTTCCATTATTCTTTTCTTCCTCCAGCCTGGGCAGAGAAACGTGGTTACAAGACAGCCAAGGCGGCTCGGAATGATGTGTACAGAGCAGCCAACAGTCTCTTGCGGCTGGCAGTGGACGGCCGCCTCAGCCTGTGTTTTCATCCCCCAGGCTACAGTGAACAGAAAGGTCAGAGCCCAGATATTCTTCCCCAGCCCCCTGCTATAGCGTAGGTAAAAGGGTGTGGGCTTTGTGGCCAGAGAGAGGGTCAAACCTGGATTCTGTACCTGTTGGCTAGCTCTGTTACTTAACATCTGTGATATTTTCCTGATCTGCAAACTGAGGGTAATAATTGACCCTTAGCATAGTGATTGTAAAGATTGAAGTTGATGTGCACAAAGGTTCTGTTCAGCAATCTGCACATAGGAAGTTGAATGAATGGATGAATGAATGAATGCCAGCAGCTCTAAAGATTATTGTTATTCCTAGTCTTTGCCTCTTCCCCATCTTTCCTTGGCTTTAGTTCTTGCTCAAAACTCTCCTCCATTTTTTTCTTGTTTTGGTTCCCCAGGCACCTGGGAGTCCCATCCAGAGACCACGGAGCTGGTGGTTTTGCAGGGCAGGGTGGGGCCAGCAGGTGACGAGGAGGAGGAGGAAGAGGAAGAGCTGAGCAGCTCCTGTGAGGAGGAGGGAGAGGAGGACCGGGATGCGGATGAGGAGGGAGAAGGGGATGAGGAGACCCCAACCTCGGCTCCAGGGTCCAGCCTGGCTGGCCGAAACCCTTATGCCCTGCTGGGTGAGGATGAGTGCTGAGTTCCTCGCCCAGCGCCATCTTCCCTCCCAGTATCTTTGCTTTTGGACTGACCTGGGGGTATCTCCCCTCTGCCACCCCAATTGTGAATAAAGATTGTTTGCTTTGTAGCCCCTTCCCCAGATGAACTGAGGTGAGAGCGGCTGTTCCAGGCTAACAGCTGTGGGAGGCTTCTCTCCTCTTCTCCCTTCTTTTTTCATGCATTCTCTTTGCAAGGGAAAGTTCTCTTAGGAGTTTAGTAGGTTCTCAGTCTCTGAAACCTGCTTCCTCTACCCATTCTCCCACTCTGCACCTTAGGAATCCCGTTATCTACATGGGGAGGGGAGGTCTAAATCCAGCTCCCTTTTGGAGTTTGTGCCATTCTCCGATTTGAGCAGCAGCCCTGTGTGCCCCCTGCCGCCAGACCTGCTCATTCCAGGAGCTTCTGGGAGAAGGAACAGTAAGAGAGGAACTGTGTCCCAAGCTGATGTCTCTTAATGAGATTTTTACAGGAATTGTTCAAATTCAGCAAATATTTATTGAGGGTCTATTGTGTGTCTTGACCTGTGCTGAGCACCAAGCATATAAGGATGTACCACCAGAGCCTGACCTAAATTTGAAGCCTGGCCATGATCAAAACCCCACCTTCAGGCACCCAAGTTTTTGGATTAAGAAGGGTGAATGATGTTCTCCAAATCCTGGGGGCTCATGCAGTATAATTCTAGGACTTCATGTTGATACAAATTTTTAGTTAAGGCAAAACGCTTGTGAAAATGTTGATTAAATGTGTACGAGTAGTTTTAATTACTGGTGAACAACTAGCGTGCACATTTATGATTTGAGCAGAACAGCCCTTTAAGTACAGTGTTAAGTTTCATTGTTTAAAAGCTTGGCAGCTACGAGTATTTGAGGTACATAGGGGCGGGCACAGAACCAGCCTCCTGAATTCCATTTACTCTGGTTTGGGGGTGGAACAAAGATGATCCAGTGCAGGGTCTGAGCTAGAACCTAGCAGGTGGCCAGAACCATTTTAGGGTTTCACCTCAGCATTTCGGCAGAAATCAGCTCTCTCGTGAGTCAGGGCACCTTAGGCTTTGCTGTATATCCCTTTGTTAAGCCAGCAGCTAGACTCCTAGATTGAATTCTTTTAGAAATGGGAGAATGAGCTTTTTTATTGACTGCCAGTGTTGTCTGTATTGGATGATAGCAAAAAGTGTAGTTGGACAGGTTGCCCACTAGATGGAGTGAGAAGTACCAGACTCCTTTTTTCTCTAAAGCAGATCCTTTCAGGATCTGAGTCACTGGGCAGTTTCTCTAATGCGAGCAGACAGACCCTGTTAACCAAGGAGCAAAGGAAAGTATATTTAAAGAGGCTAAGGTGTTTGGCCACATATTGCTTTAGGTTCATCTCCATTGGTCTCAGTGTGGACATAACTCCTGGAATTCACTCCAGTGCAAAGTTTAAATAATACCAGCATGAGAATGTACTTGAAGGTTTCCCAAAATGTGCTAGACAAGAAAGAGAAAAGGTCCCAGCTGAGAGAAAAATCCACCTGTCTCCCATCTGGGGCTCTTTGGCCTCACTGATAGAAAAGGAAAAGGGGCCCAAGCTAAGCTTACTTTGAGGGTTCATGATGTTCAGAGATGCTCAGGGGACTTCTCCGCTGCAGGAGGTGGGGTGAGGACATTGGATTCATTTCCTCAAAATATGGAGAGAAAGGAGAAAAATCAGAATTCTATTTGTACCTCTGCTTCCTGTGCTGTTTATCTTTGCTTGTCTTTATCTTTTTCCACCTCAGGGGTTTCATCAGGGGTATTTGGGAGAGTCTAGGGGTGGGGATGAAGAATTGACTGGGAGCTGAGGAGGGGGGATTTTTATGCTGAAGACCTGGCAGGAGGCAACTCCTGACACCCCCACAGGGTTAGACTGTAAAACCTCTTCCATGACTTGCTGACTCTATAGGATAATAGCAACAGGAAAAGAACTGAGGGACGTGCAGATGAGGATGAATAGGGCCCCAACACCAGTGCCTGAGGCTGAGGTTAGAACTGACTACAAAGACACAGGAAACCAAGGGCCCAGTCTCCCCTCCACGCTGAAATACGCACCCTCTTGTCTGGGTCATGTCTACTATGTGAATACTTGACCATGGAGGTCTGGGGCTCTGGTGGCTTCCATAGCTGGCTAGTCTCTTGATGGAGAGAAATCAGGGCTTCTCTCATCCATGCTGGAATTTCATTTAGATGTCAACTTCCAAGTTTCCCTTTTTCCAGATGGGATTATAGTCCTGCTTCTGGAACAGGGTAGCTGTGTGTGGTCCAGGATAGTTCAATTATCTGGCCCTTTGTTCACTTCTTACAATCATTGATACAGTCAACAAAAATTGGTTAAAAACAATATATGCCAGACATATATCCCTGAGTTCTGGGACAATAACCAAAATTGAATAAGGCAATATCCTACTCTCAAGCAATAGAGGGTAGGAATAGAATAATAATAATATAATACAATAGCTCTATAGCAGTATGTAAACTATAAAAGCATTATTTTACGTGTTTCTATTGAACTGTCATAACTAAATAAGATGGTTAGTACTATAATTATCCCAAGGATTCATTCACTCATAGAACATTTGTTGAGCAATTACTACCTGCCAGTCACTTCCAAGTGGTAAGTGAGATAGAAATGGTTCTTTGTGGCGCTCACAATTTATTGGAGAATGGAAACACAATTACAAAAAAAAAGTGTGATAAGTTCTGGGAGAAGGGTGGTACAGGATCCTGTGGGGTAGTGGTGGCTCCATATAGGAGGGACATTGGGATACTGATCAGGAAGGAGTGGGGGACAGGGCTAGAAGCTGCATTAGTATAAAGTTATGTCAGACTGCCAAAACAAAACAAACACAAAAAATCAGTAGTCTGTGGTAAAGAATTGCTATAGGAACAGCCAGTAGGGGCAGTTAAGCTGGTCTTGGTGAATCAGGGGAAGCGTCCTAGAGGAACAGATGTCCATGCTGAGGCCAAATGCTGGACAGGAGTTAGCCAGACAGGGAAATTGCATTCTGGGCAGAGGAGACAGCAAAGGTCAAGAAACATGACAACTTTGGAAGACTGTAACTTGTTCAGAGGCAGAGGGTGCAAAGGAGAAATGAGGAAAGGTGAAGCTGGAGAGGTGGGCTTGGTCCAGCTCTTGCTGGGCCTTTTCAGCCGTGTTAAAGATTTAGACTGTATCCAGAGGGATGTTGAACTTTAAGCCTAAGACTGAAAAGGTGAGAATTGTGCCTTAGATCACTATGGTTGCAGTGTGGAGACTGGTTTGGAAAGGGGAGAAATCAGAGGCTTTTACAGCCATCCCAGGGAGAGAGAATGAACACCAGAATTAGGGTAATGGAAGATGGAAAGAAGAGAAATCGTTTTATGGGTTGCTCAGGAGATAGAATTGACATGTCTTGGGATTGTTTTGCTGTGTAGGGGAGAGAGACAAGTCAAGAGTATACATCCTGTTTCTGACTTGGCAACTGGGTGGGTCATGGGTCTGTTTCCTGAGACAGTTGTCTACAGCCATACCACCGTAAGCGCCCTAAATCTCATCAGAGACAGTTTATGCAAATGGAGCTTGGGGAAAGAGAGGTCGTGGCTGGAGACAGAGATTTGGGCATCATCAACATATAGGTGTGGGGAGCAGAGAAGGCTGAGGAAGAAAGCAGGAAACATATAAAAAGGAGAGCAGGGAAAGGAGCCAGTGAGACAGGAAAAACCTAGTAACGTGGTGTGATGAAGCTAGGGGAGGAAGGAAGGAAGGAAGGGCGGCGTGGAACGCTGCTGATGGGTGGTGGCGGGGAAAATGAACGAGTATCCACCAGCAACGAGAGGGGCCTCCATGGTCTTGGTGGGAGCATTTCTTTGGAGAGGTGGAATCAGAAGCCCCAGATGTCAGAGGGTTAAGGAATAATTTGGAGGAAAAGCGTAAAGGCAGTGGAGGTGAGGAGAGAATTTTCAAAATGTTTGGCAGTGATTGCAATGAAAGAAAAAAATGGAGGGAGCAGAGTATATGCAGTTGAGGAACTTTTTTAGTTTGGAGTGTGTTAACACGATGTTAGGAAGAAGGATCAAGTGAAGGAGAAAGGTGAAAATGCTGGAAGGTGGGGCTTAGTGATGAAACAAACCTTGGGGACAGGTGGGCGTGGTACTGAGAGTCCCAGTGAGGGGAGTGCCCTCAGGCAGGCGCCGGTGGCTTCTGTCACAGGAGGGAACAGCGCTGACATTCAGCTGGTTCGCACTGATACGGCTCAACCAGTTTGTTAAAACATGTCTGTTCCAGTGTCAGTAATATACGAGTAACTGCAATATGCAGTAAAAATTATAAATTCTAATACAAACTCAGTTCAAGCTAATTAAGAGATCGCAACAGCCGTTGGTAAATGGACTTCCCGCTGCATTTGAGAAGCTTTGCAGCGCCATCTGCCGGTGTCGTAGCATCACTGCAGGCTGAGAGGCTGCTTTGCGCCTTCATCTTGAAGCACTCTGAAATTGCCTGTTTAAATTACCTTGGAATCATGGAGTTGCTACTGCTTCTGAATAGTTTAGCTTCTACTTTGATTTTATTGTTAGTGCATTGTCGTTCTTGTGTCAGTAGCAAGTTTCAGTGTTTTAATATTTACAAATACAAAAATTTTTAATAAAATATTAAAGCCAAACTTGAATGAAGAGACAACAAAGTTTGGATATGTTTCTTTATGTGCCTTTTGACATATCATAAATGAGAATCTTTTGATTCCTCAGGAGAACAAAGAAGAAATATTAATGAGCTGCAGCCAGGAATGTTTTCTGTTACTGTGTAAAAATCAGAATAATATGGAAATCATTTGCAACTTTTTATTTTGAAAAATTTCTAACATAGAAAAAGAACAATAAACACCCAAATACTGAAAGATTCAACAAATTCTACATTTTGCCATATTTGCTTTACTAGTTTTTGCCAGCTTCTGTATTAATCGATTTTTCTGTCTACTTATCCATTTTTTTTGTTGTCATTACCTTTTATTTTTAAAAATTTTAACCTTTAATTGTAAATTGGCAAATTATAGTTGTATATATTTATGGCGTACAAAGTGATGTTATGATTCATGAATACACTGTGGGATGATTAAATCAAGCAAATTAACATCTATCACTTTTTTTTTTTTGAGATGGAGTTTCACTCTTGTTGCCCAGGCTGGAGTGCAGTGGTGCAATCTCGGCTCACTGCAACTTCCGCCTCCCGGGTTCAAGTGATTCTTCTGCCTCAGCCTCCCGAGTAGCTGGCATTACAGGCGTCCGCCACCATGCCCGGCTAATTTTTTGTATTTTTAGTAGAGACGGGGTTTCACCATGTTGGCCAGGCTGGTCTCCAACTCCTGACCTCAGGTGATCCACCCACCTCCACCTCCCAAAGTGCTGGGATTACAGACGTGAGCCACTGCACCCGGCCCAACATCTATCACTTTTAAATACTTACTTTTTTTGTGGTGAGAATGTTTGAAATTTACTCTCTACATTCAGAGGAGGGAATATGTTAAAAATGTAAAAAAGATATTTACCCTCAACACTTATGAAATGTCCAAGAATTATTTACTATATTCACTTTGCTGTGCAGTATATCTCAAAGAAAAAGAAAAGCTTATTTTTCCAGTCCAATGAAGCTTTGTAACCTTTAACCATCATATCCCCATTTACCCCAGACCCCCAGCCTCTGGTAACTACTATTCTGCTCTCTCCTCCTTTAAGTTCGATTGTTTTAGATTCCACTTATAAGTGAGAACATACAGTATTTGTCTTTCTGTGCCTGGCTTACTTCACTCAGCATAATGTTCTCCAATTCCATTAACGCTGTCTCAAATGACAAAATTTCTTTTTAAAGGCTGAATAGCATTCCACGGTATATATACCATATTTTCTTTCTTTCTTTCTTTTTTTTTTTTTTTTTTGAGACGGAGTCTTGCTCTGTCACCCAGGTTGGAGTGCACTGGTGCAATCTCAGCTCACTGCAAACTCCGCCTCCCAGGTTGAAGTGATTCTCCTGCCTCAGCCTCCAGAGTAGCTGGGACTACAGGCGCCTGCCACCACGCCCAGCTAATTCTTTTGTACTTTTAGTAGAGATGGGGTTTCACCGTGTTAGCCAGGATGCTCTCGATATCCTGACCTCGTGATCCGCCTGCCTCGACCTCCCAAAGTGCTGGGATTACAGGCTTGAGCCACTGCGCCCGGCCTATATACCATATTTTCTTTATCCATTCATCTGCTGATGAACACTCGGTTTGACTATGTAACTTCACTGTGGTTAATAGTGCTGCAGCGAACATGAGAGTGCAGGTATCTCCTCGACATACTGATTTCAAATCTCTTTAGTAAATACCCAGACGCAAGATTGCTGGATCATATGGTAATTCTTTTTTTTTTTTTTGAGATGGAGTTTCACTCTTGTTGCCCAGGCTGGAGTGCGATGGCACGGTCTCAGCTCACTGCAACCTCCGCCTCCCGGGTTCAAGCGGTTCTCCTGCCTCAGCCTCTCAAGTAGCTGGGATTACAGGCGCCCACCACCACGCCCAACTAATTTTTGTATTTTTAGTAGAAATGGGGTTTCACCATATTGGCCAGGCTGGTCTCGAGCTCCCGACTTCAGGTGATCCGCTCACCTTGGCCTCCCAAAATGATGGGATTAGAGGTGTGAGCCACTGTGCCCAGCCCCATATGGTAATTCTATTTTTAGTTTTTTGAGGAACCGCCATACAGTTTTCCATAATAGCTGTACTAATTTACATTCCTACCAACAGTATACAAGTGTTGTCTTTTCTCAACCATTTGAACTTTTTTTTTCTTTTTGAGATGGAGTTTTGCTCTGTCACCCAGGTTGGAGTGCAGTGGTGCAATCTTGGTTCACTGCAACCTCTGCCTCCCGGGTTCAAGTGATTCTCTTGCCTCAGCCTCCCCATTAGCTGGGACTACAGGTGTGCACCACCATGCCTGGCTAATTTTTGTATTTTTAGTGGAGACGAGATTACACCACGTTGGCCAAGGTGGCCTCAAACTCCTGACCTCAGGTGATCCGCCTCCTTCGGCCTCCCAAAGTGCTGGGATTGCACTGCACCCAGCCCTGAACCATTTGAAAGTTGGAGACATCGGCTGGGCATGGTGGCTCATACCTGTAATCCCAGTACTTTGGGAGGCCGAGGTAGGCGGATCACCTGAGGCCAGGAGTTGGAGACCAGCCTGGCCAACATGGTGAAACCCCGTCTCTACTAAAAATACAAAAAATTAGCCGGGCATGGTGGTACATGCCTATGATCCCAGCTACTCAGGACGCTGAGGTGGGAAAATTGCTCAAACCTGGGAGGTGGAGGTTGCAGTGAGCCAAGATAGTGCCACTGCACTCTAGCCTGGGTGACAGAGCAAAACTCCATCTCAAAAAAAAAGAAACTTGCAGACATCATGACCATTCACCCCTAAATACTTCATATACATCTCTTACACAATCATAATAGAATCATCATGTTTAATGAGTTAATAATTTTTAATGTCATCTAGCATTAAACTTCTCCAATTTGAATGCCTTTTATAGCATTTAATTTTTCCTAAGTATAATTACCAAATAAAAATTGTATAGATTTATGGTGTATAGCATGATGTTTTAATATATAGCTTTTAAAAAACTCCCAGAACAGGAACCAATCAAGTTTCAACATTGCATTTTTTTATGTCCTTTTCTCACCCCTTTCTTTTTAATCTACAATCATCCAGTTTTTTTCTTCTTGGAATTGGATCTTTGAGGATACTAGGGCAGTTGTCTTTTAGACTGTTCAACATTCTAGATTTGTCTTACTGTTTCTTTGATGTCACTTAATGTGTTCATCTGTCTCCCTGAGTTTTGAGGGGTTTTCCCCCAATTTCTTGGTTAGATTCAGGTTACCCAGTCTTGGGACTAATTCCTCAAACTTGCTATATATGTCACATTGCCTCACATCAGAAGGCATATGATATGAAGCCATCCCACAAGCAGTGATGCTAAGTATGATTGCTTGGTTAGGATGGACACGGTCAGATCTTTTCTGTAAAGGTTATGTTTCCCTCTTGGCAATTAGCAAGTCGTCTGCATGGTTCTTTGACACTGTGTGTATACGCTGAAAAACTTTCTCTTATCGCCATCTACAGTGATTCTTGCTTGAATTGGTTATTTCATCAGAAATTACAAAAGGTGCTTTTCTAATTCTCCCACTTCTACATTTATAAGGGCATAATTACCTAGGAAGGAGCTTTCTCTCACCAACTGGAAAAAGTAGGGTCCTTCTCAAACTCCTGACCTCAAGTGATCCACCTGCCTCAGCCTCCCAAAGTGCTGGGATTACAGACATGAGCCACAGCGCCCGGCCAAAGTAGGGTCCTTCTAAAAGGCAAGGTAAATGCTTATTTCCCTTTACCAGTTTTCAGAATAAGGTATTGGTATGATATTAATCTCCAAAGGTAGAAAATTTATTTTTTTTCTTTTTTTAAACTATAGATTTAGGGTTTTTATCCATTCAGTATTTCTTTTATTTTTTGAGACAGCATCACGGTCTGTTGCCCAGGCTGGAGTGCAGTGGCGCAATTACCACTCACTGCAGCCTCAACCTGCCAGGCTCAAGTGATCCTCCTACCTCAGCCTCCTGAGTAGCTGGGACCACAGGTGCATGCCACCACACCCAGATGATTTTTGTATTTTTTGTAGAGATGGGGTTTTGCCATGTTGCCTGAGATTAAGTGATCCACCTGCCTTGGCCTCAAAGTGCTGGGACTACACCATGCCAGGTATCCATTTAATATTTCACAATTGGTTACAGTCATTATTTTTTTGTGCTCGAACTGTACCTTATGTGTCCAGTGGGAGCCTTTTTTTTTTTTTTTAATTTGAGATGGAGTCTCACTCTGTCACCAGGCTGGAGTGCAGTGGTACGATCTCGGCTCACTGCAACCTCTGCCTCCTGGGTTCAAGCAATTCTCCTGCCTCAGCCTCCTGAGTAGCTGGGACTACAGGTGCATGCCACCATGGCCAGCTAATTTTTGTATTTTTAGTACAGACGGGGTTTCACCTTATTGGCCAGAATGATCTAGATTGGGAGAGGGCCCCAGTGGGAGCCCTTTTAAGCTAACTCCTACATCCATTCTGACATACCCCAAAAGTTCTGTGAGCACTTGCTTGCTTTTGACACAACTAGATGTCCCAGGCACAATTTTTTTTTACTTTCCCAGCTCCAGATGTGGAATCAGCCATTTTTCTTTTTCTTTTTTCTTTCTTTCTTTCCTTTTTTTTTCTTGAGACAGAGTCTCACTCTGTCACCCAGGCTGAAGTGTAGTGGCATGATCTCAGCTCACTGCAACCTCTGCCTCCAGAGTTCAAGTGATCCTCCCACCTCAGCCTCCTGAGTAACTGGGATTATAGGCATTGCCACTACGCCTGGCTAATTTTTGTACTTTTAGTAGAGATGGGGTTTCATTATGTTGGCCAGGCTGGTCTCAAACTCTTGGCCTCAAGTGATCTGCATCTGCCTGCCTTTAGCCTCCCAAATTGCTGGGATTACAGGCATGAGCCACTGCACTTGGCCAAAATCAGCCATCTTTTTTTTTTTTTTTTTTTTTTTTTGAGGCCGAGTCTTGCTCTGTCGCCCAGGCTGGAATGCAGTGGCGTGATCTCAGCGCACTGCAAGCTCTGTCCCCAGGTTCATGCCATTCTCCTGCCTCAGCCTCCCAAGTAGCTGGGACTACAGGTGCCCACCACCATGCCTGTCTACTTTTTTGTATTTTTAGTAGAGACAGGGTCTCACTGTGTTCGCCAGGATGGTCTCGATCTCCTGACCTTGTGATCTGCCCGCCTCGGCCTCCCAAAGTGCTGGGATTACAGGCGTGAGCCACTGCACCTGGCCAAAATCAGCCATCTTTCTAAGGAACATTGATTCGTTTTAGTGAGGAATGGTCTTTAGTGCTGGGAGAGCTCGTTGCTACAGAGGTGTCATCGCTTTAAGTCACATTTAGGGTTTAAAAAAAATCATGAATTCATATTGGTATTTCCAATTCAAATTGTACATTATAGGTTTTTCCCTCTTCTTGGACTTTGTATTTGTATATCTTTTATCAGGGCAATCGAAAGCCTTGGCTCTTAATACTCTTAATATATTTACCTATTTTTCTCTCCTACAATATACATAAAATCATCTTAAAATTGCATTGGGCCAGGCACAGTGGCTCATGCCTGTAATCCCAGCATTTTGGGAGGCTGAGGCGGGCGTTATCACTTGAGGTCAGTAGTTCGAGACCAGCCTGGCCAACATGGCAAAACCCCGTCCCTACTCAAAATACAAAAATTAGCTGGGTGTGGTGGTGGGCATCTGTAATCCCAGCTACTAGGGAGGCTGAGGCAGGAGAATAGCTTGAACTTGGGAAGTGGAGGTTGCAGTGAGCCAAGATTATGCCACTGCACTCCACTCGGGGTGACAGAGCGAGACTCCATCTCAAACAAACAAAAGAAATCGGCTGGGCATGATGCATTCATCTGTAGTCCCAGCTACTCAGGAGGCTGAGGTGGGTGGATCACTTGAGCCCGAGAGATTGAGGCTGCTGTGAGCTATGATCGTGCCACTGCACTCTAGCCTGGGCAACAGAGCAAGATCTTGTCAAAAAAAAAAAAAAATTGGGAAACAAAATCTTTTAGGGCTTCTGAAGTCACCCCATGAGTAACTGAGTGTGATGAGTGTAGGACTCCTGGTCCCAGCACCTGGTCTTATTTCTGTTTCTCAAACATGTCCTTTCCACCCCAAGACTTTTATCCCTTTTTGTTCCCTGGTCTGGAATACTCTGTCCCACCTACCCGCCACCTGTAGTCTTGCCACATCCAGTCTCTGCTGACATATTCCTCAGAGGGGAATATGTGCCTGATTCCCCTCCTTTCAACCTAGGCAAGGTGAGTTTCTCCTGCATGAGTTCCTCTATGGCCAATGAGCCTCACACAATTGAGTGTCTACCATCCACCCGCCAGCAAGGCCCCAAGACAGCACGTTTTCTTCCCTGTTGATCACTCTATTCTCAGTACCTATAACAGCACTGTATTAGTTAGGGTGTTCCAGAGAGTTAGAACCAATCAGATGAAAGAACTGTTTCATGCTATCATAGGGGTTGGCAAATCCAAAATCTGCAGAGCAGGCAGGCCAGCAGCAAAGAGTTGATGTTACAGCTCAGGTCCAAAGGCGGTGTGGAGGCAGAATTCCCTCTTCCTCAGGGACCTCAGTCTTTTTGTCTTAGGCCTTTGAATGATTGGATGAGGCCCACTCACATTGTGGAGGGCAGTCTGCTTTATTCAAAATGCACCAATTTGAAACATCCAAAATACCCTCACAAAACCATCCACAATGTTTGACCAAATATCTGAATACCATGGCTTAGCCAAGTTGACAAATAAAATTAACCATCACAAGTACCTAGCACAAATGCATAATTTTATGTCTATATGTATATATATTTTCTTATACATACATATGCATGCATACACATATTTATGATTATAAAAAGTATATATATATCTATATATATAGAGAGAGAAATAAAGGAATGATCCATGTACCTTACAAATACACTAGAAACATAAATTCATAGATAGCAGCAGATCTCATTACGATGTTTAATTTTATGTGTCAACTTGTCTGGGCCATGGTGTCCAGATATTTAGTCAAACATTATTCTGGATGTTTCTGTGAAGGTGTTTTTGGATGAGATTTACATTTAAATTGGTGAACTTTAAATGTAATGAGGGTGGGCTTCATCCAATCAGTTGAAGACCTGGTTAGAACAAAAGGCTGTCCTCTCTCTTTTGTTCTGGTCAGAAGTTTCCAGCACACCACCTTTGGACTTGAACTGCAACTCTTTCCTGTGTCTCCAGCCTGCTGGGCTCTCCTATCAGACTTTGGACTCACCAAGCCTCCACAATTTTGTGAACTAATTCCTTAAAATAAGTCACACTCTCTCTTTCTCTCTCTGCAAGTATGTATGTATGTACGTATGTATGTATATTCTATTTCTCTGGAGAACCCTGACTAACTCAGAAAGCAAAAATGCCCTCTATGGCAGGGTGCAGTGGCTCATGCCCGTAATCGTAGCACTTTGGGAGGCCGAGGCGGGCAGATCACCTGAGGTCAGGAGTTCAAGACCAGCCTGGCCAACATAGTGAAACTCCGTCTCTACTGAAAAAAACACACACACACAAAAATTAGCCGGGCATGGTGGCAGGTGCCTATAATCCCAGCTACTCAGGAGGCTGAGGCAGGAGAATCGCTTGAACCTGGGGGGCGGAGGTTGCAGGGAGCCAAAAACGTGCCACTTCACTCCAGCCTGGGTGAGAGAGCGAAACTCCGTCTCAAAAAGAAAACCAAAACCAAAAATGCCGCCAATCACGTCTATGAGATAACCATTGTTTACTGTTTGTTCCGTGTTCCTGTATTCTCTCCCCCAACTTTTTCCTGTTTATATATCAGCAAAGATGGATGGAGGGGAAGATTGAAAAAAATGTTTCTTCCAGTTTATATTGTTCTGCAACTTTTATTATTTATTTATGATGTGCTCATTTTCCCATGTCAATACATATAGATCTTTACAAAATGATACTGTGATATTTCATTGTATATACACAGCCTACTTTAACTATTCTGGTACTCCCCCCACGGCCCCCCCCCCCCATTATTCACTAGTAGACATAATGCCTCAAAAAAACATTCTTGGGTGGGTGCCGTGGCTCACATCTCTAATCCCAGCACTTTGGGAGGCTAAGGCGGGCAGATTGCTTGAACCCAGATATTGGAAACCAGCCTGGGCAACATGGTGAAACCCTATCTCTACAAAAAATACAAAAATTAGGCTGGGCGCGGTGGCTCACACCTGTAATCCCAGCACTTTGGGAGGCTGAGGCAGGTGGATCACGAGGTCAGGAGTTCGAGACCAGCCTGGCCAACATGGTGAAACCCTGTCTCTTCTAAAAGTATGAAAATTAGCTGGGTGTGGTGGCATGCGCCTGTAGTCCCAGCTACTCAGGAGGCTGAGGCAGGAGAACTGCTTGAATCCAGGAGGCGGAGGTTGCCATGAGCTGAGATCGTGCCATTGCACTCCAGCCTGGGTGACAGAGCGAGACTCCATCTCAAAAAAAAAAAAAAAAATTAGCTGGGTGTGGTGGTGTATGCCTATAGTCCTAGCTATTCGGGAAGCTGAGCGGGGAGGATTGCTTGAGCCTGGGAAGTTGAGGCTTCAATGAGCTGTGATTATGCTACTGTACCATGCCTGGGTGACAGCGAGACCCTGTCTCAGAAAACAAAACAAAACAAAACAAAACAAAAAACAAAAAAACCCCAAAAATTCTTGTACTTACTTTTTTGCACACTAGAGGGAGTGTTTCTATAAATTCCTAGTTGCCATGAATGGAATGTTTGTAGTCCCCTCAAACTGTATGTTGAAGCTCTCTAATTCCCAATGTGATAGTCTTTGGAGGTGGGGCCTGGGCTATAATGAGGTTTGGATAAAGTCATGGGGGCATAATGGGATTGGTGCCCTTATAAAGAGATGAAGAGAGGCTATTGCTCTCCCTGCCACAGCAAGGCGGTGGGATGGGCCGGGTGTGGTGGCTCACGTCTGTAATCCCAGCATCTGGGAGGCCGAGGTGGGAGGACTGCTTCAGCCCAGGAGTTCAAGACCAGCCTGGGCAACATAATGAGACCTCGTCTCTACAAAATTACAAAAATTTAGCTGGGCCTGGTGGCATGCACCTGTAGTCCCAGCTACTCGGGCGGCTGAGGTGGGAAGATCAGTTGAGCCCAGGAGGTTGAGGCTGCAGTGAGCCAAGCTTACACCATTGCACTCCAGCCACCTGGGTGACAGAGAAAACCCTCATCTGTTAAAAAAAAAAAAAAGAAAGAAAGAAAGAAGAAAGAAGGAAGAAAGACAGAGAGAAAGAAAGAAAGAGAAAGAGAAAAAGAAAGAAAGAAAAAGAAGGAAAAGAAAGAAAATGAAGGTGGGACATCTGTGAACTGGGAACAGAAAAAGGACCTTCACCAAGCACCTTAACTGCCAGTGCCTTGATACCTGAACTTCCCAGCCCCATGAACTGTGAAAAATAAACCTCTGTTGTCTATAAGCCATCCAGGCTGTGGTGTTGTTATAGCAGCCCAAACTAACTAAGGCACTAATTTAAGTGGAAATGCTAAATCAAAGGTTATGAAAATGTTTAATATTAATAGGTACTAAATTACTTCCCCCAAAGGTGATAAGTTTACACTCTTATCAACAAGAGGTTAAAACATTGTTTTAAGCTGGGTGCAGTGGCTCATGCCTGTAATCCCAGCATTTTGGGAGGCCAAGGTTGATGGATCACTTGAGATCAGGAGTTCGAGACCAGCCTGGCCAACATGGTGGAACCTCGTCTCTACTAAAAATACAAAAATTAGCCGGGCATGGTGGCGGGCGCCTGTAATCCCAGCTACTCAGGAGGCTGAGGCAGGAGAATCGCTTGAACCCAGGAGGCAGAGGTTTCGGTGGGCTGAGATCGCGCCACTGCACTCCACCCTGGGCGACAGAGTGAGACTCTGTCTAAAAAAAAAAAAAGTTTTAATTTACTTTTACTATATGACTGGAGGGGTTGAAAATAATTTCATATTTATTGTTCAATTGAATTTATTCTTCTGTAAATTACTTATATCACTTATATGGTTTTAACAATATATCTTTTAAAATTAATTTGCAGTTGGTATATGATGGATATTACAATTCTACTGTATATGCTGATACTGTTGTAACCACCCAATTGGTTCATTTTGCCTGCTGCTCAGATAGAGCCAATTTATGAAGACAGGGGAATTGCAATAGAGAAAGAGTTTTATATACATAGAGCCAGTTAAACAGGAGACTGAAGTCTTATTATTACTTATATCAGCCTCCTCTCAAATTTGAAGGCTTTTTCAAGATAGTTTGGGTTGGGCATGGCAGCTTACACCTGTAATCCCAGCACTTTTCGAGTCTGAGGTAGGAGGATTGCTTGAGTCCTTGAGTTTGAGATCAGCCTGGACAACACAGCAAGACACCATCTCTACAAAAAATTTAAAAATTAGCCAGGTGTGGTGGTGTACACCTGTAGTCCCAGTGACTTGGGAGGCTGGGCCAGGGAGGTTGAAGCTGCTGTGAGCCATGATTGCACCACTGCACTACAGCCTGGGCGACAGAGTCTCAAGAAAAAAAGAAAAAAAAAGATAGTTTGCTGGGCAGGTGGCTAGGGAATGGGTGCTGCTGATTGATTGGGATGCAATCATAGGGATGTGGAAAATGGTCCTCGTGCACTGAGTCCACTTCTGAGTGGGGCCATAGGACCGGTCTTGGATCTGGGTGGAGTCATCTGGTTTTCCAAAATGGAAAAGCCTGAGCTGGGCAAGGTGGCTCGTGCCTGTAACCCCAGCAGTTTGGGAGGCTGAGGCAGGAGGATCGCTTGAGTCCAGGAGTTTGAGACCAGCCTGAACAACAGAGCCAGACATCATGTCTACTAAAAATACAAAAACAAAACAAACAAACAAGCAAAAAACACCCCAGAACCAAAAAACAACAAAACTGGCCAGGCATGGTGGCATGCACCTGCAGTCCCAGCTACTTGGAAGGCTGAGGTGGAAGGTTCACTTGAGCCCAGGAGATAGAGACTGCAGTGAGCTATGATCACTGCACTCCAGCCTTGGTGACAGAGCAAGACCTTGTCTCAAAGCAAACAAAACAAAAAATAACTGCAAAGACATCTCAAAAGGCCACAGTGATATCATTTTACAGGACTAATTGGGGAAGTTACAAATCTTGTGACCTCTGAAACAATGGCGGGTAATTGTTTATCTAAGCCTGCATTCAGGCCCCTCTCATCCTCCCTAACCTGGTGGCCTTTCATCATTTTTACAAAGACAGGTTAGTTTTGGGAAGGGCTATTATCATTTAAACTGTAAACGAAATTTCTCCCAAAGTTAGCTTGGCCTTTGCTCAGGAATGACTAAGTGCAATTTGGAGGTTAAAGGCAAGAAGGAGTTGGGTTAGATTGGATATCTTTCAATGTCATAATTTTCTCACTGTTACAATTTTTGCAAGGGTGGTTTCGGTGTTTTCATTTTTTTTTCCTTTGTTAAAGCTATATTGACACCTTCCTTCCATCTCCTCCTTGCATTCCCACAGCACATCCTCCAACAGAAGCCACAGACAACAGAAGAGAGCAGCTTCCCTGTGTGTCCCATACCCACCTCTCCACTTCTGCCACTGGGCATGGACTCCTTTTGATGAACAAGTTCCTCTCACCACGAGCTCACTCTCTTCACACCTAGCTTTAGACCCATGGAAAAAGTCCTGCTGAGTCAAGTCAAGAAGTTCTTCTTCTTTTTTTTTCTTTTTTTGAGACGGAGTTTCACTCTTGTTGCCCAGGGTGGAGTGCACTGGCGCAATCTCGGCTCACTGCAACCTCCGCGGCCCGAGTTCAGGTGATTCTCCTGCCTCAAGCTCCTGAGTAGCTGGGATTACAGGTGCCTGCCACCACGCCTGGCTAATTTTTTGTATTTTTAGTAGAGACGTTGTTTCACCATGTTGGCCAGGCTGGTCTCAAACTCCTGACCTCAGGTGATCCAACCGCCTCGGTCTCCGAAGTGTTTGGATTACGGGCGTGAGCCACCGCGCCGGGCCAAGTTCTTCCTGAGGACCCAAACCCTAGACACTCAAACCAGTGGTCTCTCTGTCTCTTCTGCACCCACTCCCACCATCGTGCCCTGGACCTCAACAGGGGTTATGCTGGGTGAGAGGCTGCTAGATGTTTAGAGACACTGAAATCCAGGGCATGACTGTGGCCAGGAAGAAAACAAGGGCAAGAGAAAGATGCTAGAGATAAACTTCCTTTTTCTTTATTCTTCCTAAGGATGAGTCCAGCAGCCAGGTCCTGGGTGACTTTGTCCATTTAGGCACATAAAAAATGGACCAACATGGAAATGTTCACACACTCCCTTATTAGATGAGTTAGGTTCACACAGAAAAAAACAAAAAAAGTTTCCTAAAAATTGTCACCACTATGATGATGCACTTGTTCTGTGTTTTTGTTTTCTTGTTTTATTTTGATTCTTTTCTTTTTTTTTTTAAGAGACAGGATCTCACTATGTTGCCCAGACTGGTCCCACACTTCTGGGCTGAAGTGATCCTGCCTGTTTCCCAAAGTTCTGAGATTACAGGTGTGAGCCACCAACCATGCCTGGCTTTTTTTTTTTTTTTTTTTTTTTTTTTTTTTTTTTTTTTTTGAGACGGAGTCTTGCTCTGTCGCCCAGGCTGGAGTGCAGTGGCACAATCTAGGCTCACTGCAAGCTCCGCCTCCTGGGTTCACGCCATTCTCCTGCCTTAGCCTCCTGAGTAGCTGGGACTACAGGCGTCCACCACCACGCCAGGCTAGTTTTTCATATTTTTAGTAGAGACGGGGTTTCACTGTGTTAGCCAGGATGGTCTCGATCTCCTGACCTCGTGATCCGTCCGCCTCGGCCTCCCAAAGTGCTGGGATTACAGGCGTGAGCCACCGCGCCCGGCCATCTTAATTCTTTTATGGACAGTGTGAAGTAGACATTTTAACTCCATGGTAGAGGTGAGAAAACTGAGGCTTAGTAGCAATGCTTTAATTGGAAACATTTATTCACAAATAGATAAGACTCTAAAAAGAAAAAAAAAGTGATTCATGCGATTAGTCCCCACTTCTCAGGGAAAACCCTACAAAACACCCGAGCTGCTGGCTACAAATGTCATGGGTTTATTTAATTTTCCACGTGGTTGTTTCTCCCTGGCCAGTGAACATTTCATTTAGCAGGGAGGCTGGATCTGGCCTGCCATCTGGCTTTCGTGGTGCACTTTAGACTCTGGAGTTTGACAACAGCTGTTGCACAACCATGCCAGGAGGCCACCAGTCTTGGGACAATGGTTTCTCATTAGTTTGCATAAGGTAGAACAGAAATAGTAGCTGAGGGAAAACAAAAACTTTAAATAATTTAGGGATGGGATTTTCCTGGATGAGTCACATTTTAATGAGTATATCAATGATTCATTATGTATGAATGTTATGATGTGTGCAGAAGTTATTTCTTTTTTTTTTCTTTCTTTTTTTTTTTTTTTGAGACGGGGTTTCGCTCTGTTGCCCAGGCTGTAGTGCAGTGGCGTGATCTCGGCTCACTGCAAGGTTCACACCATTCTCCTGCCTCAGCCTTCCAAGTAGCTGGGACTACAGGTGCCTGCCACCGCACCTGGCTAATTTTTTTTGTATTTTTAATAGAGACGGGGCTTCACCGTGTTAGCCAGGATGGTCTCCATCTCCTGATCTCGTGATCCGCCCGCCTCAGACTCCCAAAGTGCTGGTATTACAGGCGTGAGCCACCGCGCCTGGTTTATGCACAAGTTATTTTTATCAGCTCTAACTGTCCTTAAGACCAAGTATCAACATGAACTCAACATAGAACCAGACCATCAAATGTCTGCATTACAAATTGTTAAAGCATCATTTTCAAAAATAATTAAGCATAATTAGTCATATTGCTCTCACTTGAAAGTATATAATTAATAATGTTATAAGGGCAAAATATTCTTTTTTCTTTTTCTTTTCTTTTCTTTTTTTTTCTTTTTTGAGACACAGTCTCACTCTGTCGCCTAGGCTGGAGTGCAGTGGTGCGATCTCGGCTCACTGCAACCTCCGCCTCCCGGGTTCAAGCGATTCTTGTGCCTTAGTCTCCCGAGTAGCTGGGATTACAGGCACCCGCCACTACGCCCAGCTAATTTTTTGTATTTTTAGTAGAGACAGGGTTTCACCATGTTGGCCAGGCTGGTCTTGAACTCCTGACCTCGTGATCTGCCCGCCTCGGCCTGCCAAAGTGCTAGGATTACAGGCGTCAGCCACCGCGCCCAGCCCTATTATTTGTATTTTGAATAAAAATTGTTATTTAAATTATTTTTCTTTATCATATCTTCTAAAATTTCTAATTAAAACACTTTATAATGTGCATAATGTATTGCTACAAAGCAACATACAGTTTAAAAAGTAGGGAAGATTTTTTTTATTTTTTATTTTATTATACTTTAAGATCTGGGGTACATGTGCACAACATGCATGTTTGTTACATAGGTATACCTGTGCCATGGTGGTTTGCTGCACCCATCAACTGGTGATTTACATTAGGTAGTTCTCCTAATGCTATCCCTTCCCTAACCCCCAACCCCCCCACAGGCCTCGGTGTGTGATGTTCCCTGCCCTGTGTCTGTGTATTCTCATTGTTCAACTCCCACTTATGAGTGAGAACATGTAGTGTTTGGTTTTCTGTCCTTGTGATAGTTTGCTGAGAATGATGGTTTCCAGCTTCATCCATGTCCCTGCAAAGGACATGAACTCATCCTTTTTTATGGCTGCATAGTATTCCACGGTGTATATGTGCCACATTTTCTTAATCCAGTCTATCATTGATGGACATCTGGGTTGGTTCCAAGTCTTTGCTACTGTGACTAGTGCCGCAATAAACATACATGTGCATGTGTCCTTATCATGATTTATAATCCTTTGGGTATATACCCAGTAATGGGATGGCTGGGTCAAATGGTATTTCTAGTTCTAGATCCTTGAGGAATCGCTGCATTGTCTTCCACAATGGTTGAACTGATTTACACTCCCACCAACAGTGTAAAAGTGTTCTTATTTCTCCACATCCTCTCCAGCATCTGTTGTTTCCTGACTTTTTAATGATCACCATTCTAACTGGCGTGAGATGGCATCTCATTGTGGTTTTGATTTGCATTTCTCTGGTGACCAGTGATGATGAGCATTTTTTCATATGTCTTTTGGCTGCATAAATGTCTTCTTTTGAGAAGTGTCTGTTCATATCCTTCGCCCACTTGTTGATGGGGTTGTTTGATTTTTTTGTTGTAAATTTGTTTAAGTTCTTTGTAGCTTCTGGATATTAGCCCTTTGCCAGATGGGTAGATTGCAAAATTTTTCCCCATTCTGTAGGTTGCCTGTTCACTGTGATGATAGTTTCTTTTGCTGTGCAGAAGCTCTTTAGTTTAATTAGATCCCATTTGTCTATTTTGGCTTTTGTTGCCATTGCTTTTGGTGTTTTAGTCATGAAGCATTTATCCATGCCTATGTCCTGAATAGTATTGCCTAGGTTTTCTTCTAGGGTTTTTATGGTTTTAGGTCTTATGTTTAAGTCTTTAATACATCTTGAGTTAATTTTTGTATAAAGTGTAAGGAAGGGATCCTGTTTCAGCTTTCTACATATGGCTAGCCAGTTTTCCCAGCACCATTTATTAAACAGGAAATCCTTTCCCCATGCTTGTTTTTGTCAGGTTTGTCAAAGATCAGATGGTTGTAGATGTGTGGTGTTATTTCTGCGGCCTCTGTTCTGTTCCATTTGTCTATATATCTGTTTTGGTACCACTACCATGCTGTTTTGGTTACTGTAGTCTTGTACTATAGTTTGAAGTCAGGTAGCGTGCTGCCTCCAGCTTTGTTCTTTTTGCTTAGGATTGTCTTGGCAATGTGGGCTCTTTTTTTGTTCCATATGAACTTTAAAGTAGTTTTTTCCAATTCTGTGAAGAAAGTCATTGGTAGCTTGATGGGGATGGCATTGAATCTATAAATTACCTTGGGCAGTATGGCCATTTTCACGATATTGATTCTTCCTATCCATGAGCATAGAATGTTCTTCCGTTTGTTTGTCCTCTTTTATTTTGTTGAGCAGTGGTTTGTAGTTCTCCTTGAAGAGGTCCTTCACATCCCTTGTAAGTTGGATTCCTAGGTATTTTATTTTCTTTGTAGTAATTGTGAATGGGAGTCCATTCATGATTTGGCTCTCTGTTTGTCTGTTATTGGTATATAGGAATACTTGTGATTTTTGTGCAATGATTTTGTGTCCTGAGACTTTGCTGAAGTTGCTTATCAGCTTAAGGAGATTTTGGGCTGAGATGATGGTGTTTTCTAAATATACAGTCATGTCATCTGCAAACAGAGACAATTTGACTTCCTCTTTTCCTAATTGAATACCCTTTATTTCTTTCTCTTGCTTGATTGCCCTGGCCAGAACTTCCACCACTATGTTGACTAGGAGTGGTGAGAGAGGGCATCCTTGTCTTGTGCCAATTTTCAAAGGGAATGCTTCCAGTTTTTGCCCATTCAGTATGATATTGACTGTGGGTTTGTCATAAATAGCTCTTATTATTTTGAAATATGTCATCAATACATAGTTTATTGAGAGTTTTTAGCATGAAGGGTTGTTGAATTTTTGTCGAAGGCCTTTTCTACATCTATTGAGATAATCATGTGGTTTTTGTCGTTGGTTCTGTTTATGTGATGGATTACATTTATTGATTTGCATATGTTGAACCAGCCTTGAATCCCAGGGATGAAGCCGGCTTGATCATGGTGGATAAGCTTTTTGATGTGCTGCTGGATTTCGTTTGCCAGTATTTTATTGAGGATTTTTGCATTGATGTTCATCAGGGATATTGGCTTAAATTTTCTTTTTTTGTTGTGTCTCTGCCAGGCTTTGGTATCAGGATGATGCTGTTCTCATGAAATGAGTTAGGGAGGATTCTCTCTTTTTCTATTGATTGGAATAGTTTCCGAAGGAATGGTACCAACTCCTCTTTGTACCTCCAGTAGAATTTGGCTGTGAATCCGTCTGGTCCTGGACTTTTTTTGGTTGGTAGGCTATTAATTATTGCCTCAATTTCAGAGCCTGTTATTGGTCTATTCAGGGATTCAACTTCTTCCTGGTTTAGTCTTGGGAGGGTGTATGTGTCCAGGAATTTATTCATTTCTTCTAGATTTTCTAGTTTATTCGTGTAGAGGTGTTTATAGTATTCCTGATGGTAGTTTGTATTTCTGAGGGATTGGTGGTGATGTCCCCTTTATCATTTTTTATTGTGTCTATTTGATTCTTCTCTCTTTTCTTCTTTATTAGTCTTGCTAGCAGTCTATCAATTTTGTTGATCTTTTCAAAAAACCAGCTCCTAGATTCACTGATTTTTTGGAAGGGTTTTTTGTGTCTCTATCTCCATCAGTTCTGCTCTGATCTTAGTAATTTCTTGCCTTCTGCTAGCTTTTGAATGTGTTTGCTCTTGCTTCTCTAGTTCTTTTAATTGTGATGTTAGGGTGTTGATTTTAGATCTTTCCTGCTTTCTCTTGTGGGCATTTAGTGCTCTAAATTTCCCTCTACACACTGCTTTAAATGTGTCCCAGAGATTCTGGTATGTTGTGTCTTTGTTCTCATTGGTTTCAAACAACATCTTTATTTCTGCCTTCATTTCATTATTTACCCAGTAGTCATTCAGGAGCAGGTAGTTCAATTTCCATGTAGTTGTGCAGTTTTGAGTGAATCTTAATCCTGAGTTCTAATTTGATTGCACTGTGGTCTGACAGACAGTTTGTTGTGATTTCTGTTCTTTTATATTTGCTGAGGAGTGTTTTACTTCCAATTATGTGGTCAATTTTAGAATAAGCGTGATGTGGTGCTGAGAAGAATGTATATTCTGTTGATTTGGGGTGGAGAGTTCTGTAGATGTCTATTCGGTCCCCTTGGTCCAGAGCTGAGTTCAAGTCCTGGATATGCTTGTTAACCTTCTGTCTCATTGATCTGTCTAATATTGACAGTGGGGTATTAAAGTCTCCCATTATTACTGTGTGGGAGTCTAAATCTCTTTGTAGGTCTCCAAGGACTTGCTTTATGAATCTGGGTGCTCCTGTTTGGGGTGCATATGTATTTAGGATAGTTAGTTCTTCTTATTGAATTGATCCCTTTACCATTATGTAATGCCCTTCTTTCTCTCTTTTGATCTTTGTTGGTTTGAAATCTTTTTTTTTTTTTTTTAGTCAGAAACGAGGATTGCAACCCCTGATTTTTTTTTTGCTTTCCATTTGCTCGGTAGATCTTCCTCCATCCCTTTATTTTGAGCCTATTTGTATCTTTGCACATGAAATGGGTCTCCTGAATACAGTACAACGATGGGTCTTGACTTTTTATCCAATTTGTCAGTCTGTTTTTCAGTTGGGGCATTTAGCCTATTTACATTTAAGATTAATATTGTTATGGGTGAATTTGATCCTGTCACTATGATGTTAGCTGGTTATTTTGCCCATTAATTGATGCAGTTTCTTCATAGTGTCAATGGTCTTTACACTTTGGCATGTTTTTGCAGTGGCAGTGGCTGATACCAGTTGTTCCTTTCCATGGTTAGTGCTTCCTTCAGGAGCTCTTGTAAAGCAGGCCTGGTGGTGACAAAATCTCTCAACATTTGCTTGTCTGTAAAGGATTTTATTTCTCCTTCACTTATGAAGCTTAGTTTGGCTGGATATGAAATTCTGGTTTGAAAATTCTTTTCTTAAAAATGTTGAATATTGGCCCCCACTCTCTTCTGGCTTGTAAGGTTTCTGCTGAGAGATCCGCTGTTAGTCTGATGGGCTCCCCTTTGTGGGTGACCCGACCTTTCTCTCTGGCTGCCCTTAACATTTTTTCCTTCATTTCATCCTTGGTGAATCTGACAATTGTGTGTCTTGGAGTTGCTCTTCTTAAGAAGTATCTTTGTGGTGTTCTTTGTATTTCCTAAATTTGAATGTTTTCCTGCCTTGCTAGGTTAGGGAAGTCCTCCTGGATAACATCCTGAAGAGTATTTTGTAACTTGGTTCCATTCTCCCCGTCACTTTCAGGTACACCAGTCAAATGTAGATTTGGTCTTTTCACATAGTCCCATATTTCTTGGAGGCTTTGTTCATTTCTTTTCATTCTTTTTTCTCTAATCTTGTCTTCTTGCTCTATTTCATTGAGTTGATCTTCAATCACTGATACCCTTTCTTCCACTTGATTGAATCAGCTACTGAAGCTTGTGCATGAGTCATGTAGTTCTCGTGCCATGGGTTTCAGCTCCATCAGGTCATTTAAGGTCTTCTCTATACCGTTTATTCTAGTTAGCCATTTGTCTAACCTTTTTTCAAGGTTTTCAGCTTCCTTGCGATGGGTTTGAACATCCTCCTTTAGCTCGCAGAAGTTTGTTACCAACCTTCTGAAGCCTACTTCTGTCAACTTGTCAAACTCATTCTCCATCCAGTTTTGTTCCCTTGCTGGTGAGGAGCTGTGATCCTTTGGAGGAGAAGAGGCAATCTGGTTTTTGGAATTTTCAGCTTTTCTGCTCTGGTTTCTTCCCATCTTTGTGGTTTTTTCTACCTTTGGTCTTTGATGTTGGTGACCTACAGATGGGGTTTTGGTGTGGATGTCCTTTTTGTTGGTGTTGATGCTATTCCTTTCTGTTTGTTAGTTTTCCTTCTAACAGTCAGGACCCTCAGCTGCAGGTCTGTTGGAATTTGCTGGAGGTCCACTCCAGACCCTGTTTGCCTGGATATCACTAGCGGAGGCTGCAGAACAGCAAATATTGCTGCCTGATCCTTCCTCTGGAAGCTTTGTTCCAGAGGGGCACCTGCCTGTGTGAGGTGTCTGTTGGCCCCTACTGGGAGGTGTCTCCCAGTCAGGGTACACGGGGGTCAAGGACCGACTTGAGGAGGCAGTCTGTCCATTTTCGGAGCTCAAATGCCATGCTGGGAGAACCACTGCTCTCTTCAGAACTGTCAGACAGGGGCGTTTAGGTCTGCCAAAGCTGTCTGCTGCCTTTTGTTCTGACATGCCCTGCCCACAGAGGTGGAATCTAGAGAGGCAGTAGGCCTTGCTGAGCTGCAGTGGGCTCCACCCAGTTCAAGCTTCCCGGCCTGTTTACACTGTGAGCATAAAACTGCCTACTCAAGCCTCAGGAATGGCGGACGCCCTCCCACCCCCCCAACAAGCTGCAGCATGCCAGGCCAATCTTAAGACTGCTGCACTGGCAGTAAGCAAGGATCCATGGGCATGAGCCCCACCGAGCCAGGCACGGGAGGGAATCTCCTGGTCTGTCAGTTGTGAAGACCATGGGAAAAGCCCAGTATTTGGGCAGGAGTGTACTGTTCCTCCAGGTACAGTCTGTCACGGCTTCCCTTGGCTAGGAAAGGGAAATCCCCTGACCCCTTGCACTTCCCAGGTGAGGCGATGCCCTGCCCTGCTTTGGCTCGCCCTCCATGGGCTGCACCCACTGTCCAACTAGTCCCAATGAGATGAACCAGGTACCTCAGCTGGAAATGCAGAAATCACCCATCTTCTGTGTTGGTCTTGCTGAGAGCTGCAGACCGGAGCTGTTCCTATTCCAGCAAGATGCTTTTAAAACCTTAGAGATGATGGATCCCAGACACCAAGCTTCTGGCTGTGGCTTGGCCTTTCTAAGTATTCAACAAGTCTGTCTTTTCCAAGTGTCTTTAAAGACCAGAAATACCTGTTTTTAACACACAGGGTTGCAAAATTCAGAGGAGATTGGCGAGCATCCCTCTTGTCTGCCCCACATGTGTTTCTTTGCCAGAGGCCACCGTGGCGAGCAGGGGCCTGTGACTGCCCCAACCAAAATTTTGGAAAGTCATTCTGGCGCTACCAGATGCCCCGAGGTTCCCAGGTTGGAGTCTTTCTCTCCCACTGGGTTTCTCCTGCAACTCTTCCCAGCCCACTGGCCCCACTGCCAGAGCACACAGGAGTCCGGACACACACCGCGGGACAGCCTGACTCGCTACTGCTCTCTGCACGTGCTATATGAGAGGGTTCTTTTGAGAACAGAAAATGCAGTGACTGAGCAGGAAAGGGTGAAGGAGGAAAACCAGAGGTCGCATGCAGCCAACCAGGCATTACAAAAATGCCTTCTGGAAAAGTGCACTTGGAGTTGGTTTCCAGAGAAAATGAAAAGTCCCTCCAGAGAAATGTAAAGGCCAGAGAAACGAAGACTCAGAGAATGAAAAGGCCAACCCTGCTCATCCAGTAGCCCAGGGCTAGCCCAGACAGACCCATTCTCTTGTTGGGCTTATGACTCTGGGTGAGTCTTGGTTTCTTTCTCACCCCAAAGCCAATGTTAAACCTACAAATGAAAAAGAACACTTAAAAGGATGATCTGGGCCAGGTTCAGTGGCTCACGCCTGTTATCCCAGCACTTTGGGAGGCTGAAGCGGGTGGATCTCTGGAGGTCAGGAGTTTGAGACCAGCCTGGCCAACCTGACAAAACTCTGTCTCTACTAAAAATACAAAAGTTAGCCAGGAGTGGTGGCGGGTACCTGTAATCCCAGCTACTTGGGAGGCTGAGGCTGGAGAATCACTTGAACCCAGCAGGCAGAGGTTGTAGTGAGCTGAGATCTGCCACTGCACTCCAGCCTGGGCAACAAGGGTGAAACTCTGTCTCGAAAAAAAAAAAAAAAGGATGATCAGCAACTTGGCAAATCGTAGCCATGTTTGTTAAGTGGAGGAAAAGTATTAAACATATTATGAAAACAGAAATGGTAGTCATGTCAAACAAACAAACATTACATATGTAGGGAAAAAGATTGGCAACAAATACACAAAAAATAAAGTTCTGTTTTGATATTCTGAATTTGAGTGGTTCCCCACACCCTCTACAATTTCCAAGTTTTATGAAACATGTTGTCTCCTTTAATTAAGGCAGCAGTAACCTCTACGCACGTGATCCCCACTGCACTCTAAAACTTCCAATTAGGCCGGGCGTGGTGGCTCATTCCTGTAATCCCAGCACTGTGGGAGGCCTAGGTGGAGAGGATCACTTGAGTCCAGGAGTTGGAGACCAGCCTGGGCAACATGCTGAAACCGTCTCTACAATAAATACAAAAATTAGTGGGGCATGGTGGCACACACCTGTAGTTCCAGCTACTTGGGAGACTGAGACGAGAGGATTGCTTGACTCTGGGAGATCCAGGTTGTAGTGAACCAAGATCATGCTGTGTCCGGAATTGTTGGGTTCTTAGTCTCGCTGACTTCAAGAATGAAGCCGTGTACCCTCGCGGTGAGTGTTACAGTTCTTAAAGATGGTGTGTCCAGAGTTTGTTCCTTCAGATGTTCAGATGTGTCCAGAGTTTCTTCCTTCTGGTGGGTTCATGGTCTCACTGACTTCAGGAGTGAAGCTGCAGACTTCCGCGGTGAGTGTTATAGCCCTTAAAGGTGGCATATCTGGAGTTGTTCGTTCCTTCTGGTGGGTTCGTGGTCTTGCTGGCCTCAGGAGTGAAGCTGCAGACCTTCACAGTGAGTGCTACAGTTCATAAAGGTGGTGCACCCGAAGTTGTTTGTTCCTCCCGTCTGGAGTTGTTTATCCCTCCCAGTGGGTTTGTGGTCTCGCTGGCTTAAGGAGTGAAGCTGCAGACCTTCACAGTGAGTGTTAACAGTTCATAAAAGCAGCGTAGACGCAAAGAGTGAGGAGCACTAAGATTTACTGCAAAAAGCAAAAGAACAAAGCAGCTTTTACGGTGTGGAAGAGGACCCGAGCACGTTGCCGCCGCTGGCTTGGGTGGCCTGCTTTTATTCCCCCATCCGGCCCCACCCACATCCTGCTGATTGTTCTATTTTACAGAGAGCTGATTGGTCCATTTTACGGAGAGCTGATTGGTTCATTTTACAGAAAGCTGATTGGTCCGTTTTGACAGAGTGCTTATTGGTGTGTTTACAATCCTTTAGCTAGACACAGAGTGCTGATTGGTGAGTTTACAATCCTTTAGCTAGACACAAAAGTTCTCTAAATCCCCACCAGATTAGCTAGACACAGAGTGGTGATTGGTGCATTTACAAACTTTTAGCTAGACACAGAGTGCTGATTGGTGCGTTTACAATCCTTTACCTAGACACAGAGTGCTGATTGGTGTGTTTACAATCCTTTAGCTAGACACAGAGTGCTGATTGGTGCATTTACAATCCTTTAGCTAGACACAAAAGTTCTCCAAGTCCCCACCAGACCCAGAAGCCCAGCTGGCTTCACCTCTCAATGGCACTCCCGGGACTTTGCCGCGCCTAGTGGGGCACTCCGGCAGCCCAGAGGGCGCTCCTCCCCCACCCCCCCATCAAGCCCAGCAGGCGACGCCAACCTTGCCCCCAGTGCAGGGCCTGCCTAGCCCGCACCCACCCGGAACACCACTGGCCCGGGAGCACCACGCGCAGCCCCTGTTCCCACTGGCGTCTCTCCCTCCACACCTCCCCCCAAGCAGAGGGAGACGGCTCCGGCCTCAGCCAGCCCCAGAGAGGGGCCCCCACAGCACAGCAGTGGGCTGAAGGGCTCCTCGAGCCCGGCCAGAGCAGACACCGAGGCCGAGGAGGCGCCAAGAGCAAGCAAGGGCTGCTAGCAGGTTGTCACCTCTCAATGCCACTGCACTCTAGCCTGAGTAACAGAGCAGATCTGGTGTCAAAAAATAAAATAAAAAATAAAGAACGAGACCAGGCACGGTGGCTCACGCCTGTAATCCCAGCACTTTGGGAGGCTGAGGTGGGCAGATCACGAGCTCAGGAGTTTGAGACCACCCTGGCCAACATGGCAAAACCTTGTCTCTACTAAAAGTACAAAAATTAACTGGGCATGGTGGTGGGTGCTTGTATTCCCAGCTACTCAGGAGGCTGAGGCAGGAGAATCACTTGCATCTGGGAGGCAGAGGTTGCAGTGAACCCAGATCGCGCCACTGCACTCTAGCCTGGGCAACAAGAGTGCAACTTCGTCTCAAAAAAATAAATAAAGAAAAATAAAATGAAACCTCCAATTAAAAGGAGAAATTCAACCAGGTGCAGTGGCTCACGCCTGTATCCCAACACTTTGGGAGGCCAAGGTGGGTGGATCGCTTGAGGTCAGGAGTTCGAGACCAGCCTGACCAACATGGTGAAACCCCATCTCTACTAAAAATACAAAAAATTAGCTGGATGTGGTGGTGCACACCTGTAGTCCCAGCTACTCGGGAGGCTGAGGCAGGAGAATTGCTTAAACTTGGGGCGTGGAGGTAGCAGTGAGCCGAGATCACGCCATTGCATTCCAGCTTGGGTGACAGAGCGAGACTCAGTCACAAATAAATAAATAAATAAATAGGCCAGGTGCGGTGGCTCACGCCTGTAATTCCAGCACTTTGGGAGGCCGAGGTGGGCGGATCACCTGAGGTCAGGAGTTCGAGACCAGCCTGCCCAACATGGTGAAACCCCATGTCTACTAAAAATACACACACAGACACAAAATAGCCAAAATTAGCCAAAAAATTATAAATAAATAAAATAAAAAGATAAGTTGCACACTCAGGAGGCTGAGGCAGGAGACTCGCTTGAACCCAGGAGGTGGAGGCTGCAGTGAGCCGAGACCACGCCATTTCACTCCAGTCTGGGCGACAAAGCAAGACTCTGTCTCAAAAAAAAAAAAAAGACAAATTCAGCAGAAGCATTGCTTGAGTAACACGGAAACTCAGAACCAGGAAACTGAAGGCGGTTACTCCACATACATCTGGGGCAATAAGTGAGCTGTTCCAGCGCGGCTTACGCTGTGGGCGGAGGCGGGCAGGAAATTCACTTACAAGTCTGTGCCAGGAAACAGGAAGAAGGTGCCTCCTGTGATACAAGATACAGACGTAGTCTCCTATCCAGGAAACAGGGACAGAGCCGCAGACCAGATAAAGATACGACCAACATTTTTCATTAAATATTCTCAACGGATTATTTACATTTTTTCTAGAAAAGTAAAATTTAAACCTGAATACATTTGATAACTATGGAATGTGAGCATTCACGTATGCTTGTGACCTGGTTCCTCTACGCTTCAGGGGTCGCCCTGGTCCCAAAGCGCTTCCTGCCGCTCCCACTTCCTCTGTTTTCACCGGAGGGGCAGCCACAGTTCTCGGCTGAGAGAAACTCGGTCGTTCTGTTTACCTCGTGAATGATTGGCTACAGATCCCAGAGAGGAAATAGGGACCCACCCCTCAGTTGTTATGCAATCTGGGGCGGAGTCCGGGGTCCATAGCCTTTCTGAGGGTAACCTGAGCGGGAGAAGTTGTTGCGCCTGATCTCAAACAGCCTTTCGCACGGAAAAGGATTCCTAAAAGTGGGGTTACTCCTCCACAGCAATAGCGTCCTTAAAATAGGGGCTCCCGGCTGGGCGCGGTGGCTCACCCCTGTAATCCCAGCACTTGAGAGGCCAAGACAGGCGGATCACCTGAGGTTGGGAGTTCGAGACCAGCCTGAACAACATGGAGAAACCCCCTCTCTACTAAAAATACAAAATTAGCCGGGTGTGGTGGCGCATGCCTGTAATACAAGCTACTCGGGAGGCTGAGGCAGGAGAATCGCTTGAACCTGGGAGGCGGAAGTTGCGGTGAGCCGAGATGGCGCCATTGCACTATAGCCTGGGCAGCGGCAAGAGCGAAACTCCGTCTCAAAAAAAAAAAAAAAAAAAAAACTATATATCTATCTATCATCTATCTATCTATCTATCTATCTATCTATCTATCTAGGCTGCCGGTGAGGACGTGAGGCACGTGCCACTGAGCCACTGAGAATTTACCCCCCTGGGCAAGTCTGTGAGGCCAGGGCCCCTAGGGAAAAAAGCCTTTCCCAGATTTTAGGGCTCATATGCCTGCAGTGGGTTGGTAGGGATCGGGGAAGATGATGAGGTTGGGATAAGGAAGTGGTACCAATAGAAAGACTAAGCAAACCAAACCAAATCAAACTTTCCCCTTTCCATCCCTGTCCTCCTCTTTGCAATCCCATTTGGGTGGCTGAAGGCAGACCCTGACCAGAGCCATCCTTGCCGGCTTCTTTTGTCTTGCTCTGTGGGGAAACGAGTGAAGAAAAAAGCAGAAGGAAAGGCAAGTGAAATGGAGCCCTCTGTGAAGAACTACGACTAGGGTCACACAGAGCAAAATTCCTAGCCTTCCTTTGAGGAGTAGCCGTATTTCCATTTAAAAAGGACCCACTTTATGCAAGATTCAGGGCTGGGAATTGGTCCTTCCTGCCTCAAGAATTTCAAAGACTTCTAGAGGAGAGTGTCCAAAGACAGACAAGAAAGTGGCCAGTGCCCTGAAGAAAGTCAGGGGGTCCAGGGGAGTGTGAACCCTGAATATCTGAGACAGGTCTCAGTTAATTTAGAAAGTTTATGTTGTCAGGGTTGAGGATGTGTGTCGGTGACACAGCCTTAGGAAGTCCTGATGACATGTGCCCAAGTTGGTCAGGGCACAGCTTGGTTTTATACATTTTAGGGAGACATGAGACATCAATCAACATATGTAAGATTAACATTGGTTCGGTCTGGAAAGGCGGGACAACTTGAAGCAATGGTGGGACAACTCCAAGTGGCGAGGGGGCTTCCAGGTCATAGGTAGATAAGAGACAAATGGTTACTTTCTTTTGAGTTTCTTTTTTTTTGAGATGGAGGCTCGCTCCTGTTGCACAGGCTGGAGTGCAGTGGTGCGATCTTGGCTTGTTGCAACCTCCACCTCCCAGGTTCAAGCGATTCTCATTCCTCAGCCTCCCGAATAGCTGGGATTACAGGCATGTGCCACCACGCTGAGCTAATTTTTGTATTTTTAGTAGAGACGGGGTTTCACCATGTTGGCCAGGCTGGTCTCGAACTCCTGGCCTCGGGTGATCCATCCGCCTCGGCCTCCCAAAGTGCTAGGATTACAGGTGTGAGCCACTGTGCCCGGCCTCTTTTGAGTTTCTGATTAGCCTCTCCAAAGGAGGCAATCAGATAGCATTTATCTCAGTAAGCAGAGGAGTGACCGAATAGAATGAGACGTAGGTTTGCTCTCAGCAGTTCCCAACTTGACTTTTCCCTTTAGCTTAGTGATTTTCGGGCCCCAAGATTTATTTTCCTTTCACAGGTATCCCCTGTTCAGTTCAGACTGAACCTGAGGGGGTGTAGGGATGTACTCCAGGCTGGAGTGAAGTGGCATGATCTCGGCTCACTGCAACGTCTGCTTTCTAGGCTCAAGAGATCCTCCCAACTCAGCCTCCTGAGTAACTGGGATTTCAGGTGAGCACAACCATGCCCAGCTAATTTTTGTATTTTTAGTAGAGACGGGGTTTTGCCCTGTTTCCCAGGCTGGTCTGGAACTCCTGAACTCAGGTGATCCACCCACCTCGGCCTCCCAAAGTGCTGGGAATACAGGCGTCAGCCACTGTGCCCAGCCAAATTCTACGTCTTTTAAAAAATTAAGAGAAGAAATTAGTAAAATACACTTAAAGTTTTTCGTATGAAACTTATTTAGTGTTTCTGATGATTTGTTCTTGTGGATTGGACTTACAATCTGATGTGGTTCCTTTGTTTCAATGTAACTCCATCTTTTCCCTATCCTTTGTACCATTATTGTCATATGTGTGTGAGTGCATATATACACACACATTATCTTTAGATGTTACAAACCCAACACTGTAATTTTATAATTGTTGTTTTATGTAATTTCTTTTAAAACAGTTAAGAAATGAAAAGGAGCCAGGCATGGCGGTGTGCATCTGTAGTCCCAGCTACTCAGGAGGAGGCTGAGGTGAGGGGATCACTTGAGTCCAGGATTTGAGGCTGCAGTGAGCGATGGTCAAACCACTGCACTCCATCCTGGGTGAGAGAGTGAGACCTTGTCTCTCAAAAAAGAAAAAGAAAAAGAAGAGATTTGTAGTTTTTAGTTTTTAGTTTTTAAAAAATAATTACCAACATATTATTTTTTCTGATGCTGTTTGTTTCTTTTACAAATTTTACTTTTTTTAATGTAATATTTTTGAGATGGAGTCTTGCTCTGTTGCCCAGGCTGGACTACAGTGGTGTGATCTTGGCTCACTGCAGACTCCACCTGCTGGGTTCAAGTGATTCTTGTGCCTCAGCCTCCCAAGTAGCTGGGATTACAGGTGTGCGCCACTGTGCCTAGCTACAAGTTTTATCTTTAATTGACATACAATAATTGTTTTTCATTGGATTGGGATTATTATCTGGTGTCATTTCTTCTCAGTCTGAAGAACTTACTTTAGTATTACATTAGTGTTTCTTGTAAGACATATCTGCAAGAGATAAATCTCCCTAGTCTTTGTTTATGTAAGAATATGTTCATGTTGGCTTCTCTTTTTGTTTTCTTTAGAATAAATTTTGGTTTTGGAGACAGGGTCTCGCTCTGTTGCCCAGGCCGGAGTGTAGTGGCATGATCATGTCTCATTGCAACCTCAATCTCTCGGGCCTAAGAGAGCCTCCTGCCTCAGCCTCCTGAGTAGCTAGGACTACAGGTGTGCACTACCACACATGGCTAAATTTTTTTTTTTTTTTTTTTTTTGCAGAGACAGGGTCTTACTTTGTTGCCCAGGCTGGTCTTGAACTCCTGGGTTCAAGCGATCCTCCCACCTTGGCCTCCCAAAGTGCTGGGATTATGGGTGCAAACCACTGTCCCTGTACCGGTCTTCAGTTTTGAAGGATAATTTTTCTTGATGTAAAATTCTTGATTGCTAGCTTCTCCCCACTAACCCCCAAATTTGCATATGTTACTGTCTTCTTTAATTTTTTTTTTTTTTTGAGACAGAGTCTTGCTCTGTTGCCCAGGCTGGAGTGCAGTGGCACAATCTTGGCTCACTGCGCCTCCGCCTCCCGGGTTCAAGCAATTCTCCTGCCTCAGCCTCCCGAGTAGCTGGGATTACAGGCATGTACCACCACACCCAGCTAATTTTTATATTCTTAGTAGAGATGGGGTTTCACCATGTTGGCCAGGCTGGTCTTGAACTCTTGACCTCGTGATCTGCCTGCCTCAGCCTCCCAAAGTGCTGGGATTATAGACATGAGCCACGGCACCCAGCCCATGTTACAGCCTTCTAACCTCCATTGTTACTGATGAGGTTAGCTATTAAGATTATTGTGTCTGTGTGTATGAGTGTATTTGTATGAGATGAGTTTTTTCTCATTGCTTTTAAGATGTCATTTCTATTTTTGGCTGGTAATAGTTTCAGTATAATATATTAATGTTTAGGTGTGAATCAATTTTTTTTTTTTTTTTTGAGACAGAGTCTCACTCCATTTCCAGGGCTGGAGTATAGTGGCATGATATTAGCTCATTGCAACCTCTGACTCCGTGGTTCAAGCAATTCTCCTGCCTCAGCCTCCCGAGTAGCTGGGATTACAGGTGTGCATCACCATGCCCAGCTAATTTTTGTATTTTTATTGAGACAGATTTCACCATGTTGGCCAGGCTGGTCTCGAACTCCTGACCTCAAATGATCCACACACCTCAGCCTCCCAAAGTGCAGGGATTACAGGCATGAGCCACCGTGCCTGGCCGACAATTTCTATTGACTGTTTCTCCCTGCAAATGGATTGCATTTTCCTATTTCTTTGCCCTTTTGTAACTTTTTTGGAAAACTGAAAATTTTAGACAATATATGCTAGCTCTGGATTCCAATTTCTTTCTCTTGGGGGTGAAGGTGGTTGTTGTTTTGTTTGTTTTTATAGTGACTTGCCTGTACTAATTCTGTGGAGTCCCTTTCCCTTGCAGTATGAGGGTTCAGATATTTTTATAGTGACTTGCCTGTACTAATTCAGTGGAGTCCTTTTCCCTTGCAGTATGCAGTATGAGGCTTCAGATATTTCTGCTCAGATATTTCTGCTCAGGTTCCTTTTTGTTTTTGAGACAGAGCTTCACTCTTGTTGCCCAGGCTAGAGTGCAACGGCGTGATCTCGGCTCACTGCAACCTCTGCCTCCTGGGTTCAAGCGATTCTCCTGCCTCAGCCTCCCGTCCTTTTTTAATTCTTATTTTTATTTTTAAGCCTGAATTCTTAGGGGTTGCCCCTGGATCAGCATAGCTTAATGGTCAGCCAGTGATCTGTTAGAGTTTGTGCTTAAATGCCTTAAGCCAGTAAGGCTTCTAACCCTGCTGTTGGAGCTGTGTGTGATTTGGAGGGTACTTTCAAAGTTCAGAGAGTTTACAAGTGAGCCATGGCTTTCTCTTTATTTCTGAGACCTCATATTTAGTTGCAGGGAGGAGTAGCTTCCTATAGCCTTCTCAAGTCTCTCTTCTAAGCAGTTATAACCCTGTGTGCTGCACATAGCTTTTTAAACTACCAAAGTTAAATGGTATTTTACTAAGGCATTCTTTGTCTGTTTTGTTCCTTTGATTTCCCTTTTAAATTTCTGGCTAGTCTGCTATTTTGCTGCTTCTCCCAACCATTGTCATGACGCAGGCTAGCCACACCGTTAGGCTTTGCTAATGAATTCTTCTGTGAAAAAGTACTGCCACATCTTCCCATTTATTTATTTAAGAATTTCTTTTATCAATATGGGCTAATGGATACTTATTTTATTCTATGGGTTATAATCCAATTCCATTATTACTTATTTTGTTGCTCAAATTGTTTCCATTTTAACTATTGGAATTATTTCCAGTTGGCTCCTGTGTCCCTTTGATATGGTTCTCACCTTTTAATCGAGCATGTAAATACTTTCTGACATCATAGGATGCCCCAGTCCTAGAATCGACCGTTTCTCCAAGGAGCCGGAATGCCGTTTTGTTTTCAATTTAAATTTTTTTTGTGTAGAGATAGTGTCTCACTATGTTGCCCAGGCTAGCCTCGAAATCCTGGCCTCAAGCGATCCTCCTGCCTCAGCCTCCCAAAGTGCTAGTATTACAGGCGTGAACCACCATATCTGGCCTGTCAGATTCTTTTAATTTTTGGTTTTTAACTTTTTATTATTGAAAACTTAAAATTTATAAAAAATTAGAAAGAATAGCAAAGTGTTTCCATCACTCAGCTTCAACAATCATCCCTCCCTTAGAGAATCCTAGTAATCTGAACAGGAATGTGGATCAGCAAGGCCTGTTTAGGTGACTAAAGCAGTGAAAATTATCTCCATCAATTGTGTGGGATGAATTTTCAACAGCAACACCTATAGCAGAGAAAAGCAACAGCTTCTTTTCTGTTCTTAGCACTGAAGGGGACTACGAGTGTACCCTTTGGCTGTGGGGTGCTTAGACATTTCACAGGAAGCCCCAAGAGGTATTAGAATGGATCACTGGAAAAATAAAGTTGTGAATATATTTGTATCTTGGGTTTTTAGTGGAAGCTCACATTAGTTACAGTTATGACAAAACCTATTCTCTGTACACCCAAGGGTCTTTTTTGGTCACAAGAGAATATTTTCAAGGGGAATTTAAAAACATAAGAAACCACGTTTACGCTGGGCACAGTGGCTCATGCCTGTAATCCCAGCACTTTGGGAATCTGAGGCGGGCAGACCACTTGAGCCCAGGAGTTTGAGACCAGCCTGGCCAACATGGTGAAACCTCGTCTCTACCAAAAATACAAATAATAATAATAATAATAATAATAAAAATAAAGCAGGGCATGGTGGCGTGCACCTGTAGTCCCAGCTACTGGGGAGGCTGAAGTGGGTGGGAGAATTGCTTTAACTGGGGAGGCAGAGGTTGCAGTGAGCTGAGATTGTGCCACTGCACTCCAGCCTGGGTGACAGAGTGAGAGCCTGTCTAAAAAACAAACAAACAAACAAAAAACCACGTTTAGTCTGAGGAACAGTACCTCGTGGTACATTGCCATAATTAGTTCCCAAGAGAAGATTGAGTGTCAGGCCCTGGAGAGGCCTGGAGCACTAATCAGGGAACCAAGGCTGGGGAGGGTGGGGGAAGGCCCAGCTAGATCTTTCATTCCTGATCTTCTTTCTCACGATCCAAAGAGATGTACTTACTACTTTTTGTCATTATGTCTGTTAAGTATTTTTAAATTCACTGGTTCTCTCTCATTTTTTTTTTTAGCTTTAACTTCCGCTACAGTTTACCACAACTTCCTGGTTCCTCCCCTTTGTGGTCACAAAAACATTTCCTAGTTGAGATACATTTTCTTGACTTGAGTCTCCTTTCTCTGGTTCATTTGGTGCCTTTATCAACTCTATGCATAGTGAGGTTTTAAGTCTTTATAAAGATCATTGGCACATGAGGGGGTCTGCAGCCTACTGTCCTATTTACTCAGTTTGGTGTTATTCTACTATATTTGTGATGTCAGGAGCCACACTGTCTGGAAATGATGCTGGGAGGTCATTCTGGGTTGCCTGAAAAACAAACTCATTAGAACCTGGGGCTCCCTCTTCTTCCAGTGAGTGGGGTTTCCAAAAGTTAGAATCCAGTGGAACCAGGGGTGTTTTTCTCACTCCTGGCAGAGGGACGTGTGACTAGCCATGGGCCCCTAGGTCTCCAGTTCCTGGGTAGCTTGTATTTTTGAACATCTCCTGTATATTAGTTATCATTACAGCATAAAAATTGTCCTAAAATAAGTGGCTTAAAACAACACACCCTTATTATCTCACAATATTTGAAGGACAGCAATTCAATACAGCATAGCTGGGTCCTCTCTTCAGGGCCCCTCAAGGCTGCAATCATAGTTGGGGTCTTCCCTGAAGACTCAACTAGGAAAGGATGAGCTTCCAAGCTCACTAACTTAGTTGTTGGTAGGAAGCACGAAGGGTGGTAGGACTGAAGGTTTGGTTCCTCTTGAATGTTGAGTTGAGAGCACTCTCAGTTCCTCACCACATGGACCTCCTTAACATGGCAGCTTGATTACTTGAGTCAGTAAATGAGTCTGCTAGCAAGATAAAAGCCACAAACTCTTATTGTCTACTCATGGATATGATAGACTTTCACCTTTGTCATATTCCATTGGTTAGAATTAAGTGACAAGGTCCATACCAAACTCAAGGTGGGAAGGATTCCACAAAGACTCGAATACTAAGATGGGGGATCACTGGAGACCATCTTAGAAGTCAGGTTAGCACAACCTGTCAATAACTGACACTCTAATCAAGAGTGCTAGGTGCCTACGCTGTTTGTGTGCCTCTTCATTGATAAGGCTGCTCTCATGCTTGACTCATAATGGAGAGCAATAACACACTGCCTCATCCCTCCCCTCCACCTGCATGTCCAGTAGTGTGCCTGGTTTGCTCTTCTATGGAAAAATAAAAGGAATTGGACTCATGCTTTCTCTTTACTTGCTGACACTGAATTGAAAATTCCCTCAAAAGCCTATTTCTTAACCCATAGCATGCGATATTCTGGCTTTTATCCTGAGCCCTGGTGAACAACAGGTGGTGACCCCAAGGGACCTGCTTTGCATGACAGCCTCACACCTGGTTTTCCTCTCAGTCCTCTCCCAGTCTCTCCTCTTTGCCTCATAAGTTTAGTTACACCCCGAACACTGTCTTTTGGCTATTTTATGGATCCTGTTTGCAGCTTGAGGCACAGGTTATTCCTGCCCTTTGCCCACCATCTGCTCCTGGGACCCCAGCCTGAGTGGAAGAGGTCTTGGAGTGTGGCTTGGACATTATTAATCAGGTTTTCTCCACACCAGCACACATACACACCCATGTGCACACAAACACACAGGCACACCCCCCACACACATGCATGTGCGTGCACACACACATGCATGTCGACACACACACACACTTTGTTGTGGAATCTGGTGCCTGTGGTCTTATGTATTTTCGCAGGAATTTGTGCTTAATGGATATTCCGAGCAGTCTTCATTGGTTACCCACGCCCACTGTTATGCTTTATGAACAAACTCATGCATTCTTTCCTAAATAGACTGCATATTTCCTTTTCTTTTCTTTTCTTTTCTTTCTTTCTTTTTTTTTGAGACGGAGTCTTGCTCTGTTGCCCAGGCTGGAGTGCAATGGGGGGATCTTGGCTCACTACAACCTCCGCCTCCTGGCTTCAAGCGATTCTCCTGCCTCATCCTCCCAAGTAGTTGGAATTACTGACGCCCTCTACCACGCCTGGCAAGTTTTGTATTTTTAGTAGAGACAGGGTTTCACTATGTTGGCCAGGCTGGTCTCAAACTCCTGACCTCAAGTGATCCACCTGCCTCAGCCTCCCAAAGTGTTGGGATTACAGGCATAAGCCATGGCGCCTGGCCATTTTTTTTTTTTTAAGAGACAGGGTCTCATCTCACTCTGTCACCCAGGCTAGAGTACAGTGGCATGATCACAGCTCTACTCTACTAAAAATACAAAAATTAGGCCGGGCGCAGTGGCTCACACCTGTAATCCCAGCACTTTGGGAGGCCGAGGTGGGTGGATCACCTGAGGTCGGGAGTTCAAGACCGGACTGACCAACATGGAGAAACCCTGCCTTGGCCGGGCACGGTGGCTCACGCCTGTAATCCCAGCCCTTTGGGAGGCCAAGGTGGGCTGATCACCTGAGGTCAGGAGTTTGAGACCAGCCTGGCCAACATGGTGAAACCCCGTCTCTATCAAAAATATAAAAATTAGCCAGGCACAGTGGCAGACGCCTGTAATCTCAGCTACTTGGGAGGCTGAGGCAGAAGAATCCCTTGAACCCGGGTGATGGAGTTTGCAGTGAGCCATCCTCACGAGATCGTGCCACTGCACTCCAGCCTGGGCGACAGAGCCAGACTCCATCCCCCCCAAAAAAAAAAAGAAAAAAAGAAAACCCGTCTCTACTAAAAATACAAAATTAGCGAGGTGTGGTGGCACATCCCTGTAATCCCAGCTACCTAGGAGGCTGAGGCAGGAATTGCTTGAACCTCGGAGGTGGAGGTTGCGGTGAACCAAGATTGCGCTATTGCACTCCAGCCTGGGCAACAAGAATGAAACTCCATCTCAAAACAAAAATAAAAATAAAAATACAAAAATTAGCCAGGCGTGGTGGCAGATGCCTGTAATCCCTGCTACTCAAGAGGCTGAGGTGGGAGGATTGCTTGAACTTGGGAGGCGGAGGTTGCAGTGAGCCGATATCCCGCCATTGCACTCCAGCCTGGGTGACAGCGTAAGACTCTGTCTCCAAAAAGAAAAGGGAATCCTACCTCCTGAGGGCCTCTGTTACTGTAATTTCTAAAAGTGCCCCACCTGACCCTTGAACCTAATCAACTCAATGTTAAAAGTCATAGCATAGTAGCTAATGCTCATATAGCCCTTTATGGCATTGTCTTACACACTGGCATCCAGCCAGTGTGCACTAGTACAGCCAATACTGATTGTTACAGAAAATAGAATGGTTATCGTGATAGGTGGTAAAATTAATAAGTACTAGAAATTCTAATATCTCATTAACTAATTAACTATTTGTCTTAGTCTATCACAGTGATCATCAATGGATGGGTCTCCTGCACTGCAGCATCTGAGAATCATTTATGGCACCACCGGCTGGTTCAGCCATGTCACCATTGTACATTCATTGTTTTGTGGTTTAGGAAAATCATCAGTTAATTGTTATCCTCACATGCTGTAACTTATAAATAGTATATTTGTTTGGCTTTTCCTTGTTTCTATTGTTATTGTGTTATTATTCATCTGGAAATAATAACTGTGCAGTGTTTTGATATCTATAAATTCAAGAACTTAGAATAGTAAACAGTAAGAGTGAAGTGACAAAGTTTAAATACATTTTATTTATTTATCTATTTACTTATTTTCTGAGATAAGAGTCTTACTCTGTTGCCCAGGCTGGAGTGCAGTGGTGTGATCTCGGCTCACTGCAACTTCTGTCTCCCAGGTTCAAGCGATCTTCCTGCCTCAGTCTCCTGAGTAGCTGGGACTACAGGTGTGTGCCACCACACCCACCAAATTTTTATATTTTTGTTTTATTTTATTTTTTTTGAGACAGAAGGGTTTTTTTTTTTTTTTTTGAGACAGAAGGGTTTTTTTTTTTTTTTTTTTTTTGAGACAGAGTTTCACTTTTGTTGCCCAGGCTGGAGTGCAATGGCGAAATCTCAGCTCACTGCAACCTCTGCCTCCCGGGTTCAAGCAATTCTCCTGCCTCAGCCTCCCAAGTAGCTGGGACTACAGGCATGTACCACCATGCCTGGCTAATTTTTTGTATTTTAGTGGAGACGGAGTTTCACGATGTTGGTCAGGCTGGTCTTGAACTCCTGACTTCAGGTGAGCCACCTGCCTTGGCCTCCCAAAGTGCTGGGATTACAGGCATGAGCCACCGCGCCCAGCCGATTTTTGTATTTTTAGTAGAGATGGGGTTTCGTCATGTTGGCCAAGCTGGTTTCAAACTCCTGACCTCAGGTGATCCATCAGCTTCAGCCTCCCAAAGTGCTGGGATTACAGGCATAAGCCACAGTGCCAGGCCTACATACATTTTAAACATTGCTTTTAGATACTGTAAACATGACTCTTCTGAATCTGAGACAAATCATGAAACCAATGGTATTAATATTGAATCACAGCCTGGAACAACTGATATGCAAAGATTATGGCAGGTGGGAATGCTTTCAGTATTGCATAAGATTCAGTTCAAAGGAAACAATAATTCACATTTCTAAAATTTAATTAAAAACCTGATAATTGGCCAGGTGTATTGGCTCATGCCTGTAATCCCAGCACTTTGGGAGCTCAAGGTGAGTGAATCACCTGAGGTTGGGAGTTCGAGACCAGCCTGACCAACATGGAGAAACCCTGTCTCTACTAAAAATATAAAATTAGCCAGGTGTGGTGGTGCATGCCTGTAATCCTAGCTACTGGGGAGGCTGAGGCAGGATAATCATTTGAACCCAGGAGGTGGAGGTTGCAGTGAGCTGAGATGGCGCCATTGCACTCCAGCCTGGGCAACAAGAGCAAAACTCCATGTCAAAAAACAAACAAACAAAAAACCCCTGATAATTTTGACAAAACTCACAGGTAGCTGATTATTGCTTGAAATGTAAATATTAAATGAAAACGATATGCAAAGCACACATCTTGTGGATGTGTGAAAAGGTGAATGTTCTAGCATATTGTCGGTGCTCAGAATTCAGGGAAAAACTAGTAATAAGAAGAATTTGAAGAATATTATGAATGAGCTTCACATAATGAAGTCTTTGAAATAATAAATCCCCTGAAATACTTTGTATCATAAAAAGAACAAAACATTGAAAAAGTACCATTAGAATGCTAATATTACCTACTGTGTAATTAGTCTACTGCTAAATAGAGTCTTAAAAAAGGTTGTAAATAGTGCATATCATTGCAGTCTACATTAATGGTTACAATGGTCACAAAACGTATATCTACCATGATGAGACAACTTTTTAGTAAATTTATAAATCTAGGCAATCAATCATCACCAAGAAAGCTTCAATTATGTAACAAAAAAAAATTTTTTTTTTTTGAGACGGAGTCTCACTCTGTCACCTAGGCTGGAGTGCAGTGGCGCGATCTCGGTTCACTGCAAGCTCCACCTCCCAGGTTCACACCATTCTCCTGCCTCAGCCTCCCGAGCAGCTGGGACTACAGGCGCCTGCCACCATGCCCGGCTAATTTTTTGTATTTTTAGTAGAGACGGGGTTTCACTGTGTTAGCCAGGATGGTCTTGATCTCCTGACCTCGTGATCCGCACACCTTGGCCTCTCAAAGTGCTGGGATTACAGGTGTGAGCCACCACGCCCGGCCACAAAAATGTGTTTTTATTAGTGACTTAAATACTAAATTTCAGACTTATAAAACTGATGATATAAAACTAATGATTTTTGCTCATCTGAGGAACTGAAATGATGTATCAAGCTTACTTACTCATCAGTGCTCAAGAAAAGTGGTTTTGATGTGAAATGGTTACACAATGCTACAGATGGTTCTAGTATATGTCACAGAGAAAGTTCAGAGAAGCCAAAGTTTTAGAGAAGTCTCTATATGGCCAGGCACAATGGCTCATGCCTGTAATCCCAGCACTTTGGGAGGCCAAGGCAGGCAGATCACGAGGTCAAGAGATTGAGACCATCCTGGCCAACATGGTGAAACCCTGTCTCTACAAAAAAATACAAAAATTAGCTGGGCGTGGTGGCATGCACCTATAGTCCTAGCTGCTTGGGAGGCTGAGGCAGGAGAATCGCTTGAACCTGGGAGGCAGAGTTTGCAGTGAGCAGAGATTATGCCACTGCACTCCAGCCTGGTGACAGAGCGACAATCTGTCTCAAAAAAAAAAAAAAAAAAAGTCTCTTTATATTTTAAATTGGTACTATATAAGTTACTGTATTCAGTGATGTCAGGATGATGCAGTAAAATGTTTAAATGAAAAATTACTTCAAATATTTGCCTCACTAAACTTTATATTCACAACTACATATGAAATAAGCATTTGGGAAAATTAAAAATATTTCTAAAGATACTGGAATTGAAGTCATGAAACTAGAAAGCATATTTGGGCACTCTGTAATAGTGGGATGCCAAGAGCATTAGGGAATTGTACCAAACCTTTTATATTCACTTTAATAGAAGTTGTGAAATGGGAGTAGTAAGTGTTTAGGACATAAACTTTTTTTCCCAGAAATTTGACGTTAATAACTTATATATTAACAGAGATGTCAATGTTATCTTTATCCTTTCCAGAGGAAATATTAAAAATTACAGAAGCTGGATTAATTGTAGAAAAATAAGAATCAGTTAATATATAAAATTAAATACATAAAGCAAAGGGGAAAAAGTAGATAGTATTGTTTAAAAATATGATATACCATTTGAAAGAAAAATGTCAACTTCAAGAGAAAAAGTCAATTAGATTATCTAATAATTTATGTGATTGCAATTGTAGTTTGATGACAAAAGTAAAATATATTAAGAACTTAAAATTTTTAAATTAAGTCAACCATGAAGGATGTTTACAAAGCTTCATAGATGTAACCAATTAAATCAAGACAATTTTTAATTTAATCAATACAATTAAGCCTACTTATTAAAGATGGCTTTTATTAATTGATTTTTGTGGTGGAGTGAACGGAGATATTAAATAATAAGAATTTCTAGGCCGGGCGCGGTGGCTCATGCCTGTAATCCCAGCACTTTGGGAGGCCGAGGCGGGCAGATCACAAGGTTAGGAGATCGAGACCATCCTGGCTAACATGGTGAAACCCCGTCTCTACTAAAAATACAAAAAATGAGCCAGGCATGGTGGCAGGCGCCTGTAGTCCCAGCTACTCAGGAGGCTGAGGCAGGAGAATGGCGTGAACCCGGGAGGAGGAGCTTGCAGTGAGCTGAGATCGCGCCACCGCACTCCAGCCTGGGCGACAGGAGACTCCGTCTCAAAAAAAAAAAAAAGAATTTCTAGGCCAGGCGTGGTGGCTCATGCCTGTAATCCCAGCACTTTGGGAGGCCGAGGCAGGTGGATCATTTGAGGTCAGGAGTTTGAGACCAGCTTGGCCTACGTGGTGAAACCCCCTCTTTACTAAAAATACAAAAAGTAGCTGGGCGTGGTGGCATGTGCCTGCAATCCCAGCTACTCGGGAGGCTGAGACAGGAGAATTGCTTGAACCGGGGAGGTGGAGGTTGCAGTGAGCCAAGATCGCACCACTGCACTCCAGCCTGGGCGACAGAGTGAGACTGTCTCAAAAAAAGAAAAAAAAAAAAGAAAGAAAAAGAATTTCAGACAGCAGTTCAAGGGCTAAAAAATCTTTAACATAGCTGCTAAAGTGAGAGAGGATTTGGCACCATGAACAATATAGTTGATTACATACGTCATAATATACAAACAATTTAATGGGGAAATTATCAGAAGCTTATACAAGGCTCTTTTGTCAAATCATGGCTAACATAGGCATATATCACTTAACCAATAATTACCACCTAAGAAATGCAAAAAATGTTTAAAAATCAATAAATAATTTGGAAATTGTTATAACTATTTAAGAAATTATTTATATTTCAACTGTGTCACTTGGTAAGTAGTTTTATAATCATTTAGTTAGGACAGAAAAATAGCATAATTGGGAAAATTTTATTTATATATTAATTTCCATTGCCATACCAGCTGTCAACTATTTTGAATAGTACTCTTGATCTCACATATAGTTTGCTTGTAGTAAGTATTGATTGAATGGTGTTTGATATAAATGAATGAAGATGACAGTCAGGACACCCAGGACAAGTGAAAGCAGGGCTGAAGGAATGTAAGGGTTGCAGTATTTATTGTCTTTTAGCTGAAATATTTAGAAACAGAAAGGGTAAGCGCACAGAGGAATAGCATAGCAGAAATCATGTGACTTTCTCATGTTAACCCTTCCCCTTGTCCAGACCCTATTTGTCCATATGGGCATCTCCATATAGAGACAAGACTCAGAAGGTTGGATAGCTATACTTCTTTGCCTCTGTTTTCAGGAAGCCAAGTCCTCTGTTCGCTTTGGTTGCCACCACTAACTCGGCGGCTGGGCTGCCCATGTGTAGACAGATGTCTTGAAAATATCAAGTTCCCTAAGCAGCTTGAACTGCAGGGAGGCTCAGAGAGGGTAGATTTCCTGAGCTGCTGACTTACTGCGGGACTGACTCAGTAAGATTCCAGGCACTAGGCAGAGCTAGTTAGGAAAGGAAACGTTTCCTGTTTGCCTCTGTGGGGAAAAAGAACCTACTCTTTGGACAGAGTCACCTGGCTCTAACACCAGAAAGGAAAGCGAGGCGGTGCATCCTCCAGAACAGCAGTAGGCAGGGCCACGGAGCATCCCACAGCCACCAGTGGGGCTGTCCTGCTGTTCTTGCAGTAGTGCCCTGTCTCCCAGAATCTCCCCCTGGTGCTATCTCCACCCTGCCTGAAAGTAGTGAGGAGGATGATGGGGAGAGAGTCAGACAGGCTGGGGTTGGGAAGAGTGAGTGCCCTTGATTTTTCTCTTATCCAAATTCAACTTTCATTTTAGTTTTCCCTCCAATTCCTCAAAGCAAGCATCGCTACTCTTAATTTCTCATATGGAACTACTTAGGGGTGGCAAAAACCTCATGGGACTGGTGGGGCTTCCTGTGCTTTTAATTGAAATGGTTTCTTTGTGGGTTCCCAAAGCTAAATTGTCCTTGCTCACACTGGAAGGAAATAAAGAAAAATAAGTATGATTATTGTACCAAGTAGTGGGATTACAGGTGAGGTTTTTCTTGTTTATTAGAAAATTCTTGGCCAGGCGCGGTGGCTCATGACTGTAATCCCAGCACTTTGGGAGCCGGAGGTGGGCAGATCATGAGGACAGGAGATTGAGACCATCCTGGCTAACACGGTGAAACCTCGTCTCTACTAAAAATACAAAAAATTTTCTGGGCGTGGTGGCATGCACCTGTAATCCCAGCTACTCAGGAGGCTGAGGCAGGAGAATGGCATGAACCCAGGAGGCAGAGTTTGCAGTGAGCAGAGGTTGTGCCATTGCACTCCAGCCTGGGCGACAGTGCGAGACTGTGTCTCAAAAAAAAGAAAAGCAAGAAAATTCTTTTCTTGTTTTTATAGATGTGCAATAAAAACAATTGGGAGAAGAAAGAAGAGTTGACCTGGATTTTCATAATGCAAAGAAAATGGCACCCAAATTCCCACCACAAGGATTTACATGTATTATCCAATTCAATTCATTCAGAATTCCGTGCAGTCAGTCAGATAATTGTTATCCCAGCTTAACTGACAGATGTTAGGAATGAGACTTGAAAGTGCTCAGCCAGGCTGGGTGCGTTGGCTCACGCCTGTAATCCCAGCACTTTGGGAGGCCAAGGTGTGTGGATCACCTGAGGTCGGGAGTTCGAGACCAGCCTGACCAACATGGAGAAACCCCGTCTTTACTAAAGGTACAAAATCAGCCGGGGCGTGATGGCACATGCCTGTAATCCCAGCTACTCCGTAGGCTGAGGCAGGAGAATCGCTTGAATCCAGGAGGCGGAGGTTGCAGTGAGCCAAGATCATGCCACTGCACTCCAGCCTGGGAAACAAGAGCGAAACTCTGTCTCAAAAAAAAAAAAAAAAAAAAAAAAAAAAAAAAGTGCTCAGCCAGGATCTCATACCAAGTCTGTGGTGGAGTGCCAAGAGCCAAGATGTCCTCTGCAGAAAGAATCACTTGGTTTTTTTTTTGGTTTTTTTTGTTTTTGTATTTTTTGGTGGAGATGGGGTTTCCCCGTGTTGGCCGGGCTGGTCTCCAGCTCCTGACCGCGAGTGATCTGCCCACCTCGGCCTCCCGAGGTGCCGGGATTGCAGACGGAGTCTCGCTCACTCAGTGCTCAATCTTGCCCAGGCTGGAGTGCAGTGGCGTGATCTCGGCTCGCTACAGCCTCCACCTCCCAGCCGCCTGCCTTGGCCTCCCAAAGTGCCGAGACTGCAGCCTCTGCCCGGCCACCACCCCATCTAGGAAGTGAGGAGCGTATCTGCCCGGCCGCCCATCGTCTGAGATGTGGGGAGCGCCTCTGCCCCGCCGCCCCGTCTGGGATGTGCGGAGCGCCTCTGTCCGGCGGCGACCCCGTCTGGGAACTGAGGAGTGTCTCTGCCCGACCGCCACCCCGTCTGGGAGGTGAGGGGCGTCTCTGCCGGGCCGCCCTGTCTGAGAAGTGAGGAGCCCCTCCGCCCGGCAGCCGCCCCGTCTGGGAAGTGAGGAGCGTCTCCGCCCGGCAGCCGCCCCGTCCAGGAGGTGGGGGGCAGCCCCCGCCCTGCCAGCCGCCCCGTTCGGGAGGTGGGGGGCGCCTCTGCCCGGCCCGTCTGGGAAGTGAGGAGCCCCTCTGCCCGGCCGTCACCCCGTCTGGGAGGTGTACCCAACAGCTCATTGAGAACGGGCCATGATGACGATGGCGGTTTTGTCGAATAGAAAAGGGGGAAATGTGGGGAAAAGAAAGAGAGATCAGATTGTTACTGTGTCTGTGTGGAAAGAGGTGGACATGGGAGACTCCATTTTGTTCTGTACTGGGAGAGGTTCTTCTGCCTTGGGATGCTGTTGATCTATAGCCTTACCCCCAACCCCGTGCTCTCTGAAACATGTGCTGTGTCCACTCAGGGTTAAATGGATTAAGGGCGGTGCAAGATGTGCTTTGTTAAACAGATGCTTGAAGGCAGCATCCTCATTAAGAGTCATCACCGCTCCCTAATCTCAAGTACCCAGGGACACAAACACTGCAGAAGGCCGCAGGGTCCTCTGCCTAGGAAAACCAGAGACCTTTGTTCACATGTTTATCTGCTGACCTTCCCTCCACTATTGTCCTATGACCCTGCTAAATCCCCCTCTCCGAGAAACACTCAAGAATGATCAATAAATACTAAAAAAAAAAAAAAAAAAAAGAATCACGTGTACTGGTTGAAACAGCACCAATAAACAATTTAGGCTCTGAGTTGGACACAGTTTGGTAAATACATGTTCTACAATGTTCCATAGTCTTTCAGTGTCCCATGGGATATTTGTTCCCCCATAGAAAGCATAGGTAGAGGTCCTTTACATACCCTGCAGGGACGCTGATTTGCATGGGGAGGGCTGGCACACAGCCTCTGCTGGGTATGAACAGTACAAACCTCTGGAGGCTGTGCTCTGTTCAGGACTTGGAGCTGGTTGGGGACCTCCAATGCCCTGTGCTGACGGCTGGCCTGGGGGCTTCTCCTCACTAGGGTCTTCTCTCAGTCTCTCAAGGTGGGCACAGTCTCTCCTGGACACACAGGCAATGGGCTGGACAAGCATCTCTTTCCTCTAAGGCCCAGTCACCAAGTATTCCCTCCAGGGGACCGGGTTTGGAAATTTTCACTACATATAACAGCCCTTCTGTTGCCTCATATTTTCTAACTCTGGCGTGGTGGTTCCCAGTCTCTTTACCACTGAGGAAGCATAGGTGATTTCTTCCCTCCCTCTGTTTCAAAATGGTTTTAACTACCAAACAAAATCCTCTAAGTGATCATTTGCCTTTCTTTCTTTCTTCCTTTCTTCCTTTCTTTCCTTCTTTCCTTCTTTCCTTTCTTTCTTTCTCTCTCTCTTTCTTTCTTTCTCTCTCCTTCCTTCCTTCCTCCCTCCCTCCCTCTCTCTCTTTCTTTCTTTTCGAAGCGCAGTTTCACTCTTCTTGCTCAGGCTGGAGTGCAATGGTGTGATCTTGGCTCACTGCACAACCTCAGCCTCCTGGGTTCAAGCGATTCTCCTGCCTCAGCCTCCTGAGTAGCTAGGATTACAGGCATGCGCCACCACGCCCAGCTAATTTTTTATTTTTAGTAGAGACAGGGTTTCTCCGTGTTGGTCAGGCTGGTCTTGAACTCCCAACCTCAGGTGATCAACCCGCCTCAGCCTCCCAAAGTGCTGGGATTACAGGCGTGAGCCACCGCGCCCAGGCTTCATTTGCTTTCTTATACTGTTCATCAAGATATATTTAAGGTCATCATGAAGACAAGGTTACATCATTTACAATATATGGAAGTAAGTCCCAGCCCCCGTTAAGATCCTAGTCTGGGCTAGCTGGCTGAGAGGGGCTGTTAAAACTCTAGTAATAGGAATAGCTGTCTCCCTGTCATTCTGCTGCTATGGCAGATGCTTTTTTCCTCTAGGACCACTGACTTCTGGAGATCTATGATTCATAACCTTGTGGCTAGAAATGAGATGTCAAAAGAGGACAAGATCACTCGGGTTCCTCCTTCCCTTGGGTTCCCTCTCCTGGGCCAATTAAGAACAGGCACATGGAGAAAAGAACCCAGAATTATCCCATAATCACACAAAGATCTGTTCACATACAATGGCCCAAGGAGGCAGGGCCTGCCCATGAGTCACCATTATCTACATAATGCAGCCTAACTATCCTGTTTTGCTTTTAGCTATTCAAGACTTTTCCGACCATGGGGAAGTCCCATGGCATGGGCTGTTTTCCCAACAGTATCTTGACTGAATCACTGAGTGTCATGCCAGAGGAGTGGGACCTGGTTGACCCCTCTTCCCTGGTGTCCAGGTGCCCAGGAACCCCTATGTGGTAGTGGGATCCAGATCTAAGAAAGCACAGCTCTTGTGTGGCCTCATGGGGAGTACATGCCTCACTGGGCTGGTTCTAAATTGTTCCAGGGTCAAGCCAGGAGGCATAAAGAACCTGCTCTTTCATCTTCCAACATTTTTTTTTTGGTAATAACCCAATTCCCTGATTAAAACATCTACAGTGGTGTCTTACATTTTTCAAAGCATAACTCAAACATTTTTTCCTTTAGAAAAACCTAAGTCTCCTAAAACAGGGGTTCCCAAGCCCTGGGCCATGGACTGGTACCGGTCCATGGCCTGTTAGGAACTGGGCTGCACAGTAGGAGGTGAGTGGCAGGTGACCAAGCATTAGCGCCTGAGCTCTGCCTCCTGTCAGATCAGCAGTGGGGTTAGATTCTCATAGGAGTGTGAATCTTATTGTGAACTGTGCATGCGAGGGATCTAGGTTGCTCGCTCCTATGAGAATCTAATGCCTGATGACCTGTCAGTGTCTCCCATCACCCTCAGATGGGACTGTCTAGTTGCAGGAAAACAAGCTCAGGGCTCCTACTGACTCTACATTATGGTGAGTTGTATAATTATTTCATTATGTATTATAATGTAATAATAGAAATAAAGTCCACAATACAGGTAACGCGCTTGAATCATCCCAAAACCACCCCTCCGAAAAATTGTCTTCCATGAAACCGGTCCCTGATGCCAAAAATGTTGGGAACCACTGTCCTAGAAAACATAGTTTCCTCCTTGACTTTTGGCATTTTGTACGTTTCTTTCAGCGCTAACCACAATAGTTATCTTCAAGTCTGTTTATTCATTGTTACTAAATCTTAGATTCCTTCAGCGCAGGAACCTTTCTCGCCCCCTAGTCCCACCCTGGACCTCACAACATTCTTTGAACACAGGAAGGGTTCGATAAATATTTGTTAAAGATCCCTTGGAGTCTGGCTTAAAAAGATTTAAGATCTAAAACTGAGGAAGGCAGATCTTTGAGGTGAGGCAAACATAGCCTGCCGATATGGCAGGAAGTAGAAATGGGCAGACCAAGTAGAGAAGGAAAATAGTTCTATACTCCTTATGAGTAGTATATAGGAGTGGGATAAAAAGTAGGATATAGGAGTCCAAATTTCCATCAAATCTATAGATTGATTTTCTTTGCATTAATTAAGACTTCTGGTGGAACGTGGTGGCTCATGCCTATAATCCCAGCACTTTGGGAGGCCAAGGTGGGTGGATCACCTGAGATCAGGAGTTCGAGACCAGCTGGCCAACATGATGAAACTCTGTCTCTACTAAAAATACAAAAATTAGCTGGGCGTGGTAGCAGGCGCCTGTAATCCCAGCTACTTGGGAGGCTGAAGCAGGAGAATCACTTAAACCTGGGAGGCCAAGTTTGCAGTGAGCCAAGGTCATGCCATTGCACTCTAGCCTGGGTGACAAGAGTGAAACTCAGTCTCAAAAAAAAAAAAAAAAAAGACTTATTTGTTGTTGCTAAAATGCAAAGATTCTGGGCTTATGAAGAAACTAATACTCCAGTAGGAATGCTTGAAATAAAAATATCTACCACTAACTGAAACCTAAGTATCAGGTTGCCCATCTTGTGTTGCTGTAATATAATACGCAGACTGAGTAATTTATAAAGCAAAGCAGCCTATTTCATGGTTCTGGAGGATAAGAAGTCTAATATCAAGATCCCGGCATTTGGTGAGTCTTTTTGCTGTATCATCTCTTGGTAAAGGCAAGTGGGTGAGTGAGGGCAAGAGGTTGAACTTGCCTCAACCTCAAGCCCTTTTATAATCAGTATTAATCCATTCATAAAGTTGGAACCTCCATGGCCAGCCAGCCATTAGGATTCACTTCCCGATATGGTTGCATTGTGGATTCAGTTTCCAACACATGCTTTTTGGAGGACACATTCAAACCACAGTACAGGTACTTTATATTAGCTTTATAATGACTCTCCCAAGAAAACAGTGCCACGTACAAGATGAGGAACTGGAGCTCAGACAGGTGAAGCCCCACCGCGTGTCACACAGGAAGAAATGGCAAAGTAAAAATTCACACCCAGGACTCCCTGGGCTTTCTCACCGCACATGTTGCCTTCTTACTGGATATCACCTGACAGAATGAGACTCAGGTGATTACAGGGATTCACCAGGAAAACGGGAAAGTCGGCATGACCAGAACTAGAACATGGGCCAGTGAATGCAGTTCTGGGTGGACCATGGCATTGGAAGCCAAAGGATAGCTTGAATGTGGTTAAAAAATTAAAACAACAAGGCACAAAACGCACAAATGAAATACAAATGATGCTCAAACACAGCTTTTATTTTACTTCAAAGTTTACCTCAGATCAGCCTGGGAAGGTGAGGGGAATGAAGCAGATGCTGTTAAAGGGTCATGGGAGAGAAAAGGTATCTGTGGGAAGAGAATAATCTCTTTTGACTTCGTGTGCTGCCTCACGGACACACTGGAGCAGGGATTGGGCCCCCAAGGCCTCAGGTAGCCCCGTGCCTGTGGCTTTGCTGGGTGCAGCCTACGTGGCTGCTCGAATGGGTTGCAGGCTGGTGCCTAAAGCTTTCCCAAGGGGGCGCTGCATGCTGCCACTGACTCCACAGTTCTGGGGTCCTGGTGGTGGTCAGGTCCTGCTCCCAGCGCTCCACAAGGCACTCTCTCCTGTGGCCTGGATCCACTAGACACTAGACATTTCCCTGGTGGGGGCCCTCTGTGGCAGCTGCACCTCACATTTCCACTTAGCATCACTCTAGTGGAGGCTCTCTGTGGGCTGGGCATGCTAGCTCAGTTCTCTTTTCCTCTTCTTATAAAGCCACCAGTCCCATTCCTGTGATAACCCATTAATCCATTAACCCATGAATGAAGGCACAGCCTTACGATCCAATCACATCTCAAAGGCCCCACCTTTCAGTATTGCCACATTAGGGATTAAGTCTCAACATGAGTGTTGGAGGGAACATTCAAACCACAGCAGTATGAAAACAATATTCAACTCCAAGGTATATGGTCAAGATTACAGGTGGTAAGGAATAGGCTAGAGAATAGGAATAGGCTAAATTTGCTAGAGATGTGCTGTGGAATTATCTGTATTTCTAGCTATGATCTTAGCTTCCTCAAGTCCATTTCATTGCAAGAATATGAAAAATTAAATTGAGATCCAGGTTCTTTTTTTATTTTTCAATTTTTATTTTTTGAGATGGCGTTTCACCCTGTCACCCAGGCTGGAGTGCAGTCGCACAATCCTGGCTCACTGCAACCTCCGCCTCCCGGGTTGACGCCATTCTCCTGCCTCCGCCTCCTGAGTAGCTGGGACTACAGGCCCGTGCCTCTGCGCCCAGCTAATTTTTTGTATTTTTTAGTAGAGACGGGGTTTCACCGTGTTAGCCAGGATGGTTTCGATCTCCTGACCTCGTGATCTGCCCTCCTCGGCCTCCCTAAGTGCTGGGATTACAGGCATGAGCTGCCGCACTCTGCCCAGGTTCTTATTTTTAATAGAAAAGAGAACAGGGAAGGAACACAGGTCAGTGTGAGGAAGGGGGTCATGGTAGACACAGAGGTGGACTGTTTCTCTACCTCCTCACATTGTGCTAACAGGGACACAGACAGATTCAGAGGCCCTTGCAAAAAGAGAAGCCAGAGTCCCCTAAGACACATAGGGGAGGCGTGAGGAAATCCTGCATCTCAGTCGCACACAAGGCAGCTGTGCATCTCAGTCGCACACAAGGCAGCTGTCTCAGGCTACAGAAGAAAATAGTCATGAACAAATTCAGGTCAGTCACGGTAAGTGATGACACTCTGAACAGCCCACCACACACTCAAAAATTCTGAATCAAAAAATCCCCACAACCCAGTCCTGTCCCCTCTGCCCCACCCTCCACCCACTTCAGACCCCCAGAATCTCACCTTTACAAGCTGTGAGACTCAGACCCCTGGGCACTGTCGCTCCCTGGGGTAGAACAAAAACAAGACCTGGTCAGAGCCCACAGGAGATGTGGTGCAGGAGGAATTATAGGGTGGGCGAGCTCCTCCACGCTCCCGCCCCGCACTTACACTCAGCCTTAGAGTAGCTCCCTCCTTTTCCACCTGTTGGAAGAAAATGTCCTGTGAGGGGCCAGGGAGGAGGCAGGGCCATAAGGTCCTAGAGGAACCTCCTAGTTTTGGATCCCAGAGAAGTTTCCTGAACTGTGACTGCAGACCCAGGGCAGGATCAGGAAACGTGAAGAAAGCAGGTGTGGGTCCTGGATCAACTGCCCTTCTGAGGTCTGTCTTCAGCAGGGACCTTCCCCTGTGACCTGTGACTGCTGGGATCAGGTCCCCATCACCACAATCGTCAAGGTGATAAATCTGTCCTTCATTGTCACAGGTGCTTTACAAAAGAGTAGGTGCGGCTGGGTGCGGTGGCTCACGACTGTAATCCCAGCACTTTGGGAGGCCGAGGCAGGCAGATCACAAAGTCAGGAGTTCGAGACCAGCCTGGCCAACATAGTGAAACCCCATCTCCACTAAAAATACAAAAAAAAAAATTAGCCAGGTGTGGTGGCACGCATGTGTAGTCCCAGCTACTAGGGAGGCTGAGGCAGGAGAATTGCTTGAACCTGGGAGGCGGAGGTTGCAGTGAGCTGAAACCACGCCATTGCACTCCAGCCTGGGTGACAGAGCCAAGACTCCGTCTCAAAAAAAAAGAGTAGGTGCTGGCACACAGGGCCCCAGGCTGGGTAGGCTCGTGTGTGTGGATGGTGCTTCCCAGTAACGAGGCAGGACACACTTTTACCTAGGGCTTGAAACACCCAGTGGGACAAGAAAACTCAGACCCCACCCTTCTCCCTTCCCCACCTGAGCTCTTCTTCCTCCATATCACAGCAGCAACCACAGCTCCAGAGACCACAGATCCAAGGAGAACCAGGCCAGCAATGATGCCCACGATGGGGATGGTGGGCTGGGAAGCCGGCTCTGGGAAAAGAGGGGAACGTAAGGGGCCCTGACCCCCAGGCCTCAGCCCTGACCCTGCGGAAGGGCTCCAGAAGGGCTCCCGCTTTCCCTGAGAAGAGACATGACCTCCCATCCCCCTCCTTACTCCATCTCAGGGTGACGGGCTCGGGTAGCCCCTCATGCTGCACATGGCACGTGTATCTCTGCTCCTCTCCAGAAGGCACCACCACAGCTGCCCACTTCTGGAAGGTTCCATCCCCTGCAGGCCTGGTCTCCACGAGCTCCGTGTCCTGGGTATGGCCCTCCCCATCCTGCTGCCAGGTCAGTGTGATCTCCGCAGGGTAGAAGCCCAGGGCCCAGCACCTCAGGGTGGCCTCATGGTCAGAGATGGGGTGGTGAGTCACGTGTGTCTTTGGGGGCTCTGAGGGGAAGAGTCAGAAAATTCAGGCACTTTGTATCTCTCATGGGACACTCCAGCAGCACCCATGTGACCATCCTGAGAAGGAAGAGGACAATTATAGTAGGAGAAGAGGACAAAACCTTGACACCAGCCTGGACTTAGGGATCTGGGATAGCCTCTTATTCCTTGGAAAGTTCTAGAATCGGGATGAGCTAGCCCAGGGTAGAAGGTGAAAAGGGATTTCTGGTCCTGGCCTGTGTGGATGCTGAGTGACTGAGAAAAGCTGGAGTCAGACCTCCAAAAACTCTTGGTGTGGGGCTGAGAATCAGGCACGAGAGAAACTCCCCCGTGATTCCTAATACTGGGAGTCAAAGAGAACTGCTCATCAGTTCATCTGAAGGATGGAATCTCCAGCGAGACTAGATTCCTTAATTGCCCCTGAGAGAGGTCTGGCCCTTTAAGAGAGTCACTCTGTGGTATAGGATCTCCTGTACCTCAGGTGACAGCTCCCTCTCCTGATCCAAGGGAGGAGTGGTATTCTGGCCTCCATCCCTGTTTCTTCTACTGTTTGAGGTCTGTCAGCTGTGGGCACAGTCCTAGCCCAAGAAGGAGATGGGAGAGTAGCCCTGTGGACCCTCTTACCCAGGTGAAGCAGCGTCTCCTTCCCCTTCTCCAGGTATTTGTGGAGCCACTCCACGCATGTGTCTTCCAGGTAGGCTCTCTGGTGCTCCGCCTCAGAGGCATCATTTGACTTTTGCTCGGAGATCTGAGCCGCCGTGTCCACCGCGGTCCAGGAGCGCAGGTCCTCATTCAGGGTGAGATAATCCTTGCCGTCGTAGGCGAACTGTTCATACCCGCGGAGGAAGCGCCCGTCGGGCCCCAGCTCGCAGCCATGCATCCACTGCAGGGTGTGAGACCCTGGCCCCGCCCCTTAGTCAGTCCCGCCCACCAAGCCCCGCCCCCGTCGCCACCACCCTGTGGGCATTTTGGCCTAAACTGAAAAAGAACCGGGTAAAGGCGCCTGAGACTCTCCCCGGTCTAGGGTCTGGGCGGGTTCCGCAGCCTTGGGGTGAATCTGGGACCCGAAGATTCGAGGGGACCCGCGCCGTCCGTGGGGGATGGGGAGGGGTCGTGACCTGCTCCCCTGGCCGGGGTCACTCACCGGCCTCGCTCTGATTGTAGTAGCCGCGCAGCGTCCGCAGATTCACTCGGAAAATCTGTGCGGTGTCCCTGGCGCTCCGTGTCTCCCGGTCCCAATACTCTGACCCCTCCTGCTCCATCCACGGCGCCCGCGGCACCATCCTCGGACTCGCGGCGTCGTTGTCGAAGCGCACGAACTGGGTGTCGTCCACGTAGCCCACAGAGATGAAGCGGGGCTCCCCGCGGCCGGGCCGGGACACGGAAGTGTGGAAATACTTCAAGGAGTGGGAGCCTGGGGGCGAGGAGGGGCTGAGATCGGCCCGACCCTCCTCCCGGCGCGGCTCCCCGAGTCCTTCGCCCCCGCCGGGCCGGCCCCTCTCTACTCCCGGTAGAGGCCGTTTCCATCCCGACCCCGCACTCACCCGCCCAGGTCTGGGTAAGGGCCAGGGCCTCCGAGAGGAGTAAAAGGAGGGTTCCATCTACCATGATCCCAGCCTCTGAGTCCTGAGAACTTCTTGAGTCCGGATGGGGACTTTATAGTCGGGAGTCGTGGCGACGCTGATTGGCTTCTCTAGAAACCCGACACCCATTGGGAATGAGAACTGAGTCTGCGTCATGAGTATCCAGGAAGAAGGACACATGACCAGGTTACGAGAGGAACGGGAAACTGCAGAGTTTCCCAGCAATCAGCAGTTCTTAAACTTTTAGGTTTCGGTATCTCTGCACACTCTTAGAAATTAGTCCTGGCTGGGCGCGGTGGCTCACGCCTGTAATCTCAGCACTTTGGGAGGCCAAGGCGGGCTGATCACCTGAGGTTGGGAGTTCGAGACCAGCCCGACCAATATGGAGAAACCCTGTCTCTACTAAAAGTCCAAAAAATTAGCCGGCGTGGTGGCGCATGGCTGTAATCCTGGCTACTTGGGAGGCTGAGGCAGGAGAATCACTTGAACCCAGGAGGAGGAGGTTGCGGTGAGCCAAGATCGTGCCATTGCCCTCCAGCCTGGGCAACAAGAAAAAAGAAATTAGTGAGGACCCAAATAAATTTTGTTTCTGTGGATTGTATCAATTTTTATCATATATAAATTAAAAGATATTAAAACAAAATATTAAAAATATTAATTCATTTAAGAGAATATTAATAACCCATTACATGTTAATAGAAACAACTTTTTTTTTTTTTTGAGTCAGAGTCTTGCTCTGTCCCCAGGCTGGAGTGCAGTGGCATGATCTCGGCTCACTGCAACCTCCTTCTCCCGGGTTCAAGCGATTCTCCTGCCTCAGCCTCCCCAGTAACTGGAACTACAGGCGTGTGCCACCACACCCAGCTAATTTTTGTGTTTTTAGTAGAGACGGGGTTTCACCATGTTGGCCAGGATGGTCTTGATCTCTTGATCGGAAATAACATATCTTTAATGAAAAAAAACTTAATTTTTAATTTTTCCAAAATAAACAACGTATAGGCCGGGAACGGTGGCTCACGCCTGTAATCGCAGCATTTTGGTAGGCCGAGGCAGGCAGATCACGAGGTCAGGAGTTCAAGACTAACCTGGCCAACATGATGAAACCCTGTCTCTACTAACAATACAAAAATTAGCCGGGTGTGGTGGTGCGCGCCTGTAATTCCAGCAACTCTGGAGGCTGAGATAGGAGAATTGCTTGAACCCGAGAGGTGGTGGTTGCAGTGAGCCGAGATCACACCACTGCACTCCAGCCTGGGCGACAGAGTGAGATGTCTAGGGGGAAAAAACAAGAAACAAAAAACAAAAACAAAAACAAAAAAACAGGATCTGCTTCAAGAAGTTGCCTTTGTAGTCAAACCAGCTGAGACTCGTTACAACCAAGAGAGCCGGCCAAATGACTTCAAAAAGACCTCACGCTTCATTGTAATCCCGTTTCCAGGCTAAATTGCGCTCCCATCCATGCCATGACAGTTGACGATCTCCATGACGATGAGTAGAAGAAGTCCTAAAAGGACCAAAAGGAAAGCGGTATTACCAGTTTGGAGAAGTTCACTGCCTGTTCCCATAAAACATATGAATATTCCTCCCCCTCACTTTTAATGCCCAACCCCTTCATTAGAGCAATCCTACATTTTAGCCCCCTCACCCCTCACTAGCCGCCTCACTAGTGGAGAAGTTGACTTGGCAGAGCTGCTCTCCTCTTTACAAGTCCTGTGCAGGAAATAAAGCTTGCTCTGCTTAAGGCTCACTTTTGGTTTCATGTATTGGCTCTGCGACTCCCAGTGAGGAAAGATCCCACCTTCTGCAGCTACCAAGATTTTTGGTAACAAGAAGAGTGATTATTTTTCATTTTCATAAGTGTTGTTCTTGCAAAATTTTGCAAGCATCATTCTTGGCTCATAGCATACATTCTCTTATGTACTTATTTTTAAATTTTTAACTTTTATTTTAGATACAGGGGGTGGCCAGGCGCGGTGGCTCACGCCTGTAATCCCAGTCGGGAGTTCGAGACCAGCCTTATCAATATGGAGAAACCCCATGTCTACTAAAAATACAAAATTAGCTGGAGGTGGTGGCGCATACCTGTAATCCCACCTACTCAGGAGGCTGAGGCAGGAGAATCGCTTGAACCCGGGAGGCAGAGGTTGCGATGAGCCGAGATCACGCCATTGCGCTCCAGCCTGAGCAACAAGAGTGAAATTGTCTCAAAAAAAAAAAAAAAAAAAACCAGAAAAAAATAGATACAGGGGTTACATGTGCCGGTTTGTTACATGGGTATGTTGTCTGATGCTGAGGTTTGGGGTATGGATCCTGTCACTCAGGTAGTGAACATAGTACCCACAGGTAGTTTTTCAACCCACGTCCCCACCCTCTCCACTCTAGTCGTCTACAGTGTCTGTTATACACATGTTTATGTCTATGTGTGCTCAGTGTTTAGCTCCCAATTATAAGTGAGAAGATGCAGTATTTGGTTTTCTGTTCCTGCATTAATTCACTTAGGATTATGGCCTCCAGCTGCATCCCAGCCATTTTCTTACTTTGATTGAAGTGTATATGTTAAAAAATCTAGCCTTACACAAATATTGAGTTGAAAAAGGAAGGATTTTTTGTTTTTAGATATTTGAAATACAACTTTATTCTGATTCTAAACGAAAAGGAATGGGAATGACAGTAACAAACAAGATTTCACCGCTGAATATTGTGATGTGACTGTAGCAGTCTATATTTGAAACTCAAGGAATCAACTGTGTTCCAAAACAGCTAAATATGCAGGTCCAAACAATGAAGGTATTTTTTGAACTGCCACATTCACTGCGAAGCCCACTCATCTCCTTCAGCATCCCACAGATGAAGCACATGTTCCGCTTAGCTAGATAATAATGAGGTGGCACACACGCTGCACAACTGACATCACAGGACAGCTGCCTATAAAACTAGACTTCTGACGCTGGGCTCCAGCTTCATTCTCACAGGTCATCATCCTCGTCCGGGAGAGCAGTTGTCTGAGCAACCTCTAAGTCGTGCTCATACTGTGCTGCCAAAGCTGGGTCCATGACAACTTCTGGTGGGGCGAGAGCAGGCATGGCAACAAATTCCAAGTTAGGGTCTCCAATGAGCTTCCTAGCAAGCCAGAGGAAGGGCTTTTCAAAGTTATAGTTACTTTTGGCAGAAATGTCGTAGTACTGAAGATTCTTCTTTCGGTGGAAGACAATGGATTTCGCCTTCACTTTCCTGTCCTTAATATCCACTTTGTTGCCACTCAACACAGTGGGGGTGTTTTCACACACTCATACCAGATCTCTATGCCAGTTAGGCACATTCTTGTAAGTAACTCTCGATGTTACATCAAACACTATGATGGTACTCTGGGCTTGGATATAATAGCCATCTCTCAGTCCACTGAATTTCTCCAGGCCGGCTGTGTCCCATACATTGAACTTAACAGGTCCTCTGTTGGTATGGAACACTAGGGGATGAACCTCAACACCCAAGGTGGCTACATACTTCTTCTCAAATTCACCAGTCAAATGATGTTTCACGAAAGTCGTTTTTCCAGTACCACCATCACCAACCAATACAAGTTTGAACTGGACCTGGGGCTGTCCCTGCGCAGCCATTGCGGTGTTCCTTCCAGAAGCGTCTCCATGCCCGTCTGACTCAGGAAGGAAGGATTATTATTGCTGTTGTTTAGAGACAGGGTCTCGCTCTGTCACCCAGGCTGGAGTGCAGTGGCACCATAATAGCTCACTGCAGCCTAGAACTCCTGGGCTCAAGGGATTCTCTCACCTCAGCCTTCCCAGTAGCTGGAACAACATGTGTGAGCTACCATGCCCGGACTGGGAGGATTATTTTTAACAGCTTTTCATGTAATTGTGGATATTCATATTTCACATTACATAAAAACTGTGCAAGTGGTGATTTCTTTTTTTTTGAAAGCAAATAATCCATTTTTAATCCTTTTAAATTTTATTTATTTAAAACATTTTTAAATTTCAATAGTTTTGGGGGAACAGGTGGTGTTTGTTTACATGGATAAGTTCTTTAGTGGTGATTTCCAAGATTTTGGCGCATCCAGCACCTGATTAGTGTACACTGTACACAATGTGTAGTCTTGTATCCCTCAGCTCCCTCCCACCCTTCCCCCGCCAGTTCCCAAAGTCCATTGTATCATTCTTAAGCCTTTGTGTTCTCATAGCTTAGCTCCCATTTATAAGTGAGAACATACAATGCTTGGTTTTCCATTCCGGAGTTAATTCACTCAGAATAATGGTCTCCAGCTCCATCCAGGTTGCTTTGAATGCCATTATTTCCTTTCTTTTTATGACTGTGTAGTATTCCATTATATATCTATATATCTATATATAGATATAGATATATATAGATATAGATATATATAAAATTACATTTTCTTTATCCATTCATTGATTGATGGGCATTTGGGCTGGTTCCATATTTTTGCAATCACCAATTGTGCTGCTATCAATATGCTTGTTCAAGTATCTTCTTCTTTTTTCTTTTCTTTTCTTTTCTTTTTTTTTTTTTTTGAGACGGAGTCTCGCTCTGTCACCCAGGCTGGAGTGCAGTGGCGTGATCTCGGCTCACTGCCACCTCCACCTCCTGGTTGACGCCATTCTCCTGCCTCAGCCTCCTGAGTAGCTGGGACCACAGGCACCTGCCACCACGCCCGGCTAATTTTTTGTATTTTTAGTAAAGACGGGGTTTCATCGTGTTAGCCAGGATGGTCTCGATCTCCTGACCTCGTGATCTGCCTGCCTCAGCCTCCCAAAGTGCTGGGATTACAGGCGTGAGCTATGGTGCCCGGCCATTAAGGGGATAAGTTTTAACAGTCCAGGTTCAAGGGTAGTGGAAGCTGAGGAATTGGAGGGAAAGGTAATTCAGCCAAAGGTGGATACAGAAGAACAGAGGAAAGAGAACAGGAAATCTCTCCTCTGGAGAGGAAAGAATCTGGGGCCCTAAAGCCTTGTTGTCCTTCCTTAACTGTTTGCTGGTCTCAGTTAATTTTGTGATAGAATCTTAGAGGGAGGCAATGTTTGAATCCCGAATGCATTATGAAACTTTGAAGTACCAAGTAAACTAAGCCTCCCATTCACATTGTTTAATTTTAGGACCATGGTCTTCTAGTTTTGTTTTAAGGAAGACAAGTTTGGGGAACTCAAAAGGCCCCAAGGATGGCCATTGAAGATCCAAATTAACTTTGGCGTACTCTACCCATTGATTTCAAAACGTACACAGGAGAGGACCTTAATTTTTTTTTCTTTCCTTATTTATTTTAATTTTTAAAAATAGAGATGAGCTCTTGCTATGTTGCCCAGGATGGTTTCAAACTCATGAGCTCAAGTGATCCTTCCACCTTGGTCTCCCAAGGTGCTGGGATTATAGGCATGAGCCACCGACCATAAATTTTGACCATATAGCTGACAGGAGTCCCAGAAGACGGCCTATATTGGATGCTTTGGAATTTTGGCATCCTGTTCTGCCTCTTATTAATTTCTCGACAGCAAAAGAAAAATTCCATAATCCCTGTGAGGAAATGGTAGAGGCTGGAGCGATTTGTTTTTTAATAGTGTGCCTAGTATAGGATTTTTGTTTTTACTTAGTGGGCAGCCTGTGATCTAATTGTCCATCCTGTGACCATTTTCTCCAGATTTTTCTTGAGACTGGTGCGACCCCTAATGGCAATTTTGTTTATTCATGTACCAGTTTATCCTGACAACAGATAATTTCTCTTTGGGGAGACTGAAGTTTCTCATTGAATGGCGACAATAGCCCAAACAGCTTTTAAAGGGTCGACACATACCCATCTTTTTAGAAAGTAAATTTTGCTCTCAAAAGATGTTCAGAAACAGAGGCAAGAAATCAAGCAATGAACTCAGCATAAGTCTCTTCCAAAGGTAATCTTTCTTCAGGATCACTTCTGATACCAGATTTTTCAACCTAAAAAAAAAAAGACATTAAAGAAATGTCCAAATATGTTGAGTTTATTTGGGAATTAGAATGAGGATTGTAACCTGGGGTGCACTGGTGGATTGCCACTCTGGGAAATATTAGCTTAGCCAGATGTAGTGGGTTGAATGGTTGTCCCCACAAAGATATGTTTCTGTCCTAGTCCCCAGAAGCTGTGAATTTCAAGTTGTTTGGAAAAAAAGGGTCTTTGCAGATGTAATTAAGCTGAGGATATTGAAATGAGGAGATCCTCCTGGATGACCTAGGTGGGCCCTAAATCCAATGAAAAGTGTCTTCCTAACAGGTACACAGAAGAGAGAGTCAGAAGAGGAGAAGGCAATGTGAAGAAGGAGGCAGAGACTGGAGCAATGGGGCTACAAGCCAAAGAACGCTGACCAATGCCCTGGGCCTCCAGAACTGTGAAAGAATAATTTTCTGTTGTTGTAAGTTGCCAACTTTGAGGGCATTTTTGTGGCAGCTACAGGAAGTAAAAATATGGATGGTCAACTTCAACATCAACAGTGGTACATCAAATTGATATAATCTTGATAATGTGTTTGGAGAACAGCACTTCACCTCATCTAAACATCCATAACCATAGTCTAACCATGATCTACACCCCAACTAAATTCAGTTTGAGGGATATTTTACAATATATCTGGTCAGTACTTCCCGATATTGTGAAAGGCATCAAAAATTAGGAAAATCTCAGGAATTGTCACAGACCAGAGGATGCCGTGGAGGCACGACAGAGACTAAATGTAGTGTGATATTCTCCATGGAATCCTGAAACACAGAAAGGACATTAGGGGAACGCTAATGAACTCCAAATAAAGTCTGCAGTTTAGTAATAATAAGGTATGAAAATGGCTTCATTAGCTGTGACAAATGGACCATAGTAATGAGAGATGTTAACATCAGGGGAAACTGACTGTGGAGCGGATGGCAACTCTGTACTACCATTGCAACTTTTATGTAAATTTAAAACTCTTCTAAAATAAAATTATCTAAAAGTAGCAGTCAGGAAAGGATTAAGGAGTGGAAGAAAAAAATGATCAACTTTCCATTTTCCTGGAGTGTTGCCATGAAAAGGCTGGAGGGAGGGTTTGCAAGGAGGAGTTGGAAACCTCAGAGACAGGCAGCTCCAGAGCCCTCCTCTGTTCCGCAGAGCCGGAACCCCGCGCAGTCCAGGGCTTCTCAGAAGGCCTTTCCACCCCCTGGACAACCCCAGCCCCACCTCATTGATACATCCTTTCTGGATCAACAATCTGTGTCTTACTCAGACCACCGCCCCGTCCTCTCCAGAGCAGCTCATCAGAACCCAAGCGTAGAGCGGCAGCGGCCCCGTGTGGCCGAAGGACTGAGGAGAGACACCCAGCTCTCCTGTCCCTTCCCCATCTGGGACCTCCCCAGGTTCCCCTTCGGATCTCGGCAGAACAGGGCTCTGTGCACATGCGGGCGACCCCGTCCCGCGACAGGTGTTTCCTCCCAGTTAGTGGCAGTGGACTCTGACCTCAAGGCAGAGGGAGGTCTGCAGGCCCTAAGACCTGGTTCCCAGGTCTGGGTGGACCCCACAGACATACTGTGCTCCCAGTACGCAGCCTCTCAGTGTTTTTGGAATGAGGCCTTGGACTCCTGAGTCCCTGAAATTTGTTCTGCTGCTTCCAGAGAGGAAGATCCCTCCTCCCCGGAATCCCCTAGATGAGTCTCCAGCCCCAGCACGTTGGGACCCGGGAAGGACATGGCATCGGAGCTGGAGACTATATTGGGTTACAAGGATTTCTGGAATCAGACTGGGCTGAGCATTTGTCCCCAATCCATCGGGAACCCGAGGGCGGTTCCTCCGCCACTACCCGGACCTCCAGGACCCAGGCATCTGAACCTATACCCTATTGGATCCTGGAGGGCGGCCCCTCCCCAGCCTTGAGAGTCCAGGATTCTGGCCCCACCCGAACCCTGAGAGTCCAGGACCCTGGCATCCGGCCTCTTCTTCCCATTTGCAACCTAAGCAGACAGGACCTGCTGTCTATATCCCTTAATCCTGGCCCCCTGCCATCTCCAATCCCTGCTTAAAGGTCCTTGATTCTGGACTCAAATCTAATTTCTGGTCTTGTCGATTGTCCATGACGGTCGCCCACCAGGAGAGGCTCCCCAGCGCGAAACGTGCTGCAGCTGAGCGACAGCGGCGGATTTTGGCGCTTTGGCCCAGACTCCCTGCCCGAAGCGCCCCGGGACTCCGCCCTGGAGACTGCGCCCTGGAGGCTCCGTAGGGGTCTGTCTTCCTCTGCGGCAGGAGGGGGCGCACGGGGATTTCTGCCACTGAGGCTGCGCTCACCACCCTGGGTAAGCCTCTCCCCACCGCTCCCCTGTGGACCTCAAAAATCATATATTGGGAAAATACCGACCTGTCAGCCCCAGACTCAACTTTAAGAGGTTCTGGTCTCTAGATTTATTCAGCCCCTAACTGTTGGTTGAGCATCTACTTTTCGTCAGGCGCTATTCTAGGCGCTTGGGTCAAATCCAAACAGGCACAAATCATGGCTCTCAAGGAATTTACCTTCGGTTGAAAGACGTGGCCAATAAAAAGTCACTGAAGTCAACTACAGGGGTGTCCGAAAATAAAGGATGATTAAGAGAAAAGCAAGGCACGGAAGATGAAAGGAGCCAGGTGCAATTTGAAGTTATTATCATGAGAGTGAGATTTCCCGAGAGGTGCCATGCGAGCTGAGTCCTGAAGCAGATGAAGGAGGAAGCCCTGGGTTATTGGGAGGAAGGGTGTTCTAGAATCACCCTCTGCAGACGTGTGGCTCCGCCGGGGAAAGCACCCAGGCTGCGGCAGGAATGGGGCTGGGTAGGTTTCAGAAGGACTTCCTGAGGCTGGTTGCGGAGATCAGGGTTTGTGTTATCTCCTGACCACTTCCCACCAGTGCCTGGCACTTCATGAAACCCCGAGCTTGCCGGCAGGGTGAGTTGCCTGGTGTGTGGAGGAAGGCTGGGAGAGGAGGAGGCTAAGGTGGGTGCCAGCCTCGACTGTGTCTCTGTACTCTTTCTTTCCGGGACCCAGAGTTGGAAATGTAAGTGGTACTGATGTCTTCTGCAAATCCTAGAATCCCCGGAACTGGAAGAAATCTTGACATGGCAGGATGTAAAATTAAGGAATTTCTAAGCCCTGGAGGCTCTAAGGAATAATTTCAAGAAAGACTAAGTATGAGAAAAAAATGTTAAATATGCCAATAATCTTTTATACTGATTCCATGCTAAAATTATATTTTGGATGTATTGGGTTAAATAAAACATTGTTAAAAATAATTTCATTGATTACTTTTTACTTTTTAAAATGTGGCTACCAGAAAATTAAAGATTACCGATGTGGCTCACATTTGTGACTCATATTATAGCCTATTGCGTAGCACTGTTTTAGAAGGCTGGCAACTTTAGCTCTTATGTTTATATCTATGATTTATATCAAATGAGTTTTTGGATATGGTGTTCCTCTTATTTCTTGTCATTTTTTTTTCCAGCACCATTTGTTGAAAACACTATCCTTTCCCCTTAAAGCATTTTTCAGAGACATATATGTGTGGTTTTATTCATCTACTCTTTATTCTATTCCACCGATTCATGGCTATCCTTATGCCAGTAACACAACCTTGATTCCTGGAGCTTTATAGTAAGTCTTGTAATCAGGTAGTGTGTATTTTCCAAGTTTCTTCTTTTTAAAAATTATTGTGGATATTCAAAGTCCTTCAGATTTCCATATAAATTGACAAATCAGCTTGGTAATTTCTTTTTAAAAAAAACCTGCCAGGATTTATTTTTATTTTTTATTTTTTTAAACTTTTAGGTTCAGCCCTGCCATGATTTTGATTGGAATTGCACTTAATCCACAGGTCAGTTGTGGGAGACTTGGTACCTCAACAATACTGAATATTCCAATCTTTGAACATAGTATTTCTCCGCCCTTATTTATGTCTTCTTTATTTCTTTTTTTGGGGGTGGGGTTGTTTTGTTTTTTATTTTTTTTTATTTCAATAGGTTTTTGGGAGAACAGGTGGTGTTTGGTTACATGAATAAGTTCTTCAGTGTTGATTTCTGAGATTTTGGTGCACCCATCACTTGAGCAGCATACAAAGTACCCAATGTGTAGTCTTTTATCTCTCACCTCCCTACCCCTCTTCCCCTGAGTCCTCAAAGTCCATTTTATCATTCTTATGCCTTTGCATCCTCATAGCTTAGCTACCATTTATGAGTGAGGACATACCATGTTTGGTTTTCCATTCCTGAGTTACTTCACTTAGAATAATGGTCTCCATTTCCATCCAGGTTGCTGCGAATGCCATTATTTCATTCCTTTTTATGGCTCAATAGTATTCCACGGTATACATATACATCATTTTCTTTATCCTTTCGATGATTTATGGGCATTTGGGCTGGTTCCATATTTTTGCAATTGCAAATTGTGCTGTTATTAACATGTATATGCAGGCATCTTCTTTGTATAATGACTTCTTTTCCTCTGGGTAGATATCCAATGGTGGGATTGATGGATCAAACAGTAGATCTACTTTTAGTTATTTAAGGATTCTCCATACTGTTTTCCGTAATTGTTGTACTAGTTTACATTCCCACCAGCAGTGTAAAAGTGTTCCCTTTTCGTCACATCCATGCCAACATCTATTTTTTTTTTGGTATTTTGATTATGGTCATTCTTGCAGGAGTGAGGTGTTATTGCATTGTGGTTTTGATTTGCCTTTCCCTGATCATTAGTGATGTTGGGCATTTTTTTTCATATGTTTGTTGGCTATTTGTATATTTCTTTTGAGAATTTTCTATTCATGTCCTTAGTGCGTTTTTTGATGGGATTGTTTGTTTTGTTCTTTCTGATTTGTTTGAATTCTTTGTAGATTTTGGATATTAGTCCTTTGTCGGATGTGTAGATCAAAGATTTTCTTTCACTCTGTGTGTTGTCTGTTTACCCTGCTGATTGTTTCTTTGCTGTGCAGAGGCTTTTAGTCTAATTAAATCCCATCTATTTATCTTTGTTTTTGTTGCATTTGCTTTTGGGTTCCTGGTCATGAAGTCTTTGCCTAAGGCAATGTCTAGAAGGTTATTTTTTTATGTTGTCTTTTAAAATTTTTATGGTTTCATGTCTTAGATTTAAGTCTTTGATCCACCTTGAGTTGATTTTTGTATAGGATGAGAGAAGAGAATCCGGTTTCATTCTTCTATATATGGCCTGCCAATTAACCCAGGACCATTTGTTGAATACGGTGTCCTCTCCCCAGTTTATGTTTTTGTTTGCTTTGTTGAAGTTCGGTTGACTATAAGTACTTGGTTTTATTTCTGGGTCCTCTATTCTGTTCCATTGGTCTATAGGCCTATTTTTATACCAGTACCATGCTGTTTTGGTGACTGCAGCCTTATAGTATAGTTTGAAGTTGGGTAATGTAATGCCTCCAGATTTGTTCTTTTTGGTTAGTCTTACTTTGGCTATGCAGGGTCTTTTTTTGTTCCATATGAATTTTAGGATTATTTTTTCTAGTTCTGTGAAGAATGATGATGGTATTTTGATGAAAATTGCATTGAATTTGTAGTTTTTTTTTGGCAGTATGGTCATTTTCACAATATTGATTCAACCCATTCATGAGCATGGGATGTGTTTCCATTTGTCTGTGTCATCTGTGATTACTTTCAGCAGTGTTTTGTAGTTTTCCTTGTAGAGATCTTTCACCTCCTTGGTTAAGTATATTCCTAGGTACTTTATTTTTGTCACAGCTAAAGTAAAAGGGGTTGAGTTCTTGATTTGATTCTCAGCTTGGTGGCTGTTGGTGTATAGCAGAGCTACTGATTTTGTACAATAATTTTGTATCGTGAAACTGCTGAATTTGTTCACCCATTCTAGGAGACTTTTGGATGAGTCCTTAGGGTTTTCTAGGTATACAATCATGTCATCAGCAAACAACGACAGTTTGACTTCCTTATGACCAATTTAGATGCACTTTATTTCTTTCTCTTGTCTGATTGCTCTGGTTAGGACTTCCAGTACTATGTTGAATAGAAGTGGTGAAAGTGGGAATCCTTGACTTGTCCCAGTTCTCAGCGGGAATGGTTTCAACTTTCCCCCGTTCAGTATAATGTTGGCTCTGGGTTTGTCATAGATGCCTTTTATTTCCTTAAGGTATGTCCCTTCTATGCTGATTTTGCTGAGGGTTTTTTTTTTTTTTTTTTTTGAGATGGAGTCTCGCTCTGTGGCCCAGGCTGGATGCAGTGGCACGATCTCCGCTCACCCGCCTCCTGGGTTCACGCCATTCTCCTGCCTCAGCCTCCCAAGTAGCTGAGACTAGAGGCGCCCACCACCACGCCCGGCTAATTTTTTGTATTTTTTTTGTAGAGACGGGGTTTCACCACGTTAGCCAGTATGGTCTTGATCTCCTGACCTCGTGATCCACCCCCCTCAGTCTTCCAAAGTGCTGGGATTAAAGGCGTTAGCCACCATGCCCAACCCTGCTGAGGGTTTTAATCATAAAGGGATGCTGGATTTTGTGAAATGATTTTTCTGCATCTATTGAGATGATCATGTGATTTTTGTTTTTAATTCTGTTTATGTGGTGTATTACATTTATTGACTTTCATATGTTAAACCATCCTTGCATATCTGGTAGGAAACCCACTTGATCATGGTGGATTATTGTTTTGATATGCTGTTGGATTCTGTTAGCTAGCATTTTTTTTTTTTTCCAGACGGAGTTTCGCTCTTGTTGCCCAGGCTGGAATGCAATGGCGAGATCTCGGCTCACCCCAACCTCCGCCTCTTGGGCTCAAGCGATTCTCCTGCCTCAGCCTCCCAAGTAGCTGGGACTACAGGCATGCACCACTACGCCCAGCTAATTTTGTATTTTTAGTAGAGATGGGGTTTCTCCATGTTGGTCAGGCTGGTCTTGAACTCCTGGCCTCAAGTGATCAGCCCACCTTGGCCTCCCAAAGTGCTGGGATTACAGGTGTGAGCCACCACGCCCGGCCACTAGTATGTTTTGAGGATTTTTGCATCTATGCTCATTAGGTATATTGGCCTGTAGTTTTGTTTTTTTTTTGTTATGTCCTCTCCTGGTTTTGGTATTAGGGTGATACTGGTTTCATAGAATGATTTAGAGGGGATTCCCTCTTTCTCTACCTTTTGGAATAGTGTCAGTGGTATAGGTACCATTTTTTGAATGTCTGATAGAATTCCGCTGTGCATCCATCTGGTTCTGGGCTTTTTTTTGTTGTTGGTACCTTTTTTTTTTTCTTTGAGGTGGAGTTTCACTCTTGTCGCCCAGGCTGGAGTGCAATAGCACGGTCTCTGCTCACTGCAACCTCCACTTCCTGGGTTCAAGTGATTCTCCTGCCTCAGCCTCCCGAGTAGCTGGGATTCCAGGCATGTACCACCACCCCTGGCTAATTTTTTTGTATTTTTAGAAGAGACGGAGTTTCTCCATGTTGGTCAGGCTGGTCTCAAACTCCCGACCTCAGGTGATCTGCCCGCCTAGGCCTCCCAAAGTGCTGGGACTACAGGCGTGAGCCACTGCGCCCGGCCGGTAATTTTTTAAATTACCATTTTTTTTTTTTTTTTTATTGATCATTCTTGGGTATTTCTCACAGAGGGGGATTTGGCAGGGTCATAGGACAATAGTGGAGGGAAGGTCAGCAGATAAACAAGTGAACAAAGGTCTCTGGTTTTCCTAGGCAGAGGACTCTGCGGCCTTCCGCAGTGTTTGTGTCCCTGGGTACTTGAGATTAGGGAGTGGTGATGACTCTTAACGAGCATGCTGCCTTCAAGCATCTGTTTAACGAAGCACATCTTGCACCACCCTTAATCCATTTAACCCTGAGTGGACACAGCACATGTTTCAGAGAGCACAGGGTTGGGGGTAAGGTCACAGATCAACAGGATCCCAAGGCAGAAGAATTTTTCTTAGTACAGAACAAAATGAAAAGTCTCCCATGTCTACTTCTTTCTACACAGACACGGCAACCATCCGATTTCTCAATCTTTTCCCCACCTTTCCCCTCTTTCTATTCCACAAAACCGCGATTGTCATCCTGGCCCGTTCTCAATGAGCTGTTGGGTACACCTCCCAGACGGGGTGGTGGCCGGGCAGAGGGACTCCTCACTTCCCATTAGGGGCGGCCAGGCAGAGGAGCCCCTCACCTCCCTCCCGGAGGGGGCGGCTGGCCGGGCGGGGGGCTGACACCCCCACCTCCCTCCTGGATGGGGCGGCTGGCCTGGCGGGGGCTGACCCCCACCTCCCTCCCAGACAGGGTGGCTGCCGGGCGGAGACGCTCCTCACTTCCCAGACGGGGCGGCTGCCAGGCAGAGGGTCTCCTCACTTCTCAGACGGGGCGGCCGGGCAGAGACGCTCCTCACCTCCCAGACGGGGTCGCGGCAGGGCAGAGGCGCTCCTCACATCCCAGACGGGGCGGCGGGGCAGAGGTGCTCCCCACATCTCAGACGATGGGCAGCCGGGCAGAGACGCTCCTCACTTCCTAGATGGGGATGGAGGCCGGGAAGAGGCGCTCCTCGCTTCCTAGATGGGATGGCGGCCGGGCAGAGACGCTCCTCACTTTCCAGACTGGGCAGCCAGGCAGAGGGGCTCCTCACATCCCAGACGATGGACGGCCAGGCAGAGACACTCCTCACTTCCCAGATGGGGTGGCGGCCGGGCAGAGGCTGCAATCTCAGCACTTTGGGAGGCCAGGGCAGGCGGCTGGGAGGTGGAGGTTGTAGCGAGCCGAGATCACGCCACTGCACTCCAGCCTGGGCACCATTGAGCACTGAGTGAACGAGACTCTGTCTGCAATCCTGGCACCTTGGGAGGCCGAGGCTGGCAGATCACTCGCGGTTAGGAGCTGGAGACCAGCCCGGCCAACACAGCGAAACCCCGTCTCCACCAAAAAAATACGAAAACTAGTCAGGCGTGGCGGCGCGCGCCTGCAATTGCAGGCACTCGGCAGGCTGAGGCAGGAGAATCAGGCAGGGAGGTTGCAGTGAGCCGAGATGGCAGCAGTACAGTCCAGCTTCGGCTTGGCATCAGAGGGAGACCGTGGAAAGAGAGGGAGAGGGAGACTGTGGGGAGAGGGAGAGGGAGGGGGAGGGGGAGGGGGAGGGGGAGAGGTAGAGCCTAAATTACCATTTCAATCTCACTGCTTGTTATTGGCCTGTTCAGGGTTTCCATTTCTTCCTGGTTTAATCTAGGAGGGTTGTATATTTTCAGGAATTTATCCATGTCCTCTAGGTTTTCTAGTTTATGTGCATAAAGGTGTTCATAGTAGCCTTGAATGATCTTTTGTATTTCTGTGGTATTGGTTGTAATATCTTCTGTTTTGTTTCTAATTGAGCTTATTTGAATCTTCTTCCTTCTTTTCTTGGTTAATCTTACTAATTGTCTATCAATTTGATTTATCTTTTCAAACAACCAGCTTTTTGTTTCATTTATCTTTTGTAATTTTTTGTTTCAATTTCATTTAGTTTTGCTCCGATCTAGGTTATTTTTTTTTCTTCTGCTCATTTGGGTTTGGTTTGTTCTTGTTTCTCTAGTTCCTGGAGGTGCGACCCTAGATTGTTTATTTGTGCTCTTTCAGACTTTTTGATGTAGGCATTTAATGCTATGAACTTTCCTCTTAGCACTGCTTTTTCTGTATCCCAGAGGTTTTGATAGGTTCGGTCACTATAATCATTCAGTTCAAGGAATTTTTTTTTTTTTTTTTTTGGAGACAGAGTCTTGCTCTGTCACCCAGGCTAGAGTGCAGTGGCACCATCTCGCCTCACTGCAATCTCTACCTCCCGGGTTCAAGCAAAGCAATTCTCCTGTCTCAGCCTCCTGAGTAGCTGGGACTACAGGTACCCACCACCACACCAAGCTAATTTTTGTATTTTTAGTATAGACAAGGTTTCACCATATCAGTCAGGCTGCTCTCAAATCCCTGACCTCAGGTGATCCACCCACCTTGGCCTCCCAAAGTGTGGGGATTACAGGATTGAGCCACCACACAGGCCAGTTCAAAGAATTTTTGTATTTCCATCTTGATTGTATTGTTGATCCATTGATCATTCAGGAGCAGGTTACTTAATTTCCACGTATGTGCATGGTTTTGAGGGCTCCTTTTGGTGTTGATTTCCAATTTTATTTCACTGTGGTCTGAGAGAGTACCTGACATAATTTCAATTTTCTCAAATTTGTTAAGACTTGTTTTGTGGCCTATCATATGATTTATCTTGGAGAATGTTCCATGTGCTAATGAATAGAATGTACATTCTGCAGTTGTTGGGTGGAGTGTTCTATAAATATCTGTTAAATCCATTTGTTCTAGGGTAGAGTTTAAGTCCATTGTTTCTTTGTTGACTTTCTATCTTGATGACCTGTCTAGTGCTGTCAGTAGAGTATTAACATCCCCCACTATTGTTGTGTTGCCATCTATCTCATTTCTTAAGTCTAGTAGTAATTGTTTTATAAATTTAGGAGCTCCAGTATTAGGTGCACATATATTTAGGATTGTGATATTTTCCTGTCAGACTAGTCCTTTTGTCATTATATAATGTCCCTCTTTGTCTTTTTAAACTGTTGTTGCTTTAAAGTCTATTTTTTCTGATAGAAGAATAGCTACTCCTGTTTGCTTTTGGTGCCCATTTGCATGGAACATCTTTTTCCATCACTTTATCTTAAGTTTGTATGTGTCCTTATGTGTTAGGTGAGTCTCTTGAAGACAGCAAATACTTAGTTGGGGAATTCTTATCCATTTTGCAATTCCATATCTTTCAAGTGGAGCATTTAGGCCATTTACATTGAGTGTTAGTATTGAGATGTGAGGTACTATTCTATTCATTATGCTAGTTGTTGCCTAAATACCTTTTTTTTTTTTTTTGTAGTGTGATTATTTTATAGGCCCTGTGAGATTTATGCTTTAAGCAGGTCACATTTTGGTATATTTCAAGATTTTGGTTCAAGATTTAGAACATCTTTTAGTAGTTCTTATAGTGCTGGCTTGTTAGTGGCAAATTCTCTCAGCATTTGTTTGTATGAAAAATACTTTATCTTTCCGCTGGGCACAGTGGCTCATGCCTGTAATCCTAGCACTTTGGGAGGCTGAGGCAGGCGGATCATGAGGTCAGGAGATGGAGAGCATCCTGGCTAACATGATGAAACCCCATCTCTACTAAAAATACAAAAAATTAGCTGGGCGTGGTGGTGGGCGCCTGCAGTCCCAGTTACTTGGGAGGCTGAGGCAGGAGAATGGCATGAACCCAGGAGGCGGAGCTTGCAGTGAGCTGAGATTGTGCCACTGCACCCCAGCCTGGGTGACAGCAAGACTCTGTCCCAAAAAAAAAAAAAAAGAAAAATACTTTATCTTTTCCTTCATCACTTTTACTGGATACAAAATTCTGGGTTGATAATTATTTTGTTTAAGTGTCTAAAGATTGGACCCCAATCCCTTCTAGCTTGTAGGGTTTCTGCTGATAAATCTGCTGTTAATCCGATAGGTTTTCCTTTACAGGTTACTTGATGCCTTTGCCTCACAACTCTTAAGATTCTTTCCTTCATCTTGACCCTAGATAACCTGATGACTATGTGTCTAGGTGATGATCTTTTTGAGATGAATTTCCCAGGTGTTCTTTGAGCTTCTTGTATTTGAATGTCCAAATCTGTAGCAAGGCCAGGGAAGTTTTCCTCAATTATTCCCTCAAATAAAATTTTCAAACTTGCAGATTTCTCTTCTTCCTCAGGAACATCAATTATTCTTAAGTTTGGTCATTTAACATGATCCCAAACTTCTTGGAGGCTTTGTTCATTTGATTCTTTTTTCTTTGTTTTTGTCAGAGTTAATTTGAAAGCCTTGTCTTAGAGCTCTGAAGTTCTTTCTTCTAGTTGTTTGATTCTATTGTTGAAACCTGCCATAGTATTTTGCACTTCTCTAAGGGTGTCCTTCAGGCCGGGCGCGGTGGCTCACGCCTGTAATCCCAGCACTTTGGGAGGCCGAGGCGGGCGGATCACGAGGTCAGGAGATCGAGACCATCCCGGCTAAAACGGTGAAACCCCGTCTCTACTAAAAATACAAAAAATTAGCCGGGCGTAGTGGCGGGCGCCTGTAGTCCCAGCTACTTGGGAGGCTGAGTCAGGAGAATGGCGTGAACCCGGGAGGCCGAGCTTGCAGTGAGCCGAGATAGCACCACTGCACTCCAGCCTGGGCAATAGAGCGAGACTCCATCTCAAAAAACAAACAAACAAACAAACATAAAAAAGCCCAGAGTATTAACACTTGCTTATGATGCAATTTGAGAGCAAACACTTTTTGTACTTTTAAATGAAATTGTGCTGGGAAATACAAGGCAAAAAAACTGGGAAAATTTGTTTTTGTTAACAGAAGATGATGCAATAAGGAATCCAGATGAAACATAAGACCAGTGTTTACAATTTCTCATAAAAAGTGTAATTTTCAGCTGTAGCCTCATAGCTAGCTAACAGCTTTTAAAAACATGTACAGCCAGCCAACAGTTCTCTAAAGCATGTTTATGCTGCACTAAAAGATCCCTGCTAAACATCAACTGTACTTAAATGGGTTTTACTGAAGTAGGACTTTCATGATACTTTTAAAAGCCAGTCGTTTAAAAAGTGAATATGATAGGGCTACAATAATAACATTACTATTTTTTTCCCTTGGTTAATATGCCTCTATTTGAAACAAACCTACAGGTGCTTCTTAATACCATGGAATCATGAATTCTTGCAGTTATCAGCGTTTCCTAATGATTAAAACAATGTTCACATAATTACAAAGTTACTTCATCAAAATACTTAGAAGTATTTTGATTTTCTGAGGAGTGTTTGAAAGCTCTGTTTATAAATAGTGATTGTTACATTTATTATGTATTTGGTGCTGAAGATAAACACTTTTTACATAAAACAGTGTTTTAATATACTGGTCTACTAATGAGGCTAGTTATTAGATATACTGTATGTTAACACTGAAGAATAAAGCTTTATCTTCATATTTATTTTATTTGTAGGTCTCTTATCAATGAAGAACTTTGTATCCAACAATAATAAACTGTCATATTGCAAGTTGCATTTTGTAGAAGCAAAAAAGACTGGCTGTGACGAAATAAAGAAGATATTTGCATTATACATGCTTCTTACAAACAGTCCATTCTGAATGGTAGAATTAAATGCAAACCAAATGCTTTTAAATGTTTGTGTGCCTAGATGGCAACTACAATCTCCACACACTTAAAAGAACAATAACACAGAACACAGTATCCTTAATGATTGTAGCACATTTAACACCTTCAGCCATCACTGGGTTTTCAGATCATATTGGCAATTGAAATTTCACATCCACATGCGCTTGCTTTGCTTCACTATTTCAGAGAGCTTTACAAGCACTCTAGCAGCTTCCACCAAATCATCACAAGCAAGTATTTTAAGTCCACTGTCTGCTTTTAGTGCCTTAACATCATCAACTTGTGTACCTTGTAACTGTACCACAACAGGTATTTTAATTTCCAAACTTTTTACTGCCATGACTATACCCTTTGCTGTAATATCACAGTGCATGATTCCTCCACAAATGTTGACCAGAATAGCCAGTACCTTTTTATCTGAAGTGATAGGCTTAAATGCTTCTGTTACTTGATGGACTGTAGCACCACCACCAACAAGGAAATTAGCTGGAGTCTCTCCATGAAGTTTTATTATATCCATTGTGGCCATAGCCAAACCAGCACCATTTACTAGGCAGCCTATACTTCCATCGAGGCCAGTGTAGTTGAGATCTGCCTTAGCAGCATCTTTGTTCCTTTCATCTTCCTGGGTCCAGTCCTGTAGATCAAACATTTTCTTTTGGCGATAGGCTGAATTAGAGTCAAAATTGATCTTTGCATCCTTACACAATGCAGCTCCATCTGAATCTTCCACCATTGAATTTATTTCTATCATGGTTGCATCGTATTTCAGAAAAAGGCTGTAAAGCTTGATCATGTTTTCTGCTGCTGAAGCCACAATATTAGATGGAAATCCCATCTTCTGTGCAAGCTGGAGAGCTTATTCCTCTTTGATACCTTCTACAATATCAATAGGTACTTTAATTATTGCTTCAGGAGTCTCAGCAGCAACATCTTCAATGTTGGCCCCACTATGTAAACTTCCTATTAATACAAGACCTTGAAATGACCTTTCCATTGTTATTGCAAAGTAGCACTCTCTCTTGGGATATTTTCACTCACAGACCAATACCTGATTGCATATTCTGCCCTTTTCTCCCATTTGCTTGGTAAACAACTGTTTCCTAATCATTTGTGAAGGAACAGCTTTTGCTTCTTCTGGAGAGAAAACCATCTTCACTCCTCCTTTGAGGCCACTTTCAAATGTTCCTTTTCCTCTACCACCAGCTAAAACCTGTGCCTTCATCACAACATCTTTTGAACCTAATTTTTTGGCAATTGCATAAGCTTCATCTGGTCACTTTGCCACATATCCTTTGGGAACAGAGACACCAGTTTCTTGCAATAATTCCATACTCATGTATTCATGTAGTGAGAGATTCCTTTGCTGTTGCTGCTGTACTTGGAGTCCATGGTTATTAAACAATCCAGAACTTCCCAGAACCTGAGCAGCAGCCCGCAGTGTGGTCCGAAGGGTGGCGGCCACCAACAGCGGGCGGAAGAACATGGAGGCCACCATTTCTGAGTCTAACATTACTATTAATAAAAGTTACAGAAGAGATTATTGCTGTAGTTTTCCTCATAAACACCATCAAATTTCGTTGCAGTTACAAAAAGTACAACCATGTTACTTTTTCTCTTACCAAATTTCATTGTCTTCCATGTCTGTAAAGTTTTTATTCAGTAGAAGATAATTCTTCCACTCTTTTCTGTAAGAATTCAAAGTATTTAAATGTGTAACTTCATACTATATTACCATGTTTTTCCCTTCTTGTTTCATATATATACGTATATATATGTATATATATGTATATATACGTATATATACGTATATATGTATATATGTATATATATGTATATATGTATATATGTGTATATATGTATATGTGTATATATGTATATATGTATATATGTGTATATATGTATATATGTGTATATATGTATATGTGTGTATATATGTATATATATGTGTGTATATATGTATATATATGTGTATATATGTATATATATGTGTGTGTGTGTGTGTATATATATATGTATATATATATATATATATATATATCTCATTTTTCAAAAAGGAAACCAGGTGTCCACATTTTAAAGAAACCCTGCATGGGTTTGGACAATGAGAAGAAAAAATTTTAAAAAGCCTACAAAAAAGTTTCAGAGCTATAAAAGATTTTCATATGGCATGAAGTGATCTCCTGCTAGTCCAGAGTTCAAAAACACTCTAATGAAGTTCATTTATATATATTTTGTTTGCTTTTCATGGAATACTACATTTATTGAGGTGAAATCACCTGTTTTTTTTTTTTTAGCTATTTAAGTCAACAAGGGTACACAAGTGTTTTTCAATACAGTTATTAAAAATAGGAGGCCAACTTGAATGTGCCAGATGGATTCCATTCAGTTGGGTTTCTAGAGTCATCAGGAAGAACGTTAGAGAAAAGATTTCCTTGTTTGGTTTCTATAGCTTGATAGACCAAAAAACAAACAAACAAAACCTACTACAACAACAAACAGCAAAATTTTTGTCCATACAGAAATGGCTCATTCTTTTTTTGTCTTTTCTGACTTGACATCTGCCAAGGGAACACACTTAGGAACATATTTAGATGAAAAAGATTCTGCCATCCTGAACTCAGTGAGTTCTAATGGCCTGCCTGTAGCCCCTTTGACTGGTCTGCAGCAATTCCTGTTGGTGTAGATGCTTCATAGGGCAACATTTCCTTAAGAATATCCCTTTCTACTCTTCTTTATTCTGTTCCCCCCCAACCCCAGTGGTCTCTTTGGAGTTTGGGGTATGTTTGAAAATTTACTGAGTTGCAGAATAGGAGCTGCATGCTTGAAATTTCCAGTCATCCTACTGACAACGAAGGTTTTGTGTCCTGAAGCCATTAGAGTTTCAGCTGTGGGAGCACTCTCTGAAATTACTGCACTGTCTATTGGAAAATGTTCTGGTTTCCACCCTCTTCCTTGGCCTTCTCCTCCGGTCTCTGGTAGACTCCCTACTCCAGGCCTGCAGAGCTCCGCCTTCTGAAGCTCCACTTGTGCGTTCAGCCTCAGTTATTCCAGCGTGAGAATAGCTCTGACTATCTCAAGTCTTCTTTTCTTCAGTGTTACTGGAGTCTTTGCTCTGCCCTTTAGTGGTTCTGTCTTCTCAAGCTTGATCTTTACTCTAGTCTTCTTCATTGTCACAGTATCTATTAGAACCTTTATTTCAATTCTGCCTTCCATTTTCTGCTGAAGATTAAATTGTTAATCCGCCGAGATGGGCAGATCCCTTGAGCTCAGGAGTTGGAGACCAGCCTGGACAACACGGGGAAAGCCCGTCCCTACCAAAAATACAAAAAAAAAAAAAAAAAAAAAAAAAAAAAAAAAAAAAAAAAATGTAGCCAGGCGAGGTGGCGCATGCCTGTGGTTCTAGCCACTCAGGAGTCTGAGGCACGAGAATCTCTTGAACCCGGGAGGCGGAGGCCGCAGTGAGCCGAGAGCCGAGATCGCGCCACTGCACGCCAGCCTGGGCGACAGATCGTCCTCGTTCCTTCGGTTTCAAGGTTTTTTTCTCACATCGCTTCCTGGTTGTTCTCCAGTAGGACTAGGTTTCTCTTTATACCTCGCAAGCGGGTCCACGAGATCTTCATTAGTGAGCGCGGTTACCTCGAGATCAGCTTTATCTTTTGGTCTGAGTTGAACTGTTTTCTTCGTGGCTTTCCTGCTGTGGGTGGCTTGGCTCTGGAGCCAGCTGGGGGAGGCGGGGCCCTCGCTGTCGGCGCCGCGGCGGGGTAGAGGTAGCGGCGGGGTAGAGGTAGGGCCGAGTGCTGCAGGCGAGGCTGCGCGTCCTGGTCTCTGCGCTGCTCCGGGCCGGGAGCCTCACTTTAATGGCGACCAACTCACTCATCAACTTGTCTTTCGTCAGGACCCAGGAGTCTTCCAGGAACGCTGGCATATCCAGGAGCTGCGAGTCCCGCTCCCGGCAGCCTTCGCAGCCTCCGGTCCCGCCCGAGCTCGCCCGGGCCTCGCGGCTCCCGCCCCGGAGGAGCGCCGCGGAGCAGGGCAAAAACTTGCGGACAGAAAGCCAGGCCAGACCCGACACAAAAGCCCCGGGGCTGAACGATGCAGACACCCGCGGCCAAGCCGGAAGCCCGCACCAACCCCAGCCCCCACACTACAGGCCACTTATTTTATTTTATTCTTTTTAAAATGTGGGTTTCTGGTCTATGCAATTCACCTCGGTGTGACTCAGGAAGGACACTGGAAGTCCACTGATCTGGCCAGGACAGAACCACGTGTGTGTTTAGGAAAAGTGGCCTTCTGTTCTCCATCCCTAGGGGCTCACGGGATACCCTTAGAACAGACTGGCCACAGGAATTCCCAGTTAAGGCAGAAGGTTGACATGAGATCAGTGTTTCAGGATTAAGTTCTCACGAAGGGCAGAAAACTGGGAAGCCCATACTTTTCCACGTTAATCAATTGGTTCCATAAACATCATTCCATTTATGTTTTTGTGTTTTTTATTAATAATTCCTTTGAGCTTCACTGGGAGAGATGAGTATGACTGTGGAGTTCAGTTCTGTAAAGCATGGGGTGGCTAAGAAAGGGAAGTAACTGGCCCCAGAATCCCACAGTCACCCAGTGACCTTCAGCCCAAGAATCTGATGGCCACTGCTGCACTCCAAGGGAAAGGAGGCCATCCGGAGAGAAGAGAATTACAAGAATAAGAGTGCAGAGAGTGTCCCACAGTCCTGAGATTCGTACAGAAGCACAGGAGGAAGCAAGTGTCCAAGTATCCAGAGTCCTGTGAAGTAGGGATTTCAGTCCTCAAAGCTACCCTCTCCCATCTGCCAAGTCTTCTGTGGACGTGCGTGGCTGTGTTTCCCTTCCCATTCCCTTTGGGCAGTGTGCTATAGGTTTCCATGTGAGGGCCAGTACTCCTTGCCTCTCATCTCCCTCTCCATTTTGCCGCAAATGCAAGGGACCCCATACTCGCCCTTGCCCCACCTCTTGCCTCTCCTGGGGACATTCTTCCTGCTCAGTAGTGGGCCTTGTGAGGACCTGCAGGACAGCCTGAGTGGGAGCTACCCCAAGGGCCCAAGGAGTTCCAGGAACCCCATCTGCACTCACTCACCTCCCCATCAAGCGCCCCTGCATTCTTCCTGCACTGCACTCCAGGTGTTGACAGCTCCTGGGCAGGGTAGCAGGTTCCAGGGAGCCCAGGCTGAATGGAGCTTGGGAGCTGAGGTCCTCTGCTGGGGATTCACTGTTCCAAGAGGACAGGATTCTGCCTTTATGGGGGAAGGGCTGGATAGGAACCAGGAGACCAGTTATAGGCCTGTTGCTATCAATCCTGGGACCAGTTAATTGATCTGTGTTCAGTACAGGATAGCAAAAATGGACTTGACCTTTTCTCTGTGTAACTTTTTTCAGAAACCATCACGTCCAGCCTTCCTTCCCTGGGCACAGAGGAGACCTGCCTCAGGCGAAGTTCTTCTGTGGAATTAAAAAGTCTCTTGGGCTCAGCTCTCCCCAGGGGCCTTCAGAACTCACCAAGGATAGAGCTGCAGACCTCTGGTGGTCAAATAGGGACTAAAACCGATTACACCTACAAGTCAATTGCAAATCAGTCTTTCTTTCTGTTGCACCTGTGCCCCTCACTTAGTCACCTGTCTTAGATGGAAGCTTCGGGCCCCTCCTGGGCCCCAACCCTGCGGTCCCCAGGTTCGCGGTTTTTCACGTCTAATCTCAATTGGCCCCTTCCCCACACACCGTGTTTGACCACCCAGTTCACAGAACGCCCCGGGCTTCCTAGTGGGCCAGGTCCTCCTTAGAGAGGCAAGAAGGTGGAGAGGGAGCGTGGACGCCGAGCGCCCGCTGGGCAAACCCGAATCTGGGGCCTGACCTAGCCGGTAGCCGGTGACGGGGCCGGTGGTGGCTTGGAGACTCCTCTCTGGTCCTCTGCTCTTGGCCCCAGCCCCGCGCTCACAGCCACCTCCTGAAGCCGCCAGTGCTGCGTCCTCTTGGCCACGTAGGGGAAGAGCGGACTGGACGGAAGCAGCGGACTCTGGGCGCTGTCAAGGTCACTGTTGTGAAAAGCCGGGAGACCAGATGTGGACACAGGGAGGCCTGGACCCGAGGCGCGGCTGGCCAGAGGCCTCGTGTCTGCCCCTCTTCACAGCTTCCAGGGAAGCTCCCCGCGTATCCTCAAAGCAGAGAGCGGTTTCCAAACGGACCCCCACAGCGCCCGATTGGGCCATCCCGCCCCAGGCTGGAGGGTGGGTGCTCATGGGGTCGCCAGTCACCAAGGGCCCCATCTGAGCGCACCCGGTCCCTCCTCCAGGCTCGCCTGGGCCTCGAGGGCGGCGAACAGCTCGGCTTTGAAGAAGGCTCCGGCCGGCGCTGCCCAAGTCGGGCAGCCTTCCTGGCCCACCCGGGAGTTGAGTTTCAAGGCTTCCCGGAGAGGCCAGCCCAGATTCGCAGCGGAGAGTTTCTCAGGCCACAAACCTCGGAGAGAAGCAGCCGTGGTTCCCTGTGCCCTGGGCCACCGCTGGGCGGGGCAGGAAGCCTCCCTGGCGTTTCCTCGCGGGCGCGACTACGAGCCGCGGAAACCAGTGGCCGCTCCACACTATTTAAGCTGAGGTTCCTCTGCCATGGCTGCGGTTTGCGGTTTCAGCTTAGTGTACCACTTAGTACTAATATTATTACTTAGTGAACTTAGTGCACTTAGTGCTCTAAGTTTACCAAGTTTACCATTTATTGTACTTAGTGTACTTAGTGCTCTAAGTTTACCAAGTTTACCACTTAGTGTACCTAGTCTACTTAATCAACACTTAGTGTATTTAGTGTTTCAGCTTAGTGTAGAGAGGCTTCTTTCTTCCTTTTCTGGAGGAGTCAGTGGTTAGAGACGATTTCCGTGGTTAGAGCGTACTTGGTCTTTAGAAGACGACTTTGGTGTCCATTGCCAACCCCATCAGAGATCGCAGGCCTTTTCCCCTCAGTCCCAGCTCATCAGCAAAGGTCTGGGTGGCTGTCTCCAGAGGAGACTGAACGAGGTTGTCAAAGCGGCTGGATCAAAAGTGTTGCCATGTCGGATGGAGTGGTGTCCACGATGAACCTGAGCATGGTACCAGCATCTGGGGGTGTGGAATTGGGAGGGAAAGCTGGGGCCCCACAGTGTGAGGAAGGAGGAGCATGGTCAAACCAGACTGGGCAGAGTCCTCGGTATTTAGGAATCTCTAAATACTAAATACTAAATCTCTAAATACTAAATACTGAGCTGGGATGGAATCTCTGTGCTGGAGGCTAGTGGTGCAAACATTTTTTCCGCATGAGGTTCAGAAAGGTTAGGCGGCGGTTTCTCATCTGCAGGCACAGGTGACTGACTGCCTTCAGCATGGGCCCATCTGTCCATCTCTCCTCCTGACCCTGGTCTCATTACAGGAGAGGGAACTGGGTGCTAGAGGGTGGGGAATCCAGGATGTCAGAGGTGTCACACCTGGATAAAGCGTTTTGAAAACACAAGTCCCAGGGCTGATTATTGATTTTACCACATGCAGCCTGTTTTTATTTATGAAGTTTCTTTTCTTTTCCCTTAACTTCCAATGATACACTATAATGTACATCAATGTCCTTAAAATGTATGTAGTCCTCTTCATCTAGTAACTATACTGATCCTCAAGTATCCATTCTCTAGTCAAGCGTTATACCTGTTTCTCCTACCCCACGGCAGTGCTGGGTCTGGTGTACCCCTCCCGCAGTATCGCCTCCCCCTAAATAAGCACGTTTCCCTATAATTTCTTACTTTTTCTCTATGCCTTCCCATCATGTTTGCACTCACTGTGAAGTAAGGAAACGCTTCCTAATTCTGTTATTCCTTCCTACTCTTAGGAGATTTCTCCCTCTGCGCTGAGGATCTCACTGTGCACCTCCAGCCCTGGGTCCTGGTGGGCTCTGGTGGCCACTGGAGTCTTTGGAACTGCCTCCCTCTGGCTCTGCTGGGTGAGTGCTCTTCTGTCTTCTGTTTCTCCACTGATAAAAACAAATCCGAGAACATGTTCACAATAACACTTCCAGAAAGGATGGTGTGGAAGGGGATAAGGAGTAGGGGAAGGAACTCCACTCCCTTGGATGAATTTAGAGACAATTTGCTACATTAATCTCTGGCCAGGAGCCAAGACAGAGTCTAGAGTAAGCCAGGCTGCTCAGGTCAAATATCTGAAGGCCTCCTCTTCTCCCTCCTCACATTTCAGTAGACTCAGTGCCAAGGGCTTGTCCTGGGGACAGGTGGCCTCAGCCACAGTAAATCCCTGAGATCCTGGACCACTGCGTGGAACCCTGTTCTCTGCATGAGGCAGGCTCCAGGTGCTACCTGCTTCCCTTTCATTTCCCCTGTTACAAAACATGGTCTCCCCTCTACTCTCTCTCAATCCTTCCTAGCCACCAGCTTCCTGGCAAGCAACCACATGGAAGCCTTTTACTTCATATTTTGTTCTTTATCTTTATGTCTCTTGATAATATACATTTATGCCACTTCAAATGTTTCCATTTTAGATATTATGTATTGACTTTTCAATATCCCTTCTGTCCATAGTACCTTCCCCAGCACACACATTTTCATCCTCCTCGTGTAGGCAGGTGGAGATTTTGAGTGCATTGAGAGCCAGAGTTAAAATTACTGACTTACGTGACTGCTACTCAGACCTGAGCCACATGGTAAACTCTCTTAGTTTTTCTTTCCACATATGCTGAAGTTTTCAAGATTTGATCATTGCCTAGTATTTTCATTTTCTTACTTTCCATGAACCTTAAATGAATTCACCAACTGTTCCTTAGTTGAGTAAATGTCTTCTCAATACCTTTAAACTTATGTTGGCTGTTGTCAAGGTCATCTTCTTGGAGATGGCTTCCCCTCTGCTGTCCACCCACCCAGGTGACCCTCTTCCTTTCTGGTCCTGTTGCCCTTTCACCTTTTCATGGGTTGATGCCTGATTTCATACATCCCATATCTTGGTATTTTTTTTGTTCTTGTTGTTGGTTGATGTTGTTGTTGTTGTTATTTTTTGTATATTCCTTCCTCCTCTGTTTGGTATGTTCCCTCCTTCAGTTTTGTTATCCTTCAACTTTGCTATCAGGAGAAAATTTTTCATGACTTGCAATATCTGAATTTCACCCTATTTTACAGGGTTGGATTCGGGCATCGATGTCACACCCAGCAGGAACAACTGGGGCCACTGGAGGATTCCCAAGGACACAGGTTGTCCTTTTCATGCAGGAAGAATCTGAATCGTTTCCATCCAGTTTCCCCGGCATGCAGCAGAATACAACACAAGGGGCTGCGGTCTTCTCTGACTCTTAAGGCCCTTGGAAGATCCTGTTCTGCCAAAATCAGGGTGATTTGGGCAAGCATCCTTAGGGCTCTGGACCTTAGTTTCTTTCCCTGGTTGATTGATTGACCATATAGGTGTCCTAACTCACATAGTTGAAAATCAGATGTGGTGAAAGTGCATTGAGACCAGAAACAATGTTATTGTCCTGAAATGCATGCCCAGAGAGCACTGAATAAATTTTTAAAACACCTGACCACAGCTGGCATTTCTGTTCTTTTCTAAACTATGGGACTGATCAAAAGAGAGAGGTTAGGTGGGGTGAGTGTGGGTCCTGGCCAGGAGAATGAAGGAGGGAGGGAGGGAAAGGCTGTGAGAAGAAGTGGAAAGCAGGGTACAAAGGATGCAGGATGGTGTCACTTCAGGGAAGGGCCTGGGATTCCTAGTAAGTATGGAGGAGAGGTGGCACCTGAGATTACCTTTGGAAGCCCAGATGTAGCTGATCCTACAACTTGCTTCTCCTCCTGCCTGGACGTCTACACCAATGTGACTAGACACACAGTAGAAAAGAACTGGCACCTGATTCTCAGACTGGTACCATCTTCTACCCTCGAGTGTTTGTTTCATTCCTTTCCTCCCTGTTTCCCCACCCCAACCACCAAACTCATTGCTCCATTCTTCCAATATAACTCTATATCAGGGCACCACTGAGTTCAACGCAATGTGTCACAATCGCTGTGTTCTCCCTCTCCCAAGTGCATGATTCTCCACACTGCAGGGCTGCTGCTGGAGGATGGGGCTGGGGCGGCATTGGCAATTCGGGACAACATCCTACCCTTCTCAGTGTTTCTTTCAGTTATATGAAGTTAAAAACCAGGTTTTGTGAATGCTCACATAACTTTTGTTTCTAGTGAAGGTGATTTTGTCTTTTTTTAAATGTAGATAGTTGTTAGATTGGTATCTTTGTTGCAGGGGGACGGTTAGTGAAGTCTTCTATCTAGCCATCTTGCTCCACCCCTCTCCCTAAAAAATTTTTAAATTTCTTTCCTAATGTCTTCATTGACCCACCAGGCATTCAGGAGCATATTGTTTAATTTCTATGTGTTTGTATAGTTTCCAAAATTCCTCTTGTTATTAATTTCCAGTTCTATTCCATTGTTGTCAGAGAAGATGTTTGATATTATTTCAATTTTTTGAATGTTCTAAGACTTGTTTTGTGACCAAATATTTGGCCTGTCTTTGAGAATGATCCATGTCCTGAGAAGAAATATGTGTATTCTGCAGCTCTTGGATGAAATATGCTGTAAATATCTATTAGATCCATTTAATGTATAGTGCAGATCAAGTCCAATGTTTCTTTGGTGCTTTTCTGTCTAAACGATCTGTCCTATGCTGAAACGGGGGCTGCTGAAGTCTCTGGCTATGATTGTACTGAGATCTATCTTTCTCTTTAGCTCTAATAATAATTGCTTTATACAGCTGGGTGCTCCAGTGTTGGGGTATGTATATTTATAGTTGTTATAGCATCTTACTGAATTGACCCCTTTATCATTATATAGTGACCCTCTTTGTCTCTTCTTATAGTTTTTATCTTAAAATCTATTTTGTCTGATATAGGTATAGCTACTCCTGCACTTTTTTGATTTCCATTGGCATGACCAATCTTTTTCCATCCCTTTATTTTCAGTCTATGTGTGTGTTTATAGGTGAGTGTGTTTCTTGTAGGCAACAGATCATTGGGTCCTTTTTTTTTTTTTTTTTTATTCATTCCACCACTCCATTTCTTTTGATTGGAGAGTTTAGACCATTTACATTCAGTGTTATTATTGATAAAGAAGGACATTTTCTTATTTGTTTTCTCGTTGTTTTGCTTGTTTTCTCTTCCTTCTTTCCTTCCTTTATGTCTTCCTTTTAGTGAAGGTGATTCTCTGGTGATATGATTTAATTTCCTGTTGTTTATTTTTTGTATATCTGTTGCATTTTTTATGATTTGAGATCACCAGGCTGCTTGCAGATATCTTATAACCATTATTTTAATCTGATAAAAACTTAACACTGCTTGTATAAACAAAAACCGAAAGATATGTAATAAGAATTCACACTTTAACTCCATCCTCTTTCTTTTTAACTTTTTGTTGTTTCTATTTATATCTTCTTATACCATCTATGTCTTTTTTTAGATGAGGATCTCACTCTGTCACCCAGCCTGGAGTGCAGTGTCACAATCTCAGCTCACTGCAACCTCTGCCTCCGAAGCACAAGCAATCCTTTCACCTCAGCCTCCTAAGTAGGTGGTACCACAGACACGTGCCACCATAACCAGCTAATTTTTTCCATTTTTTAAAAGAGACTGGGTTTTGCCATGTTGCCCAGGCTAGTCTGAAACTCCTGAGTTCAAATGATCTGTTCACTTCAGCCTCTCAATGTCCTGGGATTACAGGCATGAGCCACTGCAGCTGGCCTTGTACCGTCTATGTGTTGAAAAGTCTTGTAGTTATTATTTTTTATTGGTTCACCTTTTATGCTTTCTACTTAAGACACGAGTAGTTTACACACCACAAATACAGCATTATAATATTCTGTGTTTTTCTGTGGCACTTGGTTCTTGACTGAAGAAATTACAAAGTGCCAATCTGGGTCTAAATGTAATCCATTTTCTGAAGTTAAGTGTCCCAAATATTTCTTCTGAGTTTTCACTAGCTGCAATTTTTCGTCAGAGACTTCATGGTCTTTAGCAGTCAGTTGCTTTAACAGTTGTACACCATTTTTTTCATAGGCTATCTGTGAAGCAGAGCAAAGAAGGCGGCCATCTATATATTGTAGTAAGGTGGAACCTTAAGGAGAAACTATCTCCTCCAAGTGTTCCTTTAATATTTGAAAAACACAGGAAGGGTTTTCAGTAAAAGCAAGAGGCATTACTGTCCAGGTGAATTGTTGGCCTTCCAAGGTAAAGGCAAAAAGATACTGGCTGGCCTGATCCACTGGATTACTGAAGAATGCACTTCATAGATCAATGACAGTGAAAAACCTCCTATCAATAGGTTGTGAGTTTAATGAGATATAGGGATTTGGAACCACTGATGTCTTGGAATCACTATATAGTTTATTGCTCAGAATTCCTGAGCAAACCTTTAATCCCAGTTGTTTGGTTTTTAATAGGTATAATTAGGGTGTTAGAAGGATGAGTACATGGAATAATGAGGCCTTGCTTTTTATGTCCTTCTGTAATAGGTTTAATGACTTATAACACCATCTGGTTTAAGTGGATATTGTTTGATATTAGGCAGGGGTTTTGATGGATCAAGCTGGATTTTTATAGGAGGTATATTATAAAGTTTGCCAATATCAACAGTTTTGCCTATACAGAGACAGGTATTAGATTCAGCAGTGAAAGGGTGTGATGTAGTTTGTATATTTGTCCCCACCCCAATTTCATGTTGAATTGTAATCCCCAGTGTTGGAGGTGGGTCTTGGTGGGAGGTGATTGGATCATGGGGGCACATTTCTCAGGAATGGTTTAGCACCGTCCCCTTGGTGCTGTCTTTGAAATAGTGAGAGCTGGTTGTTTAAAAGTGTGTGGCGTCCTTCCCCTCCCACTCTCTCTCTCGTTCCTGCTTTCGCTATGTGACGTGCCTGCTCCCCTATTGCCTTCTGCCATGATGGTAAGCTTCCTGCGACCTCATCAGAAGCTGATCAGATGCCCAGCACCGTGCTTCCCATAAAGCCTGCAGAACTGTGAGCCAATTAAACTCATTTTTCTTTATAAATTACCCAGTCTCATGTATTCTTTATAGCAATGCAAGAACAGCCTAACACAAGATAGCATTATTTTTGTTTTGTCAGTGGGAATGACATAACAAGTGGGGACATTTGGAGAGTCAGGGATTCCTGAGGTCAGGAATTCAAGACCAGCCTGGCCAACATGGTGAAACCTCGTCTCTACTAAAAATACAAAAAATTAGCTGGGCATGGTGGTGGGCACCTGTAATCCCAGCTACTCGGGAGGCTGAGGCAGGATAATTGCTTGAACCCAGGAGGTGGAGGTTTCAGTGAGTCGAGACTGCACCACTGCACTCCAGCCTGGTGACAGAGTGAGACTTCATCTCAAAAAGAAAAAATTTTAAAAAAAGTTTTTAAGCAGTTTTCTTAGTAGGGTCCTCAAGGGGACAGGCAGGTGATTTATCAAATGGACAAGATCAGAAGTGCACATAGTTTCCCTAAATTGCTGGCTCTTTTACCAAGTTCAGCATGTTTTGAAGAAAAGCTATTCACAAACTTGGAATTAAAGTCTACTCAAGTAGATTTAACATCCATAGGTAATGCAGAAATTTCTTTCTTTTTTCTTTTCTTTTCTTTTCTTTTTTTTTTTTTTTAAGATGGATTCTCACTCTGTCGGCAGGCTGTAGTGCAGTGGCTGGATCTGGGCTCACTGCAAGCTCCGCCTCCCGGATTCACACCATTCTTCTGCCTCAGCCTCCCAGAGTAGCTGGGACTACAGGCACCTGCCACCATGCCCAGCTAATTTTTTTGTGTTTTTAGTAGAGACGAGGTTTCACCGTGCAAGCCAGGATGGTCTTAATCTCCTGACCTCGTGATCTGCCCGCCTCGACTTCCCAAAGTGCTGGGATTACCGGCGTGAGCCACCGCGCCCAGCCTACTTTAGTTTTAAGAAAGACAAGTTTGGGGAACTCAAAAGACCCCAAGGATGGCCATTGAAGATCCAAATTAACTTTGCTATACTCTATCCATTGATTTTAAAAAGTACACAAGAGACGACCTTAATTTTTTTCTTTTCTTATTTATTTTTATTTTTTTTTGACATGAAGTTTCCCTCTTTTCTCCCACGCTGGAGTGCAATGGCATGATCTCGGCTCACTGCAACCTCTGCCTCCCGAGTTCAAGCTGTACTCCTGCCGCAGCCTCCCGAGTAGCTGGGATTACAGGTATGCGCAACCACATCTGGCTGAATTTGTATTTTTATTAGACACGGGGTTTCTCCATGTTGGTCAGGTTGGCCTCCAACTCCCAAATTCAGGCGATCCGCTTGCCTGGGCCTCCCAAAATGCTGGGATTACAGGCGTGAGGCACCACGACCGGCCTTAATTTTTTAAAATAGAGATGAACTCTTGCTATGTTGCCCAGGATGGTTTCAAACTCATGAGCTTAAGCAATCTTTCCACCTCGGCCTCCCAAGGTGCTGGGATTACAGGCATGAGCCACTGACAATAATTTTTGAACATATAGCTGACAGGAGTCCCAGAAGAGGGCCTATATTGGATGCTTTGGAGTTTTGGCATCCTGTTCTGCCTCTTATTAATTTCTCAACAGCAAAAGAAAAATTCTATAATCTCTGTGAGGAAATGGTAGGGGTTGGAGCGATTTGTTTTTTAATAGTGTGTGCCTAGCATAGGATTTTTGTTTTTACTTGATGTGCAGGCAGCCTGTGATCTAATTGTCTATCCTGTCACCATTTTCTCCAGAATTTTCTTGAGACTGGCACGCTGCCTAATGGAAATCTTGTTTATTCATGTACCACTTTATCCTGACAACAAAAAATTTCTCTTTGGGGAGACTGAAGGCTCACATAGAATGGTGACAACAGCCCAAACAGCTTTTAAGGAGTTGACTCATCCTTACCATTTTAGAAAGTAAATTTTGCTCTCAAAAGATATTCAGAAGCAGAGGAAAAATCAAGCAACAAACTCAGTATAAGTCTCTTCCAAAGATAATCTTTCTTCAGGATCATTTCTGACACTAGATTATTCAACCTAAAAAACATGACATTAGAAATGTCCAAATATGTTGAGTTTATTTGGGAATGAGAATGAGGATTGTAACCTAGGGTGCACTGATGGATTGCCATTCTGGAAATATTAGCTTAGCCAGATGTAGTGGGTTGAATGGTGGACCCCATAAAGATATGTTTCTGTCTTAGTGCCCAGCAGCTGTGAATGTCAAGTTGTTTGGAAAAAAAGGGTCTTTGCAGATGTAATTAAGCGGAGGATACTGAAATGAGGAGATCCTCCTAGATGACCCAGGTGGGCTCTAGATCCAATGACAAGTGTCTTTCTAACAGGTACACAGAAGAGAGAGTCAGAAGAGGAGAAGGTGATGTGAAGAATGAGGCAGAGACTAGAGCAATGGGGCTACAAGCCAAAGAACGCTGACCAATGCCCTGCAGCTGCCAGAGCTGGAGGACTCAAGGAATGGATTTGCTCTTAGAGCTTTCAGAGGGAGTGAGGCCCTGCATATTGATTTTGCAGTTTGGGCCTCCAGAACTGTGAAAGAATAATTTTCTGTTGTTGTAAGTTGCCAACTTTGAGGGCATTTGTTGTGGCAGCTACAGGAAGCTAATATACCAGGTGATCAACTTCAACATCAACAGTGGTACATGAAATTGATATTCTATAACCTTGATAAGGTGTTTGGAGAATAGCACTTCACCTCATCTAAACACCCATAACCATAGTCTAACCATGATCTACACCCCAACTAAATTCAGTTTGAGGGACATTTTACAATATATCTGGTCAGTACTTCCCAATATTGTGAAGGGCATCAAAAATTAGGAAAATCTCAGGAACTGTCACAGACCAGAGGATGCCGCGGAGGCACGACGGAGACTAAATGTAGTGTGATATTCTCCATGGAATCCTGAAACACAGAAAGGACATTAGGGGAACGCTAATGAACTCCAAATAAAGTCTGCAGTTTAGTAATAATAAGGTATGAAAATGGCTTCATTAGCTGTGACAAATGGACCATAGTAATGAGAGATGTTAACATCAGGGGAAACTGACTGTGGAGCGGATGGCAACTCTGTACTACCATTGCAACTTTTATGTAAATTTAAAACTCTTCTAAAATAAAATTATTTAAAAGTAGCAGTCAGGAAAGGATTAAGGAGTGGAAGAAAAAAATGATCAACTTTCCATTTTCCTGGAGTGTTGCCATGAAAAGGCTGGAGGGAGGGTTTGCAAGGAGGAGTTGGAAACCTCAGAGACAGGCCGCTCCAGAGCCCTCCTCTGTTCCGCAGAGCCGGAACCCCGCGCAGTCCAGGGCTTCTCAGAAGGCCTTTCCACTCCCTGGACAACCCCAGCCCCACCTCATTGATACATCCTTTCTGGATCAACAATCTGTGTCTTACTCAGACCACCGCCCCATCCTCTCCAGAGCGGCTCATCAGAATCCGAGCGCAGAGCGGCAGCGCCCCCGTGTGGCCCAAGGACTGAGGACAGACGCTCAGCTCCCCTTTCGCTTCCCCACCCGCGACTTCCACAGGGTCCCGTTCGGTTTCCAGCTGCAGAACAGGGCTCTGTGCACACGGGGGCGCCCTGCTCCCGTGTCGGTGTCTCTAAATCCTGGAGTACAGATGTTTCCTCCCAGTTACTGGCGGTGGAGTCTGATCTCAAGGCAGAGGGAGGTCTGCAGGCCCTAAGATCTGGTTCCCAGGTCTGCGTGACCCCACAGACATACTGTGCGCCCAGTACCCAATCTCTCAGTGTTTTTGGAATGAGGCCTTGGACTCCCGAGTCCCTGAAATTTGTTCTGCTGCTTCCAGGGAGGAAGATACCTCCTCGCCGGAATCCACTAGTTGATCCTCCAACCCTACTTTGGAGGGACCCAGGAAGGACATGGCGTTGGAGCTGGACCCAGGAAGAACATGGCGTCGGAGCTGTAACTATATTGGGTTACAAGGATGTCTGGGATCAGACTGGGCAGAGCATTTGTCCCCAATCCGTCGGTTACCGGAGGGAGGTCCCTCCGCGACTCCCCGGACCTCCAGGACCCAGGCATCGGAACCCACACCCTCCTGGAGCGGACCCTTCCCAGCCCCAGTCCAGGACCCCGAGTCCCGCCCCTTCTTCCCCTTTGCGACCTAAGCAGACAGGACCTGCTGTCTACATCTCTTAGGCCTCGTCCCCTGCCATCTCCATTCCCTGATTAAAGGTTCTTGATCCCGGAACCAAATCTAATTTCTGGTCTCGTCTATTGTCCGCGACGATCACCGACCAGGAGAGGCTCCCCAGCCCCAAACAGGCTGCGGCTGAGCGACAGCGGCGGATTTTGGCGCTTTGGCCCAGACTCTCTCGTCGAAGCACCCCGCGACCCCTGCCTGGAGGCTGCGCAGGCAGCTGGGGGTCGGGCTTCGTCTGGGGCCTCGCAGGAGGAGCGGGGTCTGCAGCAGGAGGGGGCCCGCTGGGATTTCTGCCACTGAGGCTGCACTCGCCGCCCTGGGTAAGGCTTCCCCCAGCCCTCCCCTGTGGACCTCGCTGTGGTTCCTTTCCTATTCCCTTTGGGCAGTGTGATATAGGTTTCCATGTGAGGGCCAGTACTCCTTGCCTGTCATCTCACTCTCCAGTTTGCTGCAAAGTGCAAGCGACCCCATACCCGCCTTTGCCCCACCCTTTGCCTCTCCTGGGGACATTCTTCCTGCTCAGTAGTGGGCCTTGTAAGGACCTGCAGGACAGTCTGAGAGGGAGCTACCCCAAAGGCCCAAGGAGTTCCCGGAGACCCTCTGCACTCACTCACCTCCCCACCAAGCGCCCCTGCATTCTTCCTGCACTGCGCTCCAGGTGTTGACAGCTCCTGGGCAGGGTAGCAGGTTCCAGGCAGCCCAGGCTGAGGTCCTCTGCTGGGGATTCACTGTTCCAAGAAGACAGGATTCTGCCTTTATGGGGGAAGGGCTGGATAGGAACCAGGAGACCAGTTATAGGCCTGTTGCTATCAATCCTGGGACCAGTTAATTGATCTGTGTTCAGTACAGGATAGCAAAAATGGACTTGACCTTTTCTCATGTGAATATTTTCAGATACCCTCACTCCCAGCCTTCCTTCCCTGGGCACAGAAGAGACCTGCCTCAGGCGAAGTACCTCCGTGGAATTAAAAAGTCTCTTGGGCTCAGCTCTCCTCAGGGGCCTTCAGAACTCATCAAGGATAAAGCTGCAGACTTCTGGCGGTCACACAGGGACTAAAACCGATAAAATCCACAAGTCAACTGCGACTCAATCTTCCTTCCTCTTGCCGCAGTGTTCCTCACTTAGTCTTGGATGGAAGCTTCGGTCCTCTCCTGGGCCCCAACCTGCGGTCCCCAGGTTCCCCGTTTTTCACGTCTAATCTCAATTGACTCCCTCCTCCACACACCATTTTTGACCACCCAGTCCACAGAACGCCCCGGGCTTCCTAATGGGCCAGGTCCTCCTTAAGAGAGGCAGGGAGGTGGAGAGCGAGCATGGAAGCCGAGCGCCTGCTGGGCAAACCCGAATCTGGGGTCTGACCTCGCCGCCGGCAGCTGGTGAATATGTCGCAGGACCGGTGGTGGCTTGGCAGTCTTCTCCTGTCCTCTGCTCTTGGCCCCAGACCCGCGCTCACAGCCACCTCCTGAAGCCACCAGCTCTGCACCCTCTCGGCCTCGCAGGGGAAGAGGGGACTGGATGGAAGCCGCGGACTCTGGGCGCTGTCAAGGTCACTGTTGTGAAAAGCCGGGAGACCTGATGTGGACACAGGGAGGCCTGGACCGGAGGCGCGGCTGGCCAGAGGCTTCGCGTCTGCCCCTCTTCCTTCAGAGCCTCCTGCTCCCAGGGAAGCTCCGCGCGTGTCCTCAAAGCAGAGAGTGGTTTCCAAACGGACCCCCCAGCATCCGATTGGGCTATCCCGCCCCAGGCTGGAGGGTGGGGGCTCATGGGGTCTCTAGTCACCAAGTGCCCCACCTGAGAGGACCCGGTCTCTCCTCCAGGCTGCGCTGGGTCTCGAGGGAGGCGAGCAGCTCGGCTCTGAGGGGGGCCCCGGCCGGCGCTGCCCAACTCGGACAACCTTCCTGGCCCACCCAGGAGTTGAGTTTCAAGGCTTCCCGGAGAGGCCAGCCCGCATTCGGAGCGGAAGGTTTCTCAGGCCGCGAGCCTCGGAGAGAAGCAGCGCTGGTTCCCTGAGCCCGGGGCCACCGCTGGGCGGGAGCGCGCTTGGATCTTGCAGCAGCTAAAGCCTCGTGGGCTCCTCCTCGACTACAAGCCGCGGAAAACAAGTTGCAGCTCAGCACTATTTAAGTTGAGGTTTTTCTGTTATGCCTGCGGTTTGCTGTTTCAGCGCTTTGCTGTTTCAGCTTAGTGAAAGCTGAATGTACTTAGTACTTCAGCTTAGTTTTTCAGCTTAGTGTACTTAGAGAAGAGGCTTCTTCCTCTTTTGGGGGAATCAGTGGGTAGAGAGGAATTCCGTGGTTAGAGCCTACTTGGTCTTTAAGAGTCGACTATAATTTTGATTTTGATCCTCAACCACATCCGAGATCACAGTTCCCCGGTCAGTCTCAGCTCATCAGCAAAGGGTTTGGCGGCTCTCTCCAGAGGAGACTGAACGAGGTTGTCAAAGCGTCTGGATCAAAAGTGTTCCCCTGTCGGATGGAGCGGTGTCCAGGATGAACCTGAGCATTGTACCAGCATTTGGGGGTGTGGAGTTGGGAGGGAAAGCCAAGGCCCCACAGTGTGAGGAAGGAGACTGGGCAGAGCCCCTCAGTGTTTAGGAATCTCTAAATACTAAATACTACATCTCTAAATACTAAATACTGAGCTGGGATGGAATCTCTGTGCTGGAGGCTAGTGGTGCAAACTGCAGTTTCTCATCTGCAGGCACAGATGACTGACTGCCTTCAGCATGGGCTCATCTGTCCATCTCTCCTCCTGACCCCGGTCTCATTACAGGAGAGGGAACTGGGTGCTAGAGGGTGGGGAATCCAGGACGTCAGCGGTGTCGCACCTGGATAAAGCATTTTGCAAACACAAGTCCCAGGGCTGACTATTGATTTTACCACATGCAGCCTGTTTTTATTTATTAATTTCCTTTCTTTTCCCTTAAATTCCAATGACAAAGTATAACGTAAATCAACGTCCTTAAAATGTATGTAATCCTCTTCATTTAGTAACTATTCTGACCTCAAGTATCCATTCTCTAGTCAAGGATTATACCTGTTTCTCCTAGCCCCCACCAGTGCTGGGTCTGTTGTACCCCTCCCGCAGTATTGCCTCCCCCTAAATAAGCACATTTCCCTATAATTTCTTCCTTTTTCTCTATGCCTTCCCATCATGTTTGCACTTGCTGTGAAGTAAGGAAATGCTCCCCAATTCTGTTATTCCTTCCTACCCTTAGGAGATTTCTCCCTCTGCGCTGAGGATCTCACTGTGCACCTCCAGCCCTGGGTCCTGGTGGGCTCTGGTGGCCACTGGAGTCCTTGGAGCTGCCTCCCTCTGGCTCTGCTGGGTGAGTGCTCTTCTATCCTCTCTTTCTCCACTGATAAAAACAAATCCGAGAACATGTTCAGAATAACACTTCCAGAAAGGATGGTGTTGAGGGGGATCGGGAGTAGGGGAAGGAACTCCACTCCCTTGGATGAATTTGGAGACAGTTTGTTGCATTAATCTCTGGACAGGAAACAAGACAGAGCCTAGAGTAAACCAGGCTGCTCAGGTAAAAGGTCCGAAGGCCTCCTCTTCTCCCTGCCCACATTTCAGTAGACTCAGTGCCAAGGGCTTGTCCTGGGGGCAGGTGGCCTCAGCCACAGTAAGTCCCTGAGATCCTGGACCACTGCGTGGAACCCTGTTCTCTACATGAGGCAGGCTCCAGGTGCTACCTGCTTCCCTTTCATTTCCCCTGTTACAAAACATGGTCTCCCCTCTACTCCCTCTCAATCCTTCCTAGCCACCAGCTTCCTGGCAAACAACCACATAGAAGCCTTTTACTTCATATGTTGTTCTTTATCTTTATGTCTCTTGATAATATACATTTATGCCACTTCAAACATTTCCATTTTAGATATTAAGTATTGACTTTTCAAAATCCCTTCAGTCCATAGTACCTTCCACAGCACACACATTTTCATCCTCCTCATGTAGGCAGGTGGAGATTTTGAGTGCATTGAGAGCCAGAGTTAAAATTACTGACTTACGTGAATGCTACTCAGACCTGAGCCACATGGTAAACTCTCTTAGTTTTTCTTTCCATACATGTTGATGTTTTCAGAGAATTGATAATTGCCCGGCGTTTTCATTTTCTTACTTTCCATGAACCTTAACAAATGAATTCACCAACTGTCCCTTAGTTGAGTAAATGTCTTCTCCATACCTTTAAACTTATGGTGGCTCTTGTCAAGGTCATCTTCTTGGAGATGGCGTCCCCTCTGCTGTGCTGTCCACCCACCCAGGCGACCCTCTTCCTTTCTGGTCCTGTTGCCTTTTCACCTTTTCACCTTTTCATGGGTTGATGCCTGATTCTATACATCCCACGTCTTGGTCTGTTTATTTTTGTTTTGTATTCTTTTCAATATATATTCCTTCCTTCTCTTCTTGGTATGTTCCCTCCTCTCCGAGTACATCCTTCACCTTTGCTATTGGGAGAAAATTTTTCATGCCTTGCAATGTCTGAATTTCTTCTTATTTTACAGGGTTGGATTCAGGAGTTGAGGTCATCCCCAGCAGGAGCAACTAGGGCCACTGGAGGATCCCCAAGGACACAGGTCACCCTTTTCATGCAGGAAGAATCTGAATGGTTCCCACCCAGTTTCCTGGGCAGGCAGGAGAATCCAACACGAGGGGCTGCTGTCTTCTCTGACTCTTAGGGCCCTTGCAAGATCCTGTTCTGGGTGATTTAGCTGAAGGGCAGGGTGATTTGGGCAAGCATCCTCAGGGCTCTGGGCCTCAGTTTCCTTCACTGGGTGATGGGTTGATCAGATAGATGGCCTTCCCCACATAGCTGAAAATCAGATGTGGTGAAAGTGCATTGAGACCGGAAACAATGTTATTGTTCTCAAATACATGCCCAGAGAGCACGAAATAAATTTTTATTCAGCTGGCATTTCTGTTCCTTTCTGAACTATGGGACTGATCAAAAGAGAGAGGTTAGGTGGGGTGAGTGTGGGTCCTGGCCAGGAGAATGGAGGAGGGAGGGAAAAGCTGTGAGAAGAAGTGGAAAGAGAGGTACAAAGAATGCAGGATGGTGTCACTTCAGGGAAGGGCCTGGGATTCCTAGTAAGTATGGAGGAGAGGTGGCACCTGGGATTACCTTTGGAAGCCCACATGTAGCTGATCCCACCGCTTGCTCCTCCTCCTGCCTGGAAGTCTATGCCAACGTGACTAGATGCACAGTAGAATGGAACTGGTGCTTGATTCTCAGACTGGCACCATCATCTACCCTCAAGAGTTTTTTTCATTCCCTTCCTCCCTGTTTCCCCACCCCAACTGCCAAACCCATTGCTCCATTCTTCCCATATAACTCTACCAGGTACCCACCTCTTGGGTTCTAGTCATGTCCGAAGAAGTCTTTTATTAATTTATTTCTTGTAGAGATAGGGTCTTGCATTGTTGTCCAGGCTGGTCTTGAACTCCCGGCCTCACCTCAGCCTACCATAGTGCTAATATTATAGGTGTGAGCCACTGCTCCCAGTCTGTGTCTGACAATGTCTTGAGTGACTAAAAGGCATTTTCTTTCACTTTGTAGTCTTGGGCTTCCTTCAGTCTGCCTCTCTCCTCTTTTCCTGTGACCCCAGGCAGGCTTTGTCATTCCCTTCCTCCTCTGGGGTGCCCTCTGGGCTTCAGAGCAGCCCTGGTGAGAATCTGCAGGGCAACCTGCACACTAGCTGGCTGGGCTTCTGAGCCCCTCCACACTCACTCATATGCCTCTCCCACCTCCCTCCAGTGGTGAGATCGGGAATACAACTCACTGAGTCTCCAAGTCCAATGGATTTTCTATCCCAGGGATGAGCATGTCCTAGTCATCTTCTGTGAAGTAGAGGGAGGCTTCTGTTCCCTTCTGGGCTTCAATTCTGCACTTCCAGAGTTCCCCATTCTTCACGTTTAGTCACTCTACCTCCCTACACATATTTTTGGAATCAACCAACCAGGCTAGATGGACCAGCCAGTCCCCAACGTGAGAGCTGGCAGGGAAGTTCTTAAATAACGGTTTAGTTTTCCTATAGTGTGACAAAACTGGCTCCAAATGCCAAATGAAACCCCTTTAGTGCATGCCCCGTGTGCTCAGAAATTTGCCTTATACTCCTTCACTCACACAGAAAAGCAAAGACAAAAATAAAATAACAAAATTCAATTTCCACAACTAAATTTCCCATGTATTATTTTTCCCAACAGAGTTCATCAACAAGCCTGTGATACCTTAGGATATACTGTGTTCTGTAAATCTAAAACACCACCTTACATTTGTAAGGCTAACATTTACAGAGCACTTGGTATGTCCAAGGCTCTAGTCTAATATCCAAGTGAATATTATCTGATTTGTTCCTTGTGAGGATTAATTTGATTTCTCAACATGACTGGGTCACGAAGGAGCCCAGATATTTGGCCAAACATTATTCTAGGTATTCCCATGAGTGTGTTCGAAAAATGATTTACATTTAAATCAGTGGAATTGACTAATGTACATTGCCCTCCATAATGTGAGTGGGCCTCATCAGATCAACTGGAGATATATGTCGCCTATTCATTCTGCTTCTGTGGAGAGCCCTGATCAATACACTGTTCATAAGACCAGTGTTTTGGGGATTTATTAATTAATGGAGGCACACTGTGGTTACTTGCCTAGTAAGCTAGAAGAACACTAAAGAGGAAGTGTAAGAGCCGAAATTGCTTTTTAGTAGAACTCAGTTTGAAGTTTCCTTGCAGTGGTGAGTGTGGAGATGGGTTCAGCAGGGTGGTCTGCAGTGGGTTTGCCAAGGGTCTCTGGGATTCCACTGGAATTTCTCTCCACTGAAGGGAGAGGCTTAGCAGGTGCCTCCAGTGCTCTCCAGAGCAAATTGGGTCAGCTTCATTAAGAGTTCCTCTCTGAAGAAGGGAACTATGATCCTGACCCTGAAACAGGCCCTGGAGTCTGAGGCATGAGGGAGAAGCCTACATCTTGGAGAGGTGGACGAAGGAGGAGGGGAATCATAAAGATGGGGCTTTGCCTTCAGCCAGAAGCATTCTGCAATCTCAGGGATGAATCCAAAGATGGAAGAGGGGGTTTCTGGGAATAGGAACCTTTGTTCAGTACCTATTTTGGGGGGTGAGGTGGGGTCCCTCATGTTGTATCACAAGAAACAGATTCTATTTTATGACAGTATGATCTACCCATGGTCTTGTTCTTAAACTCTTGCAGATGCTGAGTCTCAATAGAGATGAGGAATCTGAGGGTCACAGAGCTAGTGCTTGGATGGATTTACAAATGTAGGAAGGAGGTTTGACTGATCTTGGTGTGACACCTCCTTCTTTCATTGTTTTTCTGGGAGGAGTCTGATCTCTTTTCTTTTTTTGTGAGATATAAAATATATGCAGAAAAGTTACTTACAAATGTACACAATATTTAACTAGCGACTATGACCACACAAGCACCACCTAGGTCAAGAAGCACAGTTGTCCAGTGTCCCACAAATGCCTTGCTTGCCCCCTCCCATCACACCTCTTCCCTTTCCTAGCTCCATGAGTGACTGCCTTTCTGACCTCTGTGCTAACATTCTTTCCTGGCTATGTGTTTGCAAACACTGTGATTAAAAGATTGCTTCTCAATTTTGGTCTTGTTTTCCTTCTTCAGGTTGTGTCTCCCTTGAGCAGAAACTGTCACTGCCCAAGGTGGGCTGCCGGTCTTGGTGGCTTCTAGTTCTTTTGGGAGTTTCCAGAACTGATTCTGTCTGGCTGTGACAGTGGGTTTTTTTTTTTTTTTTTTTTTTCCTGCTCAGGTCTCTGCTCTGCTACGAACCTTTATATGCTGTATGCTGATTTCGGTGTGAACTTAAGTGTTCATTTCTCTGGGATAAATGCCCTAGAGTGCAATGGCATGTTTAGTTTTTTTTTTTTTTCGCCATACTCTAGTTTCTAGAGTGGCTGTACCATTTTACATTCCCACCAGCAATGAGTGATTCAGCCATTTTCTCCACATCCAGCATGTGGTGTTATTTCTATTTCTTATTTTATTCATTCTGATAGGGGTGTAGTAATATCTCATAATGGTTTTAATTACATTTCCCCAATGATGAATCATATGGACCACATTTTTTTTTTTTCTTTTTTTTTTTGAGATGGAGTCTCGCTCTGTGGCCCCGGCTGGAGTGCAGTGGCGCGATCTCGGCTCACTGCAAGCTCCGCATATGGACCACATTTTTGTGTCCTCACTTCCCATCTACATATCATTTTAAAAGAAATATTTGTCATGTGTTTTGTCCACTTTCCTATTTTATTGATTTTTTTAAACTGTTGAATTTTCAGTGTCTTTATATATTAAAAATGAAGGTTTTTTTTTTTTTTTTTTTTTTTTTAGGATACGTGGGAAGGTAGTTTGAAACTTTTGAGGTCACCCAAATCTGCTTTTCTTTCTCTTTTTTGGGAACAGATTCTGGATTCAAGATCCCCTCCAACAGTGAAAGCCATTTTCGTGGGCCCTGGGCCCAGGATACTCCAACCTGGTCGCATACCCCTTGGGATTTCCCAGCAGCGGGCTGCAGAATATAACGTCCAGGAGTGGGGTGTCCTCTCTCTCCGGGCTCTTGGAAGACGCTGCTCCGCCTTTGATCACCTGGATTTTTAACTATTCGAATCTAGCTGAAGATCTGTGTAGCCTGGGCAAGCCTCTGCAGAACCCTGGGCTTCAGTTTCCTTCTCTGGGCACTGGGGTGATCACAGGGTCTCCCTGACCAAACCTACAAATGGAAAGTTCTCCCGGAAAGCTCTTTGTAACCACAGACGGTGATGCAATGTAAACCCTTAGAATGACCTCCTAGGATCTAGCCGTAAACCCTGTTCAAATGCCACACTTCATCCTTAGTTCTGTCCCTTCTGGAATTCTTCAGCGAAAGAAGCCTGAGTAGGGATCAGTGGAGCAGGAGGAGGAAGGGAGGGGCTGGGAAGAAGAGAGCCAGGCGGGGAGCAGAGCGCGGCGGGGGTGGTCCGTGACTCACGCGTGGCAGGGCTCACCATCGCCTCCAGGCTGCGCGCCTGCGGCCGGGTCTCCTCCCAGGTTCCCAGCCTGTTCCTTCACCCCATCTCTCTCTCTCTCTCTCTCCCTCCCTCCCTCCCTCTCTCTCTCTCTCTCTGAAATAATCGTTTCAATAAAATGCAGAAAAAGTATTCGATAAAATCCAGCATCCCTTTATGATTAAAAGCCTCAGCAAAATCAGCATAGAAGGGACATACCTTAAAGTAATAAAAGCCCTTTATGACACACCCACAGCCAACCTTATACTGCACAGAGAAAAGATGAAAGCATTCCCCCTGAGAACTGGAACAAGACGAGGACGCCCACTTTCACCACTTCTTTCAACATAGTACTGGAAGTCCTAGCAAGTGATAATTTCTTAAAGGTTAGATACAACCTGAAACCCTATCATTGACTATTTGTATTCTGTTATGTTAAAATAGATTGGTCTATCTTGCCCATTGAATGGATTTGTACTAATAATGAAAACAAACAAACAAAAACAAACCCTACACTATGTATGCCCAGTAGTTACCATATTTAACAGTGCATATCTAGAGTGCTCATAGTTTTCAATCTCCCCCAAAATATATGGTGGGACTCTCAGATTGAATATATATTAAATTATCTTCATCGAGAAGTCACGGATTTGTCCACATGGGCCTTAGACACGTCCTTAAAACACAGCAAGCCCACGAAAGTCTAATTAATATGTATATGTATAAGTGGAGGGTACAGACATTAACCGAAACATGATTTATCACCTCAACATTTTAAGTGTTCAAAAATGCCCATTGCCAGGGCTAATCATTGTCTATATTGCACTGGAATTCTGTTGTTATTGTTTGCTTTAACCAGGTGAATACAAGGAGAAGATAAGTATCCATTTTTCTCAAGACAAACTATTGGATATGACATATGTCAAGTATCCTGAAGGCTCTGTAGACATATTTTTTAAATTATAAAACAAGAGACTTAAACCTTAGAATTCTTTACCTGCTGCCCCTCCTCCCCTTGTATTCCAACAATTTTGTTTTCTTCACCCTTGGACTCCTCTTTCCTCATTGTCACAACCTAGCTGGAACAATACATGAAGTGTCTACAATTGGGCAGTGAAGAAGGATTCTCTAAGCATGACCTAAAAATAAACACCATAAAGAAGTATGAGGGTAGTTTTAAGTACTTATAAATTAAAAAACTTCTCTTTGGTAACCACAAACATAGATATATACAGACAGTTTCTCATAATCAACCTCAAAGACACATAAAAAATTTATAGACAAAATAATAATGCGTCCGAAGCTTTCTTCCAAAGTCCACTAGGAACATATCCTAGTGGGTGAAGAAGTTGGGTTTATTACTGGTTCCTGAGTGCAAGAATAGGTGCTGTGAGCCATGTGGTGTTTTGGTAAGAGGGTGTTAGAAAGAAATTCTTAAAGGATTTGGGCTTTGGTTGGGTGATCCTGGGGAGGGTGAGGAAGTGGGCTTCACTCTAGATTGGGTACTCGTCAGGAAGCAGGGGCAATTCTGTAATTGAATGTCTCAACAAATCTTAGCTCTAGTGAGGGTGGACTAGAGCAGAATAAAGCTGTAATTGGTAGACAAGCATCAGCCCCTGGTATTAGTGGAGAGAGTGCTTAGACAAAATTATGAAGTGTTCTTGTATTTCCTCACTTTATCATCATCTCAGAGTGAACTTTCTAATGTTGGTGTTTTGTGGTGATTGTGGTCCAATAGGAGAATAACATGGCTTAACAATGAACATTGGGCCAGCTTCATATAACAAGGAGTCCCAGCCATAAGTGTCAGATCAGTTCCTAGATATCAGAGGCTTCTTGTTTTCTTTCTTAAATTCAACATTTAAAAATATCTACGTCCCATTTGGAAAAGGATTAATGAATATTAGAGCATAATTTGGCATAGAAAATGCAAGTGTCAAATATAATAGTAATAAGTAAATGTCAACAAAATTAAAATGTGGATTAGGAAATGGGATGGAAGTTTAATATATCTTAGCTTGGCAAAGATGAAAGTCAAAGATAATAATATTGAGTGGAGAATAGGGGAAATTTACTGTCATAAAAGTTGATGGGATTAAATACTGGCATACAATTTCTAAAGAGTCAGGCATGTTGGCTTAATGCCTGTAATCCCAGCACTTTGGGAAGCTGAGGTGGGCAGATTGCTTGAGTCCAGGAGTTCCAGACCAGCCAGGGCAACATGGCGAAACCCCATCTCTACAAAAAATACAAAAAAAATTAGGCATGGTGGCACCCTCCTGTAGTCCCAGGAGGATCGCCTGAGCCGGGGAGGTCAAGGCTACGGTGAGCTGTGATCACACCACTGCACTCCAGCCTGAGGAACAGAGTGAGACCCCATCTCAAAGAAAAAACACCCCAGTGTCTAAAGAGCATTTTTGGAAAATGTCTCAAGAAGATCATGTTGATGCAAAAAACTTATCTTCTAAAAATGTAGCCTAAGAAGAAAATCACACGTTTTTAAAAATATATAACAAGAATATTCCTTGAATTATCGTTTATAAAACAAAAGAATGAAAACAACCAAAATAGTATAATCAATATGATGTTAGCTATGAATTGTGGACACTTAATATGTCTCAGTCAGTAATAATGTGTATAATACATAGACAATATATAATTTAATCATCAGAGAAAACCCATCAGGAATCTACTATGTGACTCAGAGAGGTTGAGGAGGTGGTGAAGCTGGATTGAAGCCAGGAGATCTTCTCTCAGACACCTAATTGACTCATCTTTTGTTGATGCTCTGCCCATAAGGTAGGTGAGTGTGACTCTGCACCCCATGCAAGTGAACCATTTCAATGTCCGTGAACATTCTATGACAGGCAGCTGCTAGGCTTAGAGCTCGGGAGGACAAAAGGGCATGTGTGACTTCACTGCCCACACCACACTAAAGTCCATCATCCGGTGTATATTTCAAGGTGAATCAAGATATTAGCTAGACATTGAAGATAGAAGAAGAGCTAAAGTAAGATCTTGATGATATGGAGCTTGCACTGTCATGAGAGAGACGGACATTTAGCAAAAATTACCAAGATAAATGTGAAACCACTACATTTATGAATTCTGAGAGAAAATTTCATAATATCGTGAAAGAAGATAACAAGGAGACCCAACAAGTCCCCTGCTACTATTATCAATAATATATAAAGGATGTAAGAAAATAAGTGGCATTTATGAAATAGGAACTCATTTATGTAAAATTATACACAAGAACGAGCTCTGGAAATTAAAAATGTGATTACAGAATCATAGAAATGAACAATTCATTAGATAATTTGGAAGACAAAAGTCATAATAAAATGGAAAAATGTTTGCAAAAAAGAAAGAAAAAGTGTAAGAACATTATACTATCAGGCCAAGTGTGGTGGCTCAAGCCTATAATCCTAGTGCTTTGGAGGCTAAGGAAAGAGAATTGCTTGAGCCCAGGAGTTCAAGACCAGCCAGGGCAACACAAGGAGACCCCGTATCAAAAAAACAAACAAACAAACAAACAACAAAAAATGCAATGTTTCAAAAGACTACATGAAGAATAGACTCAGAGATTGTCCTATGAAGACTGCCATAGTATAGGGCAGTAGTTGCAGGGAGACATGGGATCAGAGATCAAGGGATAAATTTCGATGGGAAGATTTTGTTTTGATTTGTTTAGTCCAGTTTTGTTTGTTTTTTTGGGGGGAGATATTACAGCACGTCTGCCTGTAGAAATGATGGGCCAGTAGAGAGTGGAAATTGATGATATAGGGGAAGGAAGGATTGATCTTATGCTTGAGTGCAGGGGTGGTCTTAGGAGCGGGGATCATCCATCATCACTGGTGGGAAGGCTGAGGATACAAGTGCAGATTTGGGGATAGTAATGGGATGGTGATGCATTTCTCACCTGGGTCCTCCTTTTTTTCCTGCGTGAAAGAGAAATAAATGTATAACCTAAAAATAGGGAGTGTGGAAGGAGTGGAGGGATGTGAGGGCAGAGAACAAAGTGAGAAACAGCCCCCTGAGGAATTGTAAGAGTGAACTGACCTGGGAGATGGCATTTGGAGAGTGCAGGGCTGTGGGCCACTGAGGTCTGTGGTCATAACTTTGGGGGTGGGAGAGAGAGAGAGAGAGAGAGAGAGAGAGATAGAGAGAGAGAGAGAATGGCACACATCCAGTAATGGGGCAGCAGCAGGAAAATATATAACTGACTAGAAGGAAATGAAACCACATATCTCTGCTGTAAGGATCATGGGATAGTTTAAATTTGTAATTGATCATTTGAAATATTTGGTAATTTTTCTGCAGTGAATATATATTACATTATAATGAGAAAAAGTTATATTTACAAATTAAAAAGGGAATGTTGATGGAGAAAGTGTAGATAATTTAGAAATATCAGAGAGGATAGAACATACTGAAGGGAATAAAAATAATTGCCTCTTTCCCCAACCCAACTCGGATCCCCATACCAACTACTCACATGCTCTGTTTTTAGAGGGACTCAAAAGCCTGTTTTATCCCAAATGCTTTTTCATAGGGTGACATGGAACTTTAGGGTAAGACTTGGCCTCTAGAATTCACCATTCCCTAGAGAACATGGTGCCCTACAGAAGAAAATCATCATCACTAACGTTGTCATTAGCACCACAAATTGCAGTACCAGCAATTGTGTCAAATGTGTTACAAGCCCTATTGCTATTTAATTTAATTTTCACACAAAAGAAAGTATTTACAGACAAAGAACTGAGCTCTATGAAGCCTCAAATAGCTTTCTGTATGTCATGCTGATCAGAGCAGTCCCAGGATATCCAGGTCTGTCTGACTCGAAGACCCAGGTCCTTTAAATAAATACATACTATTTTGGCTTTACAAGGAATGGGCAGTGTTTTGCACATGTGCCATATTCCGCTTCCTGTGCTGGTGTTTTGCATTCATTATTTCATATCATCCTTATCTAGCCCACACTATGCTCCACTAGGCTGGATGGACTTACAGCATCAGTGGATTCCCATTTTGGACCATGCAGATGATGTGAATTTCAGCTGCAGATCTTTGTGAAAAGGACCGGTTTTCTTATTCATCCCTACCCAGATAAGCTGTGTGTGTGTTTGTGTGTGTAGCTTAATGTAGATCTCCAATTAAAGGCAGTAGAGAGTGGAATAATCACTGGCTGATCAAGAATATACTCACAGTCCACAGCATGATTTACCTATCTCTGTACTGTTTTGCTCCCACTAACTGTAGCAAGTGCTGGATGCTCCTCACATGGCCAACAAGGTGTTCTTCTTCCCTAAGTCTGCAGCCCTCTTTCCTTGTCTACCCCAACCCCAAAATTCCAACTTTGTTCTGCCACTGCACCAAGTGCTTGCTTAAGGGCAGCAATTACCATTTTCCTAGCTCTTCATATCTTTAGAGTAGGCATCTTAAAGACAAAATATCCTCTCATGAGCAGATGCAAAGTGACACAGCACAGCACAGCACCAATTGATTATTGTGTAGAAACTCTCATCCAGTGAGTGAGAGGAGGGATGAAAAGGGTGAAAAGGGCAACCCCATCCTGCTATGTCCCATTGTTATTAATTGGGGATATTACTCCCAGTTTATATATTAAGAAACCAATGCTCAGTAATGAGGGTAATTTGTCCATAGTAATAAAAAAATGGTAAAGGCCATGTTCAAATTCAGACCAATTTTATTTCAGGGCCCATGTTTCCTTCATACATCATCCCTTGTGGCCAAAGTCATTGGCAGCAGCCATTGAAGAGGCCTCAGGTGTAGGAATGTCCAGGGTTTCCCTTTTTTCTGAGACAGGGTCTTGCTCTGTCGCCCAGTCTGGAGTGCAGTGGTATGAACACAGCTCACCGCTGCTTTGACTTCTTGGGCTCAAGTGGTCCTCCTGCCTCAGCTTCCTGAGCAGCTGGGACCACAGGTATGCACTATCACGTCTTATTAATTTTTCTTTTTTAAGAGACAGCGTCTGCCATATTTCCCAGGCTGGAGTGCAGTGGCATGACTACAACTTACTGCAGTCTCAACCTACAACCTCAGCCTGCCAAGTAGTTGGGACCACAGGCACATGTCACCACACTCAGCTAATTACAATTTTTTTTTTTTTTTGGTAAAGATGCAGTCTCCCTAAGTTGCCTAGGCTGGTCTTAAACTTCCAGGCTCAAGTGATACACCCTCCTCTATCTCCCAAAGTGCTGAGATTATAGGCATGAGACACTGTACCTGGCTACTACTGATTTTTGTATGTTGATTTTGTATTATGCAACTTTACTGAATTTGTTTATCAGTTCTAATAGTTCTTTGGTGGAGTCTTGTAGATTTTTCCAAATATAAGATTATATCATCTGCAAACAAGGATAATTTGACTTCTATTTCTTTCTCTTGTCTGATTGCTCTAGCTAGGGTTTCCAATACTATGGTCAATAACGGTGGTGAAAGCAGGCAACCTTGTTGTGTTACTGATCTTAGAGGAAAGGCCTTCAATTTTTCCCCATTCATTTAGTATGATACTAGCTGTGGGTTTGTTGTACATAATGGCTTATTATGTTAAGGTATGTTCCTTCTATACTCAGTTTTTTGACAGTCTTTATCATGAAGGAATGTTGAATTTTATTGACTGTTTTTACAGCATCAATTGAAATGATTATATGGTTTTTGTCTTTCATTCTGTTGAATATGATGTATCACATTGATTGACTTGCATATTTTGAACCATCCTTGCATCCCTAGGATAAATCCCACTTGGTCATGAGGAATGATCTTTTTAATGTGTTGTCGATTTTTATTTGCTAGTATTTTGTTGAGGATTTTTGCAACAATATTTGTCAGTAATATTGGCCTATAGCTTCCTTTTTTTGATGTGTCTTTGTCCGGTTTTGGTATCAGGGTAATACTGCCCTTGTAGGATGATTTTGGAAGTATTCCTTCCTGAATTTTTTGGAACAGTTTGAACAGGATTGGTATTAGTTTTTCTTTAAATGTTTGGTAGAATTCAGCAGTGAAGCCATCAGGGCTTTTCTTTGCTGGGAGACTTTTTGTTATGACTTTTATCTGATTACTTGCTATTGGTCTGTTCAGGTTTTGGATTTTGTTCACCATTCAATCTTGGTAGGTTATATGTATCTAGGAATCTACCCATTTCTTCTAGGTTTTCCAATTTATTGGCATGTAGTTGCCCATAGTAGCCACTGATGATCCTTTGAATTTCTGCAGTATCAGTTGTAATGTCTCTTTTTTCATGTTTGATTTTATTTATTTGGGTCTTCTGTCTTTTTCTGTTAGTCTGGCTAATGATTTGTCAATTTTGTTTAACTTTTCAAAAAACTTACTTTTTGTTTCATTGATCTTTGGTATTGTTTTCTTCATTTCAAACTCATTTACTTTTGTTCTGATCTTCATATTTCTTTTCTTCTACTAATTTTGGGTTTGGTTTTCCCTTGCTTTTCTAGCTATTTAAGATGCATTGTTGTATTGTTTATTTGAAGTTTTTCTTTTTTTTTTGATGTAGCTACTTATAGCTATAAACTTCCCTCTTAGTATTACTTTCACTGTATCCCTTAGGTTTTGGTATGTTGCATTTCCATTATCATTTATTTTCAGAATTTTTTCAATTTCTCTTTCTATAAATAAATAAATACATATATTATATATATTCTACATATATATTTTTTCCTTTTTAATTTTATTTATTTATTTTTATTATACTTTAAGTTCTAGAGTACAAGTGCACAATGTGCAGGTTTGTTACATAGGTATACATGTTGGTTTGCTGCACCCATTAACTCGTCATTTACATTAGGTATTTCTCCTAATGCTATCCCTCTCCCAGCCCCCTCTCCATGACTGTCCCCGGTGTGTGATGTTCGCCGCCCTGTGTCCAAGTGTTCTCATTGTTCAGTTTCCACCTATGAGTGAGAATATGCAGTGTTTGGTTTTCTGTCCTTGTGATAGTTTCCTCAGAATGATGGTTTCCAACTTCATCCATGTCCCTGCAAAGGACATGAACTCATCCTTTTTTATGGCTGCTTAGTATTCCATGGTGTATATGTGCCACATTTTCTTAATCCAGTCTATCATTGATGGACATTTGGGTTGGTGTCAAGTCTTTGCTATTGTGAATAGTGCCACAATAAACATATGTGTGCATGTGTCTTTATAGTAGCCTGATTTATAATCCTTTGGGTATATACCCAGTAATGGGATCACTGGGTCAAATGGTATTTCTAGTTCTAGATCCTTGAGGAATTGCCACACTGACTTGTACAATGGTTGAACTAGTTTACACTCCCACTGACAGTGTAAAAGTGATCCTATTTCTCCACACCCTCTCCAGTATCTGTTGTTTCCTGACTTTTTAATATCACCATTCTAACTGGCATGAATGCTATCTCATTGTGGTTTTGATTTGCATTTCTCTGATGACCAGTGATGATGAGCATTTTTTCATGTGTCTATTGGCTGCATAAATGTCTTCTTTTGAGAAGTGTCTGTTTATATCCTTGGCCCACTTTTTGATGGGGTTGTTTGTTTCTTTCTTGTAAATTTGTTTAAGTTCTTTGTAGATTCTGGATATTAGCCCTTTGTCAGATGGGTAGATTGCAAAAATTTTCTCCCATTCTATAAGTTGCTTGTTCACTCTGATATTAGTTTCTTTTACTGTGCAGAAGCTCTTTAGTTTAATTAGATCCCATTTGTCTATTTTGGCTTTTGTTGCCGTTGCTTTTGGTGTTTTAGTCATGAAGTTCTTGCCCATGCCTATGTCCTGAATGGTATTGCCTAGGTTTTCTTCTAGGGTTTTTATGGTTTTAGGTCTAACATTTAATTCTTTAATCCATCTTGAATTAATTTTTGTATAAGGTGTAAGGAAGGGATCCTGTTTCAGCTTTCTACATATGGCTAGCCAGTTTTCCCAGCACCATTTATTAAATACGGAATCATTTCCCCATTTCTTGTTTTTGTCAGGTTTGTCAAAGATCAGATGGCTGTAGATGTGGGGTGTCATTTCTGAGGCCTCTGTTCTGTTCCATTGGTCTATATCTCTGTTTTGGTACCAGTACCATGCTGTTGTGGTTACTGTAGCCTTGTAGTATAGTTTGAAGTCAAGTAGCGTGATGCCTCCAGCTTTGTTCTTTTGGCTTAGGATTGTATTGGCAATGCAGGCTTTTTTTTTGGTTCCATATGAACTTTAAAGTAGCTTTTTCCAATTCTGTGAAGAAAGTCATTGGTAGCTTGATGGGGATGGCATTGAAAGTGTAAATTACCTTGGGCAATATGGCCATTTTCACGATATTGATTTTTCCTATCCATGAGCATGGAATATTCTTCCATTTGTTTGTGTCCTCTTTTATTTTGTTGAGCAGTGGTTTGTAGTTCTCCTTGAAGAGGTCCTTCATATCCTTTGTAAGTTGGATTCCTAGGTATTTTATTCTCTTTGCAGCAATCGTGAATGGGAGTTCACTCATGATTTGGCTCTCTGTTTGTCTGTTATTGGTGTACAGAAATGCTTGTGATTCTTGCACATTGATTTTATATCCTGAGACTTTGCTGAAGTTGCTTATCAGCTTAAGGAGATTTTGGGCTGAGATGATGGGGTTTTCTAGATATACAATCATGTCATCTGCAAACAGGGACAATTTGACTTCCTCTTTTCCTAATTGAATACCCTTTATTTCTTTCTCTTGCCTGATTGCCCTGGCCAGAACTTCCAACATTATGTTGAATAGGAGTGGCGAGAGACGGCATCCCTGTCTTGTGCCAGTTTTCAAAGGGAATACTTCCAGTTTTTGCCCATTCAGTATGATATTGACTGTGGGTTTGTCATAAATAGCTCTTATTATTTTGAGATACGTTTCATCAATATCTAGTGTATTGAGAGTTTTTAGCATGAAGGGCTGTTGAATTTTGTCAAAGGCCTTTTCTGCATCTATTGAGATAATCATGTGGTTTTTGTCATTGGTTCAGTTTATGTGATGGATTATGTTTATTGATTTGCATATGTTGAACCAGCCTTGCATCCCAGGGACAAAGCCAACTTGATTGCAATGGATAAACTTTTTGATGTGCTGCTGGATTCAGTTTGCCAGTATTTTATTGAGGATTTTCGCATTGATGTTCATCAGGGATATTGGTCTAAAATTCTTTTTTTTGTTGTTGTGTCTCTGCCAGGCTTTGGTATCAGAATGATGCTGGCCTCATAAAATGAGTTAGGGAGGATTCCCTTTTTTCTATTGATTGGAATAGTTTCAGAAGGAATGGTACCAGCTCCTCCTTGTACCTCTGGTAGAATTTGGCTGTGAATCCATCTGGTCCTGGACTTTTTTTGGTTGGTAAGCTATTAATTATTGACTCAATTTCAGAGCCTGTTATTGGTCTATTCAGAGATTCAACTTCTTCCTGGTTTAGTCTTGGGAGGGTGTATGTGTTGAGGAATTTATCCATTTCTTCTAGATTTTCTAGTTTATTTGCGTAGAGGTGTTTATAGTATTCTCTGATGGTAGTCTGTATATCTGTGGGATCGGTGGTGATATCCCCTTTATCATTTTTTATTGTGTCTATTTGATTCTTCTCTCTTTTCTTCTTTATTAGTCTTGCTAGCGGTCTATCAATTTTGTTGATCTTTTCAAAAAACCACCTCCTGGATTCATTGATTTTTTGAAGGGTTTTTTATGTCTCTATCTCCTTAAGTTCTGCTCTGATCTTACTTATTTCTTGCCTTCTGCTGTCTTTTGAATGTAAAGTTTGCTCTTGCTTCTCTAGTTCTTTTAATCGTGATGTTAGGGTGTCAATTTTAGATCTTTCCTGCTTTCTCTTGTGGGCATTTAGTGCTATAAATTTCCCTCTACACATTGCTTTAAATGTGTCCCAGAGATTCTGGTATGCTGTGTCTTTGTTCTCATTGGTTTCAAAGAACATCTTTATTTGTGCCTTCATTTCATTATGTACCCAGTAGTCATTCAGGAGCAGGTTGTTCAGTTTCCATGTAGTTGAGCGGTTTTGAGTGAGTTTGTTAATCCTGAGTTCTAGTTTGGTTGCACTGTGGTCTGAGCAACAGTTTGTTATAATTTCTGTTCTTTTATATTTGCTGAGGAGTGCTTTACTTCCAACTATGTGGTCAATTTTGGAATAAGTGCGGTGTGGTGCTGAGAAGAATGTACATTCTGTTGATTTGGGGTGGAGAGTTCTGTAGATGTCTATTAGGTCCGCTTGGTGCAGAACTGAGTTCAATTCCTGGATATCCTTGCTAACTTTCTGTCTCGTTGATCTGTCTAATGTTGACAGTGGGGTGTTAAAGTCTCCCATTATTATTGTGTGGGAGTCTAAGTCTCTTTGTAGGTCACTCAGGACTTGCTTTATGGATCTGGGTGCTCCTGTATTGGGTGCATATCTATTTAGGATAGTTAGCTCTTCTTGTTGAATTGATCCCTTTACCATTATGTAATGGCCTTCTTTGTCTCTTTTGATCTTTGTTGGTTTAAAGTCTGTTTTATCAGAGACTGGGATTGCAACCCCTGCCTTTTTTTGTTTTCCATTTGCTTGGTAGATCTTCCTCCATCCCTTTATTTTGAGCCTATGTGTGTCTCTGCACATGAGATGGGTTTCCTGAATACAGCACACTGATGGGTCTTGACTCTTTATCCAATTTGCCAGTCTGTGTCTTTTAATTGGAACATTTAGCCCATTTACATTTAAGGTTAATATTGTTATGTGTGAATTTGATCCTGTCATTATGATGTTAGCTGGTTATTTTGCTTGTTAGTTGATGCAGTTTCTTCCTAGCATCGATGGTCTTTACAATTTGGCATGTTTTTGCAGTGGCTGGTACCAGTTGTTCCTTTCCATGTTTAGTGCTTCCTTCAGGAGCTCTCGTAGGGCAGGCCTGGAGGTGACAAAATTTCTGAGCATTTGCTTGTCTGTAAAGTATTTTATTTCTCCTTCACTTATGAAGCTTAGTTTGGCTGGATATGAAATTCTGGGTTGAAAATTCTTTTCTTTAAGAATGTTGAATATTGGCCCCCAGTCTCTTCTGGCTTGTAGAGTTTCTGCTGAGAGATCCGCTGTTAGTCTGATGGGCTTCCCTTTGTGGGTAACCCAACCTTTCTCTCTGGCTGCCCTTAACATTTTTTCCTTCATTTCAACTTTGGTGAATCTGACAATTAATGTGTCTTGGAGTTGCTCTTCTCACGGAGTATCTTTATGGCATTCTCTGCATTTCCTGAATTTGAATGTTGGTCTGCCTTGCTAGGTTGGGGAAGTTCTCCTGGATAATATCCTGCAGAGTGTTTTCCAACTTGGTTCCATTCTCCCTGTCACTTTCAGGTACACCAAGCCAACGTAGATTTGGTCTTTTCACATAGTCCCATATTTCTTGGAGGCTTTGTTCATTTCTTTTTATTCTTTTTTCTCTAAACTTCTCTTCTTGCTTCATTTCATTCATTTGATCTTCAATCTCTGTTACCCTTTCTTCCAGTTGATTGAATCGGCTACTGAATCTTGTGCACGCATCACGTAGTTCTCCTGCCATGGTTTTCAGCTCCATCAGGTCCTTTAAGGACTTCTCTGCATTGGTTATTCTAGTTAGCCATTCGTCTAATCTTGTTTCAAGGTTTTTAACTTCTTTGCAATGGGTTTGAACTTCCTCCTTTAGCTTGGAGAAGTTTGATCGTCTGAAGCCTTCTTCTCTCAGCTCATCAAAGTCATTCTCCGTCTAGCTTTGTTCCGTTGCTGGTGAGGAGCTGCATTCCTTTGGAGGAGGAGAGGCACTCTGAGTTTTAGAATTTTCAATTTTTCTGCTCTGTTTTTTCCCCATCTTTGTGGTTTTATCTACCTTTGGTCTTTGATGATGGTGACGTACAGATGGGGTTTTGGTGTGGATGTTCTTTCTGTTTGTTAGTTTTCCTTCTAACAGTCAGGACCCTCAGCTGCAGGTCTGTTGGAGTTTGCTGGAGGTCCACTCCAGACCCTGTTTGCCTGGGTATCAGCAGCAGAGGCTGCAGAACAGTGAATATTGCTGAACAGCAAATGTTGCTGCCTGATCGTTCCTGTGGAAGTTTTGTCTCAGAGGGGTACCTGGCCGTGTGAGGTGTCAGTCTGCCCCTACAGGGAGATGCCTCCCAGTTAGGCTTCTCAGGGGTCAGGGACCCACTTGAGGAGGCAGTCTGTTCATTCTCAGATCTCAAACTCCATGCCGGAAGAACCACTACCCTCTTCAAAGCTGTCAGACAGGCACATTTAAGTCTGCAGAGGTTTCTACTGCCTTTTGTTCGGCTATGCCCTGCCTCCAGCGGTGGAGTCTACAGAGGCAGGCAGGCCTCCTTGAGCTGCAGTTGGTTCCACCCAGTTCAAGCTTCCCGGTCGCTTTGTTTACCTACTCAAGCCTCAGCAATGGTGGGCGCCCCTCCCCCAGCCTTGCTGCCACCTTGCAGTTTGATCTCAGACTGCTGTGCTAGCAATGAGGGAGGCTCCATGGGCTTGGGACCCTCCGAGCCAGGTGCAGGATATAATCCCCTGGTGTGCCATTTGCTCAGACCATTGGAGAAGCGCAGTATTAGGGTGGGAGCTACCCGATTTTCCAGGTGCCGTCTGTCACAGCTTTGCTTGGCTAGGAAAAGGAATTTCCTGACCCCTTGTGCTTCTTGGGTGAGGCGATGCCTTGCCCTGCTTCAGCTTATGCTCGGTGCACTGCACCCACTGTTCTGCACCCACTGTCCGACAAGCCCCAGTGAGATGACCCTGGTACCTCAGTTGGATATGCAGAAATCACCCATCTTCTGCATGGCTCACGCTGGGAGCTATAGACTGGAGCTGTTCCTATTTGGCCATCTTGGAACTGCTCCCCAGTGTTGTGTAGGTTTTTGTAAAGAGATTGTTCATTTCCTTGCTTAAATTTATTCCTGTTTTTCTGGGGGGTTTTTGTCGCTATCATAAATGGGACTGCTTTTAAATTTCTTTCTTAGCTACTTCATTACTAATGTGTAGACATTATATTGATTTTTGCATGTTGATTTTGCATCTTGCCACTTTACTGAATTTATTTATTGGATCTAATTGTTTTTTGGTGGCATCTTTAGATTTTTTTAGACATAGGATTATACCATTGGCAGGAAGGCAAGAGAGGCTGAAGGTTAAGCTGATGGCCATGATGTAATGAATCATGCCTAAGAAATATGGCTTCCATCAAAACCCAAAAGGGAAGAGTCAGAGAGCTTCTGTATGGCTGAACACAGGGAGGCTTATAGGAAGGTGAACAATAACTCAGACATGTGCCAGGGAGGGTAGCACTTCCCAAACACATGGGGCAGAAGCTCCTGCACTCAAGACCCTTTCAGACCTCACCCTATGTATCTCTTCATGTGGCTCTTATCTCTTCATGTGGCTCTTTATCCTTTAAAATATCCTTTTAAATAAACTGGTTAATGTATGTAAGTGTTTCCTGGCATGCTATGAGCCATTCTAGCAAATCAATCAAACCTGAGGGTGGGTTTTGGGAACCCTGATTTATAGTCAGTGAGTTAGCAACACAGGCAAAATAATCTGGGGCTTGAGATTGTCATCAGAAGTGAGAGGGTGACAGTCGTGAGGACTGAGCCATCAACTTGCGGGATCTAAAATTATCTCCAGGGAGATAGTGTCAGAATTGAGTTAGAGGATACCCAGCTGGCGTCCATAACAGAACCAATTGTTTGCTTGTTTTTGGGGAGAAATCCCCTACATTTCATCGCAGAAGCCTTCTGTGTTGATAGTTGTTGGGGTGTAAGAACAGTAGAAAAAAGACTTTGAATTTTCCCACAAAATTTTGCCACAAAAATGTGGTTAAAAGATTTTTTAAAAACTGGCACATTTGTCTAGAGCACTTACCATGAATGGAGCTTACAGGACTGGAAATTGCTCTGGGTGTCAGTGAGTGGCGAGTGAATGTGAAGTCTAGGGCATTACTATACACTACTTAGACTTTATAAACACTGTACATTTAGGCTACACTAAATTAATTTTAAAAATCATTTTCTTTCTTTAATAATAAATTAATCTTAGCTTACTGTAACTTTTTAATCTTTTTTTCTCCACCCTTTTTTTAAGTTCAGGGGTACATGTACAGAATGTGCAGGTTTGTTACGTAGGTAAATGTGTGCCATGGTGGTTTGCTGCAGAGATCGTCCCATCACCTAGGTATTAAGGCCAACATCCATTGGCTATTCTTCCTGGTGCTTCCCTCCCCCAGCCCCATGCCCTCTAACAGACCCCAGTGTGTGTTGTTCTCCCCCATGTATCCATGTGTTGTCATCATTCAGCTCCCACTTATAAGTGAGAACACATGGTGTTTTGTTTTCTGTTCCTGGGTCAGTTTGCTGAGGATAATGGCTTCCCACTCCATTCATGTCCCTGCAAAGGACATGGTCTTATTCCTTTATGTGGCTGCATCGCATTCCATGTTGTATATGTACCACATTTTCTTTATCCAGTCTATCATTGATGGGCATTTATGTTGATTCCATGTCTTTGCTATTGTGAATAGTGCTGCAATGAACATATGCGTGTATATATCTTTATAATAGAATGATTTATATTCCTTTGGGTATGTATCCAGTAATGAGATTGCTAGGTCAATTTCTGCCTCTAGGTTTTTGAGGAATCACCACACTGTCTTCCACAATGGTTGAACGAATTTACATTTCCACCAACAGTGTGAAAGCATTGCTTTTTCTCTGTGACTTCACCAGCATCTCTTGTTTTTTGACTTATTAATAGCCACTCTGGTATCTCATTGTGGTTTTTATTTGCATTTCTCTAATTATCAGTGATGTTCAACTTTTCTCATATGTTTGTTGGCTGCATGTATGTCTTTTTTTGAGAGGTGTCTGCTCATGTCCTTTGCCTACTTTTTAATGGGGTTGTTTGTTTTTTTCTTGTAAATTTGCTGAAGCTCCTTGTAAACTCTGGATATTAGACCTTTGTCAGATGTATAGATTGCAAAAATCTTCTCCTATTCTGCAGGTTGTCTATTCACTCTGCTGATAGTTTCCTTTGCTGTGCAGAAGCTCTTTAGTTTAATTAATTCCATTAGTCAATTTTTGCTTTTGTTGCAATTGCTTTTGGAGTCTTCATCATGAAATCTTTGCCCATGCCTATGTTCTGAAGAGTATTGCATAGATTTTCTTCTAGCGTTTTTATAGTTTTGGGTTTTACATTTAAGTCTTTAATCCATCTTGAATTAATTTTTGTATATAGTTTAAGGAACGGGCCTAGTTTCAATTTTCTGCATATGGCAAGCCAGTTCTCCCAGCACCATTTATTAAATAGGGAATTCTTTCCCCATTACTTGTTTTGGTCAGACTTGTCAAAGATCAGATGGTTGTAGGTGTGTGATCTTATTTCACAGTTCTTTATTCTGTTCCATTGGTCTATGTATCTGTTTTTGTATCAGTACCATGCTGTTTTAGTATTGTAACCTTGTAGTATAGTTTGAAGTCAGGTAATGTGATGCCTCCAGTTTTGTTCTTTTTGCTTAGAATTGTCTTGGCTATTCAGGCTCTTTTTTTGGTTCCATATGAATTTAAAAATAGTTTTGTTTTTTTTTTCAGGCTAGGCGCAGTGGCCCACGCCTATAATCCCAGCACTTTGGGAGGCTGAGGTGGACAGATCATGAGGTCAGGAGTTCAAGACTAGCCTGGCCAACATTGTGAAACCCCATCTCTACTAAAAATACAAAAATTAGCTGGGCGTGGTGGTGCGCATTTGCAATCCCAGCTACTTGGGAGGTTGAGGCAGGAGAATCGCTTGAACCTGGGGACGCGGAGGTTGCAGTGAGCCGAGATCACGCCACTGCACTCCAGCCTGGGTGACAGAGCAAGACTCTATCTTAAAAAAAAAAATAGTGTTTTTTTTTCTTCTAATTCTGTGAAGAATGTCTATGATAGTTTAATGGGAATAGCATCACATCTACAAATTACTTTGGGCAGTATGGCCATTTTCATGATATGGATTCTTCCTATCCATGAACATGGAATGTTATCCTATTTGTTTGTATCCTCTCTGATTTTTCTTTGAGCAGTGGTTTGTAGTTCTCCTTGAAGAGGTCCTTCACTTCCCTTGTTAGCTGTATTCCTAGGTATTTCATTCTTTCTGTAGGAATTGTGAATGGGAGTTGATGATTTGGCTCTCTGCTTGCCTGTTGTTGGTATATAGGAATGCTAGCGATTTTTGCACATTCTGTATCCTGAGACGTTGCTGAAGTTCCTTATCAGCTTAAGAAACTGCTGTTCTCATGATGGTGAAACTAATATAAGTGGTGAGAGGCTTGTCTGGTGCCGGTTTTCAAGGGGAATGTTTCCAGCTTTTGCCCATTCAGTATGATATTGGCTGTGGGTTTGTCATATATTGCCCTTATTATTTTGAGATCTCTTCCTTCAACACCTAGTTTATTAAGAGTTTTTAACATGAAAGTATATTGAATTTTATCAAGTGCCTTTTCTGCATCTATTGAGATAATCATGTGGTTTTTTTCTTTAGTTCTGTTTATGTTATGAATCGCATTTATTGATTTGTGTATGTTGAACCAACCTTGCATCCTGGGGATGAAGCCAACTTGATTGTGATGAATAAGCTTTTTGATGTGCTGCTGGATTCGGTTTGCCAGAATTTTATTGAGGATTGTTGCATTGATGTTCATCATGCATGGCCCGAAGTTTTCTTTTTTTGTTATATCTCTGCCAAGTTTTGGTATCAGGATGATGCTGGCCTTTTAAAATGAGTTAGGGAAGAGTCCCCCCTTTTCAATTGTTTGGAATAGTTTTAGTGAAAATGGTACCAGCTCTCCTTTGTACTTTTGATAGAATTCAGCTATCAATCTGTCTGGTCCTCGGCTTTTTTTGGTTGGTAGGCTATTTATTGCCTCAACTTCAGAACTCATTACTGGCCTGCTAAGAGTTTCAATTTCTTCCTGGTTCAGTCTTGGGAGGGTGTATGTGGGCAGGAATTTATCAACTTCTTCTAGATTTTCTAGTTTATTTGCATAGAGGTGTTCGTAGTATTCTCTGATTGTTGTTTGTATTTCTGTGGGGCCAGTGGTAATATCACCCTTGTTATTTCTGATTTGTTTATTTGATTCTTCTCTCTCTTCTTCTCTATTAGTCTAGATAGTGTTCTATTTTATTAATTCTTTCAAAAAAACAGCTCCTAGATTCATTAACGTTTTGAAGGGTTTTGTGTGTCTCTCTCTCCTTCAGTTCAGCTCCGATCTTGGTTATTTCTTGTCTTCTGCTAGCTTTGGGATTTGTTTTTGTTTCTCTAGTTCTTTTAGTTGTGATACTAGATTGTTAACTTGAGATTTTTCTGGTGTTTTGATATAGGCATTTAGTGCTATAAATTTCCCTCTTTACACTGCTGTAGCTGTGTCCCAAAGATTCTGATACATTGTCTCTTCATTCTCATTAGCTTCAAATAACTTATTGATTTCTGCCTTAATTTAATAATTTACCCAACAGTCATTCAGGAGCAGGTTGTTCAATTTCCATGTAGTTGTATGGTTTTGAGCGAATTTCTTACTTTTGGTTTCTAATTTGATTGTGCTGTGGTCTGAGAGACTGTTTATTATGATTTCAGTTCTTTTTGCATTTGCTGAGGAGTGTTTTACTTTTGATTATGTGACCAATTTTAGAGTAGGTGCTGTGTAGCAATGAGAAGAATGTATATTCTGTTGTTTTTGGGTGGAAAGCTCTGTAGGTGTCTATCAGATCCACTTGATCCAAAGCTGAGTTCAAGTCTTGAACTTTTTCATATTTATAAACCTTAATTTTTTAAAAAATTCAACTATTTTGTAATAGCACTTAGCTTAAAACACCAGCACATTATTCAGCTATACAAAAATATTTTTCCTTATATTCTCATTCTAGAAACTATTTCTACTTAATTTTTTAACCTTTTAATCTTTTTTGGTAAAAACAAAGACATACATTAGCCTAGGCTGACACAGGGTCAGGATCAACAATATCACCAACTTCAGCCTTCACATCTTGTCCCACTGTTATTTCACAGGTAATAACAAGCATGGAACTGTCATCTCCTGTGATAACAATGCCTTCTTCTGGAATACCTCCTAAAGGACCTGCCTGACGCTGTTTTAATTTAACTTAAAAAATAATTAGAGCACACTCTAAAATCACCATAAAAAGTATAGTAAATACATAAACCAGTAACATATTTATTATCATCAAGTATTACATGCTGTTTTTAACTGTATGGGGTAGACTTTTATAGGATTGGCAGTGCAGTAGGTTTATTTACATCAGCATCACCACAAGCACATGATTAATGCATTGTGTTATGACATTACAATGGCTACAATGTCACTAGGTGATAGGAATTTTTCAGCTCCGTTTAATAGGATGACAGTCGTATACGTGATCAATCATTGACAGAAACATCATTAAGCAGTGCATGACTGTATAACACAGTGATGTGTGTGTGTGTGTGTGTGTATTTTGTGTGTATAAGGTTGTTAAAGATGAAATTGAGGTTTCAACTGGGCACTAAGATATAACATATTAACTTTGCCTGTGAATTGTCAAATTACCCTATTCAGATTTTCAAATGCAATGACTATTGAAGGATTAGAGGTCTTCTGACTTGAACTGTGATAGACTAGCTCATTTAAAACTCATCCTCCCACTGTAAACAAGTATAAAAGCCAGACAAAACACGATGCAGTTGTGCAGCTGCAAAACAGCAGCCAGAGCAGGACTATCACCCTCCAGGGAATGGAGTCCCTGAAAGAGAGACTCACATCCTCATCAGCTTTCTTTCTAAGAGGATTTTTTTCAAAATTCAATGAAGGGAAATGGAACCCAAGCAGAGAGAATCAATCTCAGTAGCAAAGGAATCAGAGATCAGAGTTCAGGCTTGGCACTTTGACTGGGATTTAAGGGTAGGGTGCTGAAGGAGGGAGCTACAGCGAAGAAACTCCCAAAATCTGCACTCCAAAGCTGCATATGCTCCAGGTGATACTGTAAGAAGCCCACCAGAGAACAGCTGCTTGGGGATTGCATGCTATGTAGAAATGCCAAAGGCTTCATAGTGTGAGGAGATATTGGAATTAATTTAGCCCAGCCAAACCCGGGTTGAGACATGAGGATGGTGAAGCACTATGAGTGAGGGCCGTGGCCTTGGAGTAAGTACCACACTGAAATAGCAAAGTAGCAAAGTCTAAAATCAAGCCTTGGGAAAGGATTCCCTATTTAATAAATGGTGCTGAGAAAACTGGCTAGCCATATGTAGAAAGCTGAAACTGGATCCTTTCCTTACACCTTATACAAAAATCAATTCAAGATGGATTAAAGACTTAAACGTTAGACCTAAAACCATAAAAACCCTAGAAGAAAACCTAGGCATTACATTCAGGACATAGGCATGGGCAAGGACTTCATGTCTAAAACACCAAAAGCAATGGCAACAAAAGCCAAAATTGACAAATGGGATCTAATTAAACTAAAGAGCTTCTGCACAGCAAAAGAAACTACCATCAGAGTGAGCAGGCAACCTACAACATGGGAGAAAATTTTCACAACCTACTCATCTGACAAAGGGCTAATATCCAGAATCTACAAAGAACTTAAACAAATTTACAAGAAAAAAAAAACCACCCCATCAAAAAGTGGGCGAAGGACATGAACAGACATTTCTCAAAAGAAGACATTTATGCAGCCAAAAAACACATGAAAAAATGCTCACCATCACTGGCCATCAGAGAAATGCAAATCAAAACCACTATGAGATATCATCTCACACCAGTTAGAATGGCAATCATTAAAAAGTCAGGAAACAACAGGTGCTGGAGAGGATGTGGAGAAATAGGAACACTTTTATGCTGTTGGTGGGACTGTAAACTAGTTCAACCATTGTGGAAGTCAGTGTAGCAATTCCTCAGGGATCTAGAACTAGAAATACCATTTGACCCAGCCATCCCATTACTGGGTATATACCCAAAGGGCTATAAATCATGCTGCTATATAGACACATGTACACGTATGTTTATTGCAGCACTATTCACAATAGCAAAGTCTTGGAACCAACCCAAATGCCCAACAATGATAGACTGGATTAAGAAAATGTGGCACATATACACCATGGAATACTATGCAGCCATAAAAAGTGATGAGTTCATGTCCTTTGTAGGGACATGGATGAAATTGGAAATCATCATTCTCAGTAAACTAACGCAAGAACAAAAAACCAAACACCGCATATTCTCACTCATAGGTGGGAATTGAACAATGAGAACACATGGACACAGGAAGTGGAACATCACACTCTGGGGATTGTTGTGGGGTGGGGGGAGGGGGGAGGGATAGCATTGGGAGATATACCTAATGCTAGATGACAAGTTAGTGGGTGCAGCACACCAGCATGGCACATGTATACCTATGTAACTAACCTGCACATTGTGCACATGTACCCTAAAACTTAAAGTATAACAAAAAAATAAATAAAATAAAATAAAATAAAATAAAATCAAGCCTAAGCAGAATCAAAGTGGGTCCGATTTTTACCAAAGGTAATTCTTTTATAATTAATGAACTATCAAATTGTTAGCAGTCTGTGGAGGAAGATGGCAAAATCCAGAGCCTCTATAACACATCATCCAGAATATGTGGCATGCCAAGCAGCAGAGAAAATGCAACAAGTAGAGATAAAATCAGACTAAGTATTCCATGGTGTATATGTACCACATTTTCTTAATCCAGTCTATCATACTATGCAGCCATAAAAAATGATGAGTTCATGTCCTTTGTAGGGACATGGATGAAACTGGAAACCATCATTCTCAGCAAACTATCGCAAGGAGAAAAAACCAAACACCTCGTGTTCTCACTCATAGGTGGGAATTGAACAATGAGAACACGTGGACACAGGAAGGGGAACATCACACACCGGGGACTGTTGTGGGGTGGGGGAAGTGGGGAGGGATAGCATTAGGAGATATACCTAATGTTAAATGACGAGTTAATGGGTGCAGCACACCAACATGGCACATGCATACATATGTAACTAACTTGCATGTTGTGCACATGTACGCTAAAACTTAAAGTATAATAAAAAAAATCAGGCTAAGAGTTGATGTGGATATTGAAGCAGGCAAGCAAGAACATTCTCAAAGTATTTATGATTAATATGTTAAGGAAAATAGAGGGAAAGATGGGCAAACTATTTCAAAATCCCCAGAAAGATCAATCATAAAAAGAGAGAAAACAGAAATGAACACTATAAAGAACAACATAAAACCGTATATTTTATTAAAATGAAAATAAGAGAATATTAGACACAACTTCCTGACAATACCTTTTAAAATTTAGGTGCAATGAAATGAGTTCTTGAAAACGACAATTGAACAAGCCAACAGAAAACTGAATAGAAAATATAAGTAGTCCTATATCCATTAAGAAATGGGATTCTAATTAAATTCTTTCCCACCAAAAACACTCTTTGCCCACGTTTTTTCCCCTGTCAATTCTTCCAAAACTTTTTTTAAAAAAGTCAGTCTTATTCAGTCATCTCTTGGTATCCTTTTGGGATGGGATCTAGGGCCCCCTGTGGATACCAAAATCTATGAATGCTCAGGTCCCATGTATAAAATGGTCTAGTATTTGCTTATTACCTATGCACATCCTCCCATATACTTTAAATCACCTATAGATTACTAATACCTAATTCAATGTAAATTATTCGCAAATAGTTGTTATACTATATTGTTTAGGAAATAATGATAAGAAAAAGTCTATATATCTTCAGTACAGATGTAACCGCTGTAGGTAGGCCTAACTACATAGTATACATCAGCAGCAACAACAGTTTCGATCCTCAGGTAGTTAAATTCACAGATGTGAAACACACAGACATGGAGGGCAGACTATCATATATTCTTTTAGATAATAAAAAAAGAGTAAACACCTTCCAACTAATTTTATGAGACAACATAGCCCAGAGAAGAACTTAAACATGACAATGACATTACAAAAAAGATATCCACCATCTGAATGAACTGATGAACACAGCCACCAAAATTCCATCTAAAATATTAGAAAATAGAAGCAAGTAATATATGGAGAGGATAATGTACAATGGGACTGAATGGGATTTATAAGAGAAATGTGACTTTAAAAAATCAGAGTAATTTACCACATGAATAGAAAAAGGTAGAAAAACGTGCAGTTATGTCAACAGATGCATGAGAATCATTTGATAAAATTCAACAACTATTCATTATAAAAACTCAATAAACCAGAAATAAAAGAGAACTTCCTTAAGCTAATAAAGTTATTTATAAAAAAGAAATACCTCTATCTAAAGTCAAAATTAATGAGAAAAATATTGAAAACTACTCCTCTGTGTTGGGGACAAAATAAGGATATCCAATATCATTCCTTTTTTTTTTTTTTTTTTTGAGATGGAGACTTGCTTTGTCACCCAGGCTGGACTGCAGTGGTGCGATCTCGGCTCACTGAAAACTCCGCCTCCCAGGTTCAGGAGAATCGCCTGCCTCAGCCTCCTGAGTAGCTGGGATTACAGACATGTGCCACCATGCCCAGCTAATTTTTGTCGTTTTAGTAGAGATGGGGTTTCACCATGTTGATCAGGCTGGTCTTGAACTCCTGACCTCATGATCTGCCCGCCTTGGCCTCCCGAAGTGCTGGGATTACAGGCGTGAGCCACCGTGCCCGGCCACTTTTTTAAAAAATTATTTTTTATTTCAAGGTTTTTAGGGGTGGGTGGTGTTTGGTTACCTGAATTAATTCTTTAGTGGTGATTTCTGAGATTTTGGTGCACCCAGCAGTCAGGAAGGATTGAGCAACAGGGTGGGGAATATCCATCTCCCCACCTCCCTACCCCGATCAGCCTGAACTGATGGCAGAAACTGACTGCTGATGCTTGCTTTACTCACCCACATTCCCCATTCACTTATTCTTCATCAATTTGGTTCACATGTTCCCAGCAGTCGCTTCACCCCAGAAGCAGTCTGACTCCTATTCTTCAATACCAGGGAAACTCAAAGCCCTCTCTGCCCCCATCTCTGATATTACACTTCAGCTCAACATCATCACATGAAGGATCCAACTCTTCAGGGCAGATGTTCCCCCAGAGTCAGCCCCTGAATTTTGGCCCCAGATGTGCACCCCCACCCCCAACCTTTCCTTTTCTGTTTTGCTGTGAATCTGTCAATCACTGGGAACTGGCAGGGAGAGGTAGGAAGAGGGAGAGATTTCTTCATGCTGTGTCAAGGCATTGAGACAGACCTCTCCTTTTCCCCTGAACCTTGTATTCTACTCTTCCCAGATGCATGAAATAAAGCACAGGCCAGAAATGTCTATTTAAAGAGTAAAAATCCACAGTATAAAATTATGCAGACATAGTAGACATGGGGTAATTTATAACAGTGTGCGAAGGGTGAGGGGACCTCAAGGTGCCAAAAAGGCTGGTCCCAGGCTTGCCAGGAGGAACCGTCAACAGGACACACACTCATAAAGCTTTTATGCACATACAATGTGTTTAAAGGCACATATGTGCTTTTGTGCATGTAATTACTGCACATACAATACATTAAAAGATAATAAAAGTTAATAAGATAATAACAAAACAACAAAAATAATAATACCGAATATTATGGCACAGCTGCAAACACCTCATAGCAACTAACAGTTGTCAATCCCTGACCACAAGAAATAAGTGCTGTTAGTTTCCCATTTAATATATGAGGAAACTGAGGCATCAAGAGGGAAAGTGCTGGTGAGACCTGGGTAGGGAGTTGAATCCAGTGGAGCCAGCAGACCCAGGAGCTGGCACCAGAGACTGAAATTCCAGCTGTATGGTGCCCTGGTGGTCTCCTGTCCCAACCAGGTGTTGATCTGGGCTTCGTAGGCTCATGTGCTCTGGAGAAAAGAGAGAAACAGTAAATGCTCCACTGGGTGCAGAGTGCTGCTTTTCATTCCCTGAGGATTTCTCCCTCCTCAGAAACTCCGAAATCAGATTCACCCTTTCTCTGAGGGAAGAACTGACGCCCCCACTTTTTCCTCCCTCCCATCCTAGTTTCTCCAGCCTCCACCAGTCTCCTCCTGTGATTCCCTCAACAATGATACCTGCCCTGTGCCCACCATCCACCATGTGGGGAATGAAAGGGCCTCATGACTAAAGGACAAGAATCAGATCCAGGAGGGAACCCGGGGCCCTCCCCTCCTCCCAAGCCCCACCAGCCTAGACACAGTGGGAAACCTCCCCAAAGAGAGGATGGTCCTAGCTCCGTGTCCTACCAGGCCTGGGCTGGGTCACGCACGCGGTCCTTCTCCCTCTCAGTCCCCAGGCCCTCCTCACCTACAGAGGCACTTGCACAACAGGGCAGACCCTGCACACTGGGCTCCCCGCTCCACCTGCAGCTCAGCGTTCCACCCTCCGAGCCCTGAGCAGCCAGCCCCTAACTGCAGAGCCCATCAAGAAGCCTGGGGGCTCGGCACAAAAACACGTGGCTGCCACCGGGTCTGCACCTGACTGGATCCTGGGACCCTCCACGCTTGAGGACACCCAACCTTTCCAGACCCTCAGCACCCACCCGGGTCCGTGACCTGCACTTGGGCCATCCTTGCTCCTGCCTGGTCCACTCACCCCTGGAAATGCACCTCCACCCCAGGGCTGCTGCTTGCTGAGGCTGCAAGACCTTCCTGCCCTGTTCCTAGCAGGGCTTCCACCCAGGCCACTGCCCTCACAGCCCACAGGGAATCTTCTTCTTCTCCCTGTGGAGCAGGGGGTTTCTGGAGACCCCTCAGCCTGAGGCTGCCTCCACCCACCCTCTGCACTCCAGGATTGCCACTGCCACAACCACCATCTCCAACATGGACCCTCCTGGAGAGGAAGCTCCAAGCTTGACTTCTCATTTGATTGTACATGCTTTACAACATCAATATTAGAGGAAATCCTATTAAGATTATCCAGCGGAAATTGTGAACATCTTTATTGGACATCAATATTTAAAGGAGAATTTTTGAGAAATTAGCACATGACTTTCACACCCTTTCCCTGGCCAATGCCCCGTGACCTACAAGGCAAACTTTCCTGCCCACGGGGACCCAGAAGTGACAACCCCTCTATAGGAGACAGTGCAGGTGAAAGCAGGAGCGACCACAAACCTGCACTGCCCCTGCTGTGGGTGCCTCCTGGACGGGGCCCTCTTGCTGCAGGGCAGGGGATGAACCTTCCCATCTGCCCAGGACTGAGGGGCCAACAGACAGTGCAATTAGGTTCAAGGATGAAAAACCCCCACCCCCACCACCAGGTGCAAAAAAGTGGGGAAATGGCAGAAAGACTCCAGTTTCCTGGACACCCAGCCTCTCACTGTCCCCTGCACTGCCTCTGTCTTTGCAGAAACACAAAACTTCCTGTTTTCTCTTTTACTTTCCCCTCAAACAACTGACTGTGGGGGAAATCATCCTGACCATCCTTTACTCCAAATTTACAGGAAAGTGACCACCTTGAGAAAGGCTCAGGGAGGGCAAGGTGAGGCCACAGAGCACAGAACAAAGCCCAAAAAACATGGTCCCTGAGCACTGTGTCCCTGAGGGACTGTGTCCTTCAGGGCCTGGACAAGGAAACACCTAGAAGTAGGATGAAAACAGGGATGACAGCTGCCCTGACAAGGGGCTGGTCACCACTCCCCAAATGGCCCAGAGACATCTGCGTATCTTCTCATCCATATTATCTGCAAGGGAACTCAGGGTGCAGGGCCATGTGGTGGGAACCTGGAAAGAGCATGGCCTCGAGTGATCCAGGAGACACGACACCCCCGAGACAGCTCCTGGAGGAGGCGCGTGGGGAGCTACAAAGTGGACAAAGATGGCTGTGTGCACTCAGAACCCTCCCTGTTACAAGGGGGTCTCCAAGGGGCTGCACAGGCAGGCCCCCCAGTCTGGGCCTCATAGGTCTTTTTCTTGGTGTCCTCCTGATGGCTGGAGAAACAGGGGAGGGGGATGCAGAGAGGAAGGGACTAGAGGCACCACCTCTCCTCATATTCCTCTCCAGTTTCTAGCCCTCCCCAGATCACAGCCGTCTTTACTATTTGCCCCCTCTGAAGCCATCATCATCCAGGCCCTCAGCAATCAGCACATGATTCCCAGCTCACCCCACGCTGATGCACGCTGGTGAGCCTGAGAGACAGAGGGATGGGGATGAGGACAGAGCAGGTGCCACGGCCCTCCTTGCTGCCCACTCCTCACCTGCAGCAAGAGGAGGCCACAGATGGACATTCGAGGGCTTTGGCCCGGCCCTGGCTTGGGCAGGACTTAGGGGTCTAGATGAAATTGTAGCTCCTATTCCCCTCCCAAATACCCCAACTTCCAAACCCTGTTCCAAAGCCCTGTCACCTACATGCCTGTCTGTGCAGGAGCTATGAGGGGACCCTACTGCCCAGACAGGGTCCCTCCCATCTCCAGCCACTGCCCCCTTTTTTCACCTGGGTCCTCTGCAGCTGATATTTTCTTCTTGCACCAAAGGACACAGAGAATAATAATAATGATAACAAAAACAGCAGCAGCCGCAACATACGGAACGGTTGCCATAGACTCTGAAGCATCAGGGCTTTCCCTGAAAAAAAGGGCCTTGTTGCACACTGGGCACTCAGAGTTCCAGTTATCTCTGCTGTGCCCACCTTGGCCTGACCCTTTCTAGGTCAGAACACTTGAGGGTCGCCCCAGGCTCACCAGAGGACACCAGGGTAAGTGCTGTGATTCCTGCTGTGTCCCACATAGCAGGTAGCCCTCTGCTCCTCTTCTTGGGGAATCTTAGTGGCCACCCAGGTCTGGTAGGTCCCATTCCCATTGGGCAGGACACCCACAGACCGATGGGCATCCTGGCTCAGAAAATGCCCCAACCTGACACCAGGCCAGAGAGATATTCTGGGGATAGAAGCCGGAAGCCCAGCATGTGGGGGTGACTTTGTTCTCTGAGGCCTGGCATTCACCATGGTAGGCACTGGATAGGAAAGGGCAGAGCCAGTGAGGCACATGGCCAAGCCCCGCTCCCTCTAAGGGAGACTCAGGGAACAGGGCTGCTCCTCTCCAGTGTTCTCACTCTGGCTGAAGCCCTCATGGACCCCGGATCTTTTGCAAGTCTGTCCTTACCCTGGGGCCCAATTCCTTTGGGCTGGCAGGAGGATGGGCCTCAGACTATGGCCTCAGGCTCTGAGATCCCCACATTGATGCTGAAGGGGAGGGATGTCAGGATTGGACTCCTGGGTCATGAGGCCAGGAGGGAACTCTCTGGGATGGGCAGGCTGGGAGGCAGAGGGGGCAGCCCTAGCCCTGAGGGCTTCCTCTCCTGCCTAACACCCACCCCAGGGTGAGGATTCTGTTGGGAGTGGGCCATTGCTTTCCCAGATTACAACACTGGATGGTTCAGTCCCCAACCCACTGTCTTTATCCAGTGGCTCTAACAAGAGAGGAAAGTCAGGACACAATACGCCAACAGGAAACGCCTGCATCCATAGCACAGAGAGGGTTTCCCAGGACAGAGCTGGCAGGGGAGTGACTCTAGTGAAATGGGGGAGAGGAAAGCCCCTGCCCAGGGTCGGTACCTGTTCTCCTGATGCCCTCCTAGGATTCGAGATGTTACTGTAGTTTCTGCAGACGGTCTGCCATCACAGGGTGAAAGTGTCTTGGCCTGTGTGGCATCTTCATCCCAGAAATTTCTGATATTCATAGCTAAGGTCTGAGCTCTGGAGGACTGGGGCACTGTCCATTCCTGAGTCTCCAGGTTTTGGGAGAGGAAGAGCTCCCCATCATAGTAGAAATGCCGGGAGCCTCTGGTGCTGCTGTCTTCATGGATCTCACAGACCCTAATCTCCTGGAGGGAATGCAAGCCTGCCCCCACCCAGCAGTTCATTCCTGAACCCCTCATCTTCCCACCCAAGTGAGGAACTCAGCCCAGCTGGGACCCCTCCCTGGCCCTCCTCCATGTCTCCCTGTGTGGGCTGAGTGCCGGCTCACCTCCCTGCTGAGCCCCACTGACCCCTATTTCTCAGCCCACCCTCAGCCAGATCCAGTGGGAAGAGACAGGTCCCTGCTCTCTGCCTCCAACTCTCCTGGAGAAGGCCTCTGCCATTACTCTTGCCCCTGCCGACTCTCACCTCCTTTCTGGCCCTTGATATGAGTCAGGGTCCTCCTGAGGTCCTGCCCATTCTCTGTCAAGTCCTCGGTCTCTGTGTCCCAGGTCTCAGCTCCCAGGACTGCTTCTGCCAACTGTCCACAGGGCCCCTGCCCTGCCTTTCTGTCTGTCATAGAGCAGGAACGGCTGACCATCCAGATGTCCCTCAGCGAGAAACCCTGACTATACAAATCCATCCTGGGACAGCACCGTGAGGTTGTAATGAAGACTGTGGGACCTGGGGAAGAAGAAACCACAGATGAAACTTCTTCCTGGAAATAACTTCACATAGATATTTAACACACAGATCTGCTGCCCCGACCTTCCTGAGGAAGCAGAAGTGGCTAAGTGTTGACAGTTTTGTAGTAATTTACAAGTTGATATGGTTTGGCTGTGTTCCCACCCAAATCACATCTTCAGTTGTAACTCCCACAATTCCCACCTGTCATGGGAGGAACCTAGTGGGAGGTGATTGAATTTTTGGATGGGTCTTTCCTGCACTGTTCTTGTGATAGCGAATGAGTCTCATGAGATCTAATGGTTTTAAAAAAATGGGAGTTTTCCTGCACGAGCTCTCTCTTCTTGCCTGCTGCCATCCACACAAGATGTGACTTGCTCCTCCTTGCCTTCCACCGTGATTGTGAGGCCTCCCCAGCCATGTGGAACCATTAAGTCCGTTAAACCTCTTTCTTTTGTAAATTGCCCAGTCTCAGGTATGTCTTTACCAGCAGTGTGAAAACATACTAATACACAAGTGAAACACATTATACATTTTAATCCATTAAAGACTAGTTAGCAGCACTCACCACAAGCTGATATAAGAGCCTGTGAGCCTTAAGGGAACATTCACTGGTAATGGTCTGCAAACAGGGGTAGTCTGACTTCCCCTATGCCCTTATTTCTTTCTCTTGCCTTATTGCTGTGGCCAGGACTTCCAATACTCTGTTGAATAGGAGTGGTGAGAGAAGGCATCTTTGTCTTGTGCTGGGTTTCAAGGGGAATGCTTCCCCCATTTGGTATGATGTTGGCTGTTTGTTTGTCATAGATGGCTCTTATTATTTTGAGGTATGTTCCTGCAATACCTAGTTTATTGAGCGTTTTTAACATAAAGGAATGTTGAATTTTATCAAAAGGTTTTTCTGGATCTATTAAGATAATCATGTGGTTTCTGTCTTTAGTTCTATGTATGTGATGAATCACATTTATTGATTTGCACGTGTTGAACCAATCTTGCATCCTGGATATGAAGCCTACTTGATCATTGAGATTAGCTTTTTGATGGACTGCTGGATTTGGTTTGCAAGTACCTTGTTGAGGATTATTACATCAATGTTCATCAAACATATTGACCTGAAGTTTTCTTTTTTTGTTTTGTCTCTGCCAGGTTTTGGTATCAGGATGATGCTGGCCTCATAGAATGAGTTGGGGAGGAGTTCCTCCTTTACAATTTTTTGGAATAGTTTCAGTAGGAATGGTACCAGCTCTTCTTCGTCCATCTGGTAGAATTCAGCTGTGAATCCATCAGGTTCAGGGCTTTTTTTGGTTAGTAGGCTATTTATTACAGATTTAATTTTGGAGCTCATTATTGGTCCTTTCAAGGAATCAATTTCTTCCTGGGAGGGTGTATGTTTCCAAGAATTTATCGATCTCTTGTAGGTTTTCTAGTTTGTGTGCATACAGGTGTTCATAGTAGCTTTTGATGGTTATTTTTACTTCTGCAGAGTCAGTGGTAACATCTGTTTTGTCATTTCTAATTATGCTTATTGGGATCGCCTCTCTTTTCTTCCTTATTAGTCTAGCTATCAGCCTATCTATCCTATTAACTTTTTCAAAAATCATCTCCTGAATTTGTTGATCTATTGAATTTTTTTGTGTCTTGATTTCCTTCAGAACTTAACTCATTCTTAACATTTCACAGCCCACTTTCAGTTAATAATGTACTAGTTCACATAAATATAGAAATCTTGCAACCATTTATCCTCTATAAAACGTCCATCTTTTATGCCATAGATATTATATGTAATATATTTACATAGGTTATAAGCCCCATCAGAAAGCTATCTTATTTTACCTTTAAACAGTTCTATGTATATGAAGTAAGATTAAATGGGGGTGGGGGAGCAAGATAGCCTTTCGCACTTAATATTTACCACTTCTCACATTCTTCATCTTTTCTGATAATCTCATTTTCCACCTGGTATCATTTGCTTTTAGCCTGAGACACTTTCTTTACCAATTTTTATCGTACAGATCTGCTGGTGACAAATTCTCTTAATTATCTTTTACCTGAAATATCTCCTTATTTTGCATTTATCTTGAAGGACATCTGTACTGGATATAGAATTCTTAGTTGACCTTTTATTTCTTCCAGAACTTTAAAGATGTTATTCTAGTTTATTTTGTTTCTCTGGTTTCTGATGAGAAATCATTGGTCAGGAAAAGAGAAACAGAGAAAGAAAAACTGAGCAAATAACATGACAAACCTAAAACCTATCATATCAATAATGACAAAAACCTACATAAATCAGCACTCCAATTAAGGGCAGAGATTCTGTGACTGGATTAAAAAAAATAACCCAACCATATGCTCTTTTCAAGACATGAACTTTATTTTTTTTAATTTAACTTTTATTTTTAGTTCAGGGTACATGTGCAGGTTTTTGTATAGGTAAATTTGTATCATGAGAGTTTGTCATATGTAGGCTCCAGCCCTACAGGACCTGTGGGTTTTTCTCTTTGTGTGTGGAGATGAGAGAGTGTAGAAATAAAGACACAAGACAAAGAGAAGAAAAGAGAGTTGGGCCCAGGGGACCACTACCACCAAGGCACGGAGACTGATAGTGGCCTCGAATGCCAGGCTGCGCTGTTATTTATTGGATACAAGACAAGGGGGCAGGGTAAGGAGTGTGAGCCATCTCCAATGATAGGTAAGGTCACGTGAGTCACGTGTCCACCAGACAGGGGGCCCTTCCCTGTTCGGTAGCCGAGGCGGAGAGAGAGAGGGGACAGTTTATGTCATTATTTCTTCTATGTATTTCAAAGACTTTAGTACTTTCACTAATTTTTGCTACTGCTATTTAGAAGGCTGAGCCAGGTGTAGAGGGTGGAACATGAGAGTCAAACAGGAGCGTGACCACTGAAGCACAGCATCACAGGGAGACGTTTAGTCCTCCAGATGGCTGTGGGCGGGCTTGACTGATGTCGGGCCTTCCACAAGAGGTGGTGGAGCAGAGGCTTCTCTAACTCCCCCGGGCAAAGGGAGACTCCCTTTCCCGATCTGCTGAGTGATGGGTGCCTTCTCAGGCACTGGCGTTACCGCCAGACCAAGGAGCCCTCTAGTGGCCCTGTCCAGGCATGACAGAGGGCTCACACTCTTGTCTTCTGTTCACTTCTCACCGTGTCCCTTCAGCTCCTATCTCTGTATGGCCTGGTTTTTTCTAGGTTATAATTGTAGAACAAAGATTATTATAATATTGGAATAAAGAGTAATGTCATAAACTAATGATTAGTAATATTTATACATAACCATATCTATATTTTATGTCTAATACAACTATTTTTATTTTAAGTATTTTCTTTATTATACTGGAAGAGCTTGTGCCTTCAGTCTCTTGCCTCGGCACCTGGGTGGCTTGCTGCCCACAGTCATATAGTTTCTGTACCTATTAGTACCCACCCAGGTATTAAGCCTAGCACCCATTCATTATTTTTCTTGATCCTCTCCCTCCTTCCACCCGTTGCCTTCAAGTAGGCCCCGGTGTGTGTTGTTCCCTTCTATATGTCCATATGTTCTCATCATTTAGCTCCCACTCATAAGTGAGAACATGTGGCAATTGGTTTTCTTTTTCTGCATTAGTTAGCAAAGGATAATGGCCTCTAGCTCCATCCATGTTCCTGCAAAGTACATGATCTCGTTCTTTTTTATGGCTGCATAATGTTCCATGGTGCATATGTGCCACATTTTCTTTATCCAGTTCACCATTGATGGGCATTTAGGTTGATTCCATGTCTTTTCTATTGTGACAAGTGCTGCAATGAACATACATCTGCATGCAAAACATGCAATTTCAATATGAAGGCACAGATAAATAAAAATTGATGAAAAAAGCAATGCCATACAAACATTAAGCACAGAGGATTGAAATGGTTATTTTACTACCAGTAAAAGATTTTCAAATAATATGTATTACCAGAGAGAAAAAGAGGCGCTTCATAATAACAAAAGGGTAAAATCAACAGAAAGACATGCAACCAGAAATGGATCCAATAGCAAATCTTTAGAGTTCATGAAGAAAAATTGACAAAATTACAGAGAGAAGTAGAGAATTCTACAAACATGGTTAGACATTTTAAAGCTTTCTTTCAGCTATAAATACAAAAACTAAGAAAAATTTAGCAAAGACATAGAAAATTGAAAAGCATTATCAAGCACCCAGACTTAATTTATTTATATGCATATGCACATCAATGAAAAACACAAATTATCTGAAGTATGAATGATACATTTACCAGGAGAAACCATATTTCAGGCCATAAAACAATAAATTTGAAAACATTGAAATCATACAGAATATATTTTCTGGCCATAATGGAAATACATTAGAAATCTGTAACAATAAGATGATCTTGTGGGACTGAATGCTTTTGTCATCCTTAAACTCATAATTGAAACCTAATCTCTAATGTGATGGTGTTTGGAGGTTGTGCCATTAGAAAGTGATCATGCAGTGAAGGCAAAACCCTCATTAATAAAATGAATGCCCTTATAAAAGGGACCCCAGATTGCTTGCTCCTTCCACCACGTGGGGACACCAAGAAAAGGCAACATCCATGAATCAGGAAGCAGCCCTCACCATACACTGACTCTTCCCAGGCCTTGATCTTTGACTTCCCAGCCTCCGGAACTGTGAGAAATAGATTTCTGTTGTATGCAAGCCACATAGACTATGGAATTCTTTTATAACTGCCCAGATTGACTAAGACGGACGATCATGAAAATACCAAGGATTGGAAATTAAACATCAAAATTCTGAATAACAACTTATTCAAAGAGGAAATCACAGGAGAAATTAGAAAGTCTTCTGTTTTCTGAAGAATACTGAAGCACAACATATCAAATGTATGGGATGCAGTTGAAGTAGTGTTAGATATAAAAAGAGTTCCTCTTTAAGGGTTAACTTGCTCAGCATCCTGGCTCTTTGTTCCCTGCTTTCAAGGCCAGACTTCCTTACGCTCTGTATCCCCTGCCCTGGTAAACAAATTTCCCGCCAGTCCTTATCTATGGAGACCACATCCCACATCTGCTACCCACTCTATAGATTAACCCTCCTGTTGCAACAGCTCCTCCCGCCAAGACTGCACTCTCTGTTGGTATAACCACATTCCTGCACTTTTCAAGTTAGCCAGCCAGGTTCAGCTTAGATTGTGCAGTCCAGCTCCAGCCAATGGAGACAAGACACAGTTACAGGGACAAGCTGCATTAAGAGATTATAAAAAACCCCTGCTCTCCTTTGTTCAGGTGTGCACTCGCCATCGTTCCATCATAAGTAGCATCCTTTCTGCAGAAGTCAATTGCCTTGCTGAGAGATCCTTTGTCTCAGTGCTGATCTTTCTTTACAACACTGAGCATTTGTTCCCAACAAGCAGTACTGAAGAAAAAACTGATATCCTTAAATGCCTATATTAAGAAAGAAGGTAGGTCTCAAATTAGTAAATTAGTTTCTCCTGTAAGAAGCAAAGAAGAACAAATTAAACCAATGCATGCAGAAGGAAGGAAATAATAATAAAATAAAAAACTGAAGCAGAAAGAGAAAATTAATGAATCCAAATATTGGTTCTATAGGGAAAAATCGTACACCTTATAAATTTCTAGCCAGACTGATCAAGACAAAAACATACACATTAACAAGGTCAGCAATAAAAGAGAGAACATCAGTACACACTCTAGATCTCAAAAAGAAATATTGATAATCTCATGTCAATAAGTTTGACAAGCAAATGAAATGAACAATTTCCTTGAGAGGGAAAACTTATGAAAACTGACCTGAGAAGAGATAGAAAATGTGGTCAGCCATATATTGATTGTAGAAATTGAATTTGTAATCAAAATCCTTCTAATATAGGAAAGTCTAGGTCCAGAAGGCTTCACTGATGAATTGTATCAAACATATAATTTAGAAATTACATCAATTTTACACATACCTTTTAGAAATTAAAGTAGGCAGTTTTTTTCAATTCAGTCTACGAAGCCAGCTATATTAGTCCGTTTTCACACTGCTGATAAACACATACTCAAGACTGGGAAGAAAAAGAAGTTTAATTGGACTTACAATTCCACATGGCTCGATGGTCTCAGAATCATGGCAGGAGGTGAATTTTTTTTTTACGTAGCAGTGGCAAGAGAAAATGAGTAAGATACAAAAGCGGAAACCCCTGATAAAATCGTCAGGTCTTGTGAGCCTTATTCAATACCACAAGAACAGTATGGGGGAAACTGCCTCCATGATTCATATTATCTCCCACTGGGTCCCTCCTACAACATGTAAGAATTATGGGAGTATAATTCAAGATGAGATTTGGGTGGGGACACAGAGCCAAACCATATCATTCCACCCCTGGCCCCTCCAAATCTCATGTCCTCACATTTCAAAACCAATCATGCCTTCCCAACAATCCCCCAAAGTCTTTCCTCATTTCAGCATTAACCCAGAAATCCACAGTCCAAAGTCTCATCTGAGACAAGGCAAGTCCCTCCCACCTATTAACCTGTAAAATCAAAACCAAGCTAGTTACTTACGAGATACAATGGGGGTACAGGTATTGGGTAAATACAGCCATTCCAAATGGGAGAAATTGGCCAAAACAAAGGAGTTACAGGGCCCATGCAAGTCCTAAATCCAGTGGGGCAGTCAAATTCTAAAGCCCCAAGATGATCTCCTTTGACTCCATGTCTCACATCCAGGTCATGCTGATGCAAGAGGTAGGTCCCCATATCTTGGGCAGCTCTGCCCCTGTGGCTTTGCAGGGTATATGTTCCCTCCTGGCTGCTTTCACAGTCTGGCGCTGAGTGTCTGTGACTTTTCCAGATGCACAGTGCAAACTGTTGGTGGATCTACCATTTTGGGGTCTGGAACACGGTGGCCCTCTTCTTACAGCTCCACTAGGCAGTGCCCCAGTAGGGACTCTGTGTGGGGGCTCCAGCCCCACGTTTCCCTTCCACATTGCCCTAGCAGAGGTTCTCCATGAGGGCCCTGCCCCTGCAGCAAACTTTTGCCTGGGCATCCTAGCATTTCCATACATCTTCTGAAATCTAGGTGGAGGTTCCCAAACCTCCATTCTTGACTTCTGTGCACCTGCAGGCTCAAAACCACATGGAAGCTGTCAAGGCTTAAAGCTTGCACCCTCTGGAGCCATAGACCAAGCTGTACCTTGGCCCCTTTTAGCAACAGTGGGAGCATCTGGGATGCAGGGCACCAAGTCCCTAGGCTGTACATAGCATGGGGACCCTGGGCCCTGCCCATGAAACCATTTTTTCCTCCTATGCTTCTGGGTCTGTGATGAGAGGGGCTGCCATGAAGACCTATGGCATGCCCTGGAGACATTTTCCCCCTTGTCTTGGGGATCAACACTTGGCTTGTTGTTACTTATGCAAATTTCTGCAGCCAGCTTGAGTTTCTCCTCAAAAAATGGGTTTTTCTTTTCTACTGCATTGTCAGGCTGTAAATTTTCTGAACTTTTATGCTCTGTTTCCCTTTGAAAATGGAATGCTTTTAGGAGCACCCAAGTCACTCTTTGAATGCTTTGCTGCTTAGAAATTTTATCTGCCAGATACCCTACATCATTTTAAGGAAAGGCTAGCATGGGGAAGAAGAAGAGAGACGAGAAGAAAAGAGCTCCCTGCTTCTAGTGAGCAAAGGCCGCCGCCCGAGCTTCTTAGCCCTTCATATTTACTGGGTAATAAGGGCAAGGAGGAGGAGGTAATGATTGGTCAGCTGCTTAATTGATCACAGGTTCATATTGTTACTGGCAGGCTTCAATTGTGGCAAATCATAAGAAACATTCGTGCGGCCTCCAACATCTACTCCTTTTTGTTTTAAAATTAATTGAGCAAGGTAATTGCAGGCTGTGCAGCTCTTAATTGCCGGTTGGTGATCCAGCTTCATTTTTCTTAGCCCTTATTCAAAATAGAGTTGCTGTGGTTTGAATGCTTCTTACATATCTCCCCCTTCCCTTTTTACAAGAGGACGCTTAATCCTAAGGGTTGCAGAAGGATGAAGGTCTGTCTTCTGCAACTTCTTCATGCAGAATAAGGGCGATGATATTCCTGCCTAACTATTAGGGTCTCTTGTATTCAGGGTAGAGAGGAGCTGAGTCAGAAAGCACTGGTCCGTTAAACATCGATTGTACTTCTGAGTTCCAGCAAAAGGTGACACCCTGGCACTCCAGCAGTTTCTCAGCTTCCTGTGTGGTTTTCTTGATCAGTCCCCATGTTATGGGGGTTGATGTCAGCATGACTCTGGTCAGTCGTCGTTCCATCTTCGCATTCAGATTCAACTGGCTCATGGATTGTACTGGGGGAACCAGGTCCAGGGTTGGGATCCATGGGTCCCTCCAGTCTCCCATTCCAAGATGCACCTTGGAAAAAGAGACAAAAATCACTAGCATCTGTGGCCCACGCTTTTTCCTAAAAGGGTTTTGAGGACTTCAGTACTTACAGGGGAAAGAGCAGGCAGAAGGGGAAAAACAGTCAACTATGCATTCATCTTGTGCTCAGTAAATCTGAATTTTACATAAGCTAAAGTAAACATAGAGTAGTAAAATATGTGTTTGTCTCCGGGTGGGTGAAGGGATGATTTCTAGTCTTGTCTTTGTCCTGTACCTGTGAAGATAAGCTGTTACTTTACATTGTCAGGGGAAAAGTCAACAAAACTCTGTTTTAGGGTAAAGATGTTGGGGCCCACAAGGAATTACATTGTGAGCAGATTGTGAGGGAGGCCACTTGGGGAGATATGTGGTCCTCTATCTTTGCAGGTATTTGTTTAGGAACAAAAGAAAGGCAGTTTTTCCATGACTCAGTTCCCAAACTTAACTTTTCCCTTTGGCACTGTGAGTTTGGGGTCCCAAGATTTTATCTTTCTTTCACACTCAGTATTGCAGTTTATTATTGTCATAGCTTAAATCAGCGGTAATCATAGCTTACCTCAACATATTTGGCACCAAGTACTGGTTTCATGGAATAAAACTTTTCCACTGACCAGGGCAGGCGGCACAGGTAGGCGGGGATGGGTTTCGGGATGAAACTGTTCCACCTCAGATGATCAGGCACTGGAGTCTTATAAAGGAGCGTGCAGCCTAAATCCCTCGCATGCACAGTTTACAATAGGGTTCGTGCTCCCATGAGAATCTAATGCCACCACTGATCTGACCAGAGGCGGAGCTCAGGCGGTCATGCTCATGCTTTCTCGCCCACCCTTCACCTCCTGCTGTGCGGTCTGGTTCCCAACAGGCCACAAACCTGTACCGGTCCACTGCAGGGGAGTTAGGGACCCCTGGTTTAAATTATGCCACTATAACAGAACACCTGAGACTGGATAACTTACAATGAACACAAATTTAATTGGCTCATGGTTGTCGAGGATGGGAATTCCAAAATCAAGGGAATGTATCTGGCAGAAGGGAGAAGCGCAAGAGAGGGTGAGAGCTAGAGGGAGTAAGAGGTCGAACTCACAGGCTCAGGTCCTTTATGATCAGCATTAATGAGGGCAGCCTTGATCAGTTCATTAATGAAGGCAGAGCTCTGATGGTCCAATCACCTCTCAAAGGTCCCATCTCTTAACATTGTTGCACTGGGGATTAAGTTTCCAACAGACGCTTTTCTGGGGAAACATTCAAACAATAGCAGTTGTAAAGGATACAAATGAGCAGGCAGATGAAGTGCAGGAGGCGACATCTGGAAGCACTCTGAGCACACGACCCTCTGTCCCCATGGAGACGGGGTGCACCATCATTGTCAAGAGACAATATCATCTCTTGCTTATACCTCTTTTTTTTGGGAGTTCATGTAACATTGGATTTTCCTCATTACACAACCCATTTATTCATTCATTTACCCTCAGCTACTATTCCTCCTTCTACTTCATTTATACCAAACATTAACAGTTTTGGAAGAAACATTAAGTTCTGCTACTGTGCTGGCCTAGACTGAAGGGAGCAATACTGTTCTAGCAAGTGTCTCTCGTTGGTCCATTCCAGTTCATAGAGGGTAGGGTTATGCAGGTAGAGAACTAGTTGGCTATCTGACCCCAGGCAATATAGCTGCATTCAGTGTTAGCCCCAACTTTGCCAGATGCAGTGAAGGCACAACCTACTCCTCCAGGCCCTGAGGAATTCTTGCATAATGGTTTTAAAATATATTTACACTTTCTTGCTTAGGAATAATTCCTGTTTTGGCACTTTTATATGCATCCCTTGTCCTAAGACCACTGAATCAGGTATGAGAAAGGCGAGTTGAGGTGAAGTCTAGTCATCATTCCAGTGTCCTCTTGTCATGGGAAAAATCGTATGTCAGGTCATACTAGCACCTTTCCCTGATCCAGCAGGAAAAAAGAGGATACTCTCTAGTGGGGACACTCCTTTTTCCACACTCATGTCTGGTGTGAGCCCACTCATGAACGTGTGTAAGCCCGCCCTTCATGCTTATGTCTCCCCACTCCTGCTTTATACAAGTAATGTGTCATTTGACTATTTTTATTCTCTATGAAACTATTCCTCTGAGCAAAATATTTTTCTGAACATTGTTGGACATTTTGGGCAAATGTGTTTCCTGGTGTGAAGAAATGTGACTCAGTGATGCAAATGGTTGCAATATCTCCCGTCCAGGTTCTATTATAGTGCTCTAAGCATTTGCATCTGAGATGAAGTACGGATTTATCTTAGAAGCCTGCTAGACCTCCCTAACATGGAAATAAAGGAAAATGTTGAGTTCCTTCAAGAGAAATTCCAGGCACCTAGCCAGCCCTGAAAAGCAAGTGAGTGACCTTATAAGCAAGCAGGTAAAAATAGCTTAAACAATAGCCAAGGAAGTTAGAGTCCCAAGATGTTTGATTCTCTATAGAAACTAAAGAGAACATCTTAACATATGTCCTTGAGTAGTTTTTCAGGAACCCAGACTCTCACCAAACAGAGCCACTGATAGGGAGACCTCAGATAAGGGGAAAATGAGGACTCAATGCTGACTGTGACTCTTTGTTCTAAATTTTTTCCTGAGGGGCCTGGAAAGAGTCAGGTCCACAGAGCAGACCTGAACATTCCTCCCTACTGCCCCTAAGTGTGTAGACAAAGCTTTGGCTCCTTATCCAATCACAAATCAGAGAATCTTTCAATCCACCTATGACCTGTACGATCCCTCATCAGGATATCCCACCTTTTTAGGCCAAACCAGTGTGTAATTTCTATGCATTGATTTTTGATGTTGCCTGCAACTCGGCTTTGCTGAAATTTACTCCTGCCTTAAAAACTCTTGCTTGTAAGCCATTGGGGAGGTTAGGTCTTAAGTGTGAGCTGCCCGATTCTCCTTGCTTGGTGCCTTGCAAATAAACGCCTTCCTTTCTCCCACTACAAAATCTCAGTGTGGATGTTTGCCTTTATTGCACCAGGTGAGTGGGCCCCAGTTCAGTTTGATAACACATCTACCACCAGCTAAGCAATGCTTACTCCAGGGTCAGTATCTATTCCTGCCAAGACCCATTTGCTGCCTCCTAGGGGTACTGGTATCAGTCTAATTTGCCAGCTATCTATTTTCAAGACCTTCCCATGAGAGAATTTGCTACATAGCCATATGCTGTCTCTGTCTCTTCTTAAACAGAACAGTCCTTATGGGTATTTCGTGCCTGTGAGTTGGAGGATGTAAAAGGAATATATCTTGATTCAGCCTATCTCTGCATTGCTGCAGCCCTCAGTGTCTACTTATTTCACGGACCCAGGTGATCACCACAAGCAAACGTGGATTTTTTTGAGATGTGGTATTGATATTTTTCCCTGGACTCAAAAGTTGCTCAGGCAAAACTAAGACTCCTGGGCTCAAGAGATCCTTCTGCCTCAGTTCTTCTTGTAGCTGGAAATACAGGTACACCTGGAAATCACTTAGAAATAAATGCTTGTTGATTTCAATCACCTTCCAAACCTGGAGGAGGGTTATTCTGAGGGGCATTGAACTAATTGAACTATTCTGAGGGAATGGTACTAAACGATTCATGAGAAGCCACCCCCATGATGCAATCACCTCCCTTGAGGCCTCACCTCCAACACTGGGGATTATATCTCAACATGAGATTTGGGTGGGGACAACACCCAATTTATATCAGACATCAACACGCCTTACATTAATGCACCCCTCAAATTACCATAGTGATTTCCACAGGACTGTGTCCTATACGGGTATTCTTTTCATAGGCCAGTTTTCCATTGCTCTCTTAATTATATGGCCAGGCCATCAGTCAATGCCCATAAGTCAGTAAAAACTAAGACATAGGGACTTTTGTCATTGTTCAATTCTTTCATCACTTCTCAGAAAACATCATGCAATTCAACCAAAAAAAAAAAAAAAAACTGTCCTGTTTTTAACTTCTTTGATCAAAGGGGTAGACTTCCAAACAGGATGTTGTCCACTCATCTTGCAAATGCTGTACACAAACCAACCAGCTCTTTGTGGGTCAGTTGACTGATATTGCAGTTCAAATCCCAGGATGTCTGCTGCAGAGTTCCATCTTGTTTAGGGAGGGTCACATTATAAAGGTCAAACTACTTTACTCAAAGCCTAGCAATTATCAGGTTCAAGCGATTCTCCTGCCTTAGTCTCTTGAGTAGCTGGGATTACAGGCACCTGTCATCACGCCCAGCTAATTTTTTTGTATTTTTAGTAGAGATGAGGTTTCACCATGTTGGCCAGGCTGGTCTTGAACTCCTGACCTCAGGTGATCTGCCCATCTCGGCCTCCCAAAGTGCTGGGATTACAGGCATGAGCCACCGCGCCTGGCCACTCTTCATTATATAAAATATAAGACAGTCTGTCCTCCATGTCTGTGTGTTCCACATCTGTGAATTCAACTACCTGAGGATTGGAAATGTTATGTTGCTGCTGTTGTGTACTCTGTAGTTAGGCCTACTGACAGTGGTTACATCTGTACTGAAGATGTACAGACATTTTCTTGTCGTTATTTCCTAAACAATATAGTATAACTACTGTTTACAATCATGTACATTGCACTAGGTATTGTAAGTAATCTAGAGATGATTTAAAGTATATGGGATGATATGCATAGGTAGTAGGCATATAGTAGGCCATTTTATACATGGGACCAGAGAATCCACAGATTTTGGTATCCACAGGGGTCCTAGAACCCAGCCCAAAAGGATACCAAGGGATGACTATATAGGACTGACATTCCTTTTTTAAGTTTTTGAAAGAATTGATGGGAGGAAATGTGGTAAGAAGTTTTTCTGGTGGGAAGGAATTTAATTAAAATTCAATTTCTTAATGGATAGAGGACTATTTATATTTTCTACTTAGTTTTCTGTTGGCTTTGTTCAACTGTGTTTTTCAAGAACTCATTTCATTGCACCTAAATTTTAAAAGGTATTGTCATGAAGTTGTGTCTAATATTCTCTTATTTTCATTTTAATAAAATCTGTGGTTTTATAAGTTGTCCCTTCTCACAGTGTTCATTCGTGTTTTCTCTCTTTGTATGATTGATCTTTCTGGGGATTATGAAATAGTTTGCCCATGATTTCCTCTATTATCCTTAACATATTAATCATAAATATATTGAAGAATGTCCTTGCTCGCTGGCTTCAGTATCCAGATCATCTGAGTCGGCTTCTGTTGATTATTTTATCTCCACTTGTTGCATTTTTTCTGCTGCTTGGCATGCCACATATTCTGGGTGATGTGTTACAGAGGTTCTGGATTTTGCTATCTTCCTGCTAAGACTGCTAACTGCTTGACGGTTCATTAATTATCATAAAAATCAGACCCACTTTGATTCTGCTTAGGCTTGATTTTAGCCTTTGTTAACATGAGTCTAGTTCAGTGCGGTCCTTACTCCAAGGCAAGGGTCCTCACTCATAGTGCTTCACCACCCTGTTGGCTCAACCCAGGTTTGGCTGGGCTAAAATTCCAACATCTCCTCATACTCTGAAGCCTTTGGCATTTCTACTTAGCATGCAATCTCCAAGCAACTGTTCTCTGGTGGGCTTCTTAGAGTATCACCTAAAGCATATGCAGCTTAGGAGTGCAGATTTTGGGGGTTTCTTCTCTGTAGTGACATTGTAGGTGACACTGTACATCATAGTACAATGCATTAATGATATGTTTGTGGTGATGCTGGTGTAAACAAACCTACTGCACTGTCAATCCTATAAAAGTCTAGCACATACAGTTATGTACAATACATAATCCTTGATAATGATAATAAATGACTATGTTACTGGTTTACATATTTACTATACTTTTTATTGTTATTTTAGAGTGTGCTCCTTCTAATTATTAAAAAAACTTGAAACAGCCTCGGCCAGGTCCTTTAGGAGGTATTCCAGAAGAAGGCATTGTTATCATAGGAGATGGCAGCTCCATGCATGTTATTACACCTGAAAATCTTCCAGTGGGACAAGATGTAAAGGCTAAAGATAGTGATATTGTTGATCCTAACCCTGTGTCAGCCTAGGCTAATTTATGTCTTTTTTTTTTAACAGAAAAGATTTAAAAGTAAAAAAAAAATTAAATAGAAATAAGTTTCTAGAATGAAAATATAAGGAACAATATTTTTGTACAGCTTTGTAACATGTTGGTCTTTTAAGCTAAGTGCTATTACAAAAGCTGAAAAGTTTTAAAAATTAAAGTTTATAAAGTTAAAAAAGTTACATTAAGCTAAGGTTAATTTATTATTAAAGAAAGAAAATTATTTTTAAAATCAATTTAGTGTAACCTAAGTGTACAGCATTTATAAAATCTACAGTAGTGCACAGTAATGGCCTAGGCCTTCAGTTCACTCACCACTCACTTGCTGACTCACCCAGAGCAACTTCCAGTCCTGTAAGCTCCATTCATGATGAGTAACCTATATAGGTGTGCCATTGTAAAAATCTTTTTACCATATTTTTACTGTACTTTTTCTGTTTACATATGTTTAGATCCACAAATACCTACCATTGTGTTACAATTGCCTACAGTACTCAGTATAGTAATGTGCTATCCAAGTTTGTAGCCTAGGAGCAATAGGCTTTATGATATAGCGTAGGTGTGCAGTAGGCTATATCATCTAGCTTTGTGTATGGACACTTTATGATGTTCACGTAAGACCAAATCACCTAAGGACACATTTCTCAGAACCTATCTTATCATTAAGAAAGAATGACTATATATGTAATGTAAGTCCTTTGAAGTTTAAGCATTTTCACTTTCATATATTTGTCTCATTTAAGAAATATTTTCCATTCCAGCAGGTACAGCTAAAAAAAAAGAAAAAAGAAAAAAAGAAAAATTTTCTTGCTCAAATGTTTTAAGGTTATCCTCCTAATAACATTGGTAGTAGTTTTATTTTTTCATATTTGTCTTTACCGCTTATATAATTTTTTGTTTATCTCAAGGTGTAGAGATATAATTTAATCATAGGGTGTTTAGTAAAATATCAATGCTGGGAAAGGGCTTAGGAGATAACGATGAATCAAAACACAGCACAAAGGCCAGGTACTGTGGCTCACTCCTGTAATCCCAGCACTTTGGGAGGCCAAGGAGGGTGAACCACTTGAGCCCAGAGGTTCTAGACCAGCCTGGGAAACATACTGAGACCTCGTCTCTACAAACACATGTCAATCAATGCAGCATAATAGAGAATCTGGAAATAAATCCATATATTTACAGCCAACTGATTCTTGACAAAGGTGCCAAGAACATACATTTGGGGAAAGGACACCCTCTTCAATAAATGGTGCTGGGGAAATTGGATATCCACATGCAGAAGAATGGAATTAGATCCCTATATCTCACCCTATATAAATATCAACTCAAGATGGATTAAATACTTAGACGTAAGACCCAAAACTATAAAACAACTGGAAGCAAACATATGAGAAACATTCTAGGACATTGGTCTGGGTAACGATTTTATGGCTAAGACTTCAGAAGCACAGACAACCCAAACAAAATAGACAAATGGGACTATAATAAACTAAAACGCTTCTGCGCAGCAAAGAAAACCATCAAAAGAGTAGACAGACAACCTGTTGAATGGGAGAAAATATTTTCAAACAATTTATCTGACAAGGGACTAATATCCAGAATATGTAAGGAACTCAAGAGCTAAAAAAACCAAAAAATTCTATTAAAAAGTGGACAAACGACATGAATAGACATTTCTCAAAAGAAGACATACAAATGGCCAGCAGGTACATGAAAAATGCTCAACATCACTTATCATCAGGGAAATGCAAATCAAAACCACAATGAGATATCATCTTACCCCCAGATAGAATGGGTACAACTAAAAAGACAAAAAAAAACAAACAAACAAATAGATGTTTGTGAGGATGTGGAGAAAAGGGCACTCTTACACACAGTGTGTAAAACTAGTACAGCAACTGTAAAAAACAGTATACAGAGTTTTCAAAACACTGAAAATAGAATCACTGTATTATCAAGCAATTTTGGGGTGGGGCTGCAGGGTCCTGGAGTTCAGGTTGGCAGAGAGCAGGGCCTGGAGGTGCTTGGGAGGCCGGAGGAGAAGGAAAGAGGCAGATGCCTGGGTCCCAGGGTATCGAAGTGGGGAGGGTCTGGGGCAAGAGGTAAATGGGCGAATTCTTGAGATCCATTGAGAATCCATGGTCAGCCCTTGAGATCCAAAGAAAGGGGTCAGAAGCTTGGGCCAGGCTCACCGCTGAGCTCTTTGTAACCCCTTTGTAACCCATGACCACCTTCAGACTCCCAGCTAAGTAAGTCTTTGACCCTCCAAGAACAACATCTCCTTGGCTGCCAGCAGAGGGACCTGCTCTCTGCCCATGACCCCAGGGCCCCTGGGCCTGGCATGGCAGCTCCTGCTGTCAAAGGCAAAGAAGAGGCAGCCGTCCAGCTAGCCCAGTGCTATGACTGCAGGCTTCCTGGGGGTGGACTCTGATAGGGCCTTAAGATCCTAGCTCAGAAAGCGGGACCCTGAAATTCCCAGGGCTGGGCCCCTTAGCACCTGTATAGCAGCTCTCTTCTCCTCAGAACCCTAGAAACTCTCTCCCACTCTACACACACCTGCACGCACACACATCAACACAAACACACACATTCCTAACAGGATGTTTTCCATTTTTCTCTCCTCCCTGGCTCCTTTCACTCTCTTTCTCCCCCCTTGCCCCCTTCTCTTATGGTCCATTTCTTCTCTCTTCTGCTCTCTGGAGGTTCCCTTCTTCCTGGACCGAGGCACTAGGAGCTGCTGTCCCTGGACCCCAGGGTTGGAGGCTAACAGGCTGATTCCTGGGATGAGCAGCCTCTAGCAGCAGGAACAAAGGAGGGGACGGGAGGCCAAGGCCCCATCTGGAGGCTGAGGGACTGGGTCCTGTGGCAGCAAGGATTTGGGGGTGTGTCATCCCCACATCTGATCCCACTGTTTTGCCCTGGAGGCCTCTCTCTGCTCTGAGGCAAAAGTCCAGTCACTCAGTGGTGAGAGGAAATGTCATTGTCAACATGGATTTTGGGAAGCTGAATGGACTCAGAGCCTGACTTGAGACCCGGAGGCTCCTTGAGTGCAGAGCCCTGTCCAGGTGCTGGGAGCAGAGGGAGAGCCTCGGAGGTCCTGGTTGGTGAGAAAGGGGAGCGGGGTCCGGTCCTCTGTCCTCGTCCCTGTGGCCACACGGGGGCGCCGCCGCGCTGCTCTCGCATTCTGATTGAGCGCTCTCAGGCACTGGGTGAGGGCTGAGTGGGGCAGAAGGGGCGGAGCCTGAGGTCATCCACGCGGGAATGCAGGTTCCTCCTAAGCAGCCCTGGAATCCACAGACTCAGGCTAGATTTGCTTGTCTTGCAACGTGAGGCAATTGTGGAGCAGCAAGATCTGGCTCTAGAATTCTCACCGCGAATGCGGTTCTTATAGAATCCAACCTGAAAGAGAGGCCAGGGCCTGAGCTGACTGCCCTGGGCACACCTGGCTTTGATGGGGTTGCCAAAATATAACTGGCACTTACAGAAATTTCAATGATTGTCGAAAAGTCCATATAATTATATACAATTTCATTTCTGATGTCTCTGGCTGTGCCTTTGAAAGGGCATAAAGAGCCATGGAAAGAGGCTGAAAGGCTCCTCTGGGAATTTTCAAATCCCTTTTCATAGCAGCAACTTGGTCTAGCCCAGTGCTATGACTGCAGGCTTCCTGGGGCTGGACTCTGATAGGGTCTTAAGGTCCTAACTAAGAAAATGGGACCCTGGAACTCTCAGGGCTGGGCCCTGAAGAAACACAGGGAGAAGGATCTGGAGGCGCAACCCTCCCTTCTGATCAGCACGGGCAGGGCTGTCTGAGCGCGTTTCCCCTCTGTGTTCAGCAGGATCGACTTTGCAGTGAGGCGCAGCCCCTGTCTCCCTGGGGGCCTCAGGTCCACACATCCTTCCACTGCCGCATGTCAGAAGCATCTGTTTCCTTTATTTTGTTTTCCACAGACTTCTTTCTTTTTTCTGTCCTTGACCACTAATACAACACAGGCAAGATCCTATAAGACCAGGTAAAAGATGTTACTGATAATAGTGAAGGCATGGTTGTGAAGGGACAATGGCAGATACAGACAGAGCCAGAGACAAAACAGAAAGGCAGAACAGAGATAGAAACACACACAGAAAATGAACATCCATCCGTCCATCCAACCATCCATCCATCCATGCATTCATCCATGCATGCATCTGTCTGCTCTCTACCTTTCTATCTCCTTACAAGGGAGGTACATCAACACTTTTACATTCATTTCCCAACAAAAATCACAAGATTTTCCTTGTCGGCTCACACCTGCCCTCCTTCATCCAGCCAACTGATGTGTTTGCTGAGGTCTTGCCACATGCCACACTGGGTGCTGAGCTTTGGGGTCTGAACAGTAACAGACCTCTGTGATGCACTCACACGGGGCCCTTTACTGTCCTGTCCTTGGCTATGAGACATCCTCATGTCCCTGAAGCTCTTCTTTCTGCTTCTTGGATAAAGTCCCTGACCACCTCCCTACTGGCACCCAGGAGACTCTGACATCCTGGAACACCAGTATCTTTCATCAAACACTGACTTACAGCATTTATCCTGTGTCTGTCACTCACTACATACCCTTTTGATGATTTTCTCATTTAGAGATTGTTAAAAAAGGATGTGATTGTAACCTCAGACAAGTGTAATAGAATAGTAAAATAAGGAACTCTGTGAAAAGGGCTTTTTCTGCTTTCTCCCAGAACATCTCATTTGCATCTGTGTTTGGCTGGATGAAAAGTGGCTTCCATATCCCCTGACATAATGCAACAAGCAGAAACACTTGCTCAGTAAACAAGTACTTCGGAAAATGCAGGGTCTTGAACACTGCCCTCAGGGCTCCACACATCAGAAGGACATATATATCTTTCCTTCAACCCCAGAGATGCCCAGGGGCTGCATGTTGGCTCCTCACTGGTCTTACTCATGTCCTACTGGAAGAGGACGGTGCTTCTCTGGAAATGTCAGAGTGGTGTGGGACAGCCAGTTCCTCTGTGTGCCCTGCAGGAAAACAGACAATTCAGCTTTTCAATCCCACTCAGTATCTGAAAATAAACTGGGTTTTCAATGTATTCCCCTCCAGAGAGTAAATTGCGGAGGAAACATGTTCAAACGCACACTTAATTATTTTCCGAGTCAAGAATGTAAGTATGAGGCCCTTTAAGACGAGTTAAGAGAAGTTCCTGACCTCAAATTTCATGTGGAAGTTATAAGATGGAGCTGGAAGCATCTGTCCTTACCTCTGGGTATAAAGTTGGGACCCCGCGGGAGGCAGTCAGCCACAGTTAGGGCACCAAGCAAACCCTCAGGAAGGACTCGGTCCACGCAGGAGCCTCCCTAAGCAGCTTCTCCCTGAAGAAAACCTGAAGTCTTAGAAATCCAAGAAGAACAAAGATATTCATGTCTCTGATAAGGAAAATGAAATGCCAGCAATCCAGCACTGAGAAGGGAAGCTACGAGACCACATTTTCTGCACGTGGAGAAGACATGTTTAATGGAGAGGTGGGAACTTGTCTCAAAAGTGTTGCGCTGCCGTGAGAACGTGTGGTCATCACTGCCACCACCCGCTGCTCGCTCAGTGGCCTCTGCCCATTGTAACTAATGGGCCAATGAATAGAAACACTTTTCACCTTCCTCTCCTGCAATAAGGCTATTAAAATAAATCATCTCCTCTGGTTGATTTTTCACTTAGGGAAAAAATAACTGGGGTAATGCATGCCCGTAGACCAGGTTTTAAAGAAGTTCTCAGAAAACCCTGAGACAGTCTCCAGAAGGCTCATCCAGCAGAAACGAGGCCTTGCACTTCTGCCATCCCGTGTGTCACCATGATGGAGTTTGCCCAGCTAGGGATGGCAAGAGGCCAAGTCATCACAGGTGATCTGCAGGCCTGGTGAGGAAGGACAATGACAGACGGGAAGGAGGAAATGCACACACACGACCAGACCTCCTGCCATTCCTTTGTCCATTGGTCTTGCTCTGTCTTTCACTCTCTGAAATTTTGTTGTCATGAGTCTTGGTGTGGGTCTGTTTCCATCTCCTGTATTGAGAACTTTGTTGCAGCCATTCACACTATACATTTTTGTCAGTAGCCTTCAAAACATTTTCTTGAATTACTTTTAATTACTTTCTATGGTTATTGGAACTTATATTATGAGACTGCTGGAATTCCTTAATTGATAGTATAATATTCTTAAAGTTCTATCATGCTTGGCATCACGTTTTTATTTTGTACTACCTTGCAGCACACAACTTTCATTTCAGTTCATTTTTTAAACTCTTTATTTCAATGATCATATTTTAAAATTCCAGAGCTCTTTCTAGTTCTCTGCATGAAATTGTTTATAAATTTGTTCAAATCTCATAACTGCTGTTTTCTTACATCTTTCACACATAATTGGTAATAGTGGTAGGGACCCATTAGGTCTCCTTGTAACCTGCTTTCATGATATCACAAACTTTTCCCTTACGCTCATTAGCAATTTCACAATCTTGGGGCAATTTTTGCTAAATATTTATCTTCCTTACAATATTGAAAACTCCCCATCTCCAAGATTTTACTCTTGCTCTTCATTATATCCTCAAGTGCTTAGCAGATCTCCTGATCACTGGAAATACACCCTGGATGAACGGACTTCTGCGTGAATTTGGCAGTTAAGTCATTGCCCTTCTTGTCTTCCTGAGCTCTGAGCCAGTGGCCTCCTGTCCATAGAACATTCTGGGACATCAAAACAGTTCACTTGTGTAAGGTGCAGATGAAGAGAGAATCAATGGAAGACAAGTCAACAAGGCCTCTGAGAGAAAATCTCCAGGGTTCAACCCTAGCCCCACCACCTTCTTTACCTCTCTCCTTCCCTGTCTGTACAAAGGATCACATATTGAGTTCCCCATGGGTTTGCATTGAGGATTAAATCTGACTCTCTATGTAAAGCCATGGCATTATTTTCTGAGTCATACTAAATGCTCCATTATTGATAACTATCATCACTATATTCATTACAATCTTTGGGTTATTTCCATTATTTTGCTTTTATAAACCACAATTCAAGGAACATTCTTATATATGTGGTTTTTTTGTTTTTGTTTTGGGACAGAGTCTCGACCTGTCACCCAGGCTGAAGTGCAGTGACATGATCGCAGCTCACTGCAACCTCCACCTCCCGGGTTCAAGCAATTCTTCTGCCTCAGCCTCCCGAGTAGCCGGAACCACAGGTGTCTGCCACCACGCTCGGCTAATTTTTGTAGTTTTTAGTAGAGACGGGGTTTCACCATGTTGGCCAGGCTGATCTTGAACTCCTGACCTCGTAATCCACCTGCCTCGGCCTCCCAAAGTGCTGGGATTACAGGCATGAGCCACCGCGCCCGGCCTATATATGCGTTTTTAGAAAGATATGTAATTATTTCCTTGGGATAAATTCCTAAAAGAGAAATTTTCATGTCAAAATGTCAGAACACTTAGGCCCGGCGCAGTCCCTCACCCCTGTAATCCCAGCACTTTGGGAGACCAAGGCGGGTGGATCACTTGAGGTCAAGGATTTGAGATGAGCCTGGCCATCATGGTGAAACCCCATTTCTACTAAAATTACAAAAATTAGCTGGGCGTGGTGGCACGCACCTGTAGTCCCAGCTACGCGGGAGGCTGAGGCAGGAGAATCGCTTGAACCCAGGAGGTGGAGGCTTCAATAAGTCAAGATTGTGCCACTGCACTCCAGCCTGGGCGACAGAGCAAGACTCTGTCTCAAAAACGTCAGAACATTTAAATTATTGAGACATTTTGCAAAAGTGCCCTTTAGAAGTTTTGTACCACTTTTCAATGCCATCAGTCTTCGTAACAGTACATTTTCCCTGTACTCTGATCAATACTACCATCATTTACTTCTGTCTTTGCCAAGCTGATGGATTTTAATTCTGGTTCCCATTTTGTAGTCTACATTCTTATTTTTTGCACATATTTATTACTAATATAACTATATGACATTTCTTAATCATTTCTCAAACGTAATGCTGATATTTTTAAATATTGAATTTAATCAAGAAAAAGCAGCCCCTAATATCTGGGAACTTGTCTGGCACAGCTGGGCATCAGTGTTGCCAGGAGCTGGTCTGGTCTTCACTACTGGGCCATATTAGTCCCTCTGGGACATAAATTATATCACAAAATACCAACACCACACTGGATCACTCTCAGCCCATGAGAAAGTGAGGCGAAACAAAAGTACTTCATAATTTTGTCTAAACCCTCTCCCGGCTAGTATGAGTGGCTGATGCTTCTCTACGGATTAAGCTTTATCTGCACTCTAGTCCACCCTCCCTAAAGGTAAGATTTATTGAAATACCGAATTGTAGAATTGCCTCTGCTTACTGACAGTACTAAATCTAGAGCAATAAAATAAAATAGAATTTCTCAACTGTGTTATCTGTATTTTCTTTTTTTCCTTATTCTCATGCTCTGGCATCTGAGTCCTCACTGATTGTGAGGACTCCCCTCCCAAGACTAGTCTATTCCTACAGATACTAAAGGGATTGACCGCAAATGCGCCTTTCTTATGCAAACTAACCAAACCAGAGCCCAAACTCAGAATGAGTTCTTTTTTTCTGGCTGTCACATGGCCCCGATACTCCCAGTCAATATTCTCCTGTCTTAATAATCTGAGAGACAGGTATCAGACAACTAGAGACAATCCCTATGCCTCAGAGTCACCAAGATTATTCAGACTCATCAATACTGAACATGTCTACACTGCTTACCCTGCCTTGCTCATTCATTCCCCTAAAAACCACATTAGAGGCTCTCGCCCATGCTTTCCCCTCCCGTTGCCACTTGACCAGCCTTGGTGCTGCCTGTTGTGCTGTGCTTCCTATGTCAGTGGGTAATAAACTCTTTTTTCAGTGGCATAGACCTCTCTGTGTCATCATTCAGTCATAACTACTAATTAATTAAATCCCAGGGAAACTTGAAATACCAGCTGAAGCCCAAATATTATAATAGGCTCTATCTAAAAGGCACTTACCAAGATACTCGGTAGTTATCCAAGGTGTGCATTCTCCCTCCCACTGCAGTGAGTAATAAACCCAACTTCTTCACCCACAGATGTGCTCCAGGTGGCCTTGGGCTGAAGGGTATTAACACATTGTTACTATTTTGTCCATCAACTGTTTACATGTCTTTGAGGTTGATTATGGGAAAGTGTTTGTACATTTCTGTGTTTGTGGATGCCAAAGAGATTTTTTTTAATTTGTAAGTAGTCAAAATGATTATCATCATTCTTCATCACTTTTCACATTTTGGTCATGCTTAGAACATCTGCACTCCAGAGTTGTGAAAACTTCATACATATTTGACCTAGGAAGAGACGATGAGGAAAGGGGTCCGAGAGTTGAAGGACATAGAATTGTTTCAAGTTGTGGAAAAGTAAAGATTACTAATGCGATGGGATTGTAAGGTTTAATTATTTTATAATTTTTGAAATGTGTCTACTGGGTCTGTAGGGTACTTAATATATGTGGTATCCAATAAATACAACTTAGGATGAGTACTCAAGACTTATTTGCCTTCTTACATTCACCAAAGTAAAGAAAATATTATGCCAGATTTCCAGTGAAATATAGACATGGATTGGCAACAGTGATGTGCATTTATGAAGACTTGATACTATGAACTGATAATTCATATTTTGGTTGATGTCTATACACTGTAGTTGTTCAAATACACATTAATTAAACTTTCTTGGGCATGCTATATTTCAATGATATGTCTGAGACCCATATAGACAAATTCATGGCTTCCATATGAAGACAACTTTGATATATTCAATCTATGAGTGACATGGTATACTTTTAGGGAGATTAAAAACTAAGATACTCTGGTATGCACTATCAAATTTCATTGGAGATGTGGTTACTTGAGCTGTGGTGGCTACACTTGCGATGAAGCGGAAGAAGAGCTCTGGTATGTAAGGACTGGGATCTGCATTGTCATGTTCCATTCTGCATTGATAATAAAATGTACCCCACATACCCCGCCCCCCACCACACACACAGACACACACACACAAAACACAAACACTCATGCTTACCCAGTCATAGTCCCTGCTTGCTGAAATTTCTGTAACGTAAAGCACTTGTGAAAATAAAGGACCAGTCATCACCTTGATGATTCTAGAGATGGGGACCCGATTCCCAGAAGTCATAGGTCAGAAGGGAAAGACTGCTGAGGACAGACCTCCAGTCACCCAAGAGGGAAGGTGGTCCAGCCCCTGCACGTCTCCTGTCCTTGTTTTCCTGATCCTGCCCTGGGTATGGTTATAGAGTCGAATAGATAAATTGAACTTCATCAAACCAAAACTTTTATGCATCAGAGAACACTATCAATACAGTGAAAAGGCAATCCATACAATGGCAGAAAATATTTGCCTATTACATATCTCATATGGGTCAAGTGTTTGGATACACAAAGAACCCTTTAAACATCAATAACAAAATGACAAATAATCCCATTACAAAATGGGCAAAGAAATTGAAAAGTCATTTCTTCAAAGAAGATACATAAACCGCCAATATACACAGGAAAAGATACTCAACATCATTAGCCATTAAAGAAATGCAAATTAAACCACAATAATATGGCTATAATAATAATTTTTTTAAAATGAAAATAAATGTTAGGAAAGATAAGCAGAAATTAGAACCCTCATACCACTATATTTTATGGAAATATAAAATGGCCAGCTGAGGTTCTTATTTGGTGGAAGCATTTCTTTCCTGGGAAATCCACTAAGCCCAAGGTTGCAGAGATGTGAAGCAGAAATTTTAAAAGTAATTAATAGGTGTAATTGTACAAGAATATTTATTAACATAATAAATTATCTCAGCTTTTTTAGTCAAAATAACTCCTATAACTTTGTTCATCTTTTTAGAAATTACTTAAATTGTACTGACTATGATAACATGCCTGTAGTCTCAGCTACTCAAGAGACTGAGATGGGAGGACACCTTGAGCCCAGGAGTTCAAGACTAACCCGGACAACATAGCAAAACTTGTCCTGAAAAAAAATGAAAAATTAGCTGCACATGGTAGTGCATGACTGTAGTCTCAGCTACCTGGGGGCTGAGGTGGATGGATCCCTTGAGCCCAGAAGTTAGAAGCCAACATGGGGTAATATAGAAAGACTCTTTCTCTAAAATTTTTAAAAAATAAATTGCATGAGTTATTCTAGACCTTTTATGTTTTCATATAAATTTGTAAATCAGCTCATAAATTTCTATCAAAAAGCCTCCTAGAATTTTGTTAGTTTTTTTTTAAATCTCTGGGTTAATTTGGGGAGTGTTGCATTTTAACAATGTTAAATCTTGCTCCCCATGAACAGGGGATCTATTTATTTAGGTCTTCTATGTACTCTTTCCACAGTGTCTCTTGATTTCTAGTGTCTTGGATTTCAGAGATCTTAAATATTTTTTGTATGATTTATTTATTTTCTTTGTTGTTGTTGTTTTTGTTGTTGTTTGCCCTATGAAGTTTTATTTTATTTCAATAGTTTTTTGGGGTACAGGTGGGTTTTGGTTTAATGGATGAGTTCTTTAGTGGTGAATTCTGAGACTTTAGTGCACCTGTCACCCAAGCAATATACACTGTACCCAATATGTAGTCTTTTATCTCACTCCCCTCTCAGCCTGTCCCTTGAGTCCCCAAAGTCCATTATATCGCTCTATATGTCTTTGCATCCTCCTAGCTTAGCTCCCACTTATAAGTGAGAACATACAGTATTTGGTTTTCCATTCCTGAGTTACCTCACTTAGAATAATGGCCTCCATCTCCATCTAGGTTGTTGCAAAACACATTATTTTGTTCCTTGTTATGGCTAAGTAATACTCCATGGTGTACATATACCACATTTTCTTTGTCCACTTGTTGGTCGATGGACACTTACTTTGTTTTCATGTCATTGCAATCGTGAAGTGTGCTGCTGTAAACATGCACGTGCATGTGTCGTTTTCATATAATGACTTCCTTTGGGTAGATATCCAGCAGTGGGATTGCTGGATTGAATGGTAGATCTACTTGCAGTTCTTTAAATAATGTCCATACTGCTTTCCAAAGTGGTTTTACTAATCTACATTCCCACCAGCAGTGCAAAAGTGTTCCCTTTTCACCACATCCACACAAACATCTACTGTGGTTTTTAAAAATTTTTTAATTATGGCAATTTTTGCAGGAGTAAGGTGGTATCTTGTACTTATAATTTGCATTTCCCTGATGATTAGTTATCTTGAGCAATTTTTCATGATTGTTGGCTATTTGTATATCTTCTTTTGAGAACTGTCAATTCATGTCCTTTGCCCAGTTTTTGATGGGATTATTTGTTTTTTTCTTGCTGATTTCTTTGCGTTCCTTGTAGATTCTGGATATTAGTCCTTTGTTGGATGTATAGTCTGTGAATATTTTCCCCTACTGTGTGGGTTGTCTGTTTACTCTGCTGATTATTTCTTTTGCTGTGTAGAAGCTTTATCATTCAACCAGGTCTCATTTATTTATTTTTATTTTTGTTGTGTTTGTTTTCGGGGTCTTAGTCATGAATTTTTTGCCTAAGCCAATGTCCAGAAGAGTTTTTTAATGTTATCATGTTATCTTCTAAGATTTTTATGGTTTTAGGTTTTAGGTTTTAGGTTTAAGTCTTTGATCCATTTTGAGTTGACATTTATATAAAGTGAGAGATGGAGATACAGTTTCATTCTATATGTGGCTTGCCAGTTTTCCCAGCACTCTCTATTGAATAGGATGTGCTTTTCCCAATTTATGTTTTTGTATGCTTTGTCAAAGATCAGTTAGCTGTTGGCATCTGGCTTTATTTCTGGATTGTCTATTCCATTCCATTGGTCTAAGCGCCTATTTTTTATTTTATCTTATTTTGAGATGGAGTTTCACTCTTGTTGCCCAGACTGGAGTGCAATGGCACGATCTCAGCTCATTGCAACCTCTGCCTCCCAGGTTCAAGTGATTCTCCTGCCTCAGCCTCCTAAATAGCTGGGATTACAGGTGCCCACCACCACGCCCAGATATTTTTTTTTGTATTTTTAGTAGAGATGGTGTTTTATCATGTTGGCTAGGCTAGTCTCGAACTCTTGACCTCAGGTGATTTGTCTGCCTCTACCTCCCGAAGTGCTGGGATTACAGGCGTGAGCCACCGTGCCCAGCTGAAGTGCCTATTTTATACCAGTATGATGCTGTTTTGGTAACGATAGCCTCGTAGTGTAACTTGAAGTCTGTTAATGGGTCGCTTCCAGATTTGTTATTTTTGCTTAGTATTGCTTTGGATACGTGGGCTCTTTTTTGGTTCCACATGAATTTTGGGGTTGTTTGCTCCAGTTCTGTGAAGAATGATGATGGTATTTTGATGAAAATTGCACTGAATCTATAGATTGCTTTGGGCAGTATGGTCATTTTCACAATATTGATTCTATTCATCTATGAGCATGGGATGTGTTTCCATGTGTTTGTGTCATCTATGATTTCTTTCAGCAGTGTTTTTTAGTTTTCCTTGCAGAGATCTTTCACCTCCTTGGTTAAGTATATTCCTAGGTTTTGGGGGGTGTTGTTTTTTTGGAGGTTTTTGTTGTTGTTGTTGTTGTTTGTTTTTGCAGCTGTTGTAAAAGGGATTGAGTTCTTGATTTGATTCTCTCTTGGTCGTTGTTGGTGTATAGCAATGCTCCTGATTTGTGTACATTGATTTTGTGACCTGAGACTTTACTAAATTTGTTTATCAGATCTATGGGTCTTTTGGATGAGTCTTAGTATTTTCTAGGTATACGATCATATCATCAGTGAACAGGGACAGTTTGACTTCCTCTTTTCTAATTTGGATGCCCATTATTTCTTTCTCTTGCTTGATTGCTCTGGCTAGAACTTGCAATACTGTGTTGAATAGAAGTGGTGCACGTGGGCATCCTTGCCTTGTTTCAGTCCTTGGAGGAATGCTTTCAACTTTTCCCCATTCACTATGATGTTGGCTGTGAGTTTGTCATATATGACTTTCATGACTTTGAGGTAAGTCCCTTCTATGCCTATTTTGTTGAAGGTTTTTATCATAAAGCAATGCTAGATTTTATCAAATGCTTTTTCTGCATCTATTGAGATAATCATATGATTGTTGTTTTTAATTCTGTTTATGTGGTGTATCACATTTATTGACTTGCATATGTTAAACCATCTCTGCATCCCTGGGATGAAACCCACTTCAACATGGTGTATTATTTTTTTGATAGGCTACTGGATTTGGTTAGCTAGTATTGTGTTGAACATTTTTGCATGTATGTTCATTGGGGATATTTGTCTGTATTTTTCTTTTTTGTTATGTCCTTTCCTACTTTTGGCATTAGGGTGATACTGTCTTCATAGAATGATTTAGGGAGGATTCCCTTTTTCTCTATCTTTTGGAATAGTTTCAGTAGGATTGGTACCAATTTTTTGAATGTCTAATGGAATTTGTCTGGGAACCCATCTGGTCCTAGGCTTTTTTTTGTTGACAGTTTTTTTTATTACTGTTTCAGTCTCACTGCTTGTTATTGGTCTGCTCATGATTTCTATTTCTTCCTGATTTAGTCTAGGAGGGTTGTATGTTTCCAGGAATTTATCAGTTTTTAGATTTTCTAGCTGGTGTGTGTAAAGGTGTTCATAGTAGCCTTGAATTAACTTTTGTGTTTCTGTGGTATTAGTTGTAATATCTCCAGTTTGTTTTCTAATTGAGCTTATTTGGATCTTCTCTCCTTTTCTTGGTTAACCTCACCAATGGTCTATTGATTTTGTTTACCTTTTCAAAGACCCAACTTTTTTTTCATTTATCTCTTGTATTATTTTTGTTTCAGTTTCATTTATTTCTGCTCTGATCTTTATTATTTCTTTTTTATGCTGGCTTTGGGTTTCATTTGTTTTTATCTCTCCAGTTCCTTGAGGTGTGACATTAGGTTTTCAATTTGTGCTTATTCAGATTTTTTTTTTCCTTCCCAGATGAAGTCTCACTCTGTTGCCCAGGCTGGAGTGCAGTGGCGCAATCTCAGCTCACTGCAACCTCGACCTCCTGGATTCAAGTGATTCTCCTTCCTCAGCCTCCTGAGTAGCTGGGATTAAAGGCGCGTGCCACCACGCCTAGCTAATTTTTGTATTTTTAGTAGAGACAAGGTTTCACCATGTTGGTCAGGCTGGTCTCAAACCCCTGACCTTAACTGATCCACCTGCCTCAGCCTCTCAAAGTGCTGGGATTACAGGCATAAGCCACTGTGCCCGGGCTCTTTCAGGCTTTTTTAAGTCAGCACTTATTGCTATGAACTTTCTTATTTTCACTGCTTTGGCTATATCCCAGAGATTTTGATTACTTGTGACACTATTATCATTCATTTCAGAGAATTTTTAAATTTCCATCTTGATTTCATTGTTAACTGAAAAATCATCCAAGAATAGGTTATTTAATTTCCATGTACTCATACAGTTTTTAAGTTTCATTTTGGAGTTGATTTCCAGTTTTATTCCACTCTGGTCTGTGAAGATACTTTATAGGATTTCAGTTTTCTTAAATTTGTTTAGACTTGTGTTGAGGTCTATCATATGGTCTATCTTGGAGAATGTTCCATGTGCTGATGAGAAGAATGTATATTCTACAGTTACTGGGAAGAAATGTTCTGTAAATATCTGTTAAGTCCATTTGTTGTAGGATATGGTTTAAGATCATTGTTTCTTTGTTGACTTTGTGTCTTGATGATCTGTCTAGAGCTATCAGTGGAGTATTGATGTCCCCTGCTATTATTGTCTTGCTGTCTATCTCATTTCTTAAGTCTAGTAGTAACTGTTTTATAAAGCTGGGAGCTCCACTGTTAGGTGCATATAAATTTAGGACTGTGATATCTTCTTGTTGGAATTATCATTCTATCATTATATAATGTCCTTCTTTGTCTTTTTTTTTTTTTTTACTGTTGTTGCTTTAAAGTCTGTTTTTGTTTTGTATAAGAATAGCCACTCCTGCTCTCTTTTAAGAAAATGTAGTGCATATACATCATGGAATACTATGTGGCCATAAAAAAGAATGAGTTCTTGTCCTTTGCGGAACATGGATGGAGCTGGAGGCCATTATCCTTAGCAAATTAATGCGGGAAAAGAAAACCGAATACCACATGTTCTCACTTATAAGTGGGAGCTAAATGATGAGAACACATGGACATATAGAAGGGAACTGCACACACTGGGGCCTACCAGAGAGTGGAGGCTGGGAGGAGGGAGAGGATCAGGAAAAGTAACTAATAGGTACTAGGCTTAATGCCTAGGTAACAAAATAATCTGTACAGCAAACCCCATGATACAAGTTTACCTATATAATAAACCTGCACATGTATGCCTGAACTCAAAATATAAGTTAAATCAATAAAAAATTATTTTAAAATGATCGGCGGTCCCACCTGCCCAAAGGCTGTGCTGGGAGCTCTCTGGTCCCACCAGGCACTGGCACCCTGCACCACACCACATGCAGCAGGGCTAGCGACACACCCTCAGGCCAGCCAAGGCCATGGCCACTCTACCTATGATTTTCTATGTGGGTATTCAGCTTTGATGAGTGTCTTACATCTATAAGCTAAAATTCTTCATCAAATTTGGGAATCTTTCAGCCATAGATTTTTTTGAATTTTTTTTCTGATCCTGTGTCTATCTTCTTTTGGGACTCCAATTGGTCACCTGTTTACCTGCTTTATATTTTCTGAGGGTTTGTGAAGTTTTCTTCACTTTTCTTTAATCTTATTTCACTCTTTTTTATTTTTAGATTAGACAATTTCTGTTGATTTATATTCAAGGACACTGACTGATTCTTTATTCTGCCATCTCAAAACTTCTGTTGACCTCATCCAGAGCACTGTCATTATTTTTCTATCCAGTTTGAGAATTTCCACTTAGTACCATCTATAGTTTTCATTTCTCTGCTGCAATTACTTCTATTCACTCTTTAGAAATGATATTTCCTTCATTTCTTTCCACATATTTTTCAAAACTGTCTTAAAGAGTTTGCTGATAATTTCAATATCTGGACCCATTGAAACCCATTTATTTTTAATTTCCTCCTTATTATAGTCACACATTTCTTTCTTTTCTTTCTATGTCTGATCCTATTTGATAAAGTGGACATTATATGTTTTGTTTTAGAGAGTCTGGAATCTACAACAATCTCTCTAAAGATGGCAATTCTCCCACCACCACCACCCCTGCCCCTCAGTGAACGTGGTTAACTTTCCCTGCACTGGTAACTGTGAAATCTGTTACCCCTGCAGTTGGCTACAGCTGATGTCTCTGCTCTGTTTACCGATATCCAGTTGCTGCATTTTCAGCAGGGGGCTCTGGGTGTCTACTCTGCATCTTTGTAATATTTGTCCCTGCCAAACCTCATGTTGAAATGTAATCCCCAATGCTGCAGGTGGGGCCTAGTGGAAGCTGTTTGGGTCATGGGGGTAGATCCCTCATGAATGGCTTGGTGCCCTCCCCACAGTCATAAGTAAGTTCTCTTCGCTTTATTATTATTATTATTATTATTATTATTTTGAGACAGAGTCTCGCTCTGTTGCCCAGCCTGGAGAGCAGTGGTGCGATCTTGGCTCACTGCAACCTCCACCTCCTGGGTTCAAGTGATTCTTCTGCCTCAGCCTCCTGAGTAGCTGGGACTACAGGCACATGCCACCATGCCAAGCTAATTTTTGTATTTTTAGTAAGGATGGGGTTTCACCATATTGGCCAGGCTGGTCTCGAACTCCTGACCTCGTGATCCACCCGCCTCGGCCTCCCAAAGTGCTGGGATTACAGGCATGAGCCACCACATCCGGCCCCTGCTCTATTATTTTGAAAGAGAGTTGGTTGTTTAGAAGAATCTGGCTCCTCCCACCCTGTTCCTCTTTTGCCATGTGACATGCCTGGTCCCCCTTCCCCTTCCACCAGGAGTAAAAGGCTCCTGAGGTCTCACCAGAAGCTGAAGAGATGCTGGTGCCATGTTTGTACAACCTATATAGCCATGAGCCAAATAAACCTCTTTTCTTTATAAATTACCCACTCTCAGGTATTTATAGCAACACAACATGGACTAACAAGTACTGGGGCTATTTCTGCTAAGATTTTGCAATTCAGCTTCTCTGTGTTTGTTTTGCTTCTGGAATCCCCTCTAAATTGTCCTGCATCCTGCCTTTTCACCCCTCAGTCCAGTAAGATTTTTGCTTTCTTCTGCCTGTGTTGTATGCAGGTTGACAAATGCAAGCAGTCTATGTTACTGCAGACTTTCAGATATTGCCAGGATTATTTCACTCTTTCAAGGGTAGACCTCACTCTAGGTTCTTTCTGATTTTTCCCCAGGTTCCCCTGAGTGTCCCACACCCATGGGGAGTTTAGTGTTCAACCAGGGATGTGAGCATAGTTTGTATTCAGATTTTGAATCTGAATTCTTCAGCAGATCTCTTTCAAAATTGCCTGACTGATGTAAACATGTAAAAATGTAAACATTTTTAGCTTATTTGGGCTTTTAACTCTATAAACTGCCCTATTGATCCATTAGGGCTGCAGTTACCTGCTGGGAGTTTGGAGCAAACTCATAGGTAAGGAGGAAAGGCCACCAACTTGCAGCTTTTACCCAATAGATAGTCTCAAGATCAAAGCACTATTACATTTCTGCTCGCCTTTGTTTGTTTTCCAGTGACTTCAAATATTTATTTTTATGATTTTGTCCAGTTCTCATATTGCTATTTAGAGGAAGACTTGCTGATCTACCTGTTCATGTTGCCATTACCAGAAGTTCTGTCCTAAAAGAGACTTTTGGGAGAAAATGTCACAGCTCACAATTCAATTTTGTGAGACAAATAAGGATCCAGACACCAGAGATTCCTTGTTCAGGTTTTTCAAATTGAAGTAAGTTGAGGCCTTCTGTTTGTAACCCCAAATTTCTAAAAGAATCGCTGACTTCATATGACCCCCAATGATAAAGAAGGACACTCTACATAGATTGGACTCATTACTATTTAAGACAGCACATTCCATACCTAGGAAATTTCTGACTCTGTAAATCAAGTCACCAATGCTGCAGTTAAATTTGAGTGGAGGCCAAGGAAGTAGTTCAGTTAAGTGTGAAACAAGCACTGCCCCTCTCCCCTACCCTCTCTTAAAATCATGCAATCACATGTGTCTTCATTCAATCCTACAGCTGATTGGAAGCTGTTGGAAATGAGACTCCCTCATTATTCAGGCCCTGGGCTTTTCAACTCAAGGAATTCCTCCAAGATTGGAGTACAAGCTCTTTGAAAAATAACTGCACCGGTGTTATTAAACGTTAATGAAGATAAATAATTTCAACAAAGAAAAAATGTGATTTCTTATCTTGTGAGGGGATTTCTCTGCACCAAAATCCGGTAAGTTAGTACAAGTTCAAAACATTCCATAAGAAATGGAAATGTCATTCTGATCCAGGCAGGCATCAAACATATCTGCCATTTGGCCTAAATGCTTCCTTGGATATGTGTGTGTGTGTGTGTGTGTGTGTGTGTGCGCGTGTGTGTGTGTGTGTGCGTGTGTGTGTGTGTGTGTGTGTGTGTGTGAAACAGGCATAGGAGCTCACTGCTCAAGTTCCAGGGCTTCGAAGAAAAGCTTTATTCTTTATTCTTCTACTAAATAACAGTTCCTGGCTTGCTACTGAGCCCTGGTAGATTCTGAATGCCATGATCATGATACAGCAAATGACCAAGTGACTTGAGATGTCCACCATGACCTGGATTTTATTTATTCACTTATGGTCACCAGCACTCAGTGAGCATTCAGGAGGAAGTGGATATATATACTGTATATACATACAGTATCAGACCTGAGCTGGTCCTTAGCAAGGCCAGCTAAGTTGCCTCATAATATGTACTATATTCCTAGTATTCTTATTACCACCGGTAAATCCACTCTCCCTTGTCTCATCCTTGGGGTCTTGAGGAGTTCCCTAAGGACTGTTGACTATAGAAGAAGAAATTTGAATATGCTTTGAATACCCAAAAGTGTACTTTGCAGCATTACAGCCCTTTTCAGGAATTGTCATAAAGAAGAGTGGAAAGGAAAGTACCTCCAGCAGGAAGATTTTCAATCAGACCATCTGGAAGTTCATTTTGCCTAAAGAAATATCTTATTGTTAGATCCTCATCAATGCATGGGTAGTGACTAATAGTTTGCTCAGGTATTCAATGACTTCAAAGGAACAAGATGGGAAGGTTTGTGATAAGGAGCTTTAAGGATAAGGTGTGAACCACTAATGTGGCATATTAGGTATCTACGCCTACTCTCATGCTAACAAAAAATGGGTTATCAAAAGATAAAATACATCATAAAAGCACTGAGAGGCTTTCACATCAGTGAAAACTGTCTAATAAATATCAGGAAGCTCTGAATTTACTTTTATCCTGAGCTCATTTGCTCAATGTAGACAAGTTAAGCTTTAGTTTCCATGGCCTCATAAGGAATTTGGAATAGGAGGCAAGTCTCAAGTAGCACTCAAAGTGGGAAATCTCCTAGGATGATCTCCTCCATTTTGCTGGGACCCCTAAGTTCAGTTCCTCGGTGTAAGAGAAATGCCCCATGCTCAAAGGACTGCAGGAACAGCTGCCTTGGTGCTGAGTGGAACTGGGAGTAAACACAATGGCCCCACACATGTATTTGCAGCCCAAGTTCTCACTACCTGGATTGTCTGGCAATCATCAAGTTGTGAATTCAGTTTATAGTGGGCCAGGCTCCAAGGAACCTGTCAAAAAACAAACGCAAATAACACGCAAAACAAACACAAATCCTCTCTGGAGGAAGATGTCATCAACCACACTTAAAATTTCCTAAAATTATTCCATAAGCAAAATGAGCACTTACCAGGAAAACAACAACAAAACTATTTACAAGATACAAGTCACCATGAAAGATCAAGCAGAAACACCATACAGCAGAATAATAAGAATAAGACATAAAATAGCCCTGCTTCCTGTGATTAAAAAACAGGCTTTAAAAGACTTCCAGTTAATCAGAAACTACAAATAATGTTCAGGAAAAATTGAAAAGACAAATATAAAACATTTAGAAATGAAATACATGATAATATAAAAATCAAGTCTCAATGGATTTTTTCCAAGCAAAGACAATTTGACACAAACACGCTTTTACTGAAGGGAGTTCTAAAGAATATGCTTCAGGCAAAAGGCGAAATCCTGGTTGGAAGATACAAGATAAAAGAAAACATAAATACAAAATAAAAATCAAAAATGAAAGTAAATGTGTGGTTAAATTTAAATTAAGGTGAGGTTAAAAAGGACAGCATATGAGTTTTGAGGGAATATATAGTTAGTTAAAATCTATATCCATTCTCTCTTGTCCATACAATAATGCTGGATTTCTTTTCTTTACATTCTGATCTAAAATTTCAAGATAAACTTCTAAATCATAGTGTTGTCTAATTTGATTTTGCTTTGTACATTTTAGTATAGGGCATATAAAGGGAATATTCTGTGGGTCTTTCTATGTCATCTTTCCAAGGATTGCTGAATCCTTGTAAGTGATGCATGTACAAAGTCATATGTAGAGTTTTCACTAGTGCAGTTTTCCACAGTAAGATTGCCATTTGTAAAGGTGGTGGGACCTGCTAGTTTGTCTTTCAGAACCATGGACAGTTCTACACGTCCTGGGATGTAGGGAGCCAGATCCTCTTTCACCTGGATACCATGATACATCAGGGAGAAAAGTTTAAAAAGAACCTTAATAGTCATGAAACTGTGATTTTAAATATAGTCAGTAACCATAGTCTCAAATACTGCATTCTTCTTCCCCCTCTTCCTGCCCCTAATACTTTATTAGCCATGTATTTCATGGTCATTGCCATAGAAGGACCTGTTTGAGCAGAAGACACGACTTTAGGCCAGTCTTGGCATGACACTATAGTGGCTGAAGAGCAATAGATCTAGAACAAAACTGCCTGGAACTGAATTCTGGCCTCAAATCTTCATAATTGTGTTACCCTGGGCAAGTTACTTAAACTTTCTGAACCTAATTTTCTTGAGCAAGTTACCTATACTTTGTAGACTTCTTGACTTACTTCCTTCCTTCCTTCCTTCCTTCCTTCCTTCCTTCCTTCCTTCCTTCCCTCCCTCCCTCCTTCCTTCCTTCTTTCTTTCTTTTGAGACAGAGTTTTGCTCTCTTTGCCCAGACTGGAGTGCAATGGTGCAATCTTAGCTCACCACAACCTCTGCCTCCCGGGTTCAAGTGTTTCTCCCGCCTCAGCCTCCCAAGTAGCTGGAATTACAGGCACCCGCCACCAAGCCCAGCTAATTTTGTATTTTTAGTAGAGACAGGATTTCACCATGTTAGCCAGGCTTGTCTCGAACTCTTGACCTCAGGTGATCCGCCCTCCTCGGCCTCCCAAAGTGCTGGGATTACAGGTGTGAGCCACAACACCCAGCCTAAACTTCATTTCTTTATTGTGGATAAGAACATTTTTTTCATATGGTTGTGATAAATACTGAACAAAATAACTTATGTAGGTACTTAAGCCAATGCCTGGAATACAGCAAGTGCCCTTTAAATGCAGCCACTATTATTATTATAGTTGTTGCTATCGTTATTTTCCATGTAATACATTGAGGACTTTCTTTTTCATAGGTTCCCATGAAGGCTCTCTAAGGACTTGCTGAATGAGCAAGATTTGTTAAGATCATGAAAATTCTCTAGGCATAGCCCTACTAAAATTTTTCAGAAGTTCCCAATATCTTATCCACAGATTTCCTTTGATGTCAGAATATTAGTCTTGGTTAGGGGCATCTTCTGGAGTTTGAGTGTAGTCTGGTGTTTTGGGAAAAGAATTATTTCAATAATAGTAAGGCTCAATAATGTTAAAACTGAGAGTTTCAAAATGTTTAATCTGAAGCAAGGGTAGAGCAGATACTTCCTCAATGGGAAGAGGAGAATGTACCAATTGCAAGACAGCTAAAGAAATATGTGTTTGCTTATTGTCAGTGTTAATAACAGTGTTTTTATTAGTCAAATGCCTCATGTGGTACATTCTTCTGAATAAATATCTTTAAAGGCCTCCGCAAAAAAGGACCTCTGGCCAACACCATCCTCCAAGTCAAATGGGAAGAATCAATTAAGCAGAGGATGCACCAATCAGTTCATGAAAAGTTCAAGCCTCATGTTTTACAGAATTAAGTCCAATAATGAGAAGAAATCGGACATAGAATTCAACATATATCTTGAACATAGAAGGTGACATTTTAGCTCTACAGGTCCCTGAGAACGTTTTACACTTTGCTTTGATGAGATGTGGTGAGCACACATTTGATGTATTAGGTATTTTTGCAAAAGTATTTTATAGATGTCTTTTCATAGGTACTCTGAGATTACCTTCAAGAAAGATAAGTTATAAACTCATTTCTAGAAGGCTAAGTTCAAAATTTAGTGGCATAAGCAAGCAAACATTTCAAAGAAATACTGGCTATACTTTGCCATCCTGTGGAAAGACTGGACAACTGCAATGGGGTAGCCTCAATTTTTGCCCTGAAAGGAATCCTTAGAACTCATCATACTCAGATATGCTTATTTTAAAATGAAATGAAAAACAAGTAACTCAAACTTTGTGACATCCTCCACTAATATTTTTCAATATATATTTCTGCCACTTGTTATTTCAAAATATGATTTCTACTTCTATATATATTCTATTGCAATTACATTATATATAATATTCATGGTGCTTCATACACATAAACACACTTGATCCTTACAATCCTGTACAGTTGTCAGAGAAGAACTCATTATTCTGTTTTTTTTTTTACTAATAAATAAATAAGGCCTAAAAATATTCCATAAAACCCCAAAGGTGAGAGTTGTGAGCTCCTGGGCATACCAACTTCTTGACCTTCCAAATTGTTCTCTCTCCTCTCCTTTAAAAATATGGGGGAAAAATCAGATTGATGGTATCTTCTTATCCTAATAATTAACTGACTGAACAGAAAGATAGACTGAGACAATGTAGTGGACAGTCTAATATTAGAATTTTAAAACCTTATTCTGTCACCCCGATGCAGTGGTTTTTTAAATACATATAAGAATATGAAAAACATGTTTGGGGAAATTGAATCATAGCACCTAATGCAATTCCTCCAATTAGTAAGCTGTCAATACTTGTTAAATAAATGCATATACGAAGGTTAAAATTTGGAAGGGATGGAAGGAAGCATAAGCAAGAACATAAACACAAACCTTTATCCGTTAGATAAAATGATAAAAGGTCCATAAGTGAGGGGAGACCAGTGGGGCTAAGAATGTAGAGGAATGTTTGGGAAAACTGCCAGAACATGGTGCCTGACCTCTCACAGAAGAGAGGATGAGAAGCAAGGTAGCTCGCAGATTAACTGACTGAGGAAAGCAGAAACTAGGAGGACTTGGAGTGTGGTATGGTGGACACCAACCCCAGATCCATTGACTAGCTGCTCACAATCCCCCAAGAATTTTTAAGAGTGAAGTGTTCTGCTTCCGGAGATTGATTCTGTAGGCCTAGGAGAGGGCCAGAAATAGTTACTTATAAAAGGTTCTCCGTGGGATTTGGCATGACTGCATTCTAGACTTTAGAGTGTAATATCCAGGCCAACTTAGGGACCACAAAAAGGAGGATTCTACCTATAGAATGCCCTAGAGAGGTTGAGAGGGCAATAAGATTAAGCAAAGTCCACTCTGTTGCAACTAGAGGTGGCTGCTGACACTTGAGAATTGACAAGAAGTTCAGAATGAGCAAAGGCGCAGAAACGGACAGAGTGATGGATAATCAGGGGGCAATGAGGAGACTGGCCTGGCAAGAGCATGTTCTCAAAATGGGAGGGGCTTTGGAGCTGTAGGGTCAGAGGTGGCCAAATGAGAGGCTTGGCATTTATAAGTGAGCTTGATAAATTAAATATTTGAATAAGACTGAGGTATGAAAAGAGCTATGATGTGCTCAGTGGCTAAATGACTAAAGTCAAGATGTTTTCAACTCAACCTGACTGAGCTAGATGGAAGATTTGGTAATTAGATATGAAGGGAATGGAGATAAGTCTCTTACTTACCTTCTCCAGATGATACCTTCTACCTGTTTGCAAGCGCTCTTGGGCTGGAGTACAAGGGTGGTTTCAGGGACAGAGAAATTTAGAGGCAGAGAGGGAACCTCTAAGACTAGGAAAGTAAGCGTGGCTGGGCCTAGAGAAGCTGAGTTCCAAATGTAGTTACTGACTTTATATACAGAAGCAATGGGATTGTCAGTCAGTCAGTCTGCCTAGCTAGTCAGTTAGATCATCAGATTAACCACTATCATGTAGTGCTGTGGGAAATCAGAAAACTCTGGGATGGCTGTAAGGATATGTGTGTAAAGATGTCTGTGCAGTGGACATTCAGTGTAGTGACAACTAAAGGAAACCATCTGAATATTTACACTAGAGAAGCAGTTGCATGCAAAATACTATGGAATTAGGGTTTAAAATGATGAGCTCAAGCTTTCTCTATGAAATTGGTGAGATGTTCACAATATAAATAAAAAACATCAAGTAACAGGGCATTATAAATAGAATAGTTGAATTTTTTGCTACAATGAACAAGAAAATAAAATAAAGCTCATCTGAATTGAAAAGAAAGAAGTAAAACTACCTTCGTTACAGATGATATGATCTTATACATAGAAATCCAAAAGAATTTACTTTAAAAAAGCATTACAACTAAAGAATTTTATCACATTGGCAGGATACAAAATCAAAATATAAAAATCAATTGTGTTTCTATACAGTATCAATGAATGAAAAATGAAAAATGAAAATCTTGAAACTATATATAAAAAGTAGCTCAAAATGTATCAAAGACCTAAGTGAAAGAGTTAACATTAGAAAACTCTTAGAAGGAAACAGGCCAGGCACGATGGCTCATGTCTGTAATCCCAGCATTTTGGGAGGCCAAAGTGGGCAGATTGCTTGAGCCCAGGAGTTGGTAGACCAAACTGGGCAGCATGGCAAAACCCTGTCTCTACAAAAAATACAAAATTTAGCCGGGTGTGGTGGCATGCACCTGTAGTTTCACCTACTCAGGAGGCTGAGGTGGGAGAATCACTTGAGCCTGAGGAAGTTGAGGCTGCAATGAACCGTGATTGCACCACTGCACTCCAGCCTGGGTGACAGAGTGAGACTGTGTCTCAAGGAAAAAAAAGGAAAGAAAGTAAGGAAGGAAGGAAGGAAAGAAGGAAGGAAGGGAGGGAGGAAGGAAGGGAGGAAGAGAGGAAGAAGAAAAAAGAAAGAAAGAAAGAAAATAAAACATAGGCATAAATCTTCATGGCTTTGGATTAAGTAAAGGCACCTAATCTTAAATGTGACACCAAAAGCATAAGCAAAAAAAGAAGAAAAAGATAAACTGGACGTCATCGCATTTAAAAACTTTTGTATGTTTACAGATGCCATCAAGAAAGTGAAAAAAAAAAACCCCACAGAATGGGAGAAAATTTTTGCAAATCATACATATGGTAAAAGAGAAAATTTTGTCTATAATATATAAAACCGGTTATAACTCAATAGTAAAAAGGCAAATAATCAAATTTAAAAATAAAGGATTTGGATTTACAGTTCTCCAGTGAAAATATACAAAAGGCCAATAAGCACGTGGAAACATGTTCAACATCATTAACCATCAGGAAAATGCAAATCGGCCCTACAATGCGATAGTATTTCACACTGTGAGACAAAGTAGTAAATGTCAGAAGCTGACTTTTACTTGCCAGCATAATTTCACAAAGTCCCTGTGAGAGTTGCACATCCTCCTAGTTCATCGTGAGGATGTGCAACTCTCTGGAAAGATGCTTTGAGGACAAAACAGGATAAAGCACACAGCCCCCAACGTCTCTTGCCTAAGCCACTATATTCCTTAAAAGATGAATGCCCTTGCTTTTCCCTGCACATAAGATAATGTCTGACGGGCATAGTGATCATGCTTCTGTAATCTACACTGGACGTATTCCTGCTTCCAAACTTTGATGTGATTCTGCTTTAATGTAACTTCTTACCAAGTGTGATGTGATGTTGCAATACAGAACACCTATAATATAAGCAGTGGGCTGAAATACTGAGCTGGTACAGTCTGATAGAGCCTCTCTAAAGGGCTGTTCTTGGGTTGTAGGCCTCCGTCTATAGTCCTCAGTAAGATTTCCAAATAAAACTAAGTTAATTCTTTAAAGTTTGATTTTTTCCCTTAGTTGTAACCACCCACTAGAATGGCTACAATAAAAAGATAATAATGAACACCGATGAGGATGCAGAGAAACTGGAAGCTTCATATACTGCTGGTGGGAATATAAAGAGGTGAAGCCCCTTTAGAAAACAGGCCAGCACTTCCTCAAAATGTCAAACACTAAGTTAGCATATGACCCAGCTATCCCCTCCTAGGTATACAGCATACCCAAGAGAAACAAAAACATCTGTCCACACAAACACCTATACGCAAATGCTTACGGCTGCATTATTAATAATAGCACAAAATAGAAAGAACCCAAATGTCCATCAACTAATAAATGAATAGGCAAATTGTGATATATCCATACAATGAAATATTATTCAGTAATAAAAAAGACGTGAAGTACTGCCACATGCTACAACCCAGACGAACCATGAAAATGTTACGGTAAGTGAAAGAAGCCAGACACGAAAGGCCACATATCGTATAATTTCCCTTACGTGAAATTTCCAGAATAGGCAAATCTGTAGATATGGAACACAGGTTAGTGGCTGCCTAGGGCTAGGGGAGTTGAGAGGAAATGAGGAGTGGCTGCCAATGGGTATGGGGTTTTTTGTGGGGTGATGAAAATGTTCTGGAATTGATAATGATAATGTTGGCACAACTATGTGAATATACTAAAAACCACTGACTTGTATATAATGAATGTGTGAATTTTATGATATGTAAATTATATCTCAAGTTGTTGTAAAATGATTAAACTACAAATAAAATTTGAGGACTTTTGCTAAAAAAAAGCTACAAAGTAAAAACACTCAACACTTAATATAGGTGCCTATGTTTGTATGAAAATGGAGAAAGTAGACACATAGAGAGTAGATTGATAACATAAATTACCTTAGTAAAGTGGGCATAGATTTAGAGATAGAAGATATTTTAAAATATATTTATACATATTGTGATGATTTCATTTCCAACTCTGAGCATGTATTATTTGTACACTAAAATTTTAAAAATAGAAAGTTAAGAATCTTGAAAACTCTTCAGCCAAATAAAAAATAGTAACAAACAAACAGCAATAAAGAGCCATCTGGAATTTCTTCTTGGAGAATTGGCTTAAGCATACACAAGGTAAAAAGAGGACAATGGCTGAAGAATCAAGGCAGGACTATAGCAGTAGGTGAGAAGAAAATGTAAGCGCGGAGCTATAAGACAAGGTAGAGAGAAGATGACAGAGCCAAGAAGTGGACATGAATCCTATAAAACACTCTTGGAGACTCAGAAATGACTGGGTTTATGTAGGAGAGAAACTGCAGCCTAGAGTCCAAGACGGCCAGACACCAGGGACAGGGCATGGAATCAGAAGTGCTTTCCAGTCATTTCTTTTTGTCTCCCTCCATCACCCCCGCAAAGTCGTTGCTTAAATTACAGCCATTGCACCTTGAGATGGTGGTACCATTTGGAGACTTTAAGATAATAGAAAGGTAGGCCGGGCGCGGTGGCTCACGCCTGTAATCCCAGCACTTTGGGAAGCCGAGGCAGGCGGTTCACGAGGTCAGGAGATGGAGACCATCCTGGCTAACACGGTGAAACCCCATCTCTACTAAAAATACAAAAAAAAAAAAAAAAAAAAAATTAGCCAGGCATGGTGGCGGGCGCCTGTAGTCCCAGCTACTTGGGAGGCTGAGGCAGGAGAATGGAGTGAACCCAGGAGGTGGAGCTTGCAGTGAGCCGAGATCGCGCCGCTGCACTCCAGCCTGGGCAACAGAGCGACACTCCCCTCAAAAAAAAAAAAAAAAAAAAAAGATAATAGAAAGGTAACTTTTGAGCTCTTCTGAGGTAAGGAAGTGTATTAGTGTAGCTTTTTCCAGGAAAACCACCACACTCTAGTATAACATTTTAGGAATAACGTGTTCAATATAGGAATTAGAGCCTATACTAATGTTGGAAAATCTAGGAGAGCAAATATTGGTGAAGTCATGTTGTAGGCAAAATAAAGGTCTCCCAAGATGCCTATGTCCTAACCCCTGGAACTTGTGAAAATGTCACCTAATATGACAAAAGGAAGTTTTCAGATGTGATTAAGTTGAGGCTCATGAGATGGGAAGATTATCCTGTATTATTCAGGCAGGTCCAATACAATCACAATGGTCGTTATAAGTGAAAAAGGTAGCAGCAGAGTGAGAATTGGAGAGGGAGATGTGACAACAGAATCAGAGGTCAAAGTGATGGGACTGCTGACTTTAGAAGATGGAGGAAGGAACCACGAGCCAAAGAATGCAGGCAGCCTTAAGAAGTGGAGAAGGTGAGGAAACAGATTTTCCCTCAGAGCCGCCATAGGAATGCAGCCCTGATGACCCCTTATTTTAGGCCAGAGAGACCCATATCAGACTTCTGACCTCCAGAACTGTAAGATAATAAATTTGCGTTGTTTTAAGCCACTTCATAGCAGTAATTTGTTACAGCAGAAACAGAATACTAATACCAGTCACCATTGTAGCTCTTGGAGGCTGCAGCTGGGAGGTCAGGGAAGCATGTGCTGAAGAACTTAGCCTGAAGCACAGGTGGGAGGTTCCTAGAACCCTGCTGGGAGATTGCTGTCATTCTCCAGAACCTCTGAGAAAGCTCCCACCATTCATCTCGGTCTGCACAGGCAAAGCAGATGGGTCTTTGGCCTAGCACAGAAGCCACTGAGAACCTGACATCTGCCTACTCTTCTGCCTGCAGCCACGACTGATGGGTAGAGGCCTGTCTCTCCATCTCTTCTGGGCACCATATCTCATGCAAGTTTCTCTGATTGGAAAATGTGAATCGGAACTACACAGGGAAGGGGATTCTGGGAGACATACTCCTTGCTTCTCGGCAGAGAAGGTGGCTGCTGATTTGATAAGACACAATCCTGCACATTAGTTAATGATGGCAAGTGTAGATGGGCTTGTTGACCCCTGATTGACAAAGCAAAGATTCCACAGCTGATGTAAACTAGTGATGTGTTTAAGAGACTTGTTTAAACTCAGCAAATATTAAGTGTGATGTGTCATGGATTATGAAAAGAGTAAACTCATGGTTTGTGCTATTTACCTCAGTATTACTGAAGAAGGATCCTAGAAGCCCACTGATCCAGCTAGACCTTTATGTTTTTTTAACTTTTATTTTAAGTTCAGGGGTCCGTGTGCAGGTTTGTTATATAGGTAAACTTGTATCATGGGGATTTATTGTATACATTATTTCATTACTCAAGTATTAAGCCTAGTACCCATTAGTTATTTTTCCTAATCCTTGCCCTCCTCCCAGCCTCCAATAGGCCCCAGTCTCTGTTGTTCCCCTCTTTGTGTCCATGTGTTATAATCTAACTTCCACTTATAAGTGAGAATATGTGGTATTTGGTTTTCCATTCCTGCCTTAGTTTTCTAAGGATAATGACCTCCAGCTCCATTCATGTTCCTGCAAAGGACATGATGTTGTTCTTTTTTATGGCTGCATAATATTCCATGATGTATATGTACCACATTTTCTTTATCTAGTCTACCATTGGTAGGCATTTAGGTTGATTCCACGTCTTTGCTGTTGTGAATAGTGCTGCAATGAACATACACATGTATATGTCTTTATAACAGAATGATTTCTATTCCTTTGGGTATATACCCAGTAATGGGATTGCTGGGCTGAATGGTATTTCTGTTTTTAGGTCTTTGAGGAATTGCCACACTGTATTCCACAATGGTTAAACTAATTTACACTCCCACCAACAGTGTATAAGCGTTCCTTTTTCTCAGCAACCTGGCCAGCACCTGTTATTTTTTGACTTTTTAATAATAACCATTATGACTGGTGTGAGATGGTATTTCATTGTGGTTTTGATTTGCATTTCTAATAATCAATGATGAGCTTTTTTCATATGATTGTTGGTTGTATGTATTTCTTCTTTTGAGAAGTGTCTGTTCATTTCCTTTGCCCACTTGTTAATGGGGTTGTTTCTTGTAAATTTCTTTAAGTTCCTTATAGATGCTGGATATTAGATCTCTGTCAGATGCATAGTTTGCAAAACTTTTCTCCCATTGGGTAGGTTGTCTATTTACTCTGTTGCTAGTTTTCTTTGCTGTGCAGAAGCTCTTTAGATTAACTAGATCCCATTTGTCAATTTTTGCTTTTGTTGTCATTGCTTTTGGTGTCCTCATCATGAAATCTCTTCCCATTCCTATGTCCTGAATGGTATTGCCTATGTTGTCTTCTAGAGTTTTTATAGTTTTGGGTTTTACATTTAAGTCTTTAATCTATCTTGAGTTAATTTTTGTATATGGTGTAAGGAAGGGGGCCCCGTTTCAATCTTTGCATATGACTAGCCAGTTATCCTAGCACCATTTATTGAATAAGGAATTCTTTCCCCATTGCTTGTTTTTGTCAAGTTTGTCAAACATAAAATAGCTGTAGGTGTGCAGCCTCATTTCTGAGTTCTCTTTCTGTTCCATTGGTCTATGTGTCTGTTTATGTACCAATACCATGCTGTTTTGGTTATTGTAGCACTGCAGTATAGTTTGAAGTCAGATAGCATAATGCCTCCAGCTTTGTTCTTTTTGCTTAGGATGGCCTTAGCTATTTTTGGTTCCATATGAATTTTAGAATAGTTTTTTCTTTTTCTTTTTATTTGTTTATTTATTATTATTATTTTAGATGGAGTCTTGCTGTGTCACCAGGCTGGAGTGCAGTGGCATGATCTGGGCTCACTGTAAACTCCACCTCCCAGGTTCAAGCAATTCTTATGCCTCAGCCTCCCAAGTAGCTGAGATTACAGGCATGTGTCACCACACCTGGGTAATTTTATTTTTATTTTTTGTATTTTTAGTAGAGACTGGGTTTCACCATGTTGGCCAGGCTGGTCTCGAACTCCTGACCTCAAGTGATCTGCCCGCCTCGGCCTCCCAAAGTGCTGGGATTACAGACATGAGCCACCAAGCCTGACCTTAAAATAGTTTTTTTCTAGAACTACATATTTAAATTGGAAAAGATGTGTTGTATTCTCTGAATCCTAGTGGCTCACAGGAGCTGTCTAGAATAGCCTGACTATAGCAATTCCTAGTTAAGCCAGAAGTTTGAAATGAGTTCAAAGTGTAGGGATAAAATTCCAGTGAGAGGCAGAAAACTGGAAAGTTAATGCTTTTCCATGTTAATCAATCAAGTCCATCAATTGTTTATATGTGTAGCTTTCTCTCTTAATTTGAATAATTTCTTAGAGATGAGTATCACTGTGAAGTGTGGGGTGGCTATGAAAGTATAAGATTGCTTCTAGCAACTCACACAGTCACTCATGGATGCTCGGCCCAAGACCCTGATAGCCACGGTTCCACTCCAAGGGAAAAGAGGCCATCTGAGGAGCAAATAGAACTCTGTCACAAGATGAGTGCAGGAAACACCCCAAACACAGTCCCTAAGGTCGATGCAGAAACAGCGTAAGAAGAAAGTGTCCAGATATCCAGAATCCTATGAGGTAGGGATTCAGAACTCTCAAAGGCCACCCTCTTACATCTGTCAATAGGTCAAGGTTTCTGTGGATGTGTGTGGCTGTGGCTGACAGGGACCCCAGTGATCCCTATGAGGTTAGACGTAGCTTAAGAGAGAATAAGGGGCACGCACATGCACACACACACACACACACGCACACACACACGCACACACACACAGAGTCAAGGGCAGCCCTTCAAAGCTTCCCATCATCTTCCTCTGTCCATATTTCATTCTCCATCAGCTCACTTTCCATTTTTTCCTTTTTAAGCAATAACAAATTAGTTATATGATGCTGGCTGGTGTGGTGACTTACATTTGTAATCCTAGCATTTTGGAAGGCAGAGGCATGGAAATGGCTTAAGCCCGAGAGTTTGACAGCTGTGTGATTCTAGACAGAGTCCTTCACTTCTCTGTGTCTCCATTTTCTCATCCATTTTATGTGAATCACTATTTCAACAAACAGGGATCAAACGTAGACTGTTTGAGGGAAAAGTAAGTAAGCCAGTGTAGCTGTCTTCATTGATCCTGGTGTCCAGTAGGGGAGATGGACACCTTTTTTAGTGTCATACCTAATGTTACACATTTTAAAAGTAAATTTTTTTTAAATTTGTATGTGTTGTCTCTTGAACTCTCACTATGGAGAGACACTCTCAGTGTGCATTGTTACTGTAAGAATCCCTATTTTTCATCTATCCAACAAATACAGCTTGAAGGCCCAGAATATGCCAGCTTCTGTGCTCCTCCTTGAAAATAGAACAGTGAGGAGCATAAACATAGGCATTTATGTTCTGAAGTTACAGTGTAGTGAGAAAGAAATACATGAGCCAGATGAATAGAAGCTACTACAAAAAGTGCTTTGAGAAGGAAGGAAAGGATCTGTGAGAAAAGAAAGGAGGAAGAGCAAAGCCAGTTTCAGGAAAGCAGGCTAAACTTCCAACAGGAATCCAAGTATAAAAAAAAAAAAAAAAAAGCAGGAATTAGGCAGACCCAAGCAAAGGGAACACCTAGTCCGACCAAAAAATGAAAGGCTTTGCAGCATGTTTGTGAAACTGTAAGCAGAATCACTGGCTAGTGCAAGAGGAGAGAGAGAGAAAATTGGAAAAGTGTGCAAGGTCCTGTTCACACAGGGTTGGGAAAATTGGTTAAGAATTTGGGTGTTATCCTGAGGTTAATAGTGAGTCATTAAAATATTTTAAGTAAGAAAGAAACAAAAGTGGATTTTTGTTTCAGCAGGATTCCTGCAATTGTAGGGCACTGACCCAAGTCTTGCTTGGGTCAGAGCAAGACTGGAGGCAATAAAATGAGTTGGGAGATTTTGAAGAACTCTGAACAACAGAAAGAGTGACAAGATCTAGGGCTGTGGAGACTACGCTGGGATCCAGGAGGACAGGCACTAGAGATGGTGCAGCTACAAAGGCTCGGGGGCAGGGTCGGGAAAGCCTGAAGCTCCCACTTGTGGAGCAGAGGAGAGGTCTAACACCTGCACACCCCAGTGAAGGGGCAGAATGGGAGTGAACAAGGGAGCCCCTGGGCTGGGATTTTCCATGTTTCTGGCACTAGGACGGGGTGGGCAACACAGTGTGGAGCCCAGAGTAGAGTAGAATTGCAGGTTGTCACTCAACAAGATGTGCAGCAGCTAAAGGTTGTGGGAGTCATGTAGGGGAAGGTAAATCCAAAGTAGCTAGAAGATGCACAAGACAATAACCCCTGGCTCAGAACCTCTGCACACTTGCAGGCATTTGGTCTACTCTGTAATTGATTTGCCACTGGGAACCTGCTAGCTCCCCCACTCCTTTCTCGTGATCCTTTCTATGATCTGGCTCTTTGGTCCTCCTGTTGAACCTCCCTCCCATGCACAGTTGCTGGATGACGTCTCTTGGTGCCTCCATAATTGCTCACTAATGTGTGGTGTCCTTTCATTCCCAGGCTAGAAGGGCCTAAATATGAAAAAAATCCTGAAGAGACCAGGCTCCTTTCCTCCATCCTTTCTCCTTAGGAAAGCAGGAGGAGATGAGACACTTCAAAATCCTGGAGGTACAACCACTGGGACATGTGATGTGATCCCAGAAACTTGAGAGAAAGGAAGGGGTCTCAGGACGGGGTGTGTGTGTGTGTGTGTGTGTGACACTAGAGAGTTTGGGACAGGACTATGTCCTCTGTGCAGAAACAGCTGAAAACCTGGAGTTGAGAATTTCTACTGAAGGTCCCAGAAACACCCTGAGAAGAACAGGAAAATGGGAAGAGACAATCATAGTGACTGGCAAGTGAAGGATAAATAGCCAGGAGACATTTTTTTAGGTTTTCATAATTTACTTTACAAAATCATTGATAATGCATCAATGATAGATCCAAAAATATTTATTTAATCTCCTCTAGAGACAGTGATAGACTGTGACAATATAATGCTCAGAGAGACTTGGATTTAATTATAATCCAATTCTAATTGTGATTGTGACCACAGAGAGCCTGGAAGCAGTCTGTACTGGACCACATATACTGATTTATAATTCAGCTTTATGCTGGTTTCCACAGTTCTCACCACAGCTGCCACTGTGTCCCTCAATACTGAAGGGCATGTCCTGGCCAGGTTTTTCTGGCATTGAACAGGTACTGGCTACTTCTGGGTTCCCCTCACTTGCCTGCCACCTCCTGGTCTCCCTGAGTCACTGACAACTATGACCTGTAGATGCCACTCTGTGGAGCCCAAGATCAAAAGACACTGTGAAGACTACAAAAGGGAAAAGGCCAGCACTTTGGGAGGGTGAGGAGGGTGGATCAGGAGGTCAGGAGATCGAGACCATCCTGGCCAGCATGGTGAAACCCCGTCTCCACTAAAAATACAAAATTAGATGGGCTACTCAGGAGGCTGAGGCAGAAGAATCACTTGAACCTGGGAGGCAGAGGTTGCAGTGAGCCAAGATCATGCCACTGCACTCCAGCCTGGCAACAGAGCAAGACTTTGTATAAAAAAAAAAAAAAAAGAGAGAGAGAGTGAGAGAAAGAAGTTCATGTCGCCTGGACTAGCTCCATCCAGCAGTGCAAGGGAAAGATGCCGTGTTGACCAAATGTGCTGCTGATTTTCTGAATGTTGAGTGAGGATGGATCCACAATGGAGTCACAGTGGATTCTTCCTAACACCCAAACCCACAGAGAAAATGACTTCATAATCAGTGACTTCAGCAAACGCAGACCCTGGGAAGTCATGGTTTCTCATACACCATCATTTCTTTGTAGCAACTTCACATCTGGTTCTATCAAGAGGAATCCTTGTGGGTTAGGTGCCTTTGGAAAGATGTTTGTGTACTTCAGAGGATGGGAAATCTATTTTAAAGTACACTTCAAAGCCCTGACTTTATAAGGTTCTTAAGTATTGCCGGTTCCCAAACATTGCCAGTTGATACATAGAAATCTAGATATTAGATTCAGCTTTATCCTCTGGATATAACATGACAATTGTTAAAACTTTTCTCGCTTCCAACAATGATGCATAAAATGATGACATACCAAAGCAAAGCCTTGAGCAATCTTGAGAGAATCCCAGGGGCATATTTTACTCTGTTGAACATGTAGTCTGACATTGAGGGACCAATGTTGAGTGCCGTTCAAGAAAGTTTGGTGGGGATCCATCCGTTTCCTTAGTGAGCAATGTTTCCTCAGTTGAATGTGATCAGTTTTCCTATGTAGAAACTAGAGAACATTACCTAATCCCTGGTTTCCATAACAACCATTGAGCACCACCAGCACTGGGGGTGACACTGACAGGTCCTCACAGGACAAGTACTGTTGCCCCAAGTAAGGGCCTGCAGTGGAAGGGATGCAGAGCTTTAGCAGCAGGAACCTGAAACCTGAAACCTCACCACCAGGCACAGCATATAATCTGCCACTTCATGAGAAGTTTAACTTAATCATTGATCCACAATTGTGACACACTTTTAACCAAAGCCTAAAGGGAAATGAAGGCCTCATTACAGGTTCAACACAGTTTACAAACATCAGCCACAAAGACCCAGACTTATCTTAGGGATTGCTTTTGGCCTGGCGGGATTGAAGATGGGGATGCATTGGAGCTCTGCAGAGAACAATATGACCCTCTGTCACCCTGAAGGAAACAGAAGTTCCATACCAGGCATCATAGAATCTGATTTTGCCCACACATACTGCAGGCTCCTGAAGGAGAAAGTTCTCACCGGTACAAACCCTAAAAGTTAGTTTTCAGGAACAAATAGCTCTGTTTACTACAGTGAAATTTTTGAATCAAAAAGCAAATTTATAATGTCTAATAACAACATAAGTGGGTAGTAGGATCTTTGGAAGTTTTGGAATACTGTAGCACAGCGATGTTTCTGTTTTTTTAAAACAAAGTTATTTAATTTGTATAATGTTTCACAAATACTTAAAATAATACAAAATTACATTTTGAGCTTTGCATTGTCTTGTTAACATATGGTGATGCAGATAGAACGCAATTTATACTTTTAGATACAAATAATTGATTTTGAATTCAAGGAACTTGTTTGAATCAAGTACTTCTTTGGCATTTAATGAGTTTCTTGCAAACAGGTATCAACTTTTAAATTTGAGATACATAATTTTGCCTTACAACCATCCAATTAATTGCTTTTTAAACATTAGATTGTGATAGTTGTATTAGTTTCCTGTGGTTGCTGCAACAAATTGCCATAAACTTGATGGTTTAAAACAACAGAAATCTATCTTCTCACAACCTTGGAGGCCAGGAGCCCCAAATCAAGATCTCAGTAGGGCTATGCCCCTTCCAGAGGATCTAGGGGAGAATCAGTTCCTTGCATCTGTCATATTCTGGTGGCTGCAGGCATTCCTTGGCTTGTGGCTGCATCACTCCAATCTCTGCCTCTGTCTTCACATCACCTTCTCCTCTGTGTGTCTGTGAACCTCAAATTCCCTATGGGTACTGGGCTTAATACTTGGGTGATGAAATAATTTGTACAACAAACCCCTGTGACACAGGTTCACCTATGTAACAAACCTTCAACGTGTACCCTCAAACCTAAAATAAAAGTTTTTAAAAATTCCCTCTCCTTGTCTTTTATAAAAATACATGTCATTGCATTTAGGGCTCACCCAGATACTCCAGGCTAGCTCATCCTCTCAACATTCTTAAATTAATCATATCTTTTGCCATACAAAGTAATATTCACTCTTTTGTCATATAAAGTAATAGTTACATGTTCCAAGGATTTGACATGGATATCCTTGGAAGGGTTGTCTTCCAGACTACCAAAGTAGTACATTAGTTTCCTATGGCTGTTATAACAAATTACCACAAATTTGGTGACTTAATATAAAACATATGTATTCACTTACCGCTCTTGAAATCAGCAAATTAAAATAATTTTGAGTGGACTTCAGTTCACTCAAAATTACTTTCAGTGGACTAAAATCAAGATGTCAGATGGGCTGGTTCCTTCTGTAGGCTCTAGGGGAGAACCCATTCCCCAATCCTGTCCAGCTTCTAAGGCTGTTTATGTTACTTGGCTTGTAAGCCCTTCCTCCACCTTCAAAATGAATCACTTCAGTCTCTCCTGGCATCATCACATTCCCTTCTCCTCTGACTCTGACACTTCCTGCCTCCTCTGATAAGGACCACTGTGATTATATTGGGCCCACCCAGCAAATCCAAGATAATCTCTCTCAAGATTCTTAATCACATTTACAAAGTCCTTTTTCCCAAATAAGGCAACACTCACAGTTTCTGGGGATTAGGATGAGATTAGGGACGATTAACGAGATTACTCAGGTAGTAATTTGTGAGTAAAATTATTATAGAGAGGCAAATTATTTATATCTTATAGTTTGCAGAGCAATGTTGTTTACTGTGACTTTGGCATGTATTTTTAGCAATTAAAATGCTTTAAGGATTTATACCACATATTGATGGCTTTTGATTCTTTTGTATTCAAGACTATGCACATTTGGGGCTGTGTTTTCTAGAAACATACACAGTAACAGTATCTGAGCAGAACTTAGAAATACTGTATTACTATGAGAAAGTACATTTCGTTAATCTAACACACATTATGATTTATATTTGGCTCACAAGTTGATATGCCTTCTCAGATTTTTTCAGCTGTTTCCTTCTTTCTCTTTCTAAGTCGGTGCTCTACCTGGACTGGGTCAACTTGCCTCTTCAGGACTAGAAGAAACACCATGTTGCAAGGCATGGTATAGAAATACAACTGACTGCTACATATTGATTTTGTATCCTGCAACTTTGCTGAATTTGTTTATTAGTGCTCTCTCTCTCTCTTCCTCTGTGTGTGTGTGTGTGTGTGTGTGTGTGTGTGTGTGTAATCCTTAGGGTTTTCTGCATATATGATCATGCTGTCTTCTAACAAAGATAATTCTACTTCTTCCTTTCCATTTTGGGTGTTTTACTTTATTTTTCTTGCCTAGTTACTCTGGCTAGAACTTCCAATACTAAGTTGAACAGATGTGGTGAATAGGTATATTTGTCTTGTTTCTGATGGTAGAGAAAAAGCCTTCCTCATTCTTTCTCCTTGAATATGATGTTAGTGATGGGCTGCTCATATATCGCCTTTATTGTGTTGAGGTAGTTTCCTTCTATTCCTAGGTTGTTGAATGTTTTTATCAGAAAGGGTGTTGAATTCTGTTAAATGCTTTTCTGTGTCAATCGAGATGATTATGTGGACCATGAAAGTTTTGAAGTAGGAGAGAGACAGATGACATTTTCCTTTACAAAGACCTCTCTGGTTGCAGGCAGTCTTTGGAGGAGAACAAGACTGAAGGCAAAGAAATGTGTTGGGAAATTTTGGCAGAAATCCCAGGGACAGGCAATGATGATCTGAGCTGGGGAAGTGGCCACACACTACGATTCGCACCCCAGACAAGAGCAGAAGCCTGAGATGGAGTAGCTCCATAGGCCTAGGTGGGAGAGAAGGCTGAACCAGAGACCAGAAGCGTGCTGAGCTGAGTACTAAGCCCGCTGCTGCAGGTCAGTTAGAGGTCCAGAGGGAAAGGAGCTGTGGGTCTCCCGGCTTGGGGCACTGTCACGCAAACTAGGTTTGCGGGGATTAAGCTCTAAGTATTCGTGCACTTGGAAGGAGCGACAGCAGATGGGGAGCGCTGAGCGAGGACAGGGATGTGCAGTCTGCAGAGAGAACAGGAGCCGCCCTCGGTCGGCTAGAGGGCTGCAGTGCAGTGCCAAAGGAGGGACTCTGGAAGAGCAAAGCTGAGATCTGCAGTGAAAGTGACAGCAGAAGAACTTGAGGAAAAATACATTTCTCTGCTTTTTCGACTGTATTTGGTCTCTCTTTTCTAGCACTGGAGCCCATCTTCCTCTTTTCTTCCTTCTGGCCCTTTCTTCAATTGGACCATGTTTTCCTCCTATTGAAACACCCTCCTATTGTGACACTGCAAACCTCCAATAAATCGCCAACACTGTCCCTTGAGTCTCCAGAGTGTCTCACTCTTTCCAGACACGCTGGTGATTATTCATCTGCTTCATCTGCCTCCTTCCTGAGCTATGGCTCCAGGTGGAAGTGGTCAGCCTTCCTACATAGAACCTAGACACACATTACCCAATCCATGGCCCATAGCAAACTTCCAGAGCTCAGCAGCAGCAGCTGCTGGGTAGGAGGCCCCCGCCAACACCCAGCACCAGCAGCCCCCACTAGAGTTTTACTGCACCATATAAAGGACATGGAGTGAGAAGAGTAAACAATGTCTTGCAATAGGTAACTGAAACCCCACAGATTACCCACAATGTGTAGCCCTGCTCCACAAAAGCCACGATGAACTGAAAGTAGAGAATCCTGAATTTGGGGCACAGTTGCAGAATTCCGATATTCTCTCAGCCCTGACACACTTTAGTGGATTTCACTGCCCTTAGCCACAGGAGCCTCTAAGCTCATCTTAGGGTTTACTCCTGGTCAGAGATTAGGTGGGAGTGAGGGGTGGATTGGGAAGCAGTGAAGGCTCTACAGGGTGACGTATCTAAGTATGCAATTGCCAAAAGCATAAGTCTCTCATCAGGCACCACAGAAACAGTTTTTTCAGCCAGTGCTGCAGACTCCTGCTAGACAGGGTGAATCCACATCACCTACAAAATTCACGAGTCAGTTTTGCACACTGGGCCGTTGAACTCTGAAGCAAACTGGGAAGTTCTAAAAGCAATAGGAATTGGGGTTACTTAGTAATTAAGATATAGCAACTTATTCCTGGAAAAAAAGTATTTTCTATAATAGTTCTTAAATCATTAAAACGTCTGCTAAATTTTGAGTTTTGATACATTCCCTGCTTAAAGTGAACACAATAAATTCTAAACTGAAATGCAGCAAGTGGGGTTTTTGTTTTGTTGTGTGGTGAGAAGAAATGCTGTTTTACTCGAGGTGGTTGTTTCAACGACGCACTTCTCTCCTGCATTAATTTAAAAAAAATTACAAACAAATCTCAAACTTCACATGAGGATAAATAGGGTTTCTTCTACAGCTCTCCAGTTTGTTTTTAAATATAATATTTTAAGTATGTAATTTATCGGAGTAAAATTTATTAGAATAATTCATTAGAAGCCACTTGTTTAGCTCCATATTTGTTCAGCAATGTTGCATATTGGGACATTGGAATATTTTTTGTGTAAGCAAAAATCCTTTATATTTATACGTGTATCGACAGCTTCCACTTTATTTGTGTACTACATAGCGTGTGATTTTTGACTCTGCTTTGTAGAAAAACACATTTCAACAGAATATCTCCAGCTGATTTTATAGTTTCTTACAGCATTTTTGAAAAATATCACTCTGCAAACGTGCTGCCTCAGTACTGTCCTTGAAAACAGTCGAAAATCTTAATTTAGTTATTTTTTTTTCAATTTTTTCAATTTTTTCAATTACACTGAAAACTCGCATTGTACTATGTCTCAGCACTCCCAGATTTACTCAGTGTTTGCTGAAGGAGGTTTGCATCCTGCTGGGAAGACGCATTTGGCAAGGCTTTTCCTCTTCTTCAGGAGATCGGCTAAGATGCAGTTTGATTTGTAGTTCGGTACTATTGCTTTCACGGAAAGTGTCACGCAAGCTTCATTTCCTTTTATGGCCTATATATATGCAGAACTGCGCTGAGTGTACCAGTTATTCTCCTTACATGGATAATAAATAAATTTTAAATTGTAAAAGATAAAGGTTGAGACTGGAATGGCGCTTGATGAGCTTTGGCACACCCTGTGGGGGCGGTCAACTTTGGGGATCCCAGGACACGTAGCACTAAGGACCGCTCCAATCGACAGAGGGGCGTCCAGCCGTCGGGGGCGGGCGGAAAGGAAGGCACAGCGGAGTGGAACCGCGCAGCGCACGCCACAAGCACCAGGATTTCATTTCACTGGGGCAGCGCGTGGGGTCCCGACGGGAGGGATGCGGGGTCAGCGCTTCTGCCTAGATAACGCGACGCGGGGACCTTGGGGAGACAGGTCTGTGATAACTCGACCCTGGACCACACCCTATGGCGGATTTGGTAGGTAACCTCGGTGAAGGGGGGAGTCTTCCAAAGAAGGAATGCAGGAGCTGCGTCTTCCAAAGAAGGAATGGAGGAGCGGCAGGAACACAGAGGAAGGCGGAGGGGCGAGGAGGAGGTTTCTTTCTGGGGCTCTATTTGGTAGGTTGATTGGTTTTCTCTGGGCTACAGCCCCCTCTAGCGTTTCTTATGCGCTAGGACTTCTGCCTTCTTTCATAGGTCAGTAAGGGTTTTTTTCTATTTCTAATATTTGTGGAAAATTTTCACCACTGGACTCATCCTTCTTTACAATTTGGATTTCAGTTCCCCTAATAACGTTTTAACAATATCTTAAGAGTCAAGGAGGAAAGATTTTGTGCCCAGTTGGCCACCTTGAAGGCAGAGGCGTCTGTCATGGTCTTTCTTTTTCTCTTTTTTCTTGAGAAAGGGTCTCGCTCTGTCGCCCAGGCTGTGGTGCAGTGGCGCCATCTCGGCTCACTGCAATCTCTGCCTCCCGGGTTCAAGCGATTCTCCCACCTCAGCCTCTCAGGTAACTGGGACTACAGGTATGCGCCACCACGCCCGGCTGATTTTTGTGTTTTTAGTAGAGACGGGGTTTCATCATGTTGGCCAGGCTAGTCTCGAACTCCTGACCTCAAGTGATCCGGCCTCCTTGGCCTTCCAAAGTGCTGGGATTACAGGCACAAACCACCGCACCCGGCCACTCATAGTCTTTTAGTAGGAGTATATTTAAGGGGCAGTCTTTGCATAATAATAGGAGAATTGAAGTTTTAAAGTCAGATAAGTTGTGCGAGAGTCTCAACTAGTCCGCTGTCCAGTCATGAGATCTTAGACACGTCATGTAAATTATCTAAGCATTAATTAACTTATGTATAAAATGGATGTAATCATGTTACCATCCACACTGGGGTTTTAGGAAGGACCGATGTAATAAAGGGAGGGCTTTATTAATAACCTTCTCTTTATCTCACTAATCATTGCTAATTTCTGCTGTTTCCTAGGTGTCTCAAAACTAAACTCATGCCTCTGGCAGTTATTTGTGGAGCAAATATTATGTGCCAGGCAATGTTCAAGTGCTGAGAAAAATATAAGGCATAAAACACATAGTTACAAAACATAGCTATCAGACAGAGCCCCTGCTTTCCAGGAACCCACAGTTGTAAAGAGGAGACAATAAATGCAATGACCTTGCAGTGTGATAAGAGCTAACACAGCAATTTATGCAGGTGTTGTGGGTATTACAGGGGAGGAAGCCTGCCTGGAGCATCAGGCTCAGAGGATCTGTGTAGAGCAGGGATTCTCAACCTCAGCGTTACAGTGAGTACTTGATGTTTCAGGCCACATAACTCTTTATTGTGGAGGTTGTCCTGTAAATTGTAGGATGTTTAGCAACATTCCTAGCCTCTACCCACTAGATGCCTGTAACACCAACACCTTCCTGATTGTGACAACATCAAAATATATCCAGACATTGCCACATGTCCTGAGGGAAGGGGGTTCACTTGAGAACTGATGTGTAGAAGATAGCTGAGACATCACTCAGAGTTGGATTTCCCAGAGGCATCTTTATTTGGCAGAATGACAGATTAGTTTTTCTTATTTTTAAAGACGGGATTTCACTCTGTTGCCCAGGCTGGAGTGCAGTGGCGAGATCATAGCTCACTGTAACCTGGAACTCCTGGGCTCAAGCGATCCTCCTGCCTCAGCCTCCCAAGTAGCTGGGACTATGCATGTCACTAGGCCCGGCTGATTTTTTTTTTAATTTTTATAGAGATAGCGCCTCAATATGTTGCCCAGATTGGTTCTAAACTCCTGGCCTCAAGCGATTCTTTAGCCTCAGCCCCCCAAAGTGCTAGGATTATAGACACACATGGCCCAAGTTAGTTTTTAATTTAGTTTTTTGTTTATATTAATATATAATTGGTTCCTTTGTTATTTTAATGTATTAGAAAAATACTAGTTTTAAATTGAAAGTAGAGATACAATTCTTTTCTTTAAATATATTTGGGCAAAAGTGATACTGCAGAAAACAGTGAATGAAAGAAGATAAAAACAATAGCATCCAACCACATACAAGTCCTGACAATTTTGTAACTATCATGCTATTTCACTCTCCACTGCAAACTCAGCCTCCTGTTGTACTTGTTTGGATTAGGACCTGGAGAGTGCAGAGTTTGGGGCAGGGTGCAGGCAGAGCAGTTCAAGGCAAACCTTCCCTCCAGGGCAGGGCCCCCTACTCCTGCTTAGAAATACCCAGCATTCCAAAGAGAATGTTCCCCTTCTTCTCCCTAGGCCTTGATCTCTCCTTGGTTTCAGGCAAAGGACTTCAAGACTGAGGAATTCTTACAAGTTTTCCTTAGGCTGCACTGCCCTTGAGCTCTGAAGCAAAATTACGTTTGATGCCCAAGAACATAGGAGGTGAGAGTGAAGGGAAGAGGTGGGTGCAGCTGCTTTTACCAGAGAGTTGGCGGTGCTAAAAGCCTGAGCTGGGGAGCTCGCTGCCATCTCTGCCTAGGAGTCCTCTGTCTCAGGAGCTTTAATCTTCCTAAAACATGATTGGCTCACTCACTGCACACGTTTTCAGTCCATCTGCCCCTGACCCACATCCTTGCCTAGGTCCCCCTTGAAGCACAGCAAGGACAATTTGGGTCAGAGAAGTTAAGCCTCATTTGTTTTAGGAAATGAAAAAATAGACATATCAGGATGGGTCAATCCATTTGTTAAGTAGAGATGGGACCGTTTGGGATACAATACCCATAAATCACATTTGTGCAGTTCTTGATTTTTTTTTTTTTACATTAGGCTGGAATAAGACTACAAAATTTCTCAATTTTTTTATAAAGGTGTTTCCCACCCACTGGAGCCTGACCACTTGAAAGAGTTACTTCTGTACACATTTACATAAATCATTATTAGGGCCCTATAACAGAAACACACACACACACACATACACAGAAACCGTTATTTATCAGGTGATCAAAACCCAAAGATTTGATGATGCCTTATTGTGCTGGTGAAGGTAAGGTAATCAGACACTATTTTGTGTCTTGTTTTGTATGGGGAGTAAATTGATGTAATTTCTGTGAAAGGCAACTGGTATTTTCCATCAAAATTTAACTGCAAAAGTATTTGATCTGGCAACTTAACCTTTAGAAATTTATCATGTGGATAAAGACCCAGGTGTAAAATAAAATGTGAGCAAAAAGCTTAAGCATAGTACTCTTTTCACTTCACTTTAAAGTCGTTTTTATCGTGAACAATAACATGACATAAATGCAAAAAAGTACAGCTAAATGAAGCATACATGCAATGTACCTACTATCTTACTTGAGAAATTAAACGTTGCTGGCAGCCCAGGTGCCTCTACTCCAGCAATCACATCCCCTCCCAATTGGCTACTACCCTGAATTTTCAGGCGATGTTTTCTTGCTTTATTTTCAAAGTTTTCCCACCTAAGAAGAAATCACTAAATAATAAATTATATGTCTGTATGTATATTCATATTTTATTGTTTTTGAACAGTACATAAATGGAATCATACAATATGTGTTCTTTTGTATCTGGAGTTTTGCTGAATAGTATGTTTTTTTTGGTTTGATTTTTTTCTTTTTTTTTTTTTGTTTTGAGACAGTTCGCTCTTGTTGCCCAGGCTGGAGAGCAATGGCGTGATCTCGGCTCACTGCAACCTCTGCCTCCCGGGTTCAAGCGATTCTCCTGCCTCAGCCTCCTGAGTAGCTAGGATTACAGGCATGTGCCACCAAGCCAGGCTAATTTTGTATTTTTAGTAGAGATGGGGTTTCTCCATGTTAGTCAGGTGGGTCTCGAACTCCTGACCTCAGGTGATCCACCAGCCTCAGCTTCCCAAAGTGTTGGGATTACAGGCGTGAGGCACCACACCCAGCCACTGAATAGTATGTTTTGAAGACTCATCCATGCTGGATGTATAGCCATACCTAAGCTTTACATATTGTTTATGGGCAGAACATTTGAAAGAAGGTAAATACTCAACAGGGAGCAGACTAAATAAATTATGGTATACCCACACAATAGAATATTATGCAGTGATGAAAAATAATGAAGCTGATGTTAGATACTAAAATGGTAAGAGCACTAAGTTTTTTTGCTAAATAAAAAGCAGTATATGACCCATAGAATAGTATTCTACCATTTGTATGAAAGAAAAATTTAAATCAATACCAACTTGTTTATATATATTTACAAAAATATCCAGAATATTTTTACCGTATTCTCCTCTGGAAGATAAAATGGGTAGCTGGAAAATTAATTCCCCTATCTATTTGCATACTTTCTGAATTTCCTGCTACTTGCATGTATTACCTATTGAAAATGAGGCTAGAGAGTGAAACAAAATATTGCCCAGTCGCACAGCTGGCCAATGTCAGAGCCTGGACTCAGCCTGTCCCAGTTATAGGGATTTTAGGCCAGATCTCTTTCTACAACTGTAAAGCCAAGAAGGAATGAATCAACAATTAGCTTTATACTCCATAACCTGGGAAAGCCTAAAAGCATACTCCAACTGAGCCTGAATGTTGGTTTGTTCATTTTCCCCACAGTTCCTCTTCAAGAGACAGTTTCAATCCCACAGTTCTGGTTAAATTCCACTGGGCTGAAACGGGTAATTTCAGAATGACCCACCACAAAGCAGGACACATCCCTAAATGACAGGCTTTGGTCAGGATGGCACAATAAGTTCATGCTTAGGCAAAGACTCTCTGCCCCAAATTACATGGCAATAAGAAAAATGTAAAAAGAGAAAAGTTATAGTTGAGTTAAGGACAAGAGAAACACCACTCTCCATGAAGAATGGGTCATCAACAGAAAGCAAAGGCAGTGGGAAGGGCTGATGCTTCCAGCATGCTGTTTGTCAGGAGACTGGCTGAAGGCAGGCTCTCTCCTGAAAGAAATTGCCACTGACCACTGCTTGCAGCTGAGGCTTCATAAGAAGCTCCAGGCCCAGGCAGATGGGAGGACTCAAGTGCAGCTTGGAGAGGAGGCATTCACTGAAGCCTTAGAGAACCAGCAGATTACTTCACACAATCTGTAGAAATCAACTCAAAATGTATTAAAGGCACAAATGTACCAGGTAAAACTCTAAAAGAATTCTTTTCCATTACAAGAAAACAAACAAACAAACAAACAAAACAACCAAAACCTTAGGTCTTAGTCAGCCATGGCTGCTATAACAAATACCACAGACTGGGTGGCTTATACAACAGACATTTATCTCTCACAGTTTTGGAGGTGACAGCAGATTCAGTTCCAGTGAGGATCCTCTTCCTGGCATACAGATGACTGCCTTCTTTCGGTGTCCTCACAAGGTAGGGAAAGAGAGCTCCAATCTCCCTCTTCTTAAAAGAGCACTAATCCCATCACGGAGGCCCCCCCCTCCTGACCTCATCTAAACTTAATTACCTCCCCAGGGTCCCACCTCCAGATACCACCACACTGGGGGTTAGGGCTTCAACATATGAATTTTGGGGGAACACAAACATTTAGCCCATAACACCCTTCAAAGCAAAAAGAAAAGAACACCATGAAATCTAGTGGAAAAATAGGGGGAAACATTTGAATAGGCAGTTCAAAGAAAGAGAAAAATGAATGATGATGACTTATTTGAAGCTACACAGTATCACTGGCAATAAGAGAAACTCAAGTTACAACAAGAAAGGGAAAGAGTTGATACTGATTAGATTGTGACAAAGATTAAGAAGTCAGTTAAAATCAACTGAGCATGTAAAGAAAGATGAACTTGGTATATTGCTAGGGAGTATAGACTTTGGAAGCTGAAGGAAAATTTGACTTTCCTCAGGTAATTTCCATACACACAAACCTAGAATCCAATTTGTAATTGTGGCTAAGTACTCCAGAGGCCCACTCTCATAGGTCCATGGTCTAGAATTCTACTACAGAGATATATATGGTAACATATAGTTGGAAGCAAACTAGTTGACTATCCATAAGAAAAGGGATAAACAAAATGTTTTAAAAGCATAATCTATGGCAGTCCAAAACACTGAATTAGATGTATATACAGTACAGAGAGCTTAAAAAACGTTGTCAGCCGGGTGCGGTGGCTCACGCCTGTAATCCCAGCACTTTGGGAGGCCGAGGCGGGTGGATCACGAGGTCAGGAGATCGAGCCCATCCTGGTTAACACGGTGAAACCCCATCTCTACTAAAACTACAAAAAATTAGCCGGGCATGGTGGCGGGTGCCTGTAGTCCCAGCTATTCAGGAGGCTGAGGCAGGAGAATGGCATCAACCTGGGAGGCGGAGCTTGCAGTGAGCCAAGATCGCGCCACTGCACTCCAGCTTGGGCAAGAGTGAGACTCCGTCTCAAAAAAAAAAAAAAAAAAAAAAAGTTGTCAAAAAGATAAAATGGTCTCTGCAAGCTCCATGTCCTAGGTATAGTCCTCCCCATCCTGCTGCCAGATCAATGTGATCTCTTCAGGGTGGAAGCCCAGGGCCCAGCACCTCAGGGTGGTATTACAGTCAGAGATGGGGTCATAGTGGGTGCTGGTGGGGAATGCCTTTGGGGGTCCGAAGAAAAGGGTCAGAGGAAATTTAGAACATTCATTTCCCTTCCATAGGCCATTCAACAGGGCTCATTGATCGCTCTAAGAAGGAAAGGATTTTAGGAAGAGAAACTCAGATACCCACATCTACTCTAAGAGTCCAGGGGGAACACTTTCCTGTTTCAAAGCAGAGTGAGGCAGGATATAGTTGGAGGCACCAGGTCTGAAAGGAGGTGAGGGGGTCCTAATTAAGTAGTGTCAAGGTCACAGTGGGCAGGGCCAGGGTTAGAACAAGCTCCAAAAAGAATCAGGATGGAGGCAGAAGATAAGGTCTGAGAGAGACAGTTTGGTTCTTGAGGAAGTAGCTGCAAGATCATGAAAATTAAAAGCTTTTATACATCAAAATATACTATCAAGAGAGTGAAAAGACAATCCACGGAATGAAAGAAAATGTTTGCAAATCATATATCTGATAAGGGTCTAGTATTCAGAATATATAAAGAATTCCTAAAACTCAAAACATAAAGGCAACCTATTTTTTTTAAATGGGCAAAGGTCTTGAAAGGACCTTTTTCCAAAGAAAATATACAAATAGCCAACAAACACATAAGATGCTCAACATCATTACTCATTAGAGAACTGTATATCAAAACCACAAAGAGGTTTTGTGGTTTTTGTCTAGTGTTTTGGATTGACTTCTAGCGGTTTTATACCCACTAGAATGTTATTATAGGATGGCTATAATAAACAACAAAACAAACTGAAAGTAAGTGTAGATTAGGATGGAGAGAAATTAGAACCATGTGCATTGCTGGTGGGAGTGCAAAATGGTGCAGCAGCCATGAAGAGCAGTTTGGTAGTTCCTCAAAAAGTTAAAATATAAAACTATCAAACGAACCGCACCTATATCCTCCAACAAAAAAACTAAAAACAGATACTGAAACAGAACCTTGTACACAAATGTTCATAGCAGCACTGTTCACAATAGCCAAAAAGCAGAAATAACGGAAGTGTCCATTGATGGCTGAATGGATAAACAAAATGTGGTATATCCATATAATCGGCTACTATTCAGCCATAGAAAGGAATGAAATACTGACATTTGCTACAGCACGGATGAACCCTGAAAACATTATGCTAAGTGAAAGAAATCAGACACAATAAGCTACAAATTGTATGATTCCATTTATATGAAATATACAGAATAGACAAATCCGTAAAGGCAGAAACAGATTAGTGGTTGCTAAGGGCTGGAATAGGGAAAAATTGGAAGTGACTGTTTAATGGAAACAGGTTTCTGTTTGGGATGATGAAAAAGATCTGGAACTAAATAGTGGTGGTGATTGTATAATATTGCAAATGTACTTAATGCCACTGAATTGTACACTTTAAAATGGCTAAAATGATACATTTTAAGTTAAGTATATTTTACCACAATAAAAAGAGGAACCACTGGGGGGCACTGGGTGAGGATGTAGGGGACATTTCAGTATGCTCTTTGCAGCTTCCAGTGAATCTATATTTCAAAATAGTTTTGAAAATTTATTAAGCAGTTACTAAGCATAGGCACTATCTTCATAGTGATATAATTGTTTTAAATTAGAGATACACACTGATTTATTATGGTGACAATAACTCAGATTCCTCAATGTTCAAGACCTGTCTTTTCTAACGTTTTTGCTACTTGAATTCAAAATAACAGTCTCTCAATCCTTCTCTCTTTTGCCTCCTGACAATAACGATACTGGTTTTCACTAGTTTTGAAAGTGCTAAATGAACTTAATGTTCAGGGAGTGACTAAGGCATAGTTTCTATGGTTACTGGAAGACCTCATTTCTTGATTCGATTTGAATAACCTAAGTTTCTTCTCTCTCCTTTAATTTTATTTAGAGTCCTAAAAGGGCATAAATTTTGAGTTATTGAACTTCTAGAAACACTTGAGAAAGCTACTGCATTCCAGGGATTCAGTTTATTTTCATCTTTCATCTAGGAAATCCATTTTTGCATATAATATGCCACTATCACATTATATATCTTTATGATGTATCTGTATTAATACATAGAATCATGTATCAATGTATAGAATATAAATGTTATATATGTAATCATATATTTATAATTAAACATGAAAAAGGAAAGAGGAAGAGGGCTGTGGAAAGAGGAAGAGGGCTGTGATCTTTAGAGTTATATATTGATAGAAACCCACAACAAATAAAGAAACCACAAAGACTCACAAGTGAACCAGATTCCAGATACTGTTTTGTCTGCCGCTCATCCTGACTGGGACCTGATTCCCATGATCTCCCACATGAGAGGAATCACTTAGTGACTGAGCCATGAAATCGAAACTCAGTTTCCCCACTGCTATCCCACTGTAGACATGTTCAGTCACATGCAATCATAACACACTCAAGACAAACTTAGCCAAAGATCAGATTAAGTGTGCAAGAGTCAAGCTCAGTCATCCCAAATTAAACTTACTGGAGGAGCCATGGAAGGTGAGCTGAGGATGCAAAGGACCCAGGTATGCACGAGGTGTTACTTTCAGGCTACACATTTTTGTTGGACTGAAAGTTGACCCAGGTAGGCACTATTTCCAGAAATAAAATGTCAAAGGATGACTCAGAAACATTTACTTACATGTACACTGTTTAGTATTTTCTACGCAAATAATTTACTGACATGTGAAGGAGGCAGTGGAGAGACCAAGTCAGGGACAAAGGCAAAACAAGAATGTGGTAGATGAGTGATCCCCAACCTTTTTGGCACTAGGGACAGGTTAACCAGGGACTGGTTTTGTGAAAGGCAATTTTTCCATGGAGCAGGAAGGGTATGGTTCTGGGATGAAACTATTTCACCCCAGATCATCAGCAATTAGATTATGATAAGGAGCATGCAACCCAGATCCCTTGCATGCGCAGTTCACAGTAGGGTTCATGCTCCTATGTGAATCTAATGCTGCCACTGATTACTCAGGCAGTAATGCTGGCCCATCCCTCCCTTCCACCACTGCTCACCTCCTACTAGGCAGCCTGGTTCCTAACAGGACACAGCCCAGTACCAGTCCACAGGGCCTGGGGGTTGGGGACCCCTGTGGTAGATTGTTACACTGGTGATCCCCAGGGAACTAATGAACCTCCCAGCGTTCAAACTCCAGTGTAGCCCCTTCCACATTGAATCTGGCATTGGCACTGTGCCTTGCTTTGGCCAAGGGAACATTAGCAAGTGTGACCCCAACAGAGGCTCGATAAACACTTTTTTTTTTTGAGACAGTCTCACTCTGTCACACAGGCTGGAATGCAGTGGCGCGATCTTGGCCCACTGCAACTCTGCCTCCTGGGTTCAGGTGATTCTCCTGCCTCAGCCTCCCGAGTAGCTGGAATTACAGGTGCCTGCTACCACGCCCTGCTAATTTTTTTGTATTTTAAGTACAGACAGGGTTCCACCATGTTGTCCGGGCTGGTCTCAAACTCCTGAACTCAAGTGATCCACCTGCCTCGGCCTCACAAAGTGCTGGGATCACAGGTGTGAGCCACAGCATCCAGCCAAACACTTACATATTGGGATGCTTTTGTAGAAGCCAGAGGGGATGTAAGAAATACAACTACCCTGAGTCAGCCATGCTGTGGGAACATCAAAGCTAGCGAGGGAGCAAGGCTACTTGGAGAAGCAATGAGGTGCTAAACACGTGAGTGAAATTTCTTGGGTCTTCCAGACCACCTACGAGATAGCAGCTAAGTGCAGCTATTTAAGCTGATTTCATATGTAACAGGAGAACCACCCAGCCAAAGTCTTTCAGAATTCCTAGTTCACAGAACCAGAGGAAATAATAAATCATTATGTTTTAAGCTCCAACATGATGAAGTGATTTTTTTATACAGCTATCGATAAGCAAACACAGGGTTTATAAGAGAAATAAAAGAAAACTGCATTCTGGAAGTAGTAAATTTTGTTTGTATGCTTTTGGTATAACCTTATTAGCCGGCATTTAGCAAAAAGGTCAGTCTAAGAATTCTGTACTTCAGTAGGCTTTCTAGGGATATCGAAGAAAACATTTTAGTTGTTTATTCTTAAGAAAACTCTGAGAGTTTACCTATGGGACATAATTGCAAAATGTCTGTCGGTGTCCTTTGTTAGCATCTTTGACTTTGTTAGTTCAGGTTTGCGCCATTTCCTTTATCAGAATTTTATTAAAGACAACTTTGAGACTGGGAAAAGACCTGAGTCTTTTCTGACTATGAGTGGGCCTAGAGGATACAAACACTCTCCGCTGCCCCATATTTCTCCCCTTGTTTAAAAACAGCAGCAGTGGCATCATTCTCTCCAGCTCTTCAGTCAGCAATTATGGCTGCCCAAACATGGAATGCCCTAAGGTGGCTCAGGACATTGATAGGGAACTGGGGCCATGGCCTTGGAAATGCAAGCTGCTGAGTGAGGCCAAGTGGTCTATGGAAATCACGATCTCCCTGCATGGTGGGATTACAAAGGTGACCAAGAAACACAGACAGAAACAGAAGAAAATGGAATTAAGAGTTGAAATACCCACAGAACAGAATCATGGAATGTAAAACAAGTAAACTTTATTTGGGAGATGAGGTGAATCCATCACTGGTTACTGGAACCCTTCGTCTGCATTTTCTCCTCAGGAAGGCGGTCTGAAATGGAGTGGGCTGTGTTTGGCAAGGGTTGTAGTGGTTTGGAATCTGAGTAAATGAGCAGAATCAGAGAAACAGAATTAGTTTTCTGACTGTGGTACTTCTCACACCAACCCAGAACCTGTCCATGTGTCCTCTTCACTCTACGTTCTCCATTGCCCCTATCCTCTGGGGTGTCCTCCATTTTCTCCCTCACCTCTCACCTGCTTGGCTCCCGAGCTGGGCCTCAGGCCTGTCTCCCCAGAGTAAATGCCCGGGATCATTGAGGAAGCGTTGGCTGCGCTGGCATGTTAGGCAGGTCTGTACGGTCCAGCGCTGTCCCCTGCAGCCTAGGGTGAACATGGGAAAAAGACTGTCCACGTTTAGAAGTAACGGTCTCTTGCTGCCAGTTTTGCCTCCAGTGTTTTTCAGTAGGTATCCCCGCTCCCCCACCACACCCCCAATTTGAATGCACATTTGATGGTGTCAGGCCTCGGCATAAGCTCCATCGATTTCCTGGAACTCTTTAAGATAAAGTTCAAACTCCCTAACAAGACTTCAAGAACTGGCCTGTTTCCCCCTCCAGTCTCATGTTTTGCCCTCCTACCTCAAACTCCAGCCTCCTGAACTCTCATTTCTTTGACAGCACCACAAGCTCTCTTGTCTCAGAGTCTGCACACATGCCTAGAATTTCCATCTCTCACTCCCTTTGCTTATCATAAACTTCGCCACCACTGGCATGAGTAAGTGAGCATTCTACTCCCCCAGTTAATCTTTTTCTACACCATTTTGTTTCTTAGTCTGTCCCATCAGACCGTAATTTCAATGAGAATAATGAATCTAGCACAGTACCTGACACATTTTAGAAAATAAGTATTTGCTTAATAAATGAATGGTGATGGGAATCGTCCTCCACAAAGCCGAACAACATCTATTATTGTGCATGGGTGGGGTTGCCTCTTAAAAGTTATTATTTATTGCCCACACTGGAAGAAAAAAAAAAAAAAAAGCCGAGCCCAAACCCTAGTTTGTGCAAGTGGCGTTAGGAACTTAATCCAAACCCGAAGAAGGAAGACTCCTGCGAATCCCACACCCAACATCCATCTACAGTGAGAAAGGCGCTGTTGGCCTCCAGTGCCCGCCCCCCACCCCGCCCCCCTCCGCGCCCCCAATGCTCCGCAGTCTTCCACCTCCGTTGGAGCACTCACGTCTCTGGCGCTGGGTGCAGGTGAGGCCCGGGACGAGGAGGGAAGAGCAGCCTCGACAGAGAGTCCTCTTCACCGAGGGATCCCTGGGGGCGGAGGAGGATAGTGGTCTGGCGCCCGCGCTCCCTCTCGCGTTCCTCCCGCGTCCCGCCCGCCGCCCGCCCCGTGGCTGTCTCACCGCCGCAAGACGAGCCGCTTCGCAATGGTCCTCTCAGTGTAGCAGTAAAACCTCGCCAGCGCCTGGTTCTCGGGGTCCTGGGCAAGGACACAATGGGCGGCCTGCGGGAGGGGAGCAGTCACTCTGGGACGCCGAGCACCGTCCCCGTGGGGCCCTTGTCGCAGACTCACCTGGTACAGGAAGTTGAGCCTCTGGAAGGCCTCGCGGTCCTTCACCGGCCCCGCCATCACCGCCGCGCTCCAGGGCCTCCCGCAGCGCCCCACCCCTCGCACAGCCCCGCCCGGGCGTCCGCGCGAGGCCTCCTGGGAAACGTAGTCCCCGCGCCCTCGGGAGCCTCCCGGAGGCCTCACAAACTCATCGGTTTCTAAACACAACCCCAGCAATCCATGCCCAGGGTCCCTTTATGAATTTTCAGTGCTTTTGTCTTCCTCAAGCTCATGACCAATTATATCACCTAGAGACCTAGTGGAGCAGGTGAGGATCTTAAATCGGCCATTTTCAGGACAGAAGGCTGGTCTCTTTATGTAGCTACGTTGGGGAGATGGTTATGTGCAATTTATACCCAGCTAGAGCTTCTGCCCTACTCTCCTGAGGTCCGAGGCAGATGCCTGTAAGATCTACAGACGGAAGGCACAGAGGTAATACATTAAAAAAAAGCACTGGTGCCAGTGGGGGTGAAAGTGGGAAGGATCATGAGGGTGCTGGAGGGAGGGAAAAGGACTCCCGGTCCTCAGAAAGCACAGTTTACTCCTACTATTCCACCTACCAAAGAAACACACTTCCTGTTATGCAGTGCTGGACACACAGTAGGTGATCCTCACTTTCTGAGTGAATGGTTTCTAACTCCTAGGCTTAGGTACAGCACAGAAATCTGTCAACAGCATCCCCTGCCCCTGAAACTTCACCCCACTCCCCACACTGACATTCACCTCACACCCCTCCCTCTGACCTCTTCTATCTTCCAGTTCTTCTGTCTGGTGTCCTGTGACTCATAGTGACTATCAGTTACTGAAGTCAGAAGCAGAGGGACATGAATTGGAGGGGTAGAAGATCAATGAACCCTGAGATGGGGAGGGCAGCATAAGTCAGGAGAGGATGACTTCTCTCCAATTTCAGACCCAGTGCCAGGCGGGGACAGACAAGCAGGGCTCCAGCTGGGAGGAAGGACATGGCTGAAACCTCCTCTGGAACTAGTTTCACAAGGGTTTTCGGACTCAAATGAGAGTGGTGTGTTTAAAATGTAGATGTAGGCTGGGCACGGTGGCTCACACCTGTAATCCTAGCACTTTGAGTGGCTGAGGCAGGTAGATTACTTGAGTTCAGGAGTTCGAGACCAGCCTGTCCAACATGGCAAAACCCTGTCTCCACTAAAATTAGCCGGGTGTGGTGGTGCATGGCTATAGTCCATAGTAATCCCAGCTACTCTGGAGGCTGAGGCAGGAGAATTGCTTGAACCTGGGAGGCGGAGGTTGCAGTGAGCTGAGATCACCACTGTACTCCAGCCTGGGCGACAGAACGAGACTCTTGTCTCATAAATAAAATGTAGATGTCCGGCCCACCCCAGACCTTGACTAACCACTAAGGGTGAGACCCAGGAACATGCATGTCTAACACCCAGTGATTCTTACACATCAGTACAAGGCTGTCACCAAATTACCACACAACACAGAGATCACTTCAGTGGATCCTTTGTTCCATATTATTTTAACCAACCAAAGTATCTTGCCACAAAGAACCACAGTCAAGGCACAAAGGTAAGAGGAGGAGAGTCTGGACAAAGTCCTGTTGAGGTGGTAGGAGGAACTGAAATGCCCTCAGTAAACTGCAGATTCTTCTCTCAGTCATTTCTGTGAAGATTACCCGAATAGCAGATAATCCAAATTGGTTTAGTTTGGTTTGGCATGCATCACTTTTACCTTTTATGACAACATATGTACCCTATAAGTTGTTTATTTTGGCCTAACATGAAAATCATTTACATTCTCTGAAAAGGGAAATGGCAAAGGGTGAGGGATGGCAACAAACAAGCAAAAGCCTGGCTTAACACCAGTTCCAGGCCAGATGCACACAAGCCAAATGAAGTTGCCTATCTGGCCCTTCCCTATATACCACCCTCTTCCACCCTGTCCTTAGGGTGAGAAAGACTCCATAACCTTTTTTCCTTTCTGGCTTGGACACCTTGGCCAGGTAAGAAGGCTGACAATTTGGGAGTAGCTACTAAGTAACATTCTTTAAGGCCAGGGCTTTGTATACAAATACCCTTCTCTTTCCTCTAATACCTGACTCTCCTTTCCAAGTTCCCTTGGGAACACTGTGAAAGGATAGATGTGTCTTGCAGGATCTCTTCCACTTTGCCTCTGGAGAGGAGCAAGGTGACTGACTTATTGGTATAGAGGCAGGCAATAAGCCAACTCTGCTGAAGGCTGAGGCAGGGACCTGGGTTCTCCTCTGCTTTCTTTTCAGCCTCTCCTTCTCCCCACATTCCTACCTCTGGCCAATCTTACCCATAATCGCAACCTTACCCTTGGAATAGAAGACCAAAGAAACCTCCCTCCTCTTCATTAATCTCTAGGAATCTGTTCCTTTAGCCCACTTCCCTGACCCTTCTAGCCTTGTTGATGTCCAATCTCTGCCCTCAGAAAAACTCCTCAATATCTAGACCCATGAGAGCATCTGTCATTCATCTCTCATGAATTCAGAGGTACACAGACCCCTGTGATCTACCTCAAGAAGCAAGACTATCCTGGGTCAAAGAACCCCCTAAAAAGATGTGCAGGGGTTTCTGTTTCCTCCTCTGGTTTGAGCAAGTCAGACCCTCACAGATTTTTTGTTTCTGGAAAAGCCTCTCCTTCCTTCCTGACCCGTCCTTGTGCAACAGAAAACCTGATGGACTTCAGGGTAGACAATCCTCTGGGAACCAGCTCCCCACCCTGACAGTTAGGAGGAAGTCACAGCTGTGCTCTCTCATCCAGCCCAGTCCTACCTCCCCCTCCACACAAAACCATCCTAGAAACCAAGGTGTTTCTCCAAGATGATTCAGGACTGGACCCAGGTGGACACGAAGACGTTCCAGCAGGACACGGGAAGGAGGCCCGTAGCACTTGACCCTGCCTCACCCCAGTCATTCCCACATCCCAACCTGTCACTCCCAATCTGTTGGGGGCCTGATGGTAAGTGGTGCAGCATTCTTCCGTCCAGCCCGGATGCCTGGGTAGAAGAGGGGCCAAAGTTTCTCAGTAAAAGTATCAGTGAAGGTGTAGATATGAGAGCGGTCTGTGACATTGTAGAAAGACAGTGTGCCGGCCTCATAGTCTAGGAATATGCCTACCCGCTTGGGTTTCACCTTGATGTGCAAAGGGGTAAAAGGTGTGGTGGTGGCTGCATATTTGTCCCCATTCCATAGCCGCACCCGCCAGTAGCCAGTCTCAGGGAGTGGAGTCAACTCGCCCTTTCGGCTCACGGAGTCCCGGCATACACCCACTGCCCAGTGGGTCTTGTCGCCCACCTCCACCTCCCAGTAGTGTCGACCTGAGGTGAAACCCTCAGTAGCCAGGACGCAAGGGTAGAAGGTGAAACGCCTTGGTGTGTCAGGGAGATCCCGGAGTCTTGTCTCCACGAACTTGACGCTCTTACGATCCTCTGACAGGACTAGGTTAGGATGAGCTGTCTCGGGGTCCAGGGTCACATCCGCTGGCGGGAGAAGCCAGAGTGGGGAGCTAGATGAGGATGGGAATAGCTAAATGCCCCTGCCTCACTCTTCCAGCCTGCCTTTACAGAGCCTGGTCCCTTAAAGGTCCCCAGAACAACCTGGTTTGGTTAACTTTCTCAATCCATGGTGTCACCTAAGGAAGGGGAGAAAGCAATGGCTCACTTCTCACCCTGACCCTAAAGTAAACAGATAATAATCTCTTGAGTCTGCAGTGGCTGGTAATCTAGGTTCCCGCCTGGTCCTCTCTTCATCTCCCTCTGACATTATCATTTATCTCACTATGTAGAGAAGTACAAGGTGTAGTCTGAGGGGCAGAAAAAAACGGAAAGTGTTAAGAAGGATGCCGAGCAAGACAGCATATGGTCTAGGGATAGGGTGACCATGTGTGTTTTCCAGGAACTGGCCTGGTTTATGACTATTTTCCCTGCATATTCACATTAATATAATGACACTCCCTTTCAGTTTCTTTCTTTTTTTTTTTTTTTGAGATGGAATCTCACTCTGTCCCTCAGGCTGGAGTGCAGTGGTGTGATCTCAGCTCACTGCAACCTCCGCTTCCCAGGTTCAAGCAGTTCTCCTGCCTCAGCCTCCAGAGGAGCTGGGATTACAGGCGCCCAACACCACATCTGGCTAATTTTTATATTTTTAGTAGAGATGGGGTTTCACCGTGTTGGCCAGGCTGATGTCGAACTCCTGACCTCAAGTGATCCACCAGCCTTGGCCTCCCAAAGTGCTAGGATTACAGATGTGAGCCACCGCACCCGGCCTTTGAAGGTTATGCAAGTTTACATGGTAAATTATATAACCACTCTACCCGATGACTTTGGCAAATTATTTAACCTTTCTGGGTCTCTATTTAGAAAAGAATGGACCTAAGAGTAGATAACGCTTAAGGCTTCCTCTCACTCCAAGTTCTGTGACTCAGGGTGAGACTAAAAGCCAGATAAAGGGGTAGGTGTGTGTGGGAGTAAGAAAAGTGAGACATAGGATAACTGAAACCCATATAAGGTAGGACCTAAAAACTTTCTTCTCTCTAGTGGTTTCTTCTAGTTTCCTTTTGGGAACAACTCACCAATTAGCTGTTTAAGGATTTTCCTTAGGGCAAAGTACTGTCGGGGAAAATTGCTGAAGTTCTTTTCCAGCTCTATGGATACTGAAGTCACCTCCATGGTCTTCACCTTTTCACATCTAGGAGGGATAGGGAGATAGGGGAAGAAAGGGCAGGGTTAGGGAGAAGCTCCAGCCAAGTGACTATTCAGATGTTAACATTTTTAGGGAGAAATTAAAATTCTCCATCTTCCCACTTTCTTCCTCCTCCCTGAAAAGCTCACCTGTTGATTTCTTTTACTAATCCAAGGAGAGCCTTATGATCCCGTGGACAGATCGTTGAGAGTGAGCCTCCGAACTTTCTAGGAATATTCCTGTATTTCATGCAAATGGATGATTGCCCTCCCTGCTCTCCCAACCCCTTCCTCCTGCCATCTTGTTTGGACACAATTCCACCCACTGGCACAAGTAGAATCTGATTCTACCTTATCATTCTCCTTCTCAAGAAGTCCTGATGTTCAAAGGGGAAAAGGGATTATTATTCCCAATAATTTGTTCTCTAACTGGCTTCATGGGCACAATGAACATTCTCCCATACCCTGCCCAGACACACTACATGACTTTCCCAACCTCACCCCCAACCCAAACTCCTGACTGTACCCCTCCTCTCTAAGCCAAGACCTAACTCACTCAGAGAGATACAACAATCACTTACTTTTCCAGGGTACTTTTGACATCCTAGAAGGAAGGAGAAAAGAAAGCAATATTGGTCCTGGTATTCAGTGGTCCTGAAGGCAAAAGGTTCCCCCTCCTCCCCAAAGTTCCACAGCTATAAAATAGGGATAGGATAAACTGAGGGTCACACAGTGCAAGAAGAGCTCCAGCGGGACCTGAATGCACTTCTCCCAACCTAATCCCTACTTTCAACTTCTGGTCATCATGAAGCTTGGTCATTTATATCACTTCCCAATGATTTCTTTTATGCTTGTCTTTGCTCCTCAAGGATGCTGGGAGCTCCCTATAAGGGACAGGGATTGTATCAATTCTTTACTCTGTCCCCCAAGTACCAACCACATATCTCACTCTCCTTGAGGATAAGTACAGAGAGTTCCAGACTGGTGGCATAGGAACAAATCACACATTCCTGTTACGGTTTGGTATCCCCTGTCTTGCATTAGTTAATAAACATCAATAACTGGCTGGGCACAGTAGCTCACGCCTGTAATCTGAGCGCTTTGGGAGGCCAAGACGGGTGGATCACTTGAGGTCAGGAGTTCAAGACCAGCCTAGCCAACATGGTGAAACCCTGTCTTTACTAAAAATACAAAAATTAGCCAGGTGTGGTGGTGTGCGCCTGTAACCCCAGCTACTCAGGAGGCTGAGGCAGGAGAATCGCTTGAACGCAGGAGGCAAAGGTTGCAGTGAGCCGAGATCATGCACTGCACTCCAGCCTGGGCGACAGAGCAAGACTCTCTCAGAAAAAAAAAAAAGGAAGAATAAACACATTAATAACTGTGTGCTAATACTGATTTGTGAATACTTGGGGTCCAGAAGACAAAGAAGACAAATCTCTGTCCCACAAGGATTTCCCAGTTTAATATGGAAGGCAGAACACACATACATGAAAGGCCATAGGAACAAATACCAAGCAATACGTAACATAAAAATAAATGTACAATGAAGCCTCACTGCTTCAAATGCTGGTAATCTAATCTCTAAGATAAAAAATATGTTCCCTAGTTTTGCTAACACCATTCATTTACGTAAGAGAACAAAATATTTCAAACACTTTAGAGGTATTATTAATATATACATATCAAAAGCAATATATTATTTAAACAATTTCAGGCATACCTCATTTTATTGCACTTCGCTTTATTGTGTTTTGTTGACATTGTATGTTTTTCAGATAGATGGTTTGTGGCAACCTGTGTTGAGCAAGTCTACTGGCACCATGTTTTCCAACAGCATGTGTTCACTTCATGTCTCTGTGTCACATTTTGGTAATTCTCACAATATTTCACACTTTTTCATTATTATATCTAGTATGATCTGTGATCAGTGATCTTTGATGTTACTATTGTAATCGTTATGGGGGCACTGTGAACTGCATCCATATAAGACGAACAACTTAATCGATAAATATATTTTATGTGTTCTAACTGATCCACTACCAGCTATTCCCTCATCTTTCTCCATCTCCTCTGGCCTCCCTATTCCGAGACACAACGATATTAAAATTATATCAATTAATAATCCTGCAATGGCCTCTAAGTGTTCATGTGAAAGAAGAATCACATGTCTCTCACTTTAAATCAAAACCTAAAAATGTTTAAGCTTAGTGAGAAAGGCACATTGAAAGCCAAGATGGGCTGAAAGCTAGGCCTCTTGTGCCAAACACCAAGCCAGGCTGTGAATGCTAAGGAAAAGTTATTGAAGAAAATTAAAAGTGCTACTCCAGTGAACACATGAATGATAAGAAAGTGAAACAGCTTTATTGCTGAGATGGAGAAAATTTTAGTGATCTGGATATAAGATCACATGATTCCCTTAAGCCAAAGCCCAATCCAGAGCAAGGCTGTTAACTCCTTCAGTTCTATGAAAGCTGAGAGAGGTAAGGAAGCTGCAGAAGAAAAGTTTAAAGTTAGGTAGGTTGTTTTAAGAAAAGAAGCCATCTCTGTAACAAAAATGTGCAAGGAGAAGCAGCAAGTGCTGATGCAGAAGTTGCAGCAAGTTATCCAGAAGATCTTGCCAAGATTACTGATGAAGGTGGCTACACTAAACAACACATTTTCAATGTCAACAAACAGCCTTCTATTGAAGAAGGTGCTATCCAGGGCTTTCACAGTTCGAGAGAAGTCAATGCCTGGCTTTAAAGCTTCAAAGGACAGGATGACTTTCTTATTAGAAGCAAGGGCAGCTGGTGACTTTAAGTTGAAACCAGTGCTCACTTACCATTTCAAAAATCCTAGGGCTCTTAAGAATTATGCTAAATCTACTTTCCTTGTGCTCTAGAAATGGAATAACAAAGCCTACATGACAGTACACCTGTATACAGCATGGTATACTGAATGTTTTTAATTAAAAAAAATTACCTTTTGTAGAGATGGGGTCCTGCTATATTGCCCAGACTGGTCTTGAATTCCTGGCCTTAAGCAGTCCTCCTGGCTTGATCTCTCAGAGTGCTGGGATTACAGATGTGAGCCAACGTGCCTAGCCTTTACTGAAGTTTTTTTTGGGGGGATGGAGTTTCACTCTTGTCACCCAGGCAGGAGTGCAACTGCATGATCTTGGCTCACTGCAACCTCTGCCTCTCGGGTTCAAGCGATTCTCCTCCCTCAGCCTCCCGAGTAGCTGGGATTACAGGCGCCCACCACCATGCCCAGCTAATTTTTTTGTATTTTTAGTAGAGATTGGGCTTCACCATGTTGGCCAGGCTGGTCTCAAACTCCTGACCTCAGGTGATCCAGCTGCCTTGGCCTCCCAAAGTGATAGGATTACAGGTGTAAGCCACCGTGCCCAACCCTTTACTGAAAATTTTAAGTTGAGACCTACTGCTCAGAAAAAAAGATTCCTTTCAAAATATTACTGCTCACTGACAATGCATTTGATCACCCAAAAGTTCTGATAGAGATGTAAAATGAGATTCATGTTGTTTTCACGTCCGCTAACACAACATCCAATCGGCAGCCCATGGATCAAGAAGTAATTTGGACTTTCAAGTCTTAATAAATGTATTTCATAAAGCTGCTATAAATAGTGATTTTTCTGATAGATCTAGGCAAAGTAAATTGAAGGCTTTCTGGTAAGGATTCACCATTCTAGATGCCATTAAGAACATTTGTGATTTGTGAAAGGAAGCCAAAATATCAATATTAACAGGCATTTAGAAGAAGTCTATTCCAACCCTTATGGATGACTTTTAGGGGTTCAAGACTCCCATGTTGTAAGTAACTGCAAATGTGGGTTTTCAAAGATTTTCAAAGAAGTTCTACTGGTGAGTAAAATGCTATTAAACAGCATCACATGCTCAGAGATATCTTTCATAAAAGGAAGAGTTGAAAGTAAACTTCGTCGTTGTCTTATTTTAAGAAATTACCACAGTCACCCCAATCTTCAGCAACCACCACCTCGATCAGTCAATACTAACACAAGACCCTCCACCAGCAAAAATATGATTCCACTAGGAAACCCAACAATTAATGTGACTTGCTTTATCAAGATACTCGCTTTATTGAAGTGGTATGGAACTGAACCCACAATATCTCTGAGGTATGCCTGTATCCTTTAAACTATGTTTCTGTCCTTTTTCAGCAGTACATAAATCAAATTTCAGGACTTAAAAGTAATGGTAACTGCATTTACAAAATTTTTAATGCATAGTTTTTCACTAACTCAGGCTAGACTTCCCTCCTTTCAAAAGAATGAATCTTTTCTTTGGAACAGATTAAGCACATAATTGCTGACCAGAGATAAGAACACAAAAATGGTTAGAAGGGGATGGGAGAAATCACTTTTCCGTAGCAAAGACCCTTTGAGTACACCTGGCAGAAAGAACTGGATTTAGAGAAGGAGAGCAGAAGAATGAGTATCCCAGGCTGACAAATCCCAGGCTACGCAAAGCTACGCTGCACTCAGCCTGAGGGGCTATGCAGGGGCAAAGGTCGAACCTTAAGCATCTCGAAGCCTGACTGTAAGCACTTGCCCTCCACCTCGGCAGCCAAGTGGGCCAGGTCCCGGCGCTTGTCCCCAAGGTGAGCAGCATTTTCTCGGAGTCGCTGCAGAATGTCCTGTTCCTCTTCTTCCAGTCGTGAAAGCAACACCTGCTGCTCTTCATCCAGCCGCCTATGAAGCTCTTCAAACTCCCTCAAGATCTGCTGTCGGCGACTTTCCACTAGTCTCTGAGAAGAGAGGGAAGATGTTGTATCAGCAGGGTCAGTGTGGTATAAGGAAGCCTTTCTCTCACCCACCATATGTATGAATTAACACAGACTTCCAGTTTCATTGAAAATGGTTTAACAAAGGCTGGGTGTGGTGACACATGACTGTAATCCCAGGACTTTGGGAGGCCGAGGGAGGTGGATTGCTTGGGATGAGAAGTTTGAGACCAGCCTAGGTAACATGGTGAAACCCCAACTCTACAAAAAATACAAAAAATTAGCTGAGTCTGGTGGTGCATGCCTGTAGTCCCAGCTACTGGAGAGGCTGAGGTGGGATGATGGCTTGAGCAAAGAAGGCAGAGGTTGGAGTAAGCTGAAATTGTTGCACCATTGCACTCCAGCTTGGGCAACAGATCGAGATGAAAGACAGACAGACAGGAAAGAAAGACAGAAAGACAAAGACAGAAAGAAAAGAAAGAAAGAAAATGAGAGAAAATGGTTTAACAGAACACTCATTTTTTATTCCATTGGAATTTCCTTCTGTAAAGAATGGCTCCATCACTATCACCCCCCTACTGATGACTTGGTAGTGAAGACCACTGCGGATATATATATTTGTTTTAATTTAAGATAAAGAACTCAATAATATGATGACATTAACTATTACAGATATCAGAGATATCTGTGTTATTATCAACTGTAAAGTTCTAGTTAATTCAATCTGTCGAGAAAAGGAAAGTATAGGCTCAGCATGGTGGCTCATGCCTGTAAACTTAGTGCTTAGGAGGCCCAGGTGAGAGGATCACTTGAGGCCAAGACCAACCTAGGAAACATAGTGAGACCTTGTTTCAACTAAAAAGAAAAAAAAATTAGTCGGGCATGGCAATGCACATCTGCAGTCCTAGCTACTCAAAAAGAATCAAGAGGATGGATGGCCTGAACCCTGGAGTTTGAGTTAGTGTGCTGTGATCACTACTGCCCTCCAGCCTGGGTGAGTGAGATTCTGTCTCAAAACAAGCAAACAAAAAACAACGAAACAAAAAGGAAAGTACAAATAATAAAAAGTTAAAAATAAGATTGTCATCCTTTGCATATTGCAACACATGCACCAGATAAAAACCAGAGAACTGGGAAAGTGTAAGAATCAGTAAGAGTTATATGGGTTATTATAAAATATACATATGTAGATTTCAGGGCTGAACTTGTTAAATTGTTTCAAGTCACTTCAGAGAACTGGCAATTCCTACCCCAGGAACAGGTTACAGAAGTTTGTTAGTAATTTAGTTTCTTGAAATTTGAAACATGCTTTCTTTAAGCCAGCACACAGACTTAAGCCTCTAACATTCCTGAAATTTGATAATATAGGACTCAAACACCAGCCATAACACTTTCTGAGAATTATCAGCACATCCTCTCTTCTGCATCTCCACTACAACAAATAGTGATCTCCCTAAAGAAAGAATTCCCCAAGCATCATGTGACTGATGATGAAGCAAAGTGAGAAGCAGAGACTGGGACTCTAGAAGGAAGTGGATAGGGAATGAAAGGCAGGCTTGAGGGTGGAGAGAGAGTGGGGATGCAAAGCCAGGATGGGCCTGACAAGCGTGGCATTTGTGGATTCAAGCTAGTTCCTGGCAGAGGCTGACTAGCTCTTCTAGTTTAGGGCCACTTGCTGCTTCACTTTCCACCACTGCCTTCTCAGTGTACATCTGAACAAAATATATTCTCACATTTGCCCTCAATAAAACACAGCCTTTGTGTGTGTGTGTTTGCACATGTGTGTGCATGCATGTGTGTTTGTTTAGGTATGGGTGTAAGTTTAACATTCATGACTGTGATAAATAGGAAGCAAAAAGGCCCTTCCTCTTATAAACCGGTAATCTTTTCTCTTTTTTTCACTCTATATTTTAGGGCAGTGGTTCTTGATGAAGCTGTTAACACACTCTGAGGATATTTTGGAAATAGGCACATCTTCTTGTTTTCCATGGTTGGGGAAGTTCCTGACAATGACGCAAGCACTCCTCCAATGTGTGAGACAATCCGGCATAGTGAACTGACCTGCAACATTTTCTAATGTTCTGCTGGATATTCAAAAACACAGGCCTGGGCGGCCAGGCACGGTGGCTCACGCCTGTAATCCCAGCACTTTGGGAGGCCGAGGTGGGCAGATCACAAGGTCAGGAGATCGAGACCATCCTGGATAACACGGTGAAACCCTGTCTCTACTAAAAATAGAAAAAAAAAATCAGCTGGGTGTGGTGGTGGGCGCCTGTAGTCCCAGGTACTTGGGAGGCTGAGGCAGGAGAATGGCATGAACCCGGGAGGCAGAGCTTGCAGTGAGCCAAGATGGCACCACTGCACTCCAGCCTGGATGACAGAGCGAGACGCCGTCTCAAAAAAAAAAAAAAAAAAAAACCACAAAAACAAAAACATAGGCCTGGGCTTGAATGCCATTTTATATAGTATAAACACAGAGTAATTCTTACATGGTTTTACTATACGTGAATTTTTCAGCAATAGCTGAATAAAACCCAAGATTATATTGTTATACTTAGAACTTTACCAAAAGTTATTACTATGAAAAATCATATCACCAAGAGCTAAGCTACTTATGGTATTTCAATCATATTGGCACACATCCATCTCAGTCTGAATTTGTATTTATGGCGTTGCTGATAATGACACATATAGGGGCAAGCATATAACCAGCTACACTGTAAAGTCGTTCAGGGTAGTCATGCCCAAATATTACATACCACATTTTATCATCAATTATGTTTCATTATATTATATTTGGACATGATAGACTCTTTAAAATTTAACATTATGCACATAGGTTATATTACCTGTAATTTTCAGTTCAGCATAATTACAAATTATTTTTTAAAGGGGCATTGAGTCTGATGAGGGAGAAGGAGGGAGAATTCAAATGGTCACAAGAGGAATGTTGGTGGTAGTTTTGGAGACCACTGAAATGACAATTTACAGTTTAAAAAACAGGACAGTTCTGTTCAAGCATTTAGAAGGTTTTAAAAAGGTATATTTCTCTCTCCATCCTTTACCTTCAAGAAGGTGATCAACATGAAGAAGAAAGTTAATGACTAGCAATAAGCACCATTTTCATATTTTTAGGTTTCTTGGAAGGCCTCTAAAAGAACAAAAAACTTTAAAAGTTCACATTTCTAACCAAAATTGGTTCAAATTTTAAAATTTCAAATGCTTACTTTGCTAAAATGTATAAGGCACTAAGGTAATAATACTTGCTTTCTGATGAAATGTTATCATTCATTTAAAAATTCATGTTTCTATGAATCAAAACTTGGATTTAGCTTCTGGTGATCTCTACATGTCAACTCTTAAAAACTCATTACTTCTTCGGGAAACCTTTAATGAGGCCAAATTTCTATGTTGTCTTCTTATGAACTTGCAGCTGTGCATTTTGTGCCATTACTTATTTTCTCCACTTAACTTTAAGCTCAAGGAGGGCAGGAACTGTGTTTTTGCTCATCATTGTTCCCCAGTGTCAAATACCGGGTTTGGCCTAAACCAGGAGCTTAACAAATATTTACTGATTCACGAAGAACTAGTATTCCTGGTTTTGCCACTTACTGGCTTTATGATCTTGGACTAGTCACTTACCCAAGGTCCATTTCCTTCTGTGTAAGCTGAAGGTAATAATACCTACCTTAAAGAATATCTAGGTTTACCCCTACATCTTACTAAAGATGGCCTCAGGATTTCCTTCTGTCTCTTTCTCGTAGCTTTTCTATGTCTCACTTATCCCAATTTGGCCTGAACTCTAAGACCCTAACAACCCTATAAATCTGGAATGTTACGGATACCTAATGAATTAATGCATAGGACTCAATTCTAGTTATTTTTGCTACAAATGATAATTGTTCACTGTTCAATGGAAGACAGACAGACACCAAAATACCATGCTACAAATAAGGCAATGCTATAAAAGAGGTGCAAAATTGTATGAAAATTAAGAATGTTAATTTCTGAAGGGTCAGGAAAGGCTGCATAGGAAGTGGCTTTCATCCCGCCTGAGAGATGAATAAGATCCTATGGTGGAGGATGGGGAGGGGGAGAACATTCTAGCATATGTAAGCTTACTTGAGTTTTAAGAATGTGGTCCTAATGTCATTAGATAGTTCTTCTGAGACTCTTGGTCAGCTCCTTTTCCCTTTCTCCCCAGTGAATCTTCCATATTCTCCTCTCTTCAAGTCCTCTAAGAAACTCCCATCCCTGCCTTCTCAGCAGAAAGCCTCCTTTGCTGCTTTAACAAAAAAAGGAGACCAAGAGGCACGAACTCTCTCAGCTCACCAGATGTAAGATATTCTGTCTGTTCTTCATCTCTTAAATCCCTCTTAATACTTAATTCATGACAAGTAATTTAAGTACAATGTTTAATGACAATCAAGCCTAATAAAATGCCATCATTTTTGAGAGAACTACATTGTTCTTTCTTTTTTTTTTGTTGTTTTTTTTGTTTGTTTGAGACAGAGCCTTGCTCTGTTGCCCAGGCTGGAGTACAATGGTGTGATCTTGGCTCACTGCAACCTCCGCCTCCCAGGTTCAAGCAATTCTCCTGCCTCAGCCGCCCAAGTCGCTGGGACTACAGGCATGTGCCACCATGCCCGGCTAATTTTTTGTTTTTAGTAAAGACAGGGTTTCACCATGTTGCCCAAGGTGGTCTCAAACTCCTGAGCTCAAGCAATCTGCCCACCTTGGCCTCCAGAATTGCTGGGATTACAGGTGTGAGCCACCATGTCCGGCGAGAACTGCATTTTTCTAATGAACCGGAACTGGTGGATTAAATAGTGTACAGTTAATTCCCTCATAGGCAAATACCCTTCAGAGCAGCCTACATGGGATTGCCTGCCTTTACCTTGAGCTCACCAGGCTTCTTCTCCTCAGAGGACTTGCAGCGAGTGATCTCCTGCAGCTTCTGTTCCAGGGGCTCCAGACACTTCTGCAGTTTTTCCTGAGGGGTAGGGAGGAAGTGGGAGAGGTGACATTTGGGGTTGACTGGTATACCTACCATTCAGAGATTAAACCATTTGTTTTAAACCATTTATTTGCTTCCTAGCCATCTTACTGCCTCTTGATCTGACTTCCTTCCTTGCCTGTCATTTGGGATGTCAACTTTCTACAGTCCCTCCTCCTGCCACTAGCCTGTCCACATCACCTTCTCTGCTCACCCAACTGTCCTTTTACTGAATCTGAGATAGCTGTCATCAACTCTGTGTCCTTTCTCAACTCTTTCCATTTTCTTACTGAGGCAACTGCCTATTACCATCCAAGCAACCTTCTGTACCCTAATATCTCTCTTTAAACCTGTCCTCCCATCCACCTCTGTCCACCTACAATAAAAACATGGTTATTATACTGTAAGTTACCTGAAATCTTGTTTTCAAGAGTAACATAACTAAGCAAAGTATATGATAAAATGCTAACACATTCATATCTCTGTTCCCTTTATTCAAACATTTTCCTTTGTCTCAGCAGTAAGTTAAATGATATGCCATGTTACCCATTACCTAGAGAAGCTGCAAACAATTGAATGGTTCAGCTTAGTCCGGTAGGTATCAGTCTCAAGCGATATTACCTATGCCCAATAACCAGTGTGAAAACAAGGAGCATTCTGAGCAGGCAGGCAGAATGAAGAAACCAGACTACTTTTCAGTTCTTCCTAAGTTTAATCTTTTCCATGTGGTTTCATTCATTTATGAAAAATATGACCACACATACCAATATTCACCCATAAGACTCACATGTATTGCAAAAGTCAGAGAGAAATTTTAGGGCACTTCTCACCATTGCTCTTTTTCAGGCTAGAGGACAACTGATCACACATACTGTGTGCCCCTGCATATGCAGCTCTGAGAATACAAAGTGAGTAGTAGGAGCTTACGATCTCTACCTAGGGAGTATCTCATCCTCTGCCGCTTCTCCCTTTTTACCCACACTGACATCGTGTGTCTGCTTCCCCACCTTGTACTCCTGTGTAGCGTCGTCCAGTGGCACAACGGTGTGGGCCCGGTGGGTGTGGGAAATTGCACATATCAAGCATACAGCCTCCTGGTCCTCATAACAGAAAAGGCTGAGGGCCTCATGGTGTTGGGGGCAGAGGCTCTCATCCCGGATCTTCCGCTTGACGGCCTGGAGCTGCTTGGCAATTTCCACCATACTGCCTAGTTGCCGATTAGGTCGGAGACTGCGGTAGCGGGATGTCTTTCGACAGACAGGACAAGGGAAGTCCCTCTCTAGGTCCTCCCACCAGCGGGTGATGCAAGCTTTGCAGAAGTTGTGCCCACACTCAATGATGACAGGTTCCTTCAGATACTCCAGGCACACAGAGCAGCTCGCCTCCACCTGTAAGTTCTCCAAAGCCGCAGCTGTAGAGGCTGCAGAGGCCCCAGCCTCTAACAGACTTGTCTCTGCCATAATTTAACTTGGGAGTGGGGAAGAGGACAGAGAAAATAAAAATATTAATTGGAGGTTTTTTCTTTTTTTTTTTTTTGCATCCCTGACCCGACATTTATCCCTATGTTAAGTCCTAACTCCAGATTTGCCCCTTCTTGTTATTCTCCATCTTCTCTTCCAATCAATTCAACCTCTTTGTTTCTCCATTTTCAAAACTTGTGACTCCCAGCCATCAACCTTTTTTTTCTTGTTAGTAAACTGACACACAACCCCCAATTGATCTATCTTGTCTCTTACCTCTGCTTTCTCTTGTTAGAAAGAGAAGCTTCCTTCAACTCTAGCTCAGCATACTTCTCCTGATCCAGGCTCATTCCACTTATATCTTAGAACCAATAGTTCCAGACACTGTATCCTCGTTTGACATACGTTTCTAACAGACAAGAAAGGAATCTGAGAAGTAAAAAATGTCATAAAAATATTAACATTTCTTAAATTAACCATATTTTAAAGTTTAATGTTATAAGAGCTTTATGATTAATCCACTGGAGTCTAAGCTTGATTCTCTGACACTGTTCTCTCATTCTTCTAAATCACAATATCCAACCTTTTGGCTTCCCTGGGCCCACTGGAAGAAGTGTCTTGGGCCAGACATAAAATACATTGACACTAATGACAGCTGATAAGCTTAAAAAAAAAAAAGTCCATGCATAACTTTTGTTCTATCACCACCACAGAAGGTCCATGCATAATTTTTATCAGCCACCACAGATAAGCAAAGAGAGTCCTCATATTGAAAGGGTTAGATACCACTGCTCTAAAGGCTAACAAATGGAATGAATGAGGCAAAGGCAACCTCCTCTTTTCAGGAAAATCTGAAATTATTCTTCCTTTTATCCATCAGACTAGCCTAAAGGAAATCTGCTCTCTTCTTGGAATGACATTTCACGCAACATTCCATTTCTCTTGTGTTCATCTGGACACTCAGAACTGCTGAAAACTGATAAATTATGGCAACCATATTAAATATTGCTGAGCTCAGGCCAACAACTTCTTGAAAAGAGAGCAACGAGTCTATTTGTAGTGACTGGAATCTTTCAATATAGCTATTGATAACTAACACCCTGGGCATAGTGTGTCTCCAACTTATAGGTCCTGGAGTGGTTGCGAATTAAGAGACACAAAAGAGGCAATGAGATCTCCCTCAAGCGCAGCCTCAGAAGAATTGGAAATGCATAGGAGAGATTTATAAAACACAAGGCTGGCCCCCTACTCCATCCTTAAAACATCCATACTTTTAGCCATGGGTAAGTTGATTTAACTATCCCCATAACCTTTTCTCCTCCCGACCCCCATCCTTCTCCAGGGACCTACTGGAAGGAAGGAAATTTGGTAGATCTATGTGCTGAGAGATAAGTGGCCATGTAATGAGGTAGGTTAACAACAATTGTTCCTGTATATATTGTTGGCACACACAAATGTGTTTGATTTGGAGTAGGAACTGATAACTTCTTTGGATTTGAATTTCTTCTGTCAGCAATAGGAGAGAAGTTCAGTCAGATGATTTCTATCTGTGGGAATCCAACTTTGACTTGTGGTGATCCTACCCCTTCCTCAGTCTTTTACAAATTAAGTGGCCTCCTCACCTGAGACGAGTAGAACTGTATGCACAGTAAGGCACCAGGACGGATCTAGACTGGCAAAGAAGTGGTGAGAGAAATGGGGAAAGGGTTAGGGAAGAAGGGAGAGGACTCTCAACTACAGTCATAGTGAGACCTTGAGTGCCTCTGCGTTAGTCCTTCCTCTTCCTCTACTCCTTGTGTCTCAGCTGAAGGGCAAACTTCAGGGACAATCTCATTTTGTTTCTACCACTGTTCAGGGTCCCACCTTGCGACCCTCTCCTGAGAGGTTGTCCACAACTCTGTCCCACCCCCGTTCTCCATCTTCTTCCGCCAGATCTGGGGCTGGGGCATTGGAGAGGGGAAAGAGGAAACGTCGTGGCTGGCAGGGTAGGAAGGGATGCGTGTCCAGGTGAGAAAGAGGTGTGACGTGCAGATGGGATGCCCGCCGCTATGACGCTGCCGAGACCCGCGGTGACTGCGTCAGAGTTTCACCCGGGGAGGTGAGCAGCAGCGGGACGGGGGAACGGCGGGGTAGCCAAGCAACGCCGGACGCGCTGACGTCGCCGGGGCGGCAAAACGTCCGCCCGGGCCCGAGGCGGGCGGAGGCAGCTGTGGTTACGTGCGGGGGGCCGGTGACGCAGTCGCGGGGCGCTGGGACGCGGCTTGCGGAGCCGGCCGGCGAGCGCAGGCCCCAGGCTCGGGCGCGGCGGCGGGACAGCACCTACCTTCCCGGCTTCGGGTCCGGGAGTGCGGGGCGCGGAGCCGCCGGAGCGCTGCCTCCCTCCTTCCTCCTCCCCTCGCCCCCGCCCCGCGGCGCGACACACAATACTCGCCGGAAGCGGAAGCCGCGCCGAGGCTCGTGTCAGTGGAAGCTGGGGTGTCGGCGGGCGGCCGCGGCCGGGTCTAGCGGTGCCTGCGGAAGAAGGAGGAGGAGGGCTGGCGATGAGAAGCAGCAGGGGGAATCAAGGGCAAGAAGGGACCCAGAGGGGCAGGTGGCTGAGATGCTGGCGTCCAGGTGACCCGAGGAATCCTCTGGAGATACAGGCCCGCGCATGCGCGTGCTCGAGCGCTGAAGCCCATTGCCCGCAGGGCGCTGGACTGGCGCCCCGGCCGGCGAGGCTGTCTAGTCCAGGCTCCAGGCCCCGGCTCTGGCCAGGCGCCGCCGCCTCCCGGTGCAGCTGAAAGTCGACGAAGAGGGCGGGGCGGGGGCGGCTTGTGGACTTCCACACTTTTCCTCTCTTCGGGCCAGTCTGGGGAGAGGGTGGCTAGCTGTGGCGGCGGCCAATTACGTGGCGGACCTGCGGGGCTAAGCTGGCACGTCACTTCCGACTAGTGGAGTTTTTAGCCTTTTAACATTCAAGGATTAGGTAAGTTCTCCCCGCGGTAGACTTCAAATACTCTTTGTCCTGCCCCTGCTTGGCGAAATTTACCGAAATTATCTACCTATCCCGCTGGAGTGGGAGCCGGGGGAGAGCTGGAACCGCGTCTCTGCTGCTCACCTTTGTGTCCTTAGCTCCTTCGCATGGGGTCCGACCGCAACACGTGCGCTGGATAAACGCTTGTTAACTGGGTGAGAGCCAAGGCCTGTTCTTTCCACTTCTGGGGCTGTGACTTGAGTTTCTCCGCAGGAGCAGATAGTGTTTGTGTAGGGACTGCGGACTTTTGCATTACAGCCTCCCTGCTTTGCCCGCCTGCTGCTGGAAGCTTAACAGGTCAGTGATTTTGGAGGAAGTGGGTGAGGTGATGAGGCTGGGGAAGAGTATGCTGGGAGAGGTGTGAGGGGCCCGGGAAGAGGTGATGGGGCTGGGGAGGGGCTAGTAGTGGGTAGAGGTGTGAAAAGGCTGAGGAGGAGGGGTTAGTGCTAGGAGGGGTGTGACACGGCTGGTAGAAAAGATAGCTTGCTCCGCCTCCCCGCCGCCAGCACTAGTCATGGAGAATATTCATTGAAAGAGATGAGCAGATTTTGCTGTACTCTCCTCGGTGAGAAAGGGCCCTAATTTCCGGTGTAAATTGTGCTGCTGTTTACAAACACCCTGCATTATTTAACCTCTCATCTTGGGAGCCAGAAACTATTTACTTGCTGAAAATATAATCCAGTATCTAAGGTATAAAGATTTGGGATCACACATGCTAATTACAGTTGTCTACCTTTACTGTTCCTTTTTTTGTGCCAAGAATTGAAGAAGATTAAATTTGAGAAAATTACATTTGATACCTTTTTTCACATTGCTATGTAGCCGTTAGGGATTTTAGCAGCAGCACTTGTTCTAATTCACAAGATGTCTCACTTGTAAGGGTAGTTTGAAAGCCATTAACTGGGCAGTGAGCCTCCTTAGCCGTGGCTTCGGAGGGAGAGAGAGATTTGGTTTTGATTTGTTAATTTGTGGCGCTTAAGATGTTGATAGCCCTCCTTTCTGGCTTTCTGTTTGTAGATAACCAGGAGGAATGTGATTAGACTAAGGAAATTAACAAGAGGAGGTCCAGTTCTAAGGACTGTGAAGAATGTGCTTGCCTAGAGACTGATATTAAGGGGATTTTATGCTGAATATGGAAGGAAAAAAGGGAGACTGTCTAGGTAAAACTATAAAATTATGAAGCGCAAGTAGTATGACATATAACAGGGCTTGGCAAATCTTTGCTGTAGAGAGCCAGAGAGGACATCTTTTTGGCCTTGTGGTCCATACTCAGCTTTCTCCTTGCAGTATGAAAACATCATTAGACAGTACTAAATGAAGGCTGGGCGCGGTGGCTCACGCCTGTAATCCTATCACTTTGGGAGGCCGAGGCGGGTGGATCACCTGAGGTCAGGAGTTTGAGACCAGCCTGGCCAACATAGCGAAACCCTGTCTCTACTAAAAATACAAAAATTAGCCGGGCGTGTGGCGCGCACCTGTAATCCCAGCTACCTGGAAGGCGGAGGCAGGAGAATGGCTTGAAAGCAGGAGGCAGAGGTTGCAGTGAGCCGAGATCTCGCCACTGCACTCCAGCCTGGGCGACAGAGCGAGACTCTGTCTCCAAAAACAAACAAAAGCTAAATGAGCATGGCTGTGTTCCAATGAAACTTTATTATGGATGCTAAAATTTGAATTTAATAACATTTTCAAGTGTCATTAAATACTCCCCTTGGATTCTGGCCCTCCCTCCCCAATCATTTAAAAATGTAAAAACCATTCTTAGCTTTTGACGTATACGAAGACAGATAGTAGACCGTAGTTTGCCGACTCCGGACAGGATAATAATGAAATATCCGGTATTTTTCAAGCGATAGTAATTGGGAGAGAGTGAAAACAAGCTATAATCTCTTAATTTCATCTGTCTGTTTACCACAATAATAAAAGGGATCTGAATTCTTAACACAAATTTGTTATGGCCTTTGAAAGTTGCCAAGATTTATGAATGTACGTATATTCTCTAAACAAGAAAAGGTATATTCCTTGTTTAAAAAGGATTACAGTTCAAGAAAAGTGGAATAACACCGAGTTTTGATGTTGATTTATACCAAAGGATTTTCAACACAGGAATATGCAAAAATGAACTGTAATAATGGGATGTAATTAAACAAATTTTAAATATACATTTTTAATATTTTTATATCAATAAGGGAAAACAGAAGCAATCTTGAAATGACTGAGTCATATAGAGCAAATGGGCATATAAGCAGTGTAGGTAGGAAACTGGTTGAGGTCAGATATGATGAGATGGGAGGGATGAAGGCGGGGTTTAATTGTCCAAGACTTGTGAGATTCTTACTCATGAAAAGGCAATATATCTAATCCCCCTCCATTTTTTTCATTTTTTATTATGAAAAATTTCAAACATAGAGACAGTCTTCAGCTTGCTTTTTATACTTTATAGTGGCTTTTATTGTTCCAGTTTGGTGACATAGAGCTACCTCACTCTTTTTAAAGTCTGCATTATTCATTTTGTAGACATGTGATTTATTCAACAATTTTGAGTAGACATTTAAGGTTCTTTCCACATCTTATTAAATAAAGGCTGTCGAGAACATCCTTGTACATATCTCTTTAGATCGTCGTGCCATTATATTAGTAGGATAAATTTCTGGAAGTTTGGCTGCTGGGTTCGAAGGCATGGAAATTTAAAATTCTATTAGATTTTTACAATTATCTTTCCGTAAGTGCCTGGCAAGGTGTCAGAGCCCTGGCACCGGGAAGTGGTCAACTCGCAGGTTGGTAAAATGAATTTACCATACCTACAAACAGTATAGGTTTGAAAAAAGGAAAGTTTATTAGAAAGGAAGAACTGAAACAGCCTTTGCAAAATGATGACTGAGACAGTGAAAGAAATCTAACGTAACCGACTCCATCTTGTTTCTAAGCTCCAAGCTGTTCTTGTTCATTCCTGGGCGTAGGCTGAACTAACTTTGGGAGAAACTTAGTTTATAAACAAAGAGGGTAACAGCCCTTTCCCAAAGCAGACTTCCTTCTTGTCTGAGGACTAGACTAACATTAGCCACAGGATTAGAATTTTTGGTTTAGTAGTCATGCAGCTGGAGGCTGCAAGATTCTGACCCTCCCTAAACTGCTCCTGTGATCAGTGCTTGAGGTATTTTGCAGACCCCGTACTTGATGGGTCAGCTGGCACTACCCACATCAATAAACTGGCTCTTTTTTTTTTTTTTTTTTTTTTTTTTTTGGAGACGGAGTCTTGCTCTTGTCGCCCAGGCTGGAGTGCAAATGGCACGATCTCGGCTCACTGCAACCTCCGCCTCCCGGATTCAAGTGATTCTCCTGTCTCAGCCTCTCGAGTAGCTGGGATTACAGGCACCTGCCATCACGCCTGGCTTTTTCTGTTTGTTTTTTTTTTTTTTGTTTTTTAGTAGAGACAGGGTTTTACAATGTTGGCCAGGCTGGTTTCCAATTCCCGACCTCCGGTGATCCACTCACTTTGGCTGCCCAAAGTGGCTCATCTGATTATGTGGCCCCCACCCAGGAACTGACTCAGTGCAGGAAGACGGTTTTGATTCCCTACAGTTTCATCCCTGACCAATCAGCACTTCTGGCTCACTGGCTTCCCCCCACCCACGAAGTTATCTTTTAAAACTCTGCTCCCCCGTGCTCGGGGAGACTGATCTCCCACACAGCTGGTTCTGCTTGAAGTACTCTTTCTCTATCACAATTCCCCTGTCTCGATGAATTGACTCTGTCTAGGCAGGGGCAAGGTGAACCCCTTAGGCGGTAACAGAACACTGCAGAAGAGTGCAGTGGGGCGCCTCAGCAAGAGGACTAAGTGTGCTGCCATGGATTTTTCTTTAGAGGTATTTATGGACCTTAAGGCAGGAGCTTAGGATAGTAAAAAGAGTTTCGGCATGGCATTTCAGAGATGTATATAAATTTTAGTTACTTGTAAAAGTTGAAAGAGGCCTGGAACCAGACTTTAGATACTAGGAAAGTTTAATTACTTCTGAATTCCCAGAAAAGGAGTTTCGCCTCCGTCTGGCCCGTTTGGTGGTCACCAGGTGGTCTTTGTTCCCTTCGAAATTCCTCAGATCAGGAGCTTTTGTCTGTGGGGCCTATTCAGTGGTCAACAGGTGATCAACCTCATGGTCAACTTCAGTAAGGTTGCACCTATTTTTATCCACACCAGCATATCATGAAATACAGTAGTCCTCCCCTTATCCTCGGTTTCATTTCTCAAGGTTTCATTACTCTTGGCAACCACAGTCTGAATATTTTAAGTGGAAAATATCAGAAATAATTCCTAAGTTTTAAATTGGCACCTAAACAATTCCTGTTTTAAATTGGGCGCTGCACCATTCTGATGAACATGATGAAATCTCATGCCATACCACTCCATCCCTCCCCAGGATTTGCATCATCCCTTTGCCCAGTATCCACAGTGTATATGCAGCCTGCCTATTAGTCACTTAATAGCCTTCTTATCAATTTTACTGCCTAAGTATCACAGTGCTTATATTCATGGAACCCTTATTTTACATGACAGTGGCCCCAAAGTGCAGGAGTACTAATGATGGCAACTTGGATATACAAAAGAGAAGCCATAAAGTGCTTCTTTTAAGTGAAAAGGTAAAAGTTCTTGACTTAAGGAAATTTTTTAAATGCTGAGTTTGCTAAGATCCATGGTCAGAACAAATCTTCTATCCCTGAAATTATAAAGGAGGAAAAAGAAATTTTTGCTAGTTTTACTGTCACACTTCAAAATGGAAAAGTTGCAGCCACAGTGCATGTTAAGCACTTAGTTAAGATAGAAAAGTCATTAAAATTGTGGGTGGGAAACATCACCAAAAAAAACTTCCTATTAACAGCAATCGGGTTCAGTACTATCAGTGGTTTCAGACATCCACCGGGGATCTTGGAACATATCTCCCAAGAATAAGAGGGAACTACTGTAGTCTGTTTTCCTACAGTGGTGCCATTCCTGATATTTTCATATTTTTAAAAATTTGCTGATATTTTTATTTATAATCCTTAATAATTCCATAACAGGTCTTGTTTTGCAGGTAATGTTTTTAACCTTTTGTCAGTAGATAGGCATTTACTTCATTTCCTATTGATACTTAGTTTCCTCTTTTTTTCTGCTACACGGTATTACAATAATAACTTTCTGAACACATGTCATGTGCTGGTAGATTTTTGTGAGAAAGGTTTCTGGGTCGAAGGATATGGCATGTTTCTAATTTGATGGATGTTGCCATATTGCTTTCTCAGTAGGCTGTTAACCTTTACATTTCCTTACAACAATGTATGATCCTGCTCCCTTCCCACTTGCCCAGCAAAGATACATATTATTTATGTTTTTATTTTTTTCCCAGCCAATAAAGAGAAGTCTTAGTTACTTTTAATTTTCTCTTCCTTTAGTAATTTTGATTATGTTACTGTTTGCCATTCAGATTTTCTGTGCATTTTCAATTCTATCCTTTGCCCATTTTTCCTATTGGATTGTTTGTTTTATCAGTCTCATACATATGCACACATGTATGTGTGCTTGCCCTATCCGTGTGTCCATGCATGCAAACGCACACACACACACACACACCCCTACCTGTCCTCATTAAGAAATCCATCCTGACCTCCAGATTCTAATTTGCTTTCTTCGGTTTCTTACAATATTTTTTATTCCTTACATTTAAATATTTTTTAAAAATATCCTGTAAAAGGAGAATCTTAATTTTTCTCCAGAGCAGTGCTGTCCAATAGAAATATAATGGAAGCGAGCCAGGTGCGGTGGCTCACGTCTGTAATGCCAGTACTTTGGGAGGCCAAGGCAGGTTAATCACTTGAGGTCAGGGGTTTGAGACCAGCCTAGCCAACATGGCAAAACCTCATCTCTACTAAAAATACAAAAAAATTAGCCAGGCCTGGTGGCTCATGCCTGTAATTCATTCCAGCTACTTGGGAGGCTGAGGCAGGAGAATCGCTTGAACCCGGGAGGCAGAGGTTGCAGTAAGCCCAGATCGCGCGACTGTACTCCAAACTGGGTGACAGCAAGACTCTGTCTCAAAAAAGGAAATATAATGCAAGCCGCTTATATGATTTGTGGTTTTCTAATTATAGCTGCATTAAAAAAGGTAAAGAGAAACAGTTAAAATTAACTTTAATAATATATTTTATTTTACCAACCTAACCCATTATATTTAAAATATTATCATTTTAACATGTAATCAGTTTTAAACAATTACAAATAAGATATTTTATGTTCTTTTGTATACTAAGTCTTTGGAATCTAGTGTATATTTTATACATACGTCACTAGGTCTGTGGTTAAGTGCTTATGGCCATTGTGGGGCTCAGAACTCATACCCGAAAATATGGTGCTGTGGCATAGTAAACTGAAGAAACCCAGAGTTCTCTGTGACCTCCCCATCCCCTACCTCCTCTCTCAAATAAGTTGAAGTTTCTTTATCTGCCTAAGATCTACACCCACCAAAGAGAACTGTTGTTTTTTCTTGCCCTCCCTTGTTAGACCCAGAGTGTACTCGCACCTGAACAGACCCTTTCACTGTCAAAGAGAACTATTTACATGTTAATCTCTGTTCCCAGATCCATTCATTCTCCCTAGTATCAGCTCACAGCAGCTCCACCAAGCAGTGCAGAGTCCCTATTGCTTCACATTCTCTCAGTACTTGGTATTTTCAGACTTTTGAATTTTGGCCATTTTTACTGAGTATTTTCCATGATTACAAATCAGATAGTATATATTGTCCTATGTTTATAGGCCATTTGGTATTCTCTATTCTGAAACATCTGTTCTGCTCACATTTTTCCATTGAGTCATCAATCTTTTTCTTATGAAGGAGTTTTTTGTTTATTTTTTAGAAAAAAAATAACATTCATTTCTGACAGTTCCAGAGGCTGGGAAGTCCAAGGTCAAGGGGATGCATCTGGTCAGAGCCTCCTTACTCATGGGAACTCTGCAGAATCCTGAGGTGGTATGGGGCATCACATGGCAAAGGAGCAGAGCATGCTAGCTGAAGCCTCTTTTCCTCTTATAAAGCCACTAGTCTAACTCCCATGATAACCCATTAATCCATGAACATCTCTTAAAGGCCCCACCTGTCAATACTGCCACATTGAAGGTTAAGTTTCAACATGAGTTTTGGAGGGGACAAACATTCAAACCATTGCATTCTGCCTGTGGTCCCCCAAACCCATGTTCTTCTCACATACAACTATACTTAATCCCCATATCCCCAAGGTCCTAACTTGTTTCAGCATCAACTCAGAAGTCCAAAATTCCATCTGTGAAATCAAAACAAGTTATCTACTTCTAAGGTACAACGGCAGGACGGGCATAGGATAGACATTCCCATTTGAAAAGGGAAAAGTAGGCCAAAAGAAAGGGTTAATAAGCCCCAAGCAAGTCCAAAGCCTAAGAGGGCAGACATTAAATCTCAAAGCTGGGGAATAATCACCCTTGACTCTATATTCAGCATCCCCCGTACCTGGAGGAATTCCTTTTTTTTTTTTTTTTTTTTCTGTTGTAGAGACAGAGTCTTACTGTGTTGCCCAGGCTGGTCTCAAACTCCTGGCCTCAAGCACTCTTCCCACCTTGGCCTCCCAGAGCCCTGGGATTACAGGCATGAGCCACTACGCCTGGACTGGAGGGGTTCTTTATACAGTCTGTGATATGGATTTGTGTCCCTTCCCAAATCTCATGTCGAATGAAAATCCCCAATGTTGGAAGTGGGGCCTGGTGGGAGGTGATTGAGTCCTGGGGGTGGATTTCCCCCTGGATGCTGTTCTTATGGTAGTGAGTTCTTGTGAGATCTGGTTGTTTAAATGTATAGCACCTCCCCACTCTCTCTCTTGCTCCTACTCCTGTCATTTAAGATGTGCCTGCTTTCTGTTCACCTTCGGCCATGATTGTAAATTTCCTGAGGCCTCCTCAGAAGCAGAAGCCACTGTGCTTCCTGTACGGGCTGCAGAACCGTGAGCCAGTTAAACCTCTTTTCTTTATAAACTGAACTACCCAGTCTCAGGTATTTCTTTATAGCAGTGCAAAAACAGACACATGCAGTCTGGATATAAGCTCTTTGTCGTTTGTATGTGAATCTGGATGTAGTAGTACAGGTGCATTTAGTTTTGCTTCATAAGCATTTATTATGATTCCCGCATCTTCCTGTATATGCTTTACTTAAGTAAACAGATCTATAATAAAGTTCCTTAGAAGATTTTTTATATCTTCCTTTCCCCAACTACTATAATAAACAGCTAGTTGCCTTAGAGACCACTGCAGGTTTTACTATTTTACAACCTGGCCTTTAGTACTGACATTAGGCAAACTCAATGTTGTTTAATAGTGTCAAAGAAAATACTGAATGGTCTCCTCATAATCACACCAGAGATTTTCCAATTTGTGTTGATAGTAGGGAGCTTCTGGTGATCTGGGCTAAGGAGTAAGATAATGAAAATAGAATTTAGAATGTTTTGCTTAGGAATAGATGTCCAAATGGATAAGACAAAAAAGGGACCAGAGACAAGAATATCAGAGAGGAAATGGATGCTTAATGTGAATTGAAGGAATGTCTGAACTAGACTAAAATCCAAAATTACAAATGAGAAGCACAGGGAAACCAGGTGGTAAGTGTGTGCTGAGCAGTAGCTAGAAGCTTTGTGTGGCTGTGACTGGGGTGCCTGAAAGGGCCTGGGCTCTGCAGAGGTGTGTTGGAAGGTGGTGGGCTAGGAGGTCCCCTCTTCCCTGCCCCCCTTCCGTCCTTCCATGAGGTAATTGCATGCATGGGGTTGGGGACTGGCAGACAGGTAAGGACTTTGTCTACTAGGAGAGAAGAGAGTGAATGGGAGGGTGGAAGTGGAACAGGAGGAGAAAATAACTTAGACATAAAAACCCTGCAAAGTAATATAGCTATATCATGATATACAAGGTGCTCCGTGCTATAATTTTAAAAATAAGATATTTTTGAAGTCAGACCATCAGAAGTTCAAGTCTAGAAGTTTAGTCCTTTACTAGTTATAACTTAATTCAATGTACTCTTAATTAAGTTATAACTAGTAGTTTACTAGCTATGTGACTTCAAACAAATTACCTTTTTAAACTTAAGTTTTTAATCTGTAAACAGTATATAATACTAGAGTGTCATTAAGTGATTTTCTGTAAAGCAGTGGTTTAGTTAATGCCTTATTTGTAATGTGAAATTTACTTATAAATAGCTTGATAATACGTTTTACGATTAAAAAAATCACTGTCACTCATGATTAGTATATTTTATTTCATTTAGGCTAACTGCAGCATCCAAGATGCATGGTGATGAAATTACAATTGGATTATGTCTGTATTTCGTCTGGAAAACAGGACTTGAATGCAAAGGCAGCACCAAGCATATCTAGAGTGAAGAGTCTCAACAAGTAGCTTAACAAGATAGTTTCAGGCCAAAGATGATGTATTTAGTGGAATTTAGAGAATACCCCTTTATTTGAAGTTTTCCTATATTGTTGTACTGGAAATGCTTCACTGTATTCAGTCAACTAGAGTGGGTACATGGAATTTTGATATTGCACCTGATTTTGTCCCGTAGAACAATTTATTCCTCCAACACCTCCCTCAGGTGAAAATTCAAGAATTTGCATGGGTAGTCATTCTGATGCATATCTCCAAGCTTGTATCTTCTTCCCGCTGACAATGATTCGTTACAGTCTCTGGCTCTATCTACATGTGATGTGCAAGATGTCTGACAAAAGTCAGAGAAGCCCGTTGTTGAGTTTTGTCTCCAGATCTAAGGATCGGTACTTTTGCCAGATTGGGCTGCTTCTGTTTGAAAAAGACAAGCGTGGGGGTGGGAGAGATTGCTGGTTATCTTCCAGTACCTGTCTTCCTCTTCTTCCTGAATAAAAAATTTTAGCTGGGCACATGGCTGGCTGAATACAAGTTACATTTTTCAGCATCTTATGCAACCAGGTATGGCCATGTGACTGGCCAGTAAGGGTGAGCAGAGATGGTGTGTGCAGCTTGTGGTTCATGCCCCTTGCTTTGTCCCACTGTTTGGAGTGCAGTACAGGTATGGCGGTAAGCCCTGTCAGACCCTGTGGTGGGCCCAGTTCCTTAGGGTAGTCACCTCCAAACTTTGCTGCACATTAGAATTAGCTGGGGAACTTTTAAAAATCCCGGTTCCCAGGTCACACCATGTGTACCAATCAAATGAGAATGTCTCAGGGTGGAAGCCAGACATCATTGTTTAAAAAAATCAAGTGATTCCAGTGTGCAGCAGACTTTGGGAACCACTGCCTTGGGAGTTCCAGAGCAGGAACACTGAGGAAGTCTATGTTGCTGACAGCATTTTAGTCCAAGACTACCTACAACAAGGCCATCACATGTCAGAGAAACAGACTTCTACCTTGCCAAGCTAGACACCATTTCAGTGTCTCATGGAGTGATCATCTCTAAATTCCTAAAAAGTCGTAAGATTAGTGTTCAGTAGGCCCATGTGATATCATCTTTAGGATACAAGTTCTTGTTTTGATTTTGCTAAGCACTCCGTGGTGAAAATCAGTGGTGGATGCGGCAGCATTGTTAGTGCTTCGTGTTCCTAATTTGGTCTTAGTATCAAAAAGAGCCATCAGTTCCCAGTGCTCATCATCGGCCCCTTGGCCTTCTTCATTTCCCACTCCTTGCTAGTTAAATTCAGGGGCTCAATGGGTAGGTGATCCCAGTACTTGTGGCCACTTATGTGACACAGATTGATTTATTCTTGACAACTTAGTGTGCTTTCTCCATTTTGGTCAATGATGTGGGTAGTCATCCAGGTAGATATCCTGTCCTATTTACCAGTTGCGAGTTTCTCATTTCCTAATTGGTTTTCCTACCTTCAGCCTTGCCACACTTTGATCCACTTGTACATTACGGAAAGAAGTAGCTCTAAAATAAGACCCTGTAACTGCTGCTTAACAGCCTTCATTAACAGCTTTTTGTCTCAAAGTCCAAACACAAGGTCTTTCACCATTCAGATTTAAAGAGCCACCACTTTCCTTGCCATGGTGAGGGCCAGCGTTACTATATTACATTCATTCCTGTTGAATGAGATGCAGCTTTAGATTTTTTTCATTTTACTGTATTCCAAGTTAGAGTTGGCTTGAAAGATGAAAGATGTCATGGTTTGGGTTTACCAAGAAGCAGACTGTGAGATAAGAATGTGAGTATAAGTAGTTTATTTTAGAGGTAATCTTAAGGAATCTCCCAATTACACTGTGGACACTTGCATCTCAATCCCACTGGAAAACTCAACACTAGAATAGTTCTCAGTTATACCACCCAAGGGGGGAAGAAGCTGGAGCATTTATCTACCAACTGCCATTTTGCCGTTGGTTGAGTGCTGCTTTCAGGGATATTAAGCTTTCCCTTGGTGCAAATTAAGCATCCAATTCAGCCAGAAAAAAGCTTACTGAAAGAGCAGTTAGTAGCCTTCACACAGAGGTGAATGCCTGAGGCAGGGCTAGCTTCATGGACATATACCTATGGAGTTGGTTTACTGGTCTGCTGCTGTCCTCTTGAAATTCTTGAACAAGGGACCCCACGTTTTTGTTTTGCACAGGGATTCACAAATTCTGTAGCCAGATCTTGGTCTAAGGGAATATAAATGGTACAGCAGTAGCTTCTGTTACAAAACCTATTTGTCATTCCTGTGAATTTCTAAGCAGGGACCATTTTTATGCCTGCTGTCTGGTACTATGCTTGCCATTGAAGGTACTCAATGAATGTTTGTTTCAAATGATTAAATTTTCTTTTCCATTTTAATTTTTTTGACAGGTAAAAGTCTTGCAGTGAAAAACCCGAGGACCCTTACCGCAAGTGTCTTTTGCTCCCAGCTACTGATACTGGATTCCACTCGTGATTCTCCCTTTCTTAGCGCATTCATGATATAGACATCAGTCTCTGAGCTGGAGGAGGACAAAGGCAGCGGTCCTGTGAATTCTATGCTCTAGCTTGGGTTAAGGGATTTGGAATTGCACTTGTTTCAGAGGTATGTTAGAGGCAGGAAGAAATCACATAGCGGGTGTCTTGTAGGCAGGAAGAGTACTTACTAGGACTTGAAGACTATGTTAAAGGTTCTTATGTTAATTATCTATTGCCCTGTTTTTCTCCAAAGATTAATGGTTGAAAACAATAAACTTGTATTGTCTCACAGTTTGCGTGGTTAGGAATCTGGAAATGGCATAGCTGAGTGGCTCTGGCTCAGAGTCTAATGTGGTTCCAGTCGATATCAGCTGGGGCTGCAGTTCTGAAAGTGTGAGCAGGGCTGGAGGATCCTCTTCCAAGGTAGCTCACTCATGTGCCTGGCAGGGTGTGCTGGGTGTGCCTGAGGCAGAAGGTGTGTTTCCTGTCACATAAGTCTCCTTTTAGAGTGTCTTCATGGCATGGCTGCTAGCATCCCCCAGAGCAAGTGATTTGAGAGCGAGAGCAGGGAGAAAGCTACATTGTTTTTAATGGCCTAATTTCAGAAGTCACATCTGTCACTTCTGTTTGTTAAAAGCAAGTCATCGAGCACTGACCACACTCAAAGGGAGGGGAATTAGGCTCTGCCTTTTTCAAAGGAAGCATATCACAGAACTTGTAGATGTATATAAAAACACCACAGGGTTTTTAAAGAGTCTCATATTATAGAGCCTTGAGAAGTAAATTCCCATGCCCTTTACCTTACCTGTGAAGTTGCTAATCTGATACTAATTGTTCATTCTCCTGCTGTTCTGCTCAGTGTCCCTTCCCGTGTGTTGATACAATAACTAGGGTTTATAATCATCCTCTGAGAAGATAAATGTTGGGCACATAGAAGGTAAATAGATGGAGTGGTGGTGGTATGCATTTATTTCCTAGGGCTGCTTTAACAAGCTACCAAAAACTGGGTGGTTTAAAACAACAGAAATTTATTTGGTCAAAATTCTGGAGGCCAGAAGTCTGAAATCCAAGTGTCAGCCAGGTTGGTTCCTCCTGGAGGGTCTAAGGGAGCATCTATTTCATGCCTCTCTCCTAGCTTTTGGCATTTGCCGGCAATCTTTGGCATTCTTTGGCTTGTAGGCTTGTCACTACAATCTCTCCCTCCATCATCACATCACATTCTCTATGGGTGGGTCTCTTTGCATCCAAGTTTCCCTCTTACAAGGAAACTAGTCATTGAATTAAGGGTCCACCCTTAATTCAGTATGACCTCATCTTAACTTGATTATATTTTCAAAGACCCTATTTCCAAATAAGATTACATTCTGAGGTTCTGGGTGGACATGAGTTTGGGGGACACTGTTCAAACCAGTACAGGGTATAGATAATAAAACTCATGGGTGTCTCTAGATACTCTTCACCAGAGAGGAGAGTTTCCATGACACTACAATAGCCAGATGTCCCTGATGCAGGCATGCAGTTGGGCATGAACTAGTCAGATTGTAGGACTGTGGCTGCTACTAGCTCATATGTACATATCTAATTATAGGAAGCTAAGAAAATTAGTATTAAGTACAAGAGGTTGAAAATGGTAATAGCATGAAGATTATTCCTCAGAGCACTTTTCTGTGCCCTTATTGTCAAGTGGTCCTGGGAAATGGACTTTTATCAAGTCTGACTCTTATGTTACCACCTTGCTTGAGTGCTCAGTGCCATGAGATCGTCCCAGAGGTGATCCCTTGCATACCCTGGTCTTTAGGCAAAGCCTTGTTTTCAAATCGCACAAGTAAAAGATGTGCTCTGCTAAGTGACATTTCAGTGGAAGAATCAGGATATTGACAGAGGAAGCACTTTTACCTCTTGACTGGTATTTCATAGGCTAGGAAAGTATGGAACTTGATTTTCCTGTTTCTCAAACTGGCTCTATTTCTTTAGGAAGGGACCAAAAGGAGCTGCCCCTAGTATAGGGAGCAAACAGAGGTTTTCTATAAATGTTAAATTAAGGAATTTTTTTCTCATAGGGATAGCTGTTGGCATAATAGTAGCTAATGATTATCTATAGTGACTCATTGGACTTCCACAACATCAGTATATGATAGGTTTCATTACCCCATGTCTCTCCCCACCACCATTGCCATCCATCAAAACTAAATTATTGATGGTTTCCTAAATCTAATGTCTTGTTGCACCGCTTGATGCTTTTACTGTTTCTTCTTCCTGGATTTCCCTTTGCTTATATTGTGAAGCCCTCCTAATCTTGCTCTAAATGTCAGGTTATTAATGTTTTTCTCTGTACTACTTTTATATGTTTAACTAGTATTGTTGGATTATTGATATTTTCATATCTGAACTGTGCTACACTGGAGAGCTACTTTAGCATGGAGATTGGTTTTGTTTTTCATTCCCTAATAGTGCCTGACGTGTGGGGTGGGGGTGGGGGCTCAGTTCAAAGAAGGAACCCAAGGCTCAGCATGATTGAGTAATTTGCCAAAGGTCACACATCTGGTGTATGGCAGAGCTAGAAGAAGAATCCAGATCTTTAGCCACTTACCAACTACAAAGAGAAAAACACTGCACAGAAGTCAGGATGTCCAAGGACTAATACTGGGTCAACAGCTCTTGTGTTACTCTACCTTGATGAGATATTTTACCTTTGTGAAATTTTCTTTATCATTTGTAAGGCTATTTCTAGATCCGTGAACTGCAAGTTATATTTTTATGCATTTTTCCCCAAGGAATTGGAAAAAGTCTCAATATCAATATTCTATTCTATATATTCTTTTAAAAATCAATGTCTGAAGAGGGAAGTTGTAATGTAGGTGTAGAGAATGTCCTTCTCTGGCTCAGAGTATTAGGAAGTTGGACTAGGCATTCTGTAGGGCCCAGGGCTCCTCTTGACTATTGTAGCCTGAGTCTTCATACCTTCCCTGAACACTCTCCATTGATGACTATATAGCCCTTTATTTATCCTTTCCCTCATCAGCATGTTGAGGTGTCACATTTCCTCAGCAGTCTTGCTGGCGTGGGTGTCATGTGTTGTGGGGAGGCCGGGGTGGGGTGGGGGTGTGTGCGGGGTGGTCCTTTTTCTGCTGTCCAAGGTCCTGAAGATGTGTTTCTGTGTTTCCTGAAAGTTTCTCAGTTTCCCAAATGCAAGTTTGAGATTTTATTTGTTTTTGAAGAAATTAAAGAGATGATAGGTGATCTGCTAATGACTTATTGGAAGTCATAGGAGAATGGAGGGAACTACCCAGGTGATGGTGTTAGAGTTTGATTTTCTGTTCTTTTTTTTTTTTTTTTTTTTTTTGAGACAGAGCCTTGTTCTGTTGCCCAGACTCGAATGCAGTGGTGCAGTGGCGAATTCTCAGCTCACTGCAATCTCTGCCGCCTCCCGCGTTCAAGTAATTCTAATGCCTCAGCCTCCCAAGTAGCTAGGACTATAGGCATGCACCAACATGCCCAGCTAACGTTTTGTATTTGTATTTGTATGGGGTTTTGCCATGTTGCCTGGGCTGGTCTCGAACTCCTGAGTTCAGGCAATCTGCCTGCCTCGGCCTTCCAAAGTGCTAGGATTACAGGCATGAGCCACTACACCTGGCCCAGATTTTCTATTCTTTTGCATTCCTCTCTCTTCTAGTCCCTTTCCTTTGGCTGTCTTTTTTTTTTTTTTTTTTTTTTTTTTGACATTGTCTTGCTCTATCGCCAGGCTGGAGTGCAGTGGCATGATCTCGGCTCACTGCAACCTCCGCATCATAGGTTCAAGTGATTCTCCTGCCTCAGCCTCCCAGTAGCTGGGACTACAGGCACATGCCACCATGCCCAGCTAATTTTTGTATTTTTAGTAGAGACAGGGTTTCACCACGTTGGCCAGGATGGTCTCAATCTCGACCTCGTGATCTGCCTGCCTCGGCCTTCCAAAGTGCTGGGATTACAAGCGTGAGCCACCTTGCCCTGCCTCCTGTGGCTGTCTTGTTGAGTCATTTGTCTCTGCTTTTCTTGTTGCTCTGGTCTCAGTCTTGTGATTTACTCCTAGAGGTGCTGGCAAGCCTGAGCTCAGATTTAGGAATAATGGGGTTGGGACAGGAGAAGGATGAGATAGGGACTAGCAGCTGATGAAAAGGAAGGGTGGACATATTCATCGTAGGGGTTTCAGGAACTCCATTATCTCACACTCAGCCCCTTTGTCATCTCTGGGATCAACACAGTGTTATCATCGATCAGCCCCCAGATTCACTTCAGTGAATCTGTAAAGAACAAGCATGTCCTCCTCATCCCACGAATTCTGCTGCTTAGAAAGCCACCTGAAAGTGATAGCCCTTAAAGTCCTCAGTCTGCCCCTTTAGAGCACCACAGAAAGATCCCTGAATGGAGATCCTGACCCTTAAGTATGGAACTGCTGGGAAGAGCTATTTGGAGATTATCATTACATGGAGGGTTAGTAACATCACTTTCTCTTCCCTTTATCCTCATTTTTTTCCCTTAAAAAAAAACACACACACCCACACAACCATTTCTTTGCTATTTGCTGTTGGTATCCAGTATGCCATTGCTTTCTTAATTAATGAGATACATTTTCCCTTCCTGTATGCCTATTTTAATGGTCAATTTCTGATATCTCTAAACATGTCTTTGTTGTCCCCTCCCTCCATTTCCACTTCCACTGTCCTATTTCAGTTCTGGACTATAACAATTGCCTCCCTACCTTTATCTGAGCATTTGGTCTCACTCTCTTGCCACACTCCCAGTCTTTCCCCTGTATGGCCTCAGTGATATTTCTAACAAAAAACTCTGACTATAGTATTCCCCTACTCAGTCATCTTTAATGATTCTCCTTCACCTCTTGAGTAAAATCTAAATCTTTTTGGAAGGGTGTTTGAGGTTCCTCATGGTTTTGTCCATTGGGCTGGACTAAGGTTATGGATGAGAGACTTGTGAGGAAGAAAAACCAGTTCTAGAGAAATAAAGGCATGGCATCTTTGCACACTTACAAATGCAGGAAGAGAAGGTTTAAAACCATCTTTCTAGAATATGCCCTTTGGCTGGTGAAAAGAGCAAAGTTGATCCTTCATATTCCTCCTTTTTCTTAAAATCATAAATCTCTCCTCTACTTCCTTCTCTTTTGCTTTCAAATCAGCATTTTTAAAAGCCATTTCTTGGCCTGGCACGATGGCTTATGTCTGTAATCCCAGCACTTTGGGAAGCCAAGGCGGGTGGATCACCTGAGGTCAGGAGTTCGATACCATCCTGGCCAACATGGCGAAACCCCCATCTCTACTAAATATACAAAAATTAGCTGGTGCGGTGGTGTATGCCTGTAGTCCCAGCTACTCAGGAGGCTGAGGCAGGAGAATTGCTTGAACCTGGGAGGCAGAGATTGCAGTGAGCCGAGATCGCATCGCTGTACTCCAGCCTGAGCAATAGAGCTACACTCCATTAAAAAAAAAAAAAAAAAAGCCAGGCCAGGTGCGGTAGCTCATGCCTGTAATCCCAGCACTTTGGGAGGCTGAGGCGGGCAGATCACGAGGTCAGGAGATCGAGACCATCCTAGCCAAGGTGGCAAAACCCCATCTCTACTAAAAATACAAAAATTAGCCAGGCATGGTGGCGCGTGCATGTAATCCCAGCTACTCGGGAGGCTGAGGCAGGAGACTTGAACCAGGCAGTCGGGGGTTGCAGTGAACCGAGATCATGCCACTGCACTCCAGCCTGGCTACAGAGCGAGACTCCGAATCAAAAAAAAAAAAACAAACAACAGCAACAACAAAAAAGCCATTTCTTGATCCTGCTTACCTGTGTAACACCATCTTCTCTTTCGCTGCAGTGAAGTTGTCTGTGTTTATCTCTGTGTTTATCTTCGTTTCCTCAGTTCTCATCATTCTTGAACTTCTGCAGTCCTCCTTCCTCTTGCTACTCAATTTACACTATCCCCATGGTCATCAGAGGTTTTTCCCTTGGTCTTCTTTCTGGCACCTGATACCACTCAAGCTACTACTTCCCCACGTCTACATTTGCTCTCTTTTGTCCCAGAAAATTATTGGATACAGTCTAGGATACAATTGCTCCCTTTGTCCCCACATATACCCTACACACCTTGCCTCTCCTACAAACCTATCCAGAATCTTCTTAATTCCCCTCACATTCCCAAAATGAGCTGAGCAGTCTTTGAAGTAAAAATTAAGCTATAGTTAAGTTTCACCTCCATTTCACTTGTGCATTTTACTCCTTTTTTTATTTTTTTAAACCTCTTTCAAATGATCCTTGGGCTTCGAGTACCATGATCTACCCAGACTTGCATTCCCTGGGCTGTGTTCTAGTTCTGGTCATGTCAGCTTTTCCCTTCTGATGAATCCTTGTAATTACTTGAGTCTCATTCTGTCAGGCAATAGCCACAGTGAAGAAGCCAGTGTGCGTTATGGCAAAGCCCAGGAAGACGTAGGTGTGAATTTTTGCTTTACCATTTCTTGCCTGTGTGACTTATGCCATGGGGCTTCACTGGTCTGGGTCCCAGTTTCTCATCTCTTAGATGACATCATTTTGTTGGGAGGATTACATGGAGTGATATGTATAATATATCTGATAACTAAGTGGTTTCAGTTAGTGGTAGTTGTTTTTATTTGACATAGTCTTGATAAGTATTAATTTCTTCCTAAGCCCAGGGTATTTGTATTTTGACAACAAATAAGTTTTAAGTAAATCAATCTATAGATATTATGGAAATCTGGACCCCTATATCCTAGCTGAGGAAGGGTATCTGGCACCCATTGCCACGTAGGAGCCCCTGGGCTCCAGGACACCAGGGAAAAGAGGTTAAATAGGTCCCCCTCCTCTGACATGATACCCAGTGATTCAGTCAGGGTACAATTGGGAAAACAACCCATACCACAGGGACTGGTTACAAAAGTCTTGAATAGCTAAACGCAGAACAGGATGGTTAAGTTGCATTATGTAGACAACAGTGATTCAGGTGGGCAGGCCCTACCTCCTTGAGGTGTTATCTGTGGACCGATTTTTGTGCGATTGTGGCACAACCCTGGGTTTCTTTCTTCATGTGCCTGTTCTTAATGGGCCCAGGAGAGGTAATTCAAGGGAGCAAGGGACCTGTAGAATGATCATGTCCTCTTTTTTCTAGCCATAAGGTTATGAATCATATATCTCGGGGGTGTGATTCTGAAGGAAAGAAGTGTGTGCCATAGCAGGAGAATGGAAGGCAGACAGCTGTTGCTATTACTAGAGTTTTAGCAGCCGCCGTAACTCAGCTAGCCCAGACTAGGATCTCAATATGGGGTGAGATGTATTTTCCAATATTGAATAGCAAATGATGTAACTTTGTCATCTTCATGTTGATCTTAAACATCTCTCTGATGAACAGTATAAGAAAACAAATGATCACTTAGAGGATTCTGTTTGGTAGTTAAAACCGTATTAAAATAGAGAGGGAAGAAATTAAGCCTCCTTGATGGTGAAGAGATTGGGAACCACCACTCCAGTGTTAGAAAATGTCAAATGACAGAAGGTGGGCTATATTAAGTGGGAATTTCCAAACCCCACCCCCTGGAAGGAAGGAATGCTTGGTGACAAGCCTTAGAGGAGAGAGATGCTTGTCTAGCCCATTGCCTGTGTGCCCAGGAAGAGATGTGCATACCTTGAGATATAGAGAAGACTCTAGCGGGGAGAAGCCCCAGGCCAGCTTGTCAGCACAGGGCATCGGAGGCCCCCAACCAGCTCCAAGTTCTGAACAGCACACAGCCTTCAAAGGCTTGTACTGCTGCTCATACCCAGCAGAGGCCTTGCACCAGGCCTCCCCATGCAAATCAGTGTCCCCGCAGCGTAGGTAAAGGAGCTCTAGCTGTGCTCCCTATGGGGGAACAGATATACCGTGGGACACTGAGAGACTGGAAGATTGCCCAACATTTATTTACTGATCTGTGTTCACCACAGAACCTAAGGTATTTATTGGTATTGTTTCAACCAGTACGAGTGATTCTTTCATTTAGTGGTCATCTCTGCACTCCACCACAGACTTTTGGGAATTACAAGATGAAAAGGGCCACATCCTCACCCTGGCATAGCTCAGAAAATTTGGTTGGGGAAGTAGGGACATAGACGTGATCACTACACCATAATTTACTAAGCTGTGAGAACTGGAGGTGCATCAGTGACCAGAGTGCATTTGAGCCAGAGGTAGAAGGTACTGTAGACAAAAGGAACAACATGCGCTCTAGGCTGTATCATTAGGTACAATTTTCTGTCCTTGGGGGAGTCTTTTTAACCCTAAGACAAAAATTATGAATATAGAAAGAGGCCACGGTTCATCTTTGCAATTCTTTCAGGAGAAAATTTGCTGCAACTCACTTTCTAAGTTTAAAAAAAAAAAAGAGTAAATGATATGAATATCACCTGAAAGAATTTGAGGTCTCAAACTTGGGAGGATCTTTGAACAACAATCTTGGGGAATGCCTAACAGTTCATACTCATTTCTTGATATCTACAGATGGAAACTCTACAGCCTTACATATATTTCTTTTTTCTTTTAACTACTTTATACTCACAGAAAATCAGTGTTCAGCACTTCTAATAGCAGGTCTAGTGGAAGCTTGAGATCAGAACAGAGTTCCATAAAGGGAAACTGAGGGCACACAAGGCAGAGCAGTACCCCCTTATCCATGGGGACCTGTCTGACTGGAAGTAAGGGAGAAGATTCTACTCCACAGAGAATCAGGGAAGGTTAAAACTGTGTGTGTTTGTGACACTTTTGCTTTCTTGGGCCCAGATACAGGCCGGAAATCCTTTGGGTTCTGGTGACTCAAAGTGTGGCCAAAAGGACCAGCAGCTTTAGCTTCTCTGGGAGAACATATGAGTGCAGAATTTCAGGCCTGCACCAAGTTTTTAAACGTCTGCATTTTAACAAGCTGCTCTTAATTTGCTTACGTATTAAAATTTCCAGAAGCACTGTTCTAGGACCATCTTTAAGTGTTATCCAAAAACATGTAAGATCTTTTTTCAAAGCAAATTCTCAAGCTCTACCCTAGAGGGATTGCTTCTGGTTCTCTGGGGTTGGTGCAGGAATCTACATTTTCGGCAAGTGCCTTAGATCCTTGTGCACACTAGCATTTGAGGATTGCTGCCTTAGATGGTGGGAAATCTGAGCAGGGGAGGGCTGTGGGCTGAAAATGAAATGATGATGTTTAGGAACTGGCACAAGCATGCTTCTGCTCCTGGTGGGAAGCAGTGGGACAGATCCAGTTGATTGTAGAGAATGCAGACCTCGTGTCATGCTCAAGTGTCACCTTAATGTAATGGCTGGAGACAGCCACATATGACCCTCTCATTGTCCAGTCAGTAAGCTCAATCAATGACAGGAACCACTGACTCTGGTAATTAAAAACTTATTGTGGCCGGGCACAGTGGCTCACGCCTGAAATCCCAGCACTTTGGGAGGCAAAGGTGGGCAGATCACCTGAGGTCAGGAGTTCAAGACCAGCCTGGCCAACATGGTGAAACCCCATCTCTACTAAAAATACAAAATTAGCTGGGCGTGGTGGGGTTGCCTATAATTCCAGCTACTCAGGAGGCTAAGACAGGAGAAACACTTGAACCCAGGAGGTGGAGGTTGCAGTAAGCTGAGATCGCATCATTGCACTCCAGCCTGGGCAACAAGAGTGAAACTGTCTAAAAAACAAACAACAACAACAACAACAAAAACACTTATTGCTGGGCAGGTTCTCATAAGAGGCCATGGGAAAGCCATGTCCTATCTCAGGGACACAGGGTCATCTGGGCCTCTGGCTAATAGAGGCCAAATAATGGGACTATTTTCCCTGTGAAATCCTGAAAACCAAAAATGGTGGCGTCTTTATCTGCATTAGCAGAGGTAATTTGCTCCTTCTTGAAATCCAAGGTCACGTCTACTGTCTGGGGATTTTGATCCAGGGTCAGTGTGGTTTCTCCTTTACAGGAGAGCCGAGTCTCAGAAAGGTGAGGTGGTTTGTGTTGGTCATTGGCTACCTCAGATTTTAGAGCAGCTCTACCTTGATTGTGGGGTTGACCTAATTTTTTTTGCTGTCTTCTTTCTTCTCCAGGTGAGGAAAGAGGACTTCCTGTATATCTCTATCCTTTTGTTTCCATTACTCACTTTCTGTGGCTGCTGCTGCAGAAGCCACTGCTGACTGATGTGGATACCTCAATCTTTGGTTTACAAAAAGCCTAGGTGTCTTTTGGCCTCTCTCCAGGTTGATAGCCATGGCTCCTGAAAGAAATAAAAGATGATCATCTTTCTAAAAAGTCTTAAGTCTGAATTATTAGTAACTTAACTGGAGAATCTCACTTTTCCTACTCTCGTATTTTAACCACAGTTGCTCTAACACAGACCTTTGAGGATCTTTTCATGACTTCATTCACAAATACCTATTTATGCTGTACAGATGCTACTAGGAAGGAAATAGGGATGTCTGTTTTGACTGTGGAACTTAACTTGGTCTCGTCTCTTCGTGCATGCAACCCTGTCCTTGGGATAGCTTTCTTGAGCATATCTACTTATGTTCAAGAGGTAAATTGTCCTGAAACCCCCATTGCTATAAGTATTTATTTTATTACTCATAATACTTAATGCTCCTAAAGTTGGGGTATTTTTTTTTTGGATACCTAAACTTCATTGAGATACTTTGAACTATTTATAGAGAAAACGGAACCTTCTAATACCTGGCTTCTATTTCTTAAAATGTTATGATCATACATGGCTTAGGGCTTTATGGCCAAATAACTTCACTGAACCCAGGAAAAAGAATAGATCCATCTGAAACAGACCTGTAGCTTCCAGAGGCCTAAATTTTCGGCTCCATTTGTATCCTTCATTTTCTGTGAGGTAAAGAAGTGGAAGGAGACAAGCCTCAGCCCTTCCCCTGGCACCTTTACTCTTCGCCCTTCCTCCTGGCATGGTGGAAAGTGCACTGGAGGAGGAGTGAAGGGCCCTAGGTTTGCATCCATGTTCTGCCACTTGCCAACCTTAATGGCCCTTACAATTGATTTACCCTCATGAAATTTGGAATGATTTCTAAAGTCTTTCCTCGCCCTGAATGTTAACATTTTTTGATAGTCAGGACTTTCTGTAGCTTCACCTTCCTTATTTAGTGTTATTTTTTTCTCAAGACTGAACAGAGAGGGAAGCTGTCAAAGTGTGCTGGGCACACACCCTGCAGTGGGGCAATGGCCAATTCTAATCTCAAGTCATTAGGCTGCAGTAGCATGACCACTGCTTCCTGTCTACCCTCAGAGGGTAGAGACAGCTGAGCTCCTGTAGTTGGGGTCAGGCCCAGCCACTCTGTGGGGACAGTGATTAGTGTTGTGTCACCAATTCAGGGAAGGAGCCACCTTGTCTTATTTTCCCTCTTGAATTATCTTGATATGACCCCATTATAAATTTCCTTTTGTAAACCTCTGTCTCCCAATTTCTCCTTTTAGCTTACTTTCTATTGAAGTAGAGGAACAGAGTACAACTTCCATCCTCTTTCATCAGCCCTGAAAGCAGAACGCAAGCGCCGTTACTGGGAACTATATCCTTGGCTCCCTGGATGTGGCTATTAACTTCTGGCCTGCCACTCTATCACATACACATATGGAGATGGTGTCATCCATGTACCTTACCCCGTATTTACAACTTCTATCACCCAACAGTGCCAATGGCCCTGATGGTCCCTCTGGGAGGGAGAGAAGAGTAAGCTGGAGTCACCCCTTCCCTGTACTTCCCACCTCGCCAGGCCTGTTGGTGTTAGTGTCCCTTCTGATCTTGGCCTGACCCCTGTGCCCTGGGCACTGGGCTGCAGGTTGGAGAGGCAGCATGATGGAGTGGGGATAACACATACTCCAAAACCAAACAGAAGCCAGACCTGGGTTGGGTCCTGGCGAAACAGTCTAGAGGCTTGGTGACCTTAACCTCCTAATTAATCTTCCTAAGCATAAGTTTCCTTATCATAAGTTATGTATGATAAAATTTTCCTTGGATGCATTCATTTTAGCATGACTTGAAATTATGTGTGAAGGAACCTGGCCCATGGAAGTTGCCCTGTAAATTCAGATTCACTTTCCCTTGGACATATGGATGACATTAGCTCATTACAGTTATGACCTCCCTAAAACTCCCAAATATTCTTTAAGTTCTTCTCTTATTTTCCCTTTAGTTTGTAGTCATATTTCTTAGTTCTTATATCAGTTGGGATTCCCACATCTTCTAGTTGGACAATATTGGAGAAGACACCACATTTTAACTGAGTTCCAGTGATATGACAGGCTTTCAATTCTCTAATCTCACAGAAGTTAGAAAAAAAGTAGATAATCAAAATCCACAGAAAATATAGAAGATTCCATTAACTCTGAGAATGATTCTCAGGTATCCTTAGGACCTCAAGAAAGCTGTTCTCTCCTGGGCCTGTAGAGAGTTCAAGTGCCAGGAATCTACCACAAAGTAGCCGGGAGGTGCAGGGCAGCAGGGGGCACAGTGAAGTGCTGAAGGGCTTCTCAGTCTTCTTTAATTAGAGTGAGAAGAAAAGAGCACCTCCTCATTTTAGAGTACAAGGTGTGAACTCACTCTCAGCTGCCAAGTGAGCTTCACCTTGGGCTGTTTTGCATGCTTTCTCCTAGTGCTTTAAGCCACCCTGAGATGTACAGACCAATACTGGCCATCACAAAAATATACTCGAGTACATAGACCATTGACACTATAAAGCAAGTAAACAATGAAGTCTACATAACAGCCAAATAACAACATGATGATAGGATCAAATCTGCACATATCAATATTAACCTTGAATGTAAATGAGCTAAATGCCTCAATTAATAGGCAGAGAGTGGCAAGTTGGACAGAGAAGCAAGACCCAACTGTATGTCTTCAAGAGACCCATCTCATATGCAGGGACACCAATAGCCTCAAAGTAAGGGATGGAGAAAGATCTATCAAGCAAATGGAAAACAAAAAACAGCACTCTCTGTCCAACAAAAACAGAATATACATTCTTTTCAGCTGCACATGGTACATACTCTTAAAATCGACCACAATTGCTTTATTGGCCAGAAAGCAATTCTCAACAAATTCAAGAAACCTGAAATACCGGCCAGGTGTAGTGGCTCACACCTGTAATCCCAACACTTTGGAAGGCTGAGGTGGGCAAATCACTTGAGGTCAAGAGTTTGAGACCAGCCTGGCCAACATGGCAAAAACCCATCTCTTCTAAAAAATATAAAAATTAGCCGTGCATGGTGGCATGCGCCTGTAGTCCCAGCTACTTCGGAGGTTGAGTCACGAGAATTGCTTGAACCTGGGAGGAGGAGGTTGCAGTGAGCTGAGATCACGCCATTGCACTCCAGTCTGGTTGACAGAGTGAGACTCATCTCAAAAAAACAAAAAAACCCTGAAATACCAACCACACTCTTGGACCACAGTGCCATAAAAATAAATACCAAGAAGATCTCTCAAAACCATATAATTAAGTGGAAATTAATCTACTCCTGAATGACTTGGGTAAACAAAGAGAAATTAAGGCAGAAATCAAGAAATTGTTTACAACTAATGAAAACAAAGATAAAAACATACCAGAATCTGGGACACAGCTAAAGCAGTGTTAAGGGAAAACTATAGTGCTAAATGCCCACATCAAAAAGATAGATCTCAACCTAACATCACATCTAGAGGAACTAAATAAACAAGAGCAAACCAACCCCAAAGCTAGCAGAAGAGAATACCCAAAATCAGAGCTGAACTGAACAAAATGGAGATGAGAAAAACCGTACAAAAAATCAAAGAAAGCAAAAGTTGGTTCTTTGAAAGAATAAATAAGGTTGATAGGCACTAACTAGACTAATAAAAAAAGGAGGGGGGAGATAATCTAAATAAACACAATCAGGAATGACAAAGGGGACGTTGTCACTGACCACACAAAAATACAAAAACCGCTTGGAGACTATTATGAACACCTCTGCACACAAACTAGAAAACCTAGAAGAATGGATAAATTCCTGGGAACATACAACCTCCCAAGATTGAACCAGAAATTGAAACCCCAAACAGACCAATAACAAGTTCCAAAATTGAATCAGTAATAAAAAGCCTACTAACCAGAAAAAGTCCTGGACCAGATGGATTCACAGCCAAATTCTACCAGACATATAAAGAAGAACTGGTATCATTCCTACCGAAACTATTCCAAAAAATTGAGAAAGAGGGACACCTCCCTAACTCAGTCTGTGAGACCAGCATCATTCTGATACCAGAACCTGGCAGAGACACAACAGAAAAAAAGAACTTCAGGCCAATATCCCTGATGAACATATACGCAAAAATCCTCCACAAAATACTACCAAATGAAATCCAGCAACACACCAAAAAGCTAATCCATTGTGATCAAGTAGGCTTTATCCCTGGAGTGCAGAGTTGGCTCAACTTACCCAAATCAATAAATGTGATTCATCACATAAAGGGAACTAAAAACAAAAACCACATGATACCTTAATAGATGCAGAAAAGGCTTTTGGTAAAATTAAACATTCATTCATGTTAAAAACCCTCAACAAACTAGGTTTGAAGTTATAGTCCTCAAAATAATAAAAGCTATCTCTGACAAACCCAAAGCCAACATAATACTGAATTGGCAAAAGCTAGAAGTATTCTCTTTAGGAACTGGAACAAGACAAGGATGCCCACTCTCACTACTCCTATTCAACATAGTACTGGAAGTTCTATTTGGAGCAGTCAAGTGAGAGAAAGAAATAAAAGGCATCCAAATAGGAAGAGAGGAAGTCAAATTATCTCTCTTCATAGATAATGATTCTATACCTAGAAAACTCCATGGTCTCTTCCTGAGGGCTTCTAGATCTGAAAAAGAACTTCAGCAGAGTTTCAGGATACAAAATAAGTTTACAAAAATCAGTAGCATTTCTATACACCAATAACATCTAAACCGAGAACCAAGTGAAGAATGCAGTTTCATTCACAGTAGCCTCAAGAAGAATAAAATACCTAGGAATACAGCTAGCCAAAGAGGTAAACAATCTCTGCAATGAGAATTTTACAAGACACTGCCCAAAGAAATCAGATTACACCAATGGGAAAACATTCCATGCTCCTGGATAGGAAGAATTAATATTGTTGTTAAAACTGCCATACTAGTCAAAGCAATTTACAGATTCAGTGTCAAACTACCAATGACATTTTTCACAGAGTTAGGAAAAAAAATTCAAAAATTCATATGGAACCAAGAAGGAGCCCAAATAGCCAAAGCAATCCTAAGCAAAAAGAACAAAGCTGGAGGCATCACACTACCTGTCTTCAAATTATGAGGTTACAGTAACTAAGACAGCATGGCACTGGTACAAAAACAGACACATAGACTAATGGAGCAGATTAGAGAACTCAGAAATAAAGCCACATACCTAAAACCATCTGATCTTTGACAAAATTGACAATAACAAGCAATGGGGAAAGAACTCCCTATTCAATAAATGGTGCTGGGATAACTGGATAGCCATAGGCAGAAGAATGACACTGAACCCCTATCTTTCGCCATATATAAAAATCAACTCAAAGTGGATTAAAGACTTAAATGTAAAACCTAAAACTATGAAAATACTAGAAGAAAACCTAGGAAATACCATTTTGAGCATCAGCCCTGGCAAAGACTTCATGATGAAGACTCCAAAAGCAACTGCAACAAAACCAAAAATTGCCAAATAAGCCTTAATTAAACTAAAGAACTCCTGCACAGAAAATGGAACTGTCAACAGAGTAAACAGCCTACAGAATGGGAGAAAACATCTGCAAACTGTGCATCTGACAAAGGTTTAATAACCAGAATCTATAAGGAACTTAGTAAGCAAAAAAGAACCCCATTAAAAAATGGGCAAAGGACATGAACACTTTTCAAAAGAAACATAAGAAAAAAAATGCTTAATATCCCTAATTAGGGGAATGCAAATCAAAACCACAATGAGATACCATCTTACACCAGTCAGAAAGGCTATTATTAAAAAAGTCAAAAACTAACTGATGCTGATGAGGTTGCAGAAAAAAGAGAATGCTTATACACTGCAAATGGGAATGTAAATTAGTTCAGCCATTGTGGAAAGCAGTCTGGAAATTTCTCAGAGAACTTAAAACTACCGTTTAACCCAGCAATCCCTTTACTGGGTATATCCCCAAAGGAATATAAATAGTTCTACCTAAAGACACACGCACATGTATGTTCACTGCGGCACTATTCGCAATGGCAAAGATACGGAATCAACCTAGATGCCCAGGTTCGGTGGCTCACGCCTGTAATCCTAGCACTTTGGGAGACCGATTCGGGTGGAGTTCGGCGAGGTCAGGAGTTTGAGACCAGCCTGGCCAACATGGTGAAACCTTGTCTCTACTAAAAATACAAAAATTAGCTGGACATGGTGGCAGGTGCCTGTAATCCCAGCTACTCAAGGCAGGAGAATCGTTTGAACCTGGGAAGCAGAGGTTGCAGTGAGCCGAGATCGCGCCATTGCACTCCAGCCTAGGTGACAGGGCGAGACTCTGTCTCAAAAAAAAAAAAAAAAAAGAAAATGTACATATACACCGTGGAATAGAATACTACACAACCACGAAGAATGACATAATGTCCTTTGCAGCAGCATGGATGGAGCTGGAGGCCATTCCTTAAGACAATTAATGCAGGAACAGAAAACCAAATACTGTATGTTGTCACTTTTAAATGGGAGCTAAACATCGAGTACACATGGACACAAGGGAGCAACAGACACCAGGACCTACTTGAGGGTGGAGGGTGAAAGGAGGGTGAAGACTTAAAAACTACCTTTTGGGTATTATGCTGATTACCTGGGCGACAAAATTATCTGTATACACAACCCCCACAACATTGTAATTTACCCATATAACGAACCTACACATGTACCCCTTGAACCTAAAATGGAAGTTGAATAGTGAAAAAAAATAAAAAAATATATTTTTAATCAGGGAGAAGGGGACTGGGCATTGTGGCTTCTACCTATAATCCCAGCACTTCAGGAGATTTGCGGCAGGAGGATTGCTTGAGGCCAGGAATTTGAGACCATCTTAGGGAACATAGTGAGACCCCATCTTTACAAAAATTTTAAACATTAGCAGGTATGGTGGCATGCGCCCATAGTCCCAGCTACTCAGGAAGATAAGAAGGGAGGATCATTTGAGCCAGGAGTTTGAGGCTGCAGTGAGCTGTGACCACGCCACTGCAGTCCAGCCTGGATGATACAGCAAAATCGTGTCGAATGAAAAAGAGGGATGGGGGCAAAAAATTTTGCCTTGAGCCGGCCCTGCCATTAGATGAACCCATTAAGAGCAATTTCTGTTTGGTAGACTCAGAGTTCACTGATGGATGCTGTCGTTGTTAGATCACTTTAAAAACTGTACAGTGTGGTCCAGCACAGAGCACAGTCTTTCAAATGAAAGAAAGCTGGATTTAAATTCTGACTGTGTCTCCTAGGGTGTAGCCTTGAACCAAGGACATTCCTTCAACTCTTGCTTTGATCATAAGTAAAATGAAGGATAATCAGTAATGTGAGTATACTGAAAAAAATGAAAGCACTGAGCATGGTGCTGGCATCCAAGAGAGGCTCAATAATTTTCTTTATTTTTATTTCATAGAATTCCTGACCTCAAAGAACATATCTATGAGTGATTTCTGATAGGGAAACATGTTGACCTTGTCCCAAATACCTAGTGCTTTCAAAAAATAGTAACATGTCTAACAGTCTATACAAATTCTTCTCTCTTGTCAGGTAGAAGTGAGAGCAAGAGTCATAACAGCAAACACCCTTCTGACCTCTGAAATGCTTCAAACTTTAGATTACAAAGATTTTGTTGTCACGGACCGGGACACAGCTGGGGGTGTTGGAAACCACACCCACTTCTGCCTGAGGGAAAGACAGGATAGTAGCTAGGTGACCACTAGATACCCTCTCTCAGAGTTGAAGGGTCCTTAAGCCTGAGAGGTCATTATTGTCATCATCTGTGCCCTGTAATGAGGTGTTAGTAGGGGTGATATGTATTTCTTCTGGACTGGGAATTTAACTGCTGGTTTATGTTCTTCCAGAGCTCCCTCTTTGCCCACTAGCAGGGCATTAGCTGGTGCTGAAGACAGTGGCTGCTTGGCGAGCCTGGATCTCCAAGTGACCCCCTCAGCAACTCCTGATGAACAGGTAGCATGTAAAAGAAATCTTTTTGGTTTATACCAGTGAGATACGGGAGTTGTATATCATTGCAGCATAATCTAGGCTATAGATGATGCAATACTGCTACATTAGGGTCTTTGATTTCTAGTCAGGCCCTATGCCTAGGATAGCTTACTGCTGGCACACTCTTCAGCCAGTCTCTCAGCTCTGCACAGCACCAGATATGCCAGGATTTTGGCCTTTGATTCAGAGCTCTTTTCTGGAATTTTCTTCATGACCAGAGAATACCTCTGTCTTGCTTTGCTGACAAGAGGTATTAATCTAGAAATGGCTATAGTTATAGTTCATACAGGAAATGTGTTGCAAAAAATTGAGCTAATCTAGAGAAGAGAAAATAAAAGATGGGAAGTCTTAGTTGCATTCAAATCCCTGGTTCCAGTTGTACCTGAGGTGCAGTTACATTATTGTTCCTTTAGTTTGCTAAATAAGATAATGAATCCCCATGTTGACAAGGTTAAGTTAGATTTCTATAATTTTTCTAGGAATAACATAGTGTTTTTATTTGCCCAGATGTTATAGCTCACCTAAAAAAACCCTATCTATCCAGGGCTTTTGTTGCCTTTTTTTTTTTTTTTGAGACGGAGTCTCGTTCTGTTGCCCAGGCTGGAGTGCAGTGGCGTGATCTCAGCTCACCAGAACCTCAGCCTACGGGATTCAAGTGATTCTCCTGCCTCAGCCTCGCTGGTAGCTGGGACTACAGGCATGCACCACCACACCTGGCTAATTTTTGTATTTTTAGTAGAAACGGGGTTTCACTGTGTTGGCCAGGCTAGTCTCAAACTCCTGACCTCAGGTGATCTACCCGCCTAAGCCTCCCAAAGTGCTGGGATTACAGGCATGAACCACCATGCCTGGACTATTGCCATTTTCAGTGTTGTGTCCAGTGATGTTTCCTTCACACCAAGAAGTCTTCAGGGGATTCATATATGGATTGTGAAATCCTCTAGTGACATGGAAGTTTCTGTGTCATGCAGATAGAGAAATTGTGATGCCTGGATGCCTGAGGTTTTTTGGAGTGAGGTACTATGCATTTGCAAGTAATTGTAAACTGTATAATCCAGGATTAAAAGATAAACTATTGTTGCATTTAGAACTGTGTTTAGAATACAATAATTTGTTGTTGTTTTGTAATAGGACTGAAGCCAATATTAAAGCAAGTCAACCAAAGGTTCTCTGGTGTAGACAAGACAGCAAAAGGACAGACTACCTTGTGGAACCTAGCATTGTTCTCCTTCTGCAGCACTAAGTAACATTTGTTCTCCGTTAAGATCTTTGCAAACCACACACAAGAATTGCTGGTCATCCTGCCAATAGATGCTGCTCACAGAACCAAATTTCCTGTGCTGAATTGTCACTCATGGGCCTGAGAGTAGGAGACTGGAGACCAAGGTGGCTAGAATCCAGTTGGGCCTGATGTCTCCCTGTTGAAAGGGCTCCTTGTGGAATGAATAGCACATGGCTCCTGTGGTGGATCTGATAGTGGCATAGCACCAAGTGATGCAGGCCTGCCAGGGGCCACAGACACAGAAGATGCTCCCGGGGTCCCCCATGTACTCCAGACACACTGCAGGCCACCTCTCCCAGCAGGTTGCCAGTCATGGGCCCCATCATCATGACTTCTGTCCAAGGTGTGCTCGGAAATCTCTTCCTTAACTGTGACTTTCTGACAGGTGGAGGATGTGGTCAGGAGTGGGAAAAGGATTCGAGACGGGAAGAGGGAGGGGTTCAGGATGAAGAGAGATAATCTGTGCCACAGATGCTGGCCCTGCAGTTAGCTCCCACCTAGTCCGTGCACACACATTCTAATCCCCTCCCATTCCTTTACATGCTGCGGCCAGAGAGGCCTTTCTCAAAGTGGAAGTCTCATCCTCACTTCTCTGGTTACAGTGCTGGGCCATGGGTAACTTACAAGGCTTAGCAGGAACTGTCTGCGCACTCCCCCTTCCTGCCCACTACCTTGTTTCCCTCCAGTTGCGAGAGAAAACATTGATTGAGCATTAACTATGTGCCAGGCTTGTCCTAAGTCCTTTGCATGTATTCACTCAAACAATCCTCACAACATTCCTATCACATCTCCCATTTCACAGTGAGGGTTCTAAAGCACGTAGTGGGTGAGGAACTTGTCCAGGGTCACACAACTAAGTGGGGGTGGAGAAACATCAAATCTAGGTGGTCCAGGTGGTGGCCAGAACCCATCAGCACCTCACTACAGCTGCCTCCAGTTTCTCGCTCTAGGAAATACTCTTCCCTGTCAACTCCTGTTGTCCTCTGGGCTCAGTTGACATGTCATCTCCTTGAGGAGGACATCCTGAGATGCTCCCCGACTAGGGTGGGCACCCACTTCCACACTCCAAATGCCTATTTGACCTGTGTATCGCTGCATCCCCACTGCCTGGCAGATAGCAGGCCCCTAATAAATATGATTTGAGCAAATAAATATAGTTCTTCAAAAAATAGGGAGGACTTCTTGCTTCAGGTAATGGTAGGCTAGGACATTTGGACCAACCCTCCTGCAGAAAATAGCCATTTATTTTGATGCAATATATCTGGCTATGACTAGAGATTTCAAATATTTGGAGGGCTATTATGTGAAGAACTAAACTTACTCTTTGTGACATAGAGGTCAGAAATTGGTCGTTTCCATAGAGTATGAGAGAGACAGAATTGTGCTCATCATAAGTATCTTTTTTAAAAGTTAGACTTAATAAAATGGGCTGCCTTGGTAGGTGGTGAGTTCTCTGTCACGAAAGAGATTCAGCCACTTGCTCTGAGAAAGCATGGAGAATATCAACATTGTAAGGGTCGACCACCTCATCTCTGAGGCCCCCTCCTCACTTAGGTTGCCATTGCAGGTGGAACACTGGGCTGAGTGTCAAAGAACCTGGGTTCCACAAGCTGTGCGACCATGGCTGGTTGTTTTGGATCTCATTCCTAATATCTGTTAGTTAAGCTGACCCGTCAATACTGACCCACTTCACAGAGTTATGAAGGGATTAAATTAGGTATTACATGTAAATCTGTTTTGTTTGCTTTTTGTTGTTCTTTTTTGTTTTGCTTTTTTCTTTGCATTATGAAATCCCAAGTCAACTTTTTCCATTCTTTTATTTTTTTAAAAATTGACATCATCATTATAACCACAAAATAATTTTTAAAATGGAAAAAAAAAACTCACCTGCAACCCCACAATCTAATACAATAATCATACTTTTTTCCCTTTATTCTCCTTTATTGTGACCAAGGATGACTTTGGGCATTGCTGTGAGGAACTATTTCGTTTAACACCCTACTACCTGAACATGATGCGTACTCAGCCTTTCACCACCCCCCAAGTAGCTACACATGATGTGATAATAGTATTGGTGGTGGTTTTAGAGAGTTGGAGAGAAAACTGAAGTTGGATTTGGGTAAAAGAAAAAAGAGTGGGAATTATTTTTTCTCCATTCTAAAGCCCATAAAGCAATGTTAATTGTTCCCACCCCTCTGCTATTCTGTCTCCTCAGGTACTGTGTGCAGAAATGTGATTGAGATTCAAGTCAGGGCCTCTCTGCCCTTTTCCCTCCAGAAACAAAACCAAGATAATTTATCCTGAACACGGTGAAAAAAGGAAGGGAGGGAGGAGAAAAAGTCCGGGTCTCACCTGGGATTCTCTGTCTCCTGCAACATGAAGGATTTAGCCTGGGAGGAGGTGGTGAGAACTCTGGGAGAGAAAAAAGAAGGAAAGAATAGTTTTACCCATGCTGAAGTTAATTTAAACCTTCACCTAGAGAAGCAAAAAAAAAAACCCACACTTTCCCATTTTGTGCCTCCCTTCCTAGAGTTTTAGCCAAAGGTTTAGCTAAGTAATTGGTTTTACCAGGGCACTCACTCCTCCTATCCCAAGTCTGTTTGACTCCCTCCCCATCATCCTCCTCACCTCTTTTCAGGCAGGGTGGGGATAGCAGCAGGAGGAGATTTTGGGAGCCTGGCAACTCCTGCAAGGACCGCAGGACAGCCCCTCTGTGGGGATGCGTGGTGCCCCATCTGCCGCCCTTCTGAAGAATGCACTGCCTTCACTTTTTACTGTGTTAGAGTCCATCCAGACTGTTCTATCCAAAAAAGTTTCTTTTTCCCCCACAGGCAATCAGGAAATGATTCCTTTCCCGACTGCTTCTGTCTAGTGCCTGGGAATCTTGAGTCAATCCCTCAGTAAGTCAGTGACTAGGGAAATCCCTCTCTGAGACTCCCAGTTCATGTTGCTTAGGGAACCTGATATTTTCGTGAAACCTGCCTACACATGGGCAGCCCAACAGCAGAACAAATGGTGGTGACCAAAGTGAACAAAGAAGTATAGTTGTGCCAGCTTCGTAGTTGCCCATGTGGACAAGTCAGCAGGATCAGGACACGAGGAAGAGTAAATGTGAGACAGTCAATGTGACTTCTGCGATAAACAGATTTTTAAACCCCGAAATTTTGCAAAATTTTGGTGAAACCTGAACTTTCTTCGTTGCATATACTGGCACTATCTGTACCATCATACAACCGTCTCACATTAAAGCTATTTTTCTTGGGCACTGATGAGTAAGGTTGGTATGTTTGAGTTCCTCAGATCAACAAAAACCCATTTTCCTGTAAGTCTTACATTTAGTATTTAAGGAACTAAAACTTAAATACATTTTGTGAAATGGTTGACACTTCACTGATAATGATTTATTGCTTGGATTAATAAATTTTCCAAAAGTTGTCTTATGTAGAATATGGTTTGCAACCAGCAGAACCATTAATCTATACTGCAATGATATGCACTATGTATAATTGTTTAAAAGCCTCTACTTAATGATGTAAAATGCTCTATTTAATTACACATTTGGGTAAACTGTATACTAACATCTGATGGCATTTTTCCACTGTTTGTTGCTTTTTTCAAATACTTTATTGTACAAAGCTGTTCTTAATATTTTTCAAGTTTTTTTCTTTGAATTTTGCTAATGTTTTCCTTGAATTATGAGCACTGACAGAATGTGCTTAGCACTTTTGGCTATTCACACAGCTTTTGAGCATGATTTGCATCCAATATTTACATTGCTAGCAATAATAAGCCATCTGTGAGTTTTGTCAAAAGTTATTGGGGATTTTTTAAATTTTAGAAATGCAAATTATTGTTTCTTTGAACTAACTCTTATGCAGTTGCAAAGGCATTTCCAGTTGTTATAGTTTGTGTACAATATCAGGTGTTCCAGATTATGATTCATTATTAATATCATTGCTTCCTTGTTCCCTCTGAGGTCCAGAAGATTCATGTTTACAATATTTAGAAACAATGTTAAAAAGGTATCCAAAGTTTGTCACTTTATTATTAGTTTGTTCTTAATATTCTGTTTAAGTTTTTGAATTCATAGATATCAAAACGCTGCACAATTATGATTTCCACAGGAATAACAACACACTAACAATAAGAACCAAAAACAGCAAATAGGCTGCCTACAAGTTTTGACAATATTAGGATAATGATAATGACAGTTTTTCTAAATCTCACAGTAAAGAATGCAGCAACCCAGCAACACTGCTACCTGTGGCCTCAGGCTGCAGTGTCAGCTCTTCCCTGGGTCTCCAGCCTGCCAGTCTAACCTGAAAATTATGTACTTGCCAGCCCCCACAGTCACGTGAGTGAACTGGCCCAGGCTGGTCACCAGGGTCAGTTTCTCTGTGTGTCATTAATTCATTCAGTCTTCAGCAGTCTCTTTGGAGCTGAGATGTACCTACCATCTGCCTTTTGGGTGCTTAGGGTGGAGAACCAGAAAAGTATAACCTAGTGTGTATCCTCAAAGAGCTAACAATATGGGGTGGTACCTATAGGTCTGGAAACACTTTACTGACTCTGTGAGGCATACCAGGAGACGTCAGAGAACAGTCCCTCCTCAAATGCCAAATGAGATGCAGAAGAAATAGTTTGCTCAAGTTCATGGGCCAGATATCCCAGTGGTCAGGGAGTTTCATGAATGAGATGGAACTTTGCATGGAACCCGAGGGATGTGTATGATTTGAGTAGATGAAGAAAATGAGACTTTCCAAGCAGCTAGAAGTTAGGGAGCAGCAAGATGTGTGGTGGGATTGAGCACAGTTGGTTCAGAGGATAGACTGCAGTTTTAATAATTTGTAGTAAATATCTCCCAACTGTTTGGCACTATTGGAGCAAGTTCTTGAATGCCAAATGAAGGCATAAATCAGTAAGAGGCATAATAAAAGGCTGAGCAGTGCTTGGCTTTTTACGAACTGATCCTGATAGGAGCAGCTGTTCAACAAAGTTGCCAGGTCACCGTTACATAGTCCCTGCCTTCTAGGGGCTCACTGCCTACTGGGAGAGACAGTCTGAAAGTTGGTGGAGCATGTAACTGTTGGATGAGGAGTTTGAGCCTGTGGACTGTGGGACCCCCGAGGAGGGTGTGGCTACTCTAGGCAGAACAATCCCACAGTTTATTTATATTTAACCTTGAAATTCATTAGAGGATTTTTCAGCAGAGGTTTGGTACTTGTTAATGTTAAGGTTTGCATTCTCTAGAACCTCAAGGAAAGCTGTACCGTGCATAATGTACCCTCTTATGTTAATGTTGTGTACTGTGATCCTGTTTCAGGGACTTGCACTTAGGAATCTGTTACAGTGAGCACAGAAGCAGACCTGTGGGCTCATAGTCTTCACCCCCCACCCATATATACAAGATGAACAGAGTGGAGGTTAAACAACTTGACTAAACAACACAGTTCATGGTAAAGCCCAAGACTGTACCTGCCCATCCACTGCCTTTTCCATGTATCCTGGAACTGAGCATAGACCTCTTCCCAGGCAGAGCTGACAGCAAGTAAAGGAGATCATAATCAGGGGACCAAACAACTTTGTCTAAAGTGTGAATGTCACCTAAGGAGAAGCTGTGAGATCAGAAGGGTGGGGCAGAGGAGCAGACACCATGAGGGAGAGTCCTTGGGGGTACATCTGCCAGACTGACACTGTCTGGCCTGGGCAGTGGAGGGGCTAGCAGGAACCACAGGTACTGGTGGTGTGGCTACTACCGTTACAACTGCCTGTGCTTGGACATGGACCCTCTGCAATATGCGGCAGTTTCATTCATTGCCCCCTACATTCTACACCAAGTAGAAATGGAAGGCAATTGGATACTTCACAGACAAGATCTAAGTGGAGAAGGAATGCGTCCTGTGGCTGCAGAGATCCTTGGAGCTTGGAGGGGAGAGCTTGAGCCCCACTGATGATGACCTCCCACAGCTCGCCAACTCAGCCCTCCCTAAGTCCCCATCGGGGGCCAATTCTCACTCTGGGGTTGGGGGGACTCCACCATAGCTCATCCATCATAGGGATGTTGGTATCTACTGTGGGTTGGGTAGGGCCGATGTGCTGAGGATGGCTCCCCCACAAGCAAGAGATGTGGATTTGGGGAGCTTCCCATCTTGTGTTGAAGGAACATAACTCAGAATAATAAGAGCCAACTATAACAAACCCACAGCCAACATCATACTGAATGGGCAAAAGCTGCAGGCATTCCCCTTGAAAAGTGGCACAGGATAAGGAAGCCCTTTCTCACCACTCCTATTCAATATAGTGTTGAAAGTCCTGATCACAGCAGTCAGGCAACAGAAATAATAAAGGGCATCCAAATAGGAAGAGAGGAAGTCAAACTATCCTTGTTTGCAGACAGTATGATTCTATATCTAGAAAACCCCATAGCCTCAGCCCAAAAGGTCCTTCATCTGATAATTTCAGCAAAGTTTCAGGAGACAAAATCAGTGTACAAAAATCACTAACATTCCTATACACAGTCGCCAAGCCAAGAGCCAAATCAGGAGCACAATCCCATTCATAATTGCCACAAAAAAGAATAAAATACCCAGGAATGCAGCTAACCAAGGAAGTAAAGGATCTCTACAATGAGAATCACAAACGCTGCTCAAAGAAATCAGAGATGACACAAACAAATGGAAAAACTTTCCATGCTCATGGCTAGGAAGAATCAATATCATTAAAGTGGCCATACTACCCAAAGCAATTTATAGATTCAATGCTATTCCTATCAAACAATTACATTTTTCACAGAACTAGAAAAAACTTAAAATTCATATGGAACCAAAAAGCCTGAGTAGTCAAGGCAATCCTAAACAAAAAGAACAAAGGTGGAGGCATCACATTACCTAACTTCAAACTACAGGGCTACCATGACCAAAACAGCATGGTACTGGTACAAAAGCAGACACACAGACCAGTGGGACAGAATAGAGAGCCCAAAAATAAGGCCACAAACCTACAGCCATCTGATCTTCAACAAAGTTGACAAAAACAAGCAATGGGGAAAGGTCTCCCTATTCAATAAATGGTGCTGGGATAACTGGCTGGCCATATGCAGAAGATCGTAACTGGACCCCTTTTACTATGTACAAAAATTAAGATGGTTTAAAGAGTTAAAACCCAAAATTATAAAAATCCTGAAGATAACTTAGGCAATACCATTCTGGACATAGGAACTGGCAAAGATTTCATGATGAAGACACCAAAAGCAATTGTAACAAAAGCAAAAATGGACAAATTGGATTTAAGAGCTTTTTCATAGCAAAATAAACAACAGGGCAGACAATCTACCAAATGACAGAAAATTTTTGCAAACTATGCATCTGACAAGGGGCTAATATCTAGCATCTATAAGGAATTTAAACACAGTTACAGGAAAAAAAAAACCCACTCCATTAAAAAATGGGCAAAGGACATGAACAGACACTTTTCAAAAAAGACATACATACAGCCAACTAGCATGTTAAAGAAAACCTCAATTATCACTGATCATTAGAGAAATGCAAAATCAAAACCATGATGAGATATCATCTGCCAGTCAGGATGGCTACAAAAAAGTAAAAAAATAATAGATGTTGGTGAGGTTATGGAGAAAAGGAACTTATACACTTGTTAGGAGTGTAAATTAGTTCAATCACTGTGGACAGCAGTGTGGTGATTCCTCAGAGAGCTAAAAACAGAACTACCATTTGACTCACCAATCCCATTACTGGATATTTACCTAAAGGAATATAAATCATTCCACCATAAAGACACATGCAAGTGTATGTTCATTGCAGCACTATTAACAGTAACAAAGCTGGGCACAGTGGCTCACCTCACGACTGTAATCCCAGCACTTTGGGAGGCTGAGGTAGGCGGATCACCTGAGGTCGGCAGTTTGAGACCAGCCTGACCAACATGGAGAGACCCCATCTCTACTAAAAATACAAAATTAGCCAGGTGTGGTGGCTCATGCCTGTAATCCCAGCTACTTGGGAGGCCAAGGCAGGAGAATTGCTTGAACCCAGGAGGCAGAGGTTGCAGTGAGCCGAGATCACACCATTGCACTCTAGCCTGGTGAAGGAGCAAGACTCCATCTCAAAAAAAAAAAAAAAAAAAAAAAAAAGAAAGAAAGAAAAATACACATTCAGAGGAGACAAAAAATAAAAAACAATGATGCATGCCCACAGGATCTAGAAAATAACTTCTTAAGGGCAAATCTAGGAGTTATTGGCCTTAAAGAAGAGATAGAGAAAGAGATAGGAATAGAAAGTTTGTTGAAAGGGATAATAACATAGAACTTCCTAAACCTACAGAAAGATATTTATATCCAAGTACAAGAAGGTTATAGAACACCAGGCCAATTTAACCCAAAGATTACCTCAAGGCATTTAATAATCAAACTCCCACAGGACAAGGGTAAAGAAAGGATCCTAAAAGCAGCAAGAGAAAAGAAACAGATAACATACAATGGAGCTCCAATACATCTGGCAGTATATTTTTCAGTGGAAACCTTACAAGCCAGGAGAGAGTGACATGACATATGTTAAAGTGCTGAAGGGAAAAAACCTTTTACCCTAGAATAGTATATCCAGCAAAAATATCCTTCAAACATGAAGAATAAACAAAGACTTCCCCAGACAAACAAAAGCTGAGGGATTTCATCAACACTAGACTGGTCCCATAAGAAACGCTTAAGGGAGTACTTTGGTCAGAAAGAAACAGACATTAATGAGCAACAAAGAATCATCTAAAGGTAAAAAACTCACTGTTAAGAGTAAGTACACAGAAAAACCCAAAGTGTGATAACATTGTAACTGTGGTGTGTAAGTAGAAAGAATAAATGATAAACCAATCAAAAATAGTAACTACAACTTTTCAAGACCAGTCAGAAAAATAAGATAAAATTAGAAACAACAAAAAGTTAAAAAGTGGGGGGATGAAGTTAAGATGTAGAGTTTTTATTAGTTTTTTGTTTGTTAATGCAAACAGTGTTACCAGGTTAAAATAATGGGTTACAAAATAGTATTTGTAATCCTTATGGTAACCTCAAACCTAAAAACATACACTGGATACATAAAAAATAAAAAGCAAAAACCTAAATCATATCACCAGAGCAAACTACCTTCCCTAAAGGAAGACAGGAAGAAAAGAAAGAAGAAGACCACAAAACAACCAGAAAACAAATAAATAACAAGGCAGGAGTAAGTCTTTACTTATCGATAATACATTGAATGGCAATATGGACTAAACTCTCCAATCAAAAGACATAGACTGGCTGAATGAATGGAGAAAACAAGACCCATTGATCTGTTGCCTACAAGAAACACACTTAAACTATAAAGACACACATAGGCTGAAAGTAAAGAGTTGGAAAGAGTTATTCCATGCCAATGGAAACCAGGAAAAAGAGAAGGAGTATTGATTTTGATACAAAAACTATGAGACAAATAAAGTCACTATACAATGATAAAGGGGTTAATATGGTTTCCATTTGTGCCCCACCCAAATTTCGTGTTCTATTGTAATCCTCAATGTTGGAGGTGGGGCCTGGTGGGACGTGATTGGATCATGGGGGTGGATCTTTCATGACTAATTCAGCACCATCTTCTTAGTGCTGTTCTCATGATAGTGAGTTCTTCTGAAATCTGGTTGCTTAAAAGTGTGTAGCACCTCTCCACACCACCCGCTTGCCTTGGTCTACTCCTGCTATGTAGATGCTTGCTCCCACTTTGCATTATTCCATGAGTAAAAGCTCCCTCAGGCCTTCCCAGAATCAGATGCCGCTATGCTTCCTGAACAGCCTGTGGAACTATGAGCCAATTCAACCTCTTTTCTTCATAAATTAACAAGTCTTGGGTATTTCTTTATAGCAGTGTGAGAACAGAATAATACAGAAAATTGGTAAAGAGGAGTGAGGCATTGCTAGAAAGATACCTGAAAATGTGGAAACAGCAGTGGAACTGGGAAATAGACAGAGGTTGGAAGAGTGTGGAGGGCTCCGAAGATAGGAAGATGAGGGGAAGTTTGGAATTTCTTAGAGATTTGTTAAATTGTTTTGACCAAAATACTGATAGTGATATGGACAATGAAGTCCAGGCTGAGGAGGTCTCAGATGGAGATGAGGGACTTATTGGGACCTGGAGTGAAGGTCACTTTTGTTAGGACATTGTGGTTGGAGACATTGTGCCCCTGCCCTAGGAATCTGTGGAACTTTGAACTTGAGAGCGAAGATTTAGGGTATCTGGCAGAAGAAATTTCTAAGCAGCAAAGCGTTCAAGACGTGGCCTGGCTGCTTCTGGTAGTCTGTGCTCATATTTGTGAGCAAAGACATGACAAGAAACTGGAACTTATATTTAAAAAGGAAGCAGAGTGTAAAAGTTTGGAGAATTTGCAGCCTGGCCATGTTGTAGAAAAGAAAAAAACCATTTTCTGGAGAGGAATTCAAGCTAGCTGCAGAAAATTGCAAGTAACAAGGAGCAAAATGTTGATAGCCAAGATAGTGGGAAAAACACCTTGAAGGCATTTCAGATACCTTGGGGGCAGCCTCTCCCATCACAGGCCCAAAGGCCTAGGAGGGAAGGATGGTTTCCTGGGCCAGGCTCAGGGTCCTGCTGCCCTGCACAACCTCAGGAAACTGCTCTCCAAATCCCAGCTGCTCCAGCTCCAGCTTCAGCTCAAAGGGCCCCAGGTATAGCTCAGGCTGCTGCTCCATAGGATGCAAGTTATAAGCCTTAGTGGCTCCCGTGTGGTGTTAAATTAAGCCTGTAGGTGCACAGAGTGCAAGAATTGAGGCTTGGGAGCCTCCAACTAGATTTCAGAGTATGTGTGGGAAAGCCTGGATGTCCAGGCAGAAGCCAGCTGCAGGGACAGAGCCCTCATGGAGAACCTCTACTAGGGTAGTGTGGAGGGGAAATTTGGGGTTGGAGTTCCCACACAGCTTCCCCTCTGGTGTACTGCCTAGTGGAGCTGTGAGAAGACAGCCACTGTCCTCCAGATTCCAGGATGATAGATCTGCCAATGACAGCTTGCACTGTACAACTGGAAAAGCCACAGGCAGTCAATGCCAGCCCGTGAAAGCAGTGACAGTGGCTTACCCTGCAAAGTCCCAGGGGCTGAGCTGCCCAAGGCCTTGGGAGCCCACCCCTTGCACCAGTGTGCCCTGGATGTGAGATATGGAGTCAAAGGAGACTATTTTGGAGCTTTAAGATTTAATGACTACCTGCTGGGTTTCAGACTTGCATGGGTCCAGTAGCCCCTTTCCTTTGGCCAATTTCTCACTTTTGGAATGGGAGTGTTTACCCAATTCCTGTACCCCCACTGTATGTTGGAAGTAACTAACTGTTTTTTTATTTTGTAAGCTCACAGGTGGGAGAGACTTGCCTTGTCTCAGGTTGAGACTCTGGACTTTGGACTTTTGAATTAATGCTGGAATGAGTTAAGACTTTGAGGGACTGTTGGGAAGATATAACTGTATTTTGCAGTATGAGAAGGACATGAGATTTGGGAGACACCAGAGGTGGAATAATATGATTTGGATCTGCATCCCCACCAAAATCTCATGTTCAATTGTAATCCTAAATTTTGGAGGTTGAGCCTGGTGGAAGAGGATTGGATAATGGGGGTGGTTTCTCATGGTTTAACACCATCCCCCTGGGTGCTGTTCTCATGACAGTGAGTGAGTTATTGTGAGATCTGATTGTTTAAAAGTGTGTGCCACCTCCTCCCACTTTCCTCCTGCTCCAGCCATGTAAGACAGGCTTGCCTCCCCTTCACCTTTTGTCATGATTGTAAGTGTTCTGAGGCCTCCCCAGCCATGCTTCCTGTACAGCCTGCAGAACTGTGAGCCAATTAAACCTCTTTTCTCTATATATTACCCAGTCTCGGGTATTTCTTTATAGCAGTGCAAGAATAGACTAATACAGGGTTCAATTCAGCAAGAGGATATAACAAATATAAATATATATGCACTCAACACTGCAGCACCCAGATATATAAAGCAAATACGATTAGAGCTAAAGAGAGAGAGTGACCCCAATACAATAATAGCTGGAGACTTCAACACCACATTTTCAGCACTGGACAGATCTTCCAGACAGAAAATAAAAAAGAAACATCAGACTTAATCTGCACTGTAGATCAAATGGATCTAATACATACTTGCAGAACATTTTATCCAATGGCTGCAGAATACACATTCTTTTTTAGCACATGTATCATTCTCAAGGATAGACCATATGTTAGGTCACAAGTCTTAAAACATTAAAAAAGTTGAATACCATCAAGCATCTTCTCTGACCACAGTGGAATACAACTAGAAACTAATAACAAGAGGAATTTTTGAAACTACAAATACATGAAAATTAAACAATATGCTCCTGAATGACCATTGAGTCAATGAAGAAATTAAGAAGGAAATTGAACAATTTCTTGAAACAAATGATAAAGGAAACACAACATACCAAAACCTATGGGATACGGCAAAAGCAGTACTAAGAGGCAAATTGATAGCTATAAGTGCCTACATGAAAAAAGAGGAAAAACTTCAAATAAGCAATTTAACAATGAACCTTAACCAGAAAAGCAAGAGCAAAACAAACACAAAATTAGAAGAAAACAAATAATAAAAATTAGAGCATAAATAAATAAAATTGAAATAAAAATCAATGCAAAAGAACAATGAAACAAAAAGTTGCTTTTTTTCAAAAGTTAAACAAAACTGACAAGCCTTTAGCAAGACTGAGAAAAAAGAGACAAGATACAAATCAGAAATGAAAAAGACATTACAACTGACACTGCAGAAATTCAAAGGATCATTAGGGGCTACTATGAGCAACTCTATGCCAATAAATTGGAAAATCTAGAAGAAATTGACAATTCCTAGACACATACAACCTACTGAGACTGGACCAGGAAGAAATCCAAAACCTGAACAGACTAATAACAAGTAACAAGGTTGAAGCCGTAATAAAAAGTCTCCCACTAAAGAAAACCAAGGACCCGATGGCTTCACTGTTGAATTCTACCAAACATTTAAAGAAGAACTAATACCAATCCCACTCAAGCTATTGAAAAATAGAGGAGGAGAGAATATTTCCAAAGTCATTCTAGGAGACCAGTATCACCCTGATACCAAAACCAGACAAAGACACATCAAAAAAAGAAAACTGCTGGCCAATTTCTCTGATGAATATTGATGCCAGAATCCTCAGCAAAATATTAGCAAACTAAATTCAACAATACATTAAAAAGATCATTCATCAGGGTCGGGTGCAGTGGCTTAAGCCTCTAATCCCAGCACTTTGGGAGGCCGAGGTGGGCAGATCACCTGAGGTCAGGAGTTCAAGACCAGCCTGACCAACATGGTGAAACCTCGTCTCTACTGAAAATACAAAATTAGCCGAGTGTGGTGGTGCATGCCTGTAATCCCAGCTACTCAGGAGACTGAGGCAGGAGAATCACTTGAACCCAGGAGGTGGAGGTTGCAGTGAGCTGAGATTGTGGCACTGCACTCCAGCCTTGGTGACAGAGTGAGACTCCATTAAAAAAAAAATCATTTATCATGACCAAGTGGGATTTATCCCTGGAATGCAAGGATGGTTCAACACATGCAAATCAATCAATGTAATACATCATATCAAAAAGAATGATTAAAACCATATGATTATTTCTATTGATGCTGAAAAAGTAGTTTATAAAATCCAACATCCCTTCATGATAAAAACCCTCAAAAAACTGTATAAAAGAAATATACCTCAACGTAATAGCCAGATATGACAGACCCACAGCTAGTATCATACTGAATGGGGAAAAAGTGAAAGACTTTCCTATAAGATCTGGAACACAACAGGGATGTTCACTGTCACCACTGTTATTCAACAAAGTACTGGATGTTCTAGCTAGAGCGATCAGACAAGAGAAGATATAAAGGCCATCCAAACTGGAAAGGGAGAAGTTAAATTACCCTAGTTTGCAGATGATATGAACTTATATTTGGAAAAAACCTAAAGGCTCCACAGGAAAACTATTAGAATCAATAAATTCAGTAAAGTTGCAGGACACAAAATCAACATATAAAAACCAGTAGCATTTCTATATGTCAACAGTGAACAATTTGAAAAATTTTAAATTTAAGAAGGTAATTTCATTTACAATAGCCACACATAAAATTAAATACCTAGGAATTAACCAAAAATGTGCAAGATATCTATGAGGAGAATTATAAAACATTGATGAAAGAAATTGAAGAGGACACAAAAAAAATGGAAAAAATTCCATCTTTATGGATTGGAAGAATCAATATTGTTAAAATGTCCATACTACCCAAAGCAATCTACAGATTTAATGCAATCCCTATCAAAATACCAATAATAGTCTTCAGAGAAATAGAAAAAAAAATCCCAAAATTTATATGAAAACACAGAATGCCCAGAATAGCCAAAATTATATTAAGCAAAAAGATCAAAACTGGAGGAATCACATTACCTGACTTCAAATTATGCTACAGAGCTATAATCACCAAAACAGCATGGTACTGACATAAAAACAGACACATAGTCCAACAGAACAGAATAGAGAACCTAGAAACAAATCCACACACTCACAGGGAACTCATTTTTGACAGAGTTGCCAAGTACTTATACTGGAGAAAAGAAAAGACAGTCTCTTCAATGAAATGGTGCTGGGAAAACTGGATATCCATATGCAGAAGAATGAAACTAGACCCCTACCTCTCACTGTAGACAAAAGTCAAATCAAGGCTAGGCATGGTGGCTTACACCTGTAATCTCAGCACTTTGGGAGGCTGAGGCAGGCGTATCACGAGGTGAAGAGATTGAGACCATCCTGACCAACATGGTGAAACTCACCCCCCCCCCACTAAAAATACAAAAATTAGCTGGGCGTGATGGCATGTGCCTGCAGTCCTAGCTACTCAGGAGGCTGGGGCAGGAGAATCGCTTGAACCCAGGAAGTGGAGGTTGCAGTGAGCTGAGATTGTGCCACTGCACTCCAGCCTGGCGACAGAGCAAGACTCCATCTCAAAAAATAAAAAATAAATTCAAAATGTAATAAAGACTTAAATCTAAGACCTCAAACATGAAACTACTATAAGAAAACATTGGGGAAAACCTCCAGGACAGTAGTCTGGCCAAAAATTTCTTGAGCAATACCCCACAAGCACAGGCAACCAAAATAAAACTGGACAAATAGTATCACATCAAGTTTAAAAGCTTCTACAAAGCAAAGGATACAATCAATAAAGAGACAACCCACAGAATGGGAGAAAATATTTGCAAACTACCCATCTGACAAAGAAATAATAACCAGAGTATATAAGAAGCTCAAACAACTCTATAGTAAAAAAAAAAAAAAAAAAAAAAAAAAAAAAAAAAAAAAAAAATTCTAAAAGTCTAAGTAAAAAAATGGGCAAAAGATTTGAATAGACATTTCTCAAAAGAAGACATACAGGCCATGCGTGGTGGCTCATGCCTGTAATCCCAGCACTTTGGGAGGCCCAGGCGGGTGGATCACTTGAGGTCAGGAGTTCGAGATCAGCCTGACCAACATTGTGAAACTCCGTCTCTACTAAAAATACAAAAATAAGCCAGGCATGGTGGCGCACACCTGTAATCCCAGCTACTCAGGAGGCTGAGGCAGGAGAATCGCTTAAACCTGGGAGACAGAGGTTGCAGTAAGCCGAGATCACAACACTGCACTCCAGCCTGGGCAACAAAGTGAGACTCCGTCTCACAAAAAAAAAAAAAAAAAAAGAAAAGAAAAAGGAAGAAGACATACAAAGCCAGGTACAGTGGCTTATGCCTCTAATCCTAGCACTTTAGGAGGCCAAGGCAGATGGAATTGAGCCCAGAAGTTTGAGACCAGACTGAGCAATATGGTCAAACCCCAATTCTGCAAAATACAAAAATAAAAAATAGCTGGGAGTGGTGGTGCACACCTGTAGTCCCAGCTACTTAGGAAGCTGAGATGGGAGGATCACTTGAGCCTGCAGTGAATCATAATTGCACCAATGCACTCCAGCCTGGGCGACAGAGTGAGAGACATTGTCTCAAAAAAAAGAAAGAAAAAGAAAAAAAAGAAAGGACATAAAAATGACAAACAGGCATATGAAAAGGTGCTGATGATTATTGATCCTCAGAGAAATGCAAATCAAAACTGCAATGAGATATAATCTCACCCCAGTTAAAATGGCTTATATCCAAAAGACAGGCAATAACAAATGCTGGTGAGGATGTGGATAAAAGGGAACCCTCGTACACTGTTGATGGGAATGTAAATTAGTACAACCACTATGGATAACAGTTTAGAGGTTCCTCAGAAAACTAAAAATTGAGTTGCGATATGATGCAACAATCCTACTTCTGGGTATATACCCCACAAAAGACAAAACCAGCGTTTTGCATGGTGGCTCACACCTGTAATCCCAGCACTATGGGAGGCCGAGGAGGGCAGATCACTTGAGCCCAGAAGTTCAAGACCAGCCCGAGCAACATGGCAAAACCTGATTTCTACAAAATACAAAAAAAAAATTAGGCAGTTGTAGTGGTTCACACCTATAGTCCTAGCTACTGTGGAGGCTGAGGTAGGATCACTTGAACCTAGGAGGTGGAGGTTGCAGTGAGCCAAGATCATGCCACTGCACTCCAGCCTGGGTGACAAAGTGTGACCCTGTCTCAAAAAAGAAAATCAGTATATGGAAGAGATATCTGCACTCCTATGTTTTTTACAACACTGTTTACAATAGCTAAGATTTGGAAGCAACCTAAATGTCTAACAGCAGATGAATGGATAAGGAAAATTTGGTATGTATACACAATGAAGTACTATTCAGCCATAAAAAGGAATGAGATCCAGTCATTTGCAACAGCATGGATGGAAGTGGAGATCATTATGTTAAATGAAATAAGCCAGGCACAGAAAGGCAAACATGGCATGTTCTCACTTATTTGTGGGACCTAAATTCAAAACAATTGAACTAATGGACATAAAGAGTAGAAGAATGGTTACCAGAGGCTAGGAATGGTAGTGGGGGGCTGAAGGGAAGGTGGGGATGTTTAATCGGTAAAAAAAATTTTAGAAGAATAAGACCTACTATTTGATAGCACAATAGGGGGACTATAGTCAATAATGCACATTTAAAAATAGTGTAATTGAATGGTTTGTAACTCAAAGGATAAATGCTTGAGGGAATGGATACCCCATTCTCCATGATGTGCTTATTTCACATTGCATACCTGTATCAAAACATCTCATGTACCCCATAAATATATGCAGCTATTATGTACCCACAAAAATTGAAAATCAAAAATAAAATATTTTTTAAAATGTATTATTATTTGTCCTCTGTGAATAAAACTCGCTTCTGGCCCTCCTTTTTATAGGTATTTAAAAGAATGCATTTAGGCAGATCAATGGCATTATATAATATACAAAAACAATAAATCTTTTTTTTTTTAAACATATCACATTCAGCACAGCTGCTGAAGTTGGGGCTAATTATAGGTTACATTTTCATTAATCCACTGTCATCTGTTATCATCTATCCAATTTTTGCTAGAACTGGAGTGGTAAATTCAATAGTTGATGATGAAACCACAACCCCTGCATCTTTTATGTCTTTGAGTGACAGTTTATTTCATTGCCCCTCAAATACTACATTGTTTTAAAATTTCTATCTTGGTCGATATTAGAAGCTCTCTTAGGGGCATCCACTTGGCCTTTCTTACTACAAATCCTTTATTCCACAGGTGAAATGACTAAAGTGTGAGTGAAATAACTAATGTACAAAATAAATCCATCAATTACATATTTGGAAACCAGAAAAATAACCACCAAGCAGATGTGTGGACACAGAGAATCCACTGAGATACGGGTGGACCTGAGACAGGAAATTATTTTCAGTTCCCTGTGTGGCTCTCCTCTAATAGAAGTCCATGAGGGTGCTTTGGTTCCCCAGGTATCAGTGTGAAATTGGACCCTGTATCCAATAGACCTAAAAATATCTGGACATTCCCCTTTATCAGTGTCTTGATACCTGAGTAAATGGCCATTGATCCCTTTAGGGAAGGGTGTAGAAAGTGTCTACTGTACACACTTATGGTGTTGCAGATACTTCATCAGGGGACGTGACTCTCCTTCAATGAATGGATTCTGGATCTAAGCACTGGCTCAGGTCTGGAAACTGGGCAAGGGATTTTAAACTTCTATTGGAGAAATTAATCTCAGACTTCAGCTCATCTATTTTTCATCTATTGATTCTAATATTAAACAACAGTCTTATAGGCTGCCCAACTAGAAACACCATAGTCTTAATAATTTCCCTAAATCCCTTGCAGTCAGGATTTCCTGGCTTCCATTCTAACATTACTCACTATTTTGGGGATTTTGTCCATTTTGATTCTGCCTTGCTGCCAGCTGGCCTCTAGCTTTCTGGAATCCTACTGTCCTATTGTTGCTAGGGCACCAAGTTCTCCAATATCATCTCATAGAGTCAGCTCCAGCCCACAAAGGACAAAATTAGGTTAATACCCCGTTCACCTGCCCATGACTTGCTGCCTGATAAACAGAGTTTCCTTTGGGCCCTTCCAAATAAACAGTCACCCAGTGCATGATCCAGTTTTATAGAGTGTATCTATCTATGCCAGCATGCTCACTGCTCTGAGCCTTTTGGTCTCTTTCTCCACAATCTGCCATGGCAGCTCTGGCACATCGATTTTATTTCATGTGAGCCATCATTTTTCATTAGAACAGTTTCATTAAGATAAAATTCATATATTATTCAACCATTTAAACTCAATGGTTTTTAGCATATTTATAGTGCAACCATCACCACAATCAATTGTAGAACATGTTCATCACTCCAAAACTATTTTTAGAACATTTTCATCACCCATGTATATTTATTCTCAGGCAGTCATCCCCATTTTTCCCTCCAACATTTCCTCAGTCCTAGGCAACCACTAATCTACTTTCTCTCTACAAATTTATTTCTTATAGACATTTCATATAAATGAAATAATATAATGGATGGTCTTTTGTGACTGGCGTCTTTCACATAGCATAATGTTTTCAAGGTTCATCCACATTGCAGCATTTATTAGTACTGCATTTCTTTTTATGGCCAAATATTCCGTTCCATAGATTGACCATATCTTATTCATTCATTTGTTCCTGGGCATCTGTATTGTTTCCACTCTTCAGCCATTGAGAATAATGCTGCTTGACCATTATGTACAAATTTTTGCATGGACATGTTTTCATTTCTCTTGGGTATATACCTGGGAATGGAATTGCTGGGTCAAATACTCATTCTACATTCAAACTTTGAGGAACTGCCAGACTATTCTTTAAGAGGCTGCACCATTTTACATTCTTACCAGCAGTGTGCAAGAATTCCAATTTCTCCACATCCTCACCACTGCTTATTGATATCTGTCTTATTTATTCTAGCTATTCCAGTGACCGTGCAGGGGTATATCACTGTGCTTTTAATTTGCATTTCCCTGATGATTAATAGTGCCAAGCATCTTTTCATATTCTTATTAGCCATCTTTCTATCTCCTGTGGAGAAGTATCTATTCAGCCCTTTGTTCATTTTTTACTTGTATTATTTGTCTTTTAATTTTTGACTTGTAAGAGTTTGTGTGTTCTATATACTAATTCTTTCTCACATATAAGATTTATATATACTTTCTCCTAGCCTGAGGGTGGTATTTTTACTTTTTTGATTGTATTCTTTGGAACACAGAGTTTTAAACTTTGTTGAGATAGAATTTATCTGTTTGGTTTATTGTTACTTGTGTTTTGGTGTCATATTTAAAAAACACTGCTTAATCCGAGGTCATGAAGGTTTTTGCATACATTTTTGTTTGTAAGTTTTATAGTTTTAGCACTAACATTTAGGTCTTTGGTCCATGTTAAGTCATTTATGTATATGATATGAGGTAGGGTCAAACTTCATTCTTTTGCAGGTGGATATACAGTTACATCAGCACAATTTTTTTTAACCATTGGCCATTTCATATTTAAAAAACATTTAATTGACAAAGTTGTGCATGGCATACATCATGATAATTTAATACACATATACATTGTATGATTATTATTGCAACCAAATTAACAAATCCATTACTGCCCATACTGAACATTAGATTTCTAGAACTTGTTCATTATATAACTGAGAATTTGCACCCTTTGACCAACATCTCCCCATTTCTCCCACTCAAGCCCCTGGTAACCACCGTTCTACCTCTGTTTCTAGGAGTTTCACTTGTTTTAGATTGCAAATATGAGGTTATATAATATTTGTCTTTCTGTGTCTGGCTTATTTCATTTAATATAATATCCTCCAGGTTCATCCATGTTGTTGCAAATGTCAGTACTTCCTTTTTCTGTGGCTATTATTCCATTTTGTGTGTGTGTGTATACATACACACCATATTGCTATGGTTTGAATTTTTGTCCCCTCCAAAACCCATGTTGTTTCAACCCATTTATATTTCAACATGGGTTGAAGTATATATATATTTGTAGAGATGGGGTCTCACTATGTTGCCCAGGCTGGTCTTGAACTCCTGGACTCAAGCAGTCCTCCCACCTCAGCCTCCCAAAGTGCTGGGATTACAGGAGTGAGCCACTGCACCCAGCTGCATATTGAAATTTAATTGCTATTGTAACATTATTAGGAGGTGAGACTTTTGAGAGGTGATTGGACCATGAGGGTTCCACCCTTGGGGGTGGTTTTAATGCCTTTATAAAAGGGCTTCCAGGAGTGTGTTCTCTGTACTTTACTTGCCCTTCTACCTTCAGCCATGTGATGATGCAGCAAGATGGCTCTCACCATTAGCCAGTGCCTTGATCTTGGATTCATAGCCTCCTGAACCGAGAGAAAATACATTTCTATTTGTTATAGATTACCCAGTCTGTGATATTGTGTTATAGCAGCATAAAATAGAGTAAAACATATGTTTAATCCATTCATCAGTTGACAGACATTCAGGTTATTTCCAGGAAATAATGCTGTGATAAACATATGGGTGCAAATATTTCTTTGAGATACTGATTTCATTTTCCTTGGATACATGCCCAGAAGTAAAACTGCTGGATCATATACTGGTAGTTCTGTTTTTAATTTTTTTAAGGAAAGATCGTTTTAATTTTTTGAGGAAAAACCATACTGTTTTCCATAATGCTTATACCAATTTACATTCCCACCAACCATGTATAAGGATTCCCTTTCCTCTACACCCTCATTAACACTTATTACCTCTTATCTTTTTGATAATAACTATTCTGACAGGTGTGAGGTAACACTTCATTGCAATTTTGATTTGCATTTTTCTGATTAGTTACGTTCAGCACCATCTCATATACCTGTTGGTCATTTGTATGTCTTCTTTGGAAAGATGTCTATTCAGGTCCTTTGTCCATTTTTGAATTAGGTTATTTGTTTTATTGCTATTGAGTTGTGTATAATTTCTCGAAAAGATTTTTCTTTCCCCCACTGAATTGCCTTGGCAGTATTTTTGAAATTTAATTGACCATAATTATAAACTTTTATTTCTAGCCTCTCTATTCTATTGATCTGTATGTCTATCCTTATGTCAGTATCACTCTGTATTGATTATTGCAGCTTTGTAGTAACTTTTTCCATGAGCAAGTATAGTTCCTCAAACTCTGTTCTTTGTCAAAAGTTTTGTAACTTTTGTAGTTCACTGAATTTCCATATAAATTTTAATATCATCTTGTCAGTTTCTGCAAAGCAGTCAGCTGGGATTTTGATAGAACTGCATTGAATTTGTAGACCAATTTTGATATACTGCCATCTTAATAATATTGTCTTCTGATCCATAAAAATAGAACATCTTTTTATTTATTTAGTTCTTTGATTTCTGTAAAAATATTGTCGGTTTTTTTGTAGTATAAATTTCGTACTTCTTTTATTACATTTATTTCTAAGTATTTTATTTTTCCCTAGCTTTATTGAAGCATAATTGACAAACAAGAATTATATACATTCAAGTTGTACAACATGATTTTTAAAATGCATATATATTGTGAAATGATTACCACAATCAAGCTAATTAACATATCTATGACACATAGTTAATATTTTTGTGTGTGGTGAGAATACTTAAGATCTATTCTCTTAGTAAATTTCAAGTATACCAATAGTTGCCATCCTGTTGTAAGCCCAAATCACTTTGGCTTAGTGATTTTGGGGACCTGAGATTATTTTTCCTTTCACACTGTACATTAGGTTTCCAGAACTTATTCACCCTATAACTGCAAGTTGGTAAACTTTTACCAACATCTCCCCATTTCCCCTAACCATGACTCCTAGTAACCCCTAAAAAAAAAAAAAAAAAAAAAAAATTCCATCAACTTTAGACAAACTAAATTTAGAAGAGTTTATTTAAGCAAAAAATAATTTACAAATTTGGCAGCACTCAGAACCAGGAGAGGGTCAGAAAGCTCCACCCAGGAGTGTGCGCAGCAAGCCTTTATGTGCCAGACACAGAAGAAGAAAAATCACCTGATTGGCTACAGCTAGGCATTTGCCTTATTTGGGCATGGTGTGATGAGCTGGCTGCTTGTGATTGGGTGAACCCCAGCTAACAGTTATACTCCTAACTTAGGTTTTGATTTGTTTACCTACTTACTTAGGTACACAGGCAGCCTCAGGTCAAAGTTAAGTTAATTCAACTGACTGTTTCTACCTCTGTTTCTCTGAATTCCACTTTATAGATTACACATATAAATGAGATCATACAGTATTTTTATTTCTGTGTTTGTCTTATTTCACTTAGCATAATGTCCTTCAGATTTATCCATGTTGTTACAAATGGCAGTATTTCCTTCCTTTTCATGTCTGAATAATATTCGTGTGTGTGTGTATGTGTGTGTATCACAATGTCTTTATTCATCCATTAATCAATAAACACTTACTTTGTTTCTATATCTTGGCCATTGTGAATAGTGCTGCAATTAATATGGGGGTACAGAAATTTCTTTACTGATTTCATTTTTTATATATGCCCAGAAGTAGGATTACTGTATCATATGGTAGTTATGTTTTTAATTTTTTGAAGAACATCTATATTGTATTCCATTATGCTTTTACCAATTCACATTCCTACCAACCATGTATAAGGGTTCCCTTTCTCTACAGTTTACCAACACTGATTATCTCTTGTCTTTTTGTTAATGGCTATTCTTACTGATGTAAGGTGATATGTCAATGCAGTTTTGATTTGCAGCTCTCTGATGATTAATGATGTTGAGCACCTTTTCATATACTTCTTGGTCATTTGTATGTCTTTTTTGAAAAATGTCTATTCGGGTCTTTTGCCCATATTTGAACTGGGTTATCTGTTTTTTGCTATTAAGTTCTATGGAGTCTATAGACTTTACATATTAACCCATTAGTGAATATAAGGTTTGCAAATATTTTCTCTCATTCTGTGGTTTGCCTTTTCATTTTGTTTATTGTTGTGTTGCTGTGCAAAAACTTTAATGTAGTCTCACTTGTTTAATTTTGCTTTTTTGGCATATGTTTTTGAGGTAATACCCCCAAAAAAATCATTGCCAAGGCCAATGTCTCGGAGCTTTTCACCTGCTTTCTTCTCCAAGTTTTGTGGTTTCAGGTCTTACATTTACATCTTTAATCTATTCGGAGTTGACTTTGCATATGGTGTAAGATCGGGATGCAGTTTTATTTTTTTCCATGTGGATATCCAGTTTTTCCATCACTATATATGTAGGAGAGTATCCTTTCCCTATTATATATTATTGACACCTTTTCAAAGATTAGTTAATTGTATATGCATGGATTTATTTCTGAGCTTTCTGTTCTATTCCATTATTCTATGTGCTGTTTTTATGCCAGTACCATACTGTTTTCATTAATATAGCTTTGTAGTATCATGTTAAATCAGGAAGTGTGATGCCTCCAGCTTTGTTCTTGTTGAAGATTGCTTTAGCTATTGCAGTTCTTTTGTGGTTCCATACGACTTTTGAGATTGTCTAATTCAGTTAAAAATCCCATTGGAATTTTGATAGGGGTTACATTAAATCTGTTGATTGCTTTGGGTAGTATGGACATTTTCGCAATATTGATTCTTCTGATCCAAGAACAAGGATATCTTTCCAATTATTTGTGGCTTCTTCAATTTTTTTTGTCACTGTTATGGCTTTCAGTGTGCAGATCTTTCAGCTCCTTGATCAAATTTATTCCTAATTTATTCTTTTTGATACTGTTATAACTGAGATTATTTTCTTGATTTCTTTTTCAGACAGTTTTTGGTAAGTATATAAAAGTACCACTAATTTTTGTATGCTGATTTTGTATGCTGCAACTTCACTGATTTTTTTTTTCAGTGCCAGTAGTATTTTGGTGGAGTGTTTGGGGTTTCCATATATAAGATCTTGTGATCTACAAACAGAGGCAATTTGACTTCTTTTTTTCCAGTTTAGATCCCTTTTCTTTTTCTTCCCTAATTACTCTGCCTAGAATTATCAGTACAATGTTGAATAGATGTGGCCAGAGTGGGCATCATTGTCTTGTTCCTGATCTTACAGGAAAAGTATGCAACTTTCGCCATTGAGTATGATGTTAGTTGTGAGTTTGTCATAGCCTTTATCCTGGTAAGATACATTCCTTCTATATCTAAGCCTCCCAAAGTGCTAGGATTATAGGCTTGAGCCGCCGCACCTGGCCCAGAAAGTTTCTATTTCTATGTCTTCAAAGTCACTGTTTAATCTACAGCATAAAGTTTACCATTAATCTCACCTCACATCCAGTGTATTTTATGTCTGACATTTTCATCTTTGGAAGTTTGATTTTGATGTTTTATGTATCTTTCATGTCTCTGTGTAACTTTTTGAACATATGGAATACATTTACAATAACCGTTTTATGTTATTGCCTGCTAATTCTGACATCTATGTCAGTTCTAGGTAACTTTAGACTGATGGTTTTCTCTGCCTTCTGAGTTGTATTTTCTTGTTTTTATTATATGCCTGGTGATTGTTTTTATTTAATGCCAGACATGACTTTACCAGGTTAGGTGCCAGATATTTTTGCATTCTATAAGTATTCATGAGCTTTATTACTATTATTATTATTTTGAGACAGAGTTTCCCTCTTGTTGCCTGGAGTGCAATGGTGAGAACTTGGCTCACTGCAACCTCTGCCTCCTGGGTTCAAGCAATTCTCCTGTCTCAGCCTCCCGAGTAGCTGGGATTATAGGCATGCGCCACCATGCCCAGCTAATTTTGTATTTTTAGTAGAGACGGGATTTCTCCATGTTGGTCAGGCTGGTCTCGAACTCCCAACCTCAGGTGATCTGCCCACCTTGGCCTCCCAAAGTGCTAGGATTACAGGCATGAGCCACCGTGCCCGGCTGAGCTTTTTATTTTTACTGGGACAAATTAAGTTATTCAGGAGCTGTTTGATCATTTTAAGTCTTTTAATATCTTTTAGCAAAAAAACAAAAAGTGTTTAGTCCAGGGCTAATTATTTACCACTGCTGACATAAGACCCTTCAGAATACTCTATCCAATGCTCAGCAAATTATGAGGTTTTCCAGTCTGGCTAGTGGGAACAGGCATTATTTCCAGCCCTGTATATCACTGGGTACTATTCTCTGAAGTCCTTTCGGATAATTCTTTCCCTGTCTTTGGGTAGTTCCCTTATATAATATGCTGATTAACTGAAAATTTGAGGGGTACCTCCTGCAGACTTACAGTGCTTTTTATCATCAGCTGTCTTTTCTATGTGCCTTCATCTTTGCATATTCTGGATGTCCTGGAGTCTCCAAGTTCACAACTCTGTCCCCTCACCTCAGTGAACCTCCTGGTTAGGGCTCTGCCTCTCTGCACTCTGCCTTGGAAACTCTGTCCAGGAAGGAAGCTGGACAACTGTAGACCTTACCTTTTCCATTCCCCTTCTCCCAGAGATCACAGTCTCTGGGATACCTGCTGTCTAGTATCTGAGTACATAGCTATTTTTTCATATATTATTTTGAGTTTGTTGTGCTTAAGGCATGAGAGTAAATCTGGTCCTTGTTATTCCATCATAATCCAAAGCAAAAGTCAATAGATCATGACTTTTCAATTTTTAATTCAACTAAGTTAAAAATTTTAAAATCAAAGTTAATTTTACTTCCTAAAAACTAACTTTAGTTCTTTTGAAAAACAGGTCATTTTTAGGTTAATACATTCTGTAGGCATTTTCAAGCTTGTCATTATTATTATTATTATTATTATTATTATTATTATTATTATTTTGATACAGAGTTTTGATCTTGTTGCCCAGGCTGGAGTGCAGTGGCACAATCTCGGCTTACCACAATGCCCACTTCCCAGTTTCAAGTGATTCACCTGCCTCAGCCTCCCATGTAGCGGGGATTACAGGCATGTGCCACCACGCCCAGCTAATTTTCTATTTTTAGTAGAGACGGGGTTTTTCTATGTTGGTCAGGCTGGTCTCAAACTCCCAGCCTCAGGTGATCCGCCTGCCTCAGCCTCCCAAAGTGCTGGGATAACAGGCATGAGCCACCGTGCCCAGCTCATAATTATTTTAAATGTAATACTAGTTACGTTATTTTGTTTCATAATTCAAATATTGAAGCTTTATGAGCCTCTTATCTATTGTTTCCACTGGTTCTCAATCAGACTGACTTTTCTCCACTTGTACTTTATACAGTTCATGCTCTGAGCAGCTTTTTCCTTGTAGAATTATTTGGGCAAATTCTTTGACATATGGGTTAAATATGCATTCCTATAAAGATTTTTGTTTCCTTCTTCCAATTTTTGGATCATCGCTAATCCAGGACAATTATTAATCAAAATCATGCTTTGAGGTTATTTTGGCCCAAAACGGTAAAGCTAGTTTGGGCAACAAATCTGCAGGAGTGCTGGCTGGTGGTTGTAAATTCTCAAAAACAGGTTTTGCTGACTCAAAGGCAAATTTCTTTAGAATACTCTTGTGCTGGGGGATGAAACAGATTTTCTTTTCTTACTCTGAGGAAACACATCTTTTGTTTCCCATATTTCATGGGGTACACAAAAGTGTCTCCTCTTATACTCCCTATACAAACAAGTTCTGAGAATTACCTCCTTTGCACTATACCATATGAAGCTGAGAAAACCAAAGCTAAGATTTTTCCAGATTTGGCAAACGCCCTCAAGATAAAAGCAACTTCCCTTTTTCTAAATCCTGCCCACATTTATATTTTGACCAAAAAGATTATTCCCTTTTTTATATTTCTATACTTTTGGGTGATTTTCACATTTCATCTCTTTTTTAGTTGTTTTTGGTAGAAGAGGCAGCTTTAAAACCTAGTTCACCCTATTACCGGAAATGGAATCCCCATTCACTACTGATTAATTCCTGCCATTAATCTGACACCGAGGTAGATGCTGGAATACAAGTACATCTAGACCAATGCTACTCTCAAAGTGCAGTCTGTGGGCTAGCACTGGTCTGTGGACTGTTTGTTAGCAGCCCACAATAATATACATATAGAAATTGTGAGTGAACTATGCAAGTAAACCTCTACTTTATCTCATCCCAGACTAGTAACAGTCAAGCAAAAGATGAGCATTTATACCATGTCACTGGGTCTTCTAAAAACAGTATGGTTATCAGCTGTTCATACAATAGTTTGAGTAAAATGGCATCTAAATTAGGATGGTTTTTTAGGCTTCTGTGAGCAGTCACATTAAAACTGGTGAATGTATAGATAACTCTCCCTAGGAGCATGTGCAGATAGAACAAAATATTAAAAATTTATATAAAATGTCAGTGTATACATGGATCCTCTGATGTCTTACAGATACGGGTTTTTAATCCTAGCAAGAGACAAAGATAGGGAAAAAGGCTTTCAAGTAATCATTTTACCATCACACAATGCTTCTCCACGTATCTGTGTGTGAAAACTGGGGTAGACAAAAGCTGGACCCCAAAACAAACTGTCAAGGGAATAAGTTGAACTATGTCATTTATTATACACTCAACCAAACCCAGGTGCCTGCAATGTACTAGATAAAGTTCTAGTCTCAGAACGTGATTCTAGGAATTGAAATTTGTCATTCTTTTTCCATCCCTCACCCCTCTACCTCCAGCAACTGAATTCTCTTCCTATGTTGAAGAGTCTTATTAGAAGGCAGGGACTACCTCCTTCTACAAAGGAGAAAAATTCACTTTCCCCAACATTATTGCAGTTAAACACTGCAAGAGGCTTTGGCTGCACAATTTAGATAACCACATGTGGGCTTCTAATCAGGATGAGATGACACAGAGAGGCTGGGACAGTAAATACTGCATTTTGGTAAAGATGGCTGAGGAGCAGTAGTGGAGCAGTTCTCAGGAGCAGCAGTGATAGCAGTCTTTGCCACAGGGCCCAGTGTCGGCCATCAGGGTATCAGAGGTATATGCAGTAGCATCTGTGCTCAGGAGCAGGGACAGTGGTTCCTATGAGAGATCTGAATTAGGGTGGCTGTGGATTATGTTCCTGGCTGTGTAGCTTCAAACCTGGTTCTGTGTCCAATGTGGTTTGGCTGTGTCCCCACCCAAATCTCAACTTGAATTGTATCTCCCAGAATTCCCACATGTTGTGGGAGGGACCCAGGGGGAGGTAATTGAATCATGGGGGCCAGTCTTTCCCATGCTATTCTCATGATAATGAATAAGTCTCCTGAGATCCAATGTGTTTATCAGGGGTTTTGGCATTTGCTTCTTCCTCATTTTCTCTTGCCACCACCATGTAAGAAGTGCCTTTCGCCTCCCACCATGATTCTGAGGCCTCCCCAGCCAAATGGAACTGTAAGTCCAATTAAACCTCTTTTTCTTCCCAATGTTGGGTATGTCTTTATCGGCAGTGTGAAAACGGACTATGGACTAATACAGTGCCCTTCCCCAAAATAAAATGAATACTAATACCAATATGTACACTCCTTTATGTTTAAATTAGAAAAATTTGCAAGTCATTGTTTGCTCCAAGGAGTGAGTGTGAAATCATTCTGGAGAGTAGTTTCAGAAAGCAGCATTCAGATATTTTTTCATTCTGCTGAGCTGTGAGCCACTTCTCAATCTTCCATCTGGCTATACCCCATGATAGAGAAAATGACATTTATCTCTCAGCATCCTGTCTTATAATTAAAGAAACACATCCTCCTTAAAAATAAATAAATAAATAAATAAAAAACCCAGAATAAAGCAACACTTAAATGTGGGTCTGAGACCCCTCCCCATCCTGGGCATTCTCCAACTACTGATCTCAGTGATATCAAATCTGGCTGAGCACCAGGTTTGCTGTGGGCTTGTTGTAGAATACTCAGGCCTCTCCACAGATGCCCCTGTGTCAGAATGTTGCGCATGGAGTGCAGGAATTGCTTATTAACAAGCCTCACAGGCGAGGCTGATGCATAGCCTAGGAATCCTGGTCTGTGTTCTTGCTACCAAAAGTGGGATCTGAAGACCAGCAGCATCAGCGCCAACAGCAACATTATATAAGTAGGAAATCTCATTCTCGATTCCAGATCAGCTTAGACTTAAGGTGATGTCCAGGTGATTCCTGTCCACAGGAAAGTCTAGAACTCCCTGGTCTATGTACCTTCTAGATGTGGGGTCAGGACTGTGCAGTCTGATCTAGGTGTGTTGTCTGATCAGATCCTTTAGCAACAGAGGCCTAGTGTTCAGTCCTTGTTCCTGTTCTCTTCTACAGCCAATCACTCCCTTGGAGACGTCATTCAGACTCAAGGCTTTAAATAACTGTTATATGACATCACCTCCCAAGTCTATTTCTCCTAAATGTCTCCAGATTCATCTGTCCAACTGCCAACCCGACTACCTCACTGGTATTTCTCAGCGGCATCTCAGATCCCACGTCTCCCATAGTGACTGCCTGCGACGTCCCCTCCTCTCATATGCTCCTGCTAGTCTTCTCATTCTCAGCTGATGGCAACTCTTTTTAGTCACAGTCTGACATTTTTGGTATCCTTTACTCTTCTTTCTCATACCCCAGATTTAGTCCATTAGAAAATGTGGTATAAAGTGATTGGAAATAGTAGGAATCCAATCACGTCCCACTATTTCCACTGCTCACACCCCAGTTGAAGTAACCGACATCTCCAGCCTGAAATACTGCACTCATTTCCTACAGTTTTCCCACCTGCCTTGCTCATTGCCGGCCTTTGGATTCTGTTCTCAGCAGAGCAGCTACAGTGATCCTTTTAAAAGAGAAGTTGTGGCATGTCTTTATTCTGCTTAAAACTATCTCATTCAAAATCAAAATCCTTCCCACATACTTGAGCCCTATGCCCACATGATCTGACCAAACCCCTGACCTTATCTCAGTGACTCTCTGCTCTAGCCATACCCGATCCCGTGTTCTTCCCAGAACACACAGACATGATCCTGCCCTGGTACACTGACACTGAAGGTTCCTACTCCCTAGAAAAAACTTCTTCCAGATACCCTCATGACAAATTCCTTTATGTCCTTCAAATATTTCATCAAAGGTCACCTTCCCAACAAGGCCCACGCTGACAACCCCGGCACAATAGCTACCTTCTCTGTCCCACAACCCATACTCTGATCACCTGTTCCACAGCACTTATCACCTTCTAACACTTTCCTCATTTACTCTGCATATATTAGAGTGTATGTACCGTCTGCCTCTTCCCACTGGAACACATGCTCCACAAGGCTAGAGATTTTTCTGATTTTACTTCAATGACTTTCCCCAGATGCAAAAACATTCTGTCATATGTCTGGCAGACAGCAAATGTCGGCTGAATGAATCATCACTGTAGAGCACCTCCTATTCTAAAGGCAGTATCTTTATTAACATAGCCTCAGGCCAAATGCGGTTTTGCAGCAACGACAGCACAAGGTCCCCTCACACTGACATCCAGGCCGCCTGTGCTTTTCCCAGCAGTGCTGCTTGTGTGTCCTCCCTCCCTTCCTCCCTGCATCCCTCCTTCACACCAACCCTCTGCACACTGCAGCATGCAATTATATTTCCCTCTTAGGAAAGAACAATCTTTGACTATGAATCCCAATTTCCAAACAAATATAAATCTAAGTTAGACTTTGCTTTATAGATCCATGAGTTTGCATTAGAGCCAGTGCTAGGATTACTACAACTCAGGGAAGGGAGAGTGGGTAGGAGAGCTGAGCAGAAGAGGAGTTCCACTAGAAAGTTACCTAAGATGAGAACTTGTGGCATCCCTCTTCTCTGCTAATTTCAGAATCTAGTTCCTTTAAAAAGGTTGGGGAAAAGATAGAAAATACAATCCAAGAAAGAGCCCTGGAAATAGGGTAAAAGCTGCACGGGCTTGAAAATTCATCTCTTAATACCACAGACTTCTGTGTGCAGGGGCTGCCTTCCACCTTGTGGGGTTAATGACAGGAAAAATGACTCCTGCTGCTGTCAGAGATGAGGGACAACCAGGGGAGAAAGAGATCAGAACGCAGACACCAGAATAGGAACAGGCATAGTCCTCTACAGAAACAAAGAAACCAAAAATAATGATACAAAATATTAGGGCCAGACCATAGACTGACCCAGCCCATGAAGCCCTTGCTGTCCACGGTCCTAGAGACAGGACAAGGCCCAGGCAATGTTTGTGTGCCTGTGATCACAGGTCCTGGTGAAACAAGGTTCTACTGAAGGGACACAAACAATGGAGCAGTGAAGATGACCAACCCAATGAATGACCACGTCAAATTCCATGATGAACTGAGCATAGGCTGTCCACACTCAGCTCCTCACAGCCCTCTCTCTCCTGTCTCCACCTACAACAGGCCCAGCACAGCAAAAATGGATTCTGGAAGGCTCTCAGGTTTTACTTCCTCTCTCAAGTTTTAAGAGTCTTGCTCTCCTTTCATTGAACGATCAACCCAACCTCATGGCAAGAATTTGAAAAATTCATATCCAGGTTCTTATTTTGAATAGTGGAGTAAGTGGCAGCTCAGTGAAACTTAAAAGTTAAGACATGAATAGAAATGTCCCAGCCTCACCTCTGTTGAAAAAAAATTTGACCGGGGAAGAGAGGACAGGTTAGTGTGGGGTGGTGGTCCTGGTGGCAGTGGTGGACCAGTCGCCCATTTCCTCACATTATGCTAACTGGAACACAGACACATAGATATATTCACGTGTCAAGTGCAGATATAGAAGTCAGGAGCTCTTGAAATTACAATGGTGTGTGTCAGAGGAAGGACCTGAAGAAATTTTGTATCTCTCAGTCCCACTCAAGGCAGTTGTCTCAAGCTACAGGAGAAAATAATCATAAACAAATCCAGGGCAGTCACTGTACCTGGTGACACTCTGAACAGCCTACCACATGGTCAAGATGTCTAAATCCAGAGAACCCCTCAACAGAATCATGTCCCCTCTGCCTCACCCCCACCCACTTCAGGCCCCCCCGTGTCTCACCTTTACAAGTATCATGAGATGCATCAGAGTACTGGGCACAATTGCTGCCTGGGGTAGAACAAAAATAGGAACTGGTCAGAGCCCACAGGAGATGTGGCTAAAGGAGGAATCTTGTCTACACTGTCCCAATGATCTCAGGGAGCAGCCCTCTAATCCCCCATACTAACAGGCAGCCCGAGCATAGCTCCTTGTTCCATCTGTGAGAAAAAAACAACCTGTGAGAGGTCAGGGAGGACATGGGGCATGAGGTCCTTAAGGAAACAGCAAATCCTGGACCCCAGGAAAACTTCCAGAACTGTGACTGCAGACCCAGGGCAGGATCAGGAAACATGAGGAAAGCAGGTGTGGGGACTGGACCAACTGCCCTCCTGAGGTCTGTCCTCAGTAGGGATCTTCCCTTGTGACCTGTGACTGCTGGGAGGGCCCCATCACCACAATCATCAAGGTGATAAATTTGTCCTTCGTTTTCACATGTGCTTCACAAAAGAGCAAGTGTTGGCACACAGGGCCCCAGGCTAGGTCGGCCTGTGTGTGGACGGTGCTTCCCAGTGATGAAGCAAGTCACAATTCTACCTGTGGCTTGAAACCCACAGTGGAACAAGAAAACCCAGATCCCACCTCTCACCCCTTCCCTACCTGAGCTTTTCTTCCTCTACATCACAGCAGCAACCACAGCTCCAGTGACCACAGCTCCAAGGAGAAACAGGCCAGCAACGATGCCCACGATGGGGATGGTGGGCTGAGAAGACGGCTCTGGGAAAGGAGAGGGAGGTGAGGGGTTCTGACCCCCAGGCCTCAGCCCTGCCCTGCCGAAGGTCTCCTGCTTTCCCTGAGAATAGACAACTTACACCCCTCCTTACCCCATCTCAGGGTGAGGGGCTCTGGCAGCCCCTCATGCTGCACATGGCACATGTATCTCTGCTCCTCTCCGGAAGGCACCACTACAGCCACCCACTTCTGGAAGGTTCCGTCCCCTGCAGGCCTGGTCTCCACAAGCTCCGTGTCCTGGGTCTGGTCCTCCCCATCCTGCTGCCAGGTCAGTGTGATCTCCGCAGGGTAGAGGCCCAGGGCCCAGCACCTCAAGGGTGGCCTCATGGTCAGAGACGGGGTGCTGGGTCACATGTGCCTTTGGGGGATCTGAGGGGAAGAGTCAGAAAATTCAGGCACTTTGCATTCCTCGTAGGACACTCCAGCAGCATACATGTGACCATCCTGAGAATGGACAGGACACCTGGGGTAGGGAAGGGAGCACAGAACCCAGACACCAGCCTGGACACAGGAATCTGGGATAATCTCCTATTCCTTGGAAAGTTCGAGTCTCTGATGGGGGAGCAGGGACTTCTGGTCCTGACCTGAGTGGAGGCCAAGGCACTCAGAAGAGCTGGAATCGGAGCCATGGACACATGAGTGTGAGGGAGAGAACAAGGCCTGAGAGGAAAATTCCTGGTGCCCCAGGCTGCTGCAGGGGTCAAAGGGGACCACGGATCAGTATTCCAGGGACTGTCTTCTCCTCCATTTCCTCAGGGACTTCATCCCTTAATTGTCCCAGAGAGCAGGGTGGGCTCTCAGAGTTACTCTCTGGTACAGGATCTGGAAACCCAGGATTCTTCCCATTCAGGACCAGTGGGAGGGCGATATTCTAGCATTGGTCCCATTTTCCTACTCTCCTGGTGGGAGGCCAGCCCGGGAAATCTACAGGAGATGAGGGAGGCGCCCCGTGGCCCCTGGTACCCGCGCGCTGCAGCGTCTCCTTCCCGTTCTCCAGGTGTCTGCGGAGCCACTCCATGCACTTGCCCTCAGGTAGGCCCTGACCTGCTCTGAGTATTTGTCCGCTTCCCACTTGTGCTGGGAGATCTGAGCCGCTGTGTTCGCGGCGGTCCAGGAGGGCAGGTCCTCGTTCAGGGCGATGTAATCCTTGCCATCGTAGGCGAACTGTTCATACCTGCGGAGGAGGCGCCTGTCGGGCCCACGTCGCAGTCATGCTTCCTCTGGATGGTGTGAGAACCATGGCCTCGCCCCCGCCGTCAGCCCCGAACACCGAGCCCCGCTCCCGCCCCGACCAACCCGCGGGGATTTTGGCCTAAACTGAAATTAAACCGGGTAAAGGCGCCCGAGTTTCTTCCCTGGTCGAGGGTCTGGGCAGGTCCCGCAGCCTCGGGGTGGATCTCAGACCGGAGACTCAGACCCGGGACCTGGGCTGTCCGTGGGGGATGGGGAGGGATCGTGACCTGCGCCCCGGGCCAGGGTCACTCACCGGCCTCGCTCTGGTTGTAATAGCGGAGCAGGGTCCGCAGGTTCACTCGGTAAATCTGCGCGTGGCCCTTGGCGTTCCGTGTCTCCTGGTCCCAATACTCCAGCCCCTCCTGCTCCACCCACGGCGCCCGCCGCTCCATCCTCGGACTCACGGAGTCGCTGTCGAACCGCACGAACTCTGTGTCGTCCACGTAGCCCACGGCGATGAACCGGGGCTCCCCGCGGCCGGGCTGGGACACTGCGGTGCTGAAATACCTCAAGGAGTGGGAGCCTGGAGGCGAGGAGAGGCTGAGACCCGCCCGACCCTCCTCCCGGCGCGGCTCCCCGGGCCGGGCGGGCCACTCGCTTCTCCCCGCAGAGGCCCTTTCCCTCCCGACCCCGCACTCACCGGCCCAGGTCTCGGTCAGGGCCAGGGCCCCCAAGAGCAGCAGGAGGAGGGTTCGGGGAGCCATGACCCCCATCCCTGGCGTTTGGGGAGAATCTGAGTGCGGGTGGTTGCGCCGGGACTGTAGTGCCGGGATCGTAGTGCCGGGATCGCGGCGAAGCTGATTGGCTTCTCTAAAAACCCGGCACCCAATGGGAGTGAGAAGTGGGATTATGTCACAAGTATCCAGGATGAAGGTTGGGAGAACCAAAACTCAGGGGAGTGGGCAATCCCCAACCCTGTGACTCCCCAGTGCAGTCATCGCTCTTGGGGCCTGAGACCCAGAGAGCCACGCCTGGGGCCTGGGACTTTGTCCTGACCTCTCTTTTCCTACGCCAGCCTCTTTGTCACACTGACTGCCTGAGTCCTGGTCAAGGATCTGTCTGTGGAAACTAGGGAGAGAACCCCCAGGCTGGGCCCAGCCCCTTCCCATTCACGCTCATCCTGGAATCCTCGTCCCTGAACTGGACTTCCGACTCCTTACCTCTCCCCTTGGACTATCCTAGAAGAAAACTCACCCCAGGGAACTTTGATGCCAGAGAGTGAGCTCGCCTTGGGAATGGCGGTGTAGAGAAAGGGGTTTTCTCTTTAAACCTGGTGAAGTTGTGGCTGAAGGCACAAGATAGACATTCTCATAGTGACCAGGTTTTTTTGTTTGTTTGTTTATTAATACAGTGGTTAGCACAATCTAACCCCTGAATGATCAGGATTCTAATCTGTAAAAGACCTGATTTTGCCTGCTTCATATATAAGTGTATCCAAACAGCATTGCAATTCGAGTCACAAAGCTTCTAAGTTTACTTTCCCAGACTGTGGATCCATGACTCTGGGTTGTTGCATTTAAAATTATCTTCATTCCATAGCCCGAGTTTCCCTGTGTGAGTCCAGGACATCTCAATACAAAGAAGCAGGATTTGTTACTGTATATTGTAACAAGGAGCCTCAAAATTGCACTGAAGTCAAAATGCCTATCATCAATGCTTAAGCACTGCTTGTTTTTATGAATTATGCACATCTAAGCAGTGTGCACATTTTATTTGCATACTTGGTATTTTTTTACTCTTATGTTTTTAATCATGAGGAGGCCATTAGTTTTTGGCAGTCCCACAAAATGTATTAAATACCGAATGCATGCCAAGAACCCCCTGCTAGGCTCCTCCACTGCTTTAGAGTCCTTTCCCTTGCTCCTTTTCCTCACTTCCTGTCTCTCCAGCCCTTCTCTCTGCCCCTCTCATCCCTCACACCCTCCCCTCCCCTTAGTCCCTGCCACCCTGTCACCCCTGAATTGTGGCACTAACACTGTCCCTCACTTCCTGCCCATGTCTGTTCTCCCCACAGTGCTCAGCAGTTCTGCTAATGTGACTCAGGTCGTGTCATTTCTTCACTTACAATGGTTGGGTTTTGGTCTACCATTTTGCTGTATGTTTTCAATTTGTCTCGTATCTTTTTGTTTCTATTCCTCCTTTCCTACTTTCTTATGTGTTAAGTAAACATTTTTTAGTTTATGGTTTTAATTCTAGTGGCTTTTAGGTATATTTCTTTACACTAATTTTTTATTGTTGTAAGAATTGAAACCCGATTCCTTGACTTTTCATGGTGAAGTTCAGGTAATATTAAGCTGCATCCAGCAAAATAAAGGACACTTGTAAGAGTGTAGTTTCATGTAACCTACCATTGTGCTATTCTTGTTGTATATATTACATCAATATACTTTATAAACTCAATAATACAGTAATACTTTTTGTTTTAAGCATTCATATTGTCATTAAGAAAATGAGTGTGTATGTGATCTGTGTATGTGCATAATTTCTGTTGTTAATTATCCCTTTCTATATATCTAGGTCACCATCTAGTATCATTTCCCTTCAGCCTGAAGAACTTCCTTCAAAATTATACGTAGTACAAGATCCCTAGGAAATGAATTTTCTGATTTGGATTATGTAAAAGTGTCTTCATTTTTGCCTTCTTCCCCCACCTTTTTTTTTCCTAATTGGGGCGTTTGTGTATAATAAAACTCACCAGTTTTAGCTACAATGTTTTATGAATATTGGTAATTATTTATAGTCATGTAACTACCACATTGCCCAGATAGAGGACAGTTTCTTTTCCCTAAAAACTTTCCTTATGCCCCTTTTCTATTTAATCCTTGCCTCCCACCCTCACCCCCTTCTCTTCACTCAACCACTGCTGTGCTTTCTGTTACTGTAATAATGAAATTTCTAGAATTTCATGGACATGCAATCATATGTTATGTAGTCCTTTGGTCTCTCACTTGTCATAACAATATTTGAGATTTTTCCATGTAGTTAAGAGTAATAATATTTCATTCATTTTTGTCACTGAGTAGCTGCTGAGTATTGTTGGAATTCCAGTTTATTCGTTGGTTTCTCTATTCTCCAGCTGATAAACATGTGGGTTATTTCCGGTTAGGGTCTGTAATTAATGAAACCACTATAAATAACTGACTACAAGTCTTTGCATGGCCTTAAATTTTCATTTCCTTTGGATAAATAAATATTTGTGGAATTGTTGGGTGATATGGTAAATGGATGGGTAGCTGTTTAAGAAATTGCCATATTATTTTACAAACTGACTGCAACTTTTTTTTGCGTTCCTACCAACAATATAAGAGATTTTTATTTTTTCCATATTCATACCAGTATTTAGAATTATCATATGTCTTTTGAACTTTACTTATTCTAGGTGATGTGTGATGGTTTCTCATTGTGGTTTTAACTTGCACTTCTTTGATGACTAGTATTGTTGCTATCTTGTCATGTTTGTCTAAGAGACTTATTACATATCTTTTGTGAACAATTTTGCAAATTTAATTATTACTTCCAGAGACTTTTTCAGAATTCCTTATTGTTTTCTACATATGTAATTAAGCTGAGAAAGAAAGATTTTATTTCTTCCTTTCCTATCTATTGTTTTTTTTCTTTTAAAAATTATTTATATTTAGTAAAGACAGGGGTCTAACTATGTTGCTCAAGCTAGTCTCAAACTCTTGAACTAAAGTGATCCTCCCACCTTGGCCTCCCAAAGTGCTGAGATTACAGGCATGAGGCACCACACTTGGTCCTCTTATTGGTCTTTTATTTCATTTTCTTGCCATATTGCACTAGTTAGGATGCTCGTAAGGTGTTTTAAACAAAAATGAGGAGAGCCACATCTTTGCTTTGTTGCTAATCTTAGGAAGTAAGAATCTGGCCTTTCATAATTGAATATGAGGGTAGCTGTAAACTTTTCGTGGGTGTCCTTAACCACATTGAAGATATTCCTTTCGATTTTGTTTGCTGAGCTATTTTGTCATGAAATGGTCTTGATTTTGCAAGTGCTTTTTCTGCATTGACTATAATAATTGTGCAACATTTGTTCTTTGTTCTATTAATTGGGTGAATTGTATTGTTTAATTTTCAGATGTTAAACCAACCTTACTTTCCCTTTAAAAAAACCAATATGGCATGGCATATTATTCATTTTATGTATATCTTAATTGGATAACGTTTTGTATTGAATTGTGAGTCTGTGTTCAAGAAGAATATTTGTTCTTGATTCTTTTTCTTGTGATGTTCTTGTCTGGGATTTTTATTTGGGTAATGCTGGTGATATGGTTTGGCTCTATGTCCCCACCCAAATATTATCTTGAATTGTACTCCCATAATTCCCATGTGTTGTGGGAGGGACCCAGGGGACCCAGTGGGAGATAATTTGAATCATGAGGTTGGTTTCCCCCATACTGTTCTCGTGGTAGTGAATAAGTCTCATGAGATCTGATGGTTTTATCAGGGGTTTCTGCTTTTGCATCTTCCTCATTTTCTCTTGTTACCGCCATGTAAGAAGTGCCTTTCACCTCCCGCCATGATTCTGAGGCCTCCCCAACCATGTGGAATTCTAAGTCCAGTTAAACCTCTTTTTCATCTCAGTCTTGGGTATTTCTTTATGAGCAGCATGAAAACGCACTAATACAGTAAATTAGTACCAGTAGAGTGGGTGCTACTGAAAAGACACCCAAAAATGTGGAATTGACTTTGGAACTGGGTATTAGGCAGAGGTTGGAACAGTTTGGAGGGCTCAGAACAAGACAGAAAAATGTGGGAAAGTTTGGAACCTCCTAAAGACTTGTTGAATGCCTTTGACAAAAATGCTGATGGTGATATGAACAATAAGGTCCAGGCTGAGGTGGTCTCAGATGGAGATGAGGAACTTGTTGGGAACTGGAGCAAAGGTGACTCTTGTTACGTTTTAGCAAAGAGACTGGTGGCATTTTGCCCCTGCCCTAGAGATCTGTGGCACTCTGAACTTGAGAGAGATGATTTAGGGTATCTGGCAGATAAAATTTCTAAGCAGCAAAGCATTTAAAATGTGACTTGGGTGCTGTTAAAAGCATTCCATTTTAAAAGGGAAACAGAGGATAAAAGTTCAGAAAATTTACAGCCTGACGATGCAATAGAAAGAAAAACCAATTTTTTTGAGGAGAAACTCAAGCTGGCTGCAGAAATTTGCGTAAGTAACAAAGAGCCAAACGTTGATCCCCCCAAGACAATGGGGAAAATGTCTCCAGGGCATGCCATAGGTCTTCATGGCAGCCCCTCCCATCACAGACCCAGAAGCACAGGAGGAAAAAATGGTCTCCTGGTCCAGGCCCAGGGTTCCCATGCTGTGTGCAGCTTAGGGACTTGGTGCCCTGGGTCCCAACTGCTCCCACGGCTGCTAAAAGGGGCCAAGCTTGGTACAGCTTGGCCCATGGCTCCAGAGGGTGCAAGCTTTAAGCCTTGACAGCTTCCACATGGTTTTGAGCCTGCAGGTGCACAGAAGTCAAGAATGGAGGTTTGGGAACCTCCACCTAGATTTCAGAAGATGTATGGAAATGCTAGGATGCCCAGGCAAAAGTTTGCTGCAGGGGCAGGGCCCTCACGGAGAACCTCTGCTAGGGCAGTGTGGAGGGGAAATAGGGGGCTGGAGCCCCCACACAGAGTTCCTATTAGGGCACTGCCCAGTGGAGCTGTGAGAAGAGGGCCACGGTGCTCCAAATCTCAGAATGGTAGATTGACCAACAGCTTGCACTGTGCACCTGGAAAAGCCAGATACTCACGCCTGACTGTGAAAGCTGGCTGCATAGATTAAATTGAAAGTTGTTGCCTCCTTTAATTTCTAAAAGGTATGTGTAAAATTGATGTTATTTCTAAATTATTTGTTAGATACATTTCATCAATGAAGCCTTCTGGACCTGGAGTTTCCTATATGAGAAGGATTTTGATTACACATTCAATTTCTACAATCAATATATGACTGGCCACATTTTCTATCTCTTCTCAGGTCAGTTTTCATAAGTTTTCTCTCTCAAGGAAATTGTTCATTTCATTTGCTTGTCAAACTTATTGACATGAGATTATCAATATTTCTTTTTGAGATCTAGAGAGTGTGCACTGATGTTCGTTTTTTCTTGACATTGTTAATGTGCATCTTTTTGTCTTGATCAGTCTAGCTAGAAATTTATAAAGTGTACTGATTTTTCCCCATAGAACCAATATTTGGGTTCATTAATTTTCTCTGTCTTTCTGCTTCATTTTTTCCATTTAATTATTATTTTCTTCCTTCTCCATGCTTTGGTTTAATTTGTTTTTCTTTGTTTCTTATAGCAGAAGCTAATTTACTAATTTGAGACCTACCTTCTTTCTTAATATAGGCATTTAAGGGTATTGGTTTTTTCTCTAGTACTACTTCAGCTGCATCCCATACATTTGATATGTATGTTTCATTATTCTTCAGAATACAGAAGACTTTCTAATTTCTCTAGATTTCCTCTTTGAATAAATTGTCATTTAGAATTTTGATGTTAATTTCCAATACTTGGTAGTATTTTCATCATCATCTGTCTTAGTCAATCTGGGCAGTTATAAAAGAATACCATAGACTATGTGGCTTGCAAACAACAGAAATCTATTTCTCACAATTCTGGAGGCTGGAAAGTCAAAGATCAAGGCCTGGGAAGAGTCCGTGTATGGTAAGGGCTGCTTCCTGATTCATGGATGTTGCTTTTCCTTGGTGTCCTCACATGGTGGAAGGGGCAAGGAGCTCTCTGGGGTCCCTTTTATAAGGGCATTCATTTCATTAATGAGGGTTTTGCCTTCATTGCATGATCACTTCCTAATGGCTCCACCTCCAAACACCATCACATTAGAGATTAGGTTTCAATTATGAGTTTAAGGATGACAAAAGCATTCAGTCCCACAGGATCATCTTATTGTTACAGATTTCTTTTTTTTAAGTTATTTTTTTTAATGTCTATATATTTTTATTATACTTTAAGTTCTAGGGTACATGTGCACAATGTGCAGGTTTGTTACATATGTATACATGTGCCATGTTGGTGTGCTGCAACCATTAACTCGTCATTTACATGAGGTATATCTCCTAGTGCTATCCCTCCGCCCTCCCCCCACCCCACAACAGGCCCCGGTGTGTGATATTCCCCTTCCTGTGTCCAGGTGTTCTCATTGTTCAATTCCCACCTGTGAGTGAGACCATGCGTTGTTTGGTTTTTTGTCCTTGGGATAGTTTGCTGAGAATAATGGTTTCCAGCTTCATCTGTGTCCCTACAAAGGACATGAACTCATCCTTTTTTATGGCTGCGTAGTATTCCATGGTGTATATGTGCCACATTTTCTTGATCCAGTCTATCATTGATGGACATTTGGGTCGGTTCCAAGTCTTTGCTATTGTGAATAGCGCCACAATAAACATACGTGTGCATGTGTCTTTATAGCAGCATGACTTATAATCCTTTGGGTATATACCCAGTAATGGGATGGCTGGGTCATATGGTATTCCTAGTTCTAGATCCCTGAGGAATCGCCACACTGTCTTCCACAATGTTTGAACTAGTTTACAGTCCCACCAACAGTGTAAGTGTTCCTATTTCTCCACATCCTCTCCAGCACCTGTTGTTTCCTGACTTTTTAATGATCATGATTCTAACTGGTGTGAGATGGTATCTCATTGTGGTTTTGATTTCCTTTTCTCTGATGGCCAGTGATGATGAGCATGTTTTCATGTGTCTGTTGGCTGCATAAATGTCTTCTTTTGAGAAGTGCCTGTTCATATCTTTGCCCATTTGTTGATGGGGTTGTTTGTTTTTTCTTGTAAATTTGAGTTCCTTGTAGATTCTGGATATTAGCCCTTTGTCAGATGAGTAGATTGAAAAAATTTTCTCCCATTCTGTAGGTTGCCTGTTCACTCTGATGGTAGTTTCTTTTGCCGTGCAGAAGCTCTTCAGTTTAATTAGATCCCATTTGTCAATTTTGGCTTTTGTTGCCATTGCTTTTGGTGTTTTAGTCATGAAGTCCTTGCCCATGCCTATGTCCTGAATGGTATTGCCTAGGTTTTCTTCTAGGGTTTTTATGGTTTCAGGTCTAACATTTAAGTCTCTAATCCGTCTTGAATTAATTTTTGTATAAGGTGTAAGGAAGGGATCCAGTTTCAGCTTTCTACATATGGCTAGCCAGTTTTCCCAGCACCATTTATTAAATAGGGAATCCTTTCCTCATTTCTTGTTTTTGTCAGGTTTGTCAAAGATCAGATGGTTGTAGATGTGTGGCATTATTTCTGAGGGCTCTATTCTGTTCCATTGGTCTATATCTCTGTTTTGGTACCAGTACCATGCTGTTTTGGTTACTGTAGCCTTGTAGCATAGTTTGAAGTCAGGTAGCGTGATGCCTCCAGCTTTGTTCTTTTGGCTTAGGATTGACTTGGCGATGCAGGCTCTTTTTTGGTTCCATATGAACTTTAAAGTAGTTTTTTCCAGTTCTATGAAGAAAGTCATTGGTAGCTTGATGGGGATGGCATTGAATCTATAAATTAGCTTGGGCAGTATGGCCATTTTCACGATATTGATTCTTCCTACCCATGAGCATGGAATGTTCTTCCATTTGTTTGTATCCTTTTTTTATTTCGTTGAGCAGTGGTTTGTAGTTCTCCTTGAAGAAGTCCTTCACATCCCTTGTAAGTTGGATTCCTAGGTGTTTTTTTCTCTTTGAAACAATTGTGAATGAGTTCACTCATGATTTGGCTCTCTGTCTGTTATTGGTGTATGAGAATGCTTGTGATTTTTGCACATTGATTTTGTATCCTGAGACTTTGCCGAAGTTGCTTAGCAGCTTAAGGAGATTTTGGGCTGAGACAACGGGGTTTTCTAGGTATACAATCATGCCATCTGCAAACAGAGACAATCTGACTTCCTCTTTTCCTAATTGAATACCCTTTATTTCCTTCTCCTGCCTGATTGCCCTGGCCAGAACTTCCAACACTATGTTGAATAGGAGTGGTGAGAGAGGGCATCCCTGTCTTGTGCCCGTTTTCAAAGGGAATGCTTCCAGTTTTTGCCCATTCAGTATGATATTGGCTGCGGGTTTGTCATAAATAGCTCTTATTATTTTGAGATACATCCCATCAATACCTAATTTATTGAGAGTTTTTAGCATGAAGGGCTGTTGAATTTTGTCAAAGGCCTTTTCTACATCTATTGAGATAATCATGTGGTTTTTGTCTTTGGTTCTGTTTATATGCTGGATTATGTTTATTGATTCGCGTATGTTGAGCCAGCCTTGCATCCCAGGGATGAAGCCCACCTGATCATGGTGGATAAGCTTTTTGATGTGCTGCTGGATTCGGTTTGCCAGTATTTTATTGAGGATTTTTGCGTCGATGTTCATCAGGGATATTGGTCTAAAATTCTCTTTTTTGGTTGTGTCTCTGCCAGGCTTTGGTATCAGAATGATGCTGGCCTCATAAAATGAGTTAGGGAGGATTCCCTCTTTTTCTATTGATTGGAATAGTTTCAGAAGGAATGGTACCAGTTCCTCCTTGTACCTCTGGTAGAATTCGGCTGTGAATCCATCTGGTCCTGGACTCTTTTGGTTGGTAAGCTATTGATTATTGCCACAATTTCAGATCCTGTTATTGGTCTATTCAGAGATTCAACTTCTTCCTGGTTTAGTCTTGGGAGAGTGTATGTGTCCAGGAATTTATCCATTTCTTCTAGATTTTCTAGTTTATTTGCGTAGAGGTGTTTGTAGTATTCTCTGATACTAGTTTGTATTTCTGTGGGATCGGTGGTGATATCCCCTTTATCATTTTTTATTGCATCTATTTGATTCTTCTCTCTTTTTTTCTTTATTAGTCTTGCTAGCGGTCTATCAATTTTGTTGATCCTTTCAAAAAACCAGCTCCTGGATTCATTAATTTTTTGAAGGGTTTTTTTGTGTCTCTATTTCCTTCAGTTCTGCTCTGATTTTAGTTATTTCTTGCCTTCTGCTAGCTTTTGAATGTGTTTGCTCTTGCTTTTCTAGTTCCTTTAATTGTGATGTTAGGGTGTCAATTTTGGATCTTTCCTGCTTTCTCTTGTGGGAATTTAGTGCTATAAATTTCCCTCTACACACTGCTTTGAATGTGTCCCAGAGATTCTGGTATGTTGTGTCTTTGTTCTTGTTGGTTTCAAAGAACATCTTTATTTCTGCCTTCATTTCGTTATGTACCAAGTAGTCATTCAGGAGCAGGTTGTTCAGTTTCCATGTAGTTGAGTGGTTCTGAGTGAGATTCTTAATCCTGAGTTCTAGTTTGATTGCACTGTGGTCTGAGAGATAGTTTGTTATAATTTCTGTTCTTTTACATTTGCTGAGGAGAGCTTTACTTCCAACTATGTGGTCAATTTTGGAATAGGTGTGGTGTGGTGCTGAAAAAAATGTATATTCTGTTGATTTGGGGTGGAGAGTTCTGTAGATGTCTATTAGGTCCGCTTGGTGCAGAGCTGAGTTCAATTCCTGGGTATCCTTGTTGACTTTCTGTCTTGTTGATCTGTCTAATGTTGACAGTGGGGTGTTAAAGTCTCCCATTATTAATGTGTGGGAGTCTAAGTCTCTTTGTAGGTCACTCAGGACTTGCTTTATGAATCTGGGTGCTCCTGTATTGGGTGCATATATATTTAGGATAGTTAGCTCTTCTTATTGAATTGATCCCTTTACCATTATGTAATGGCCTTCTTTGTCTCTTTTGATCTTTGTTGGTTTAAAGTCTGTTTTATCAGAGACTAGGATTGCAACCCCTGCCTTTTTTTGTTTTCCATTGGCTTGGTAGATCTTCCTCCATCCTTTTATTTTGAGCCTATGTGTGTCTCTGCCCGTGAGATGGGTTTCCTGAATACAGCATACTGATGAGTCTTGACTCTTGATCCAATTTGCCAGTCTGTGTCTTTTAAATGGAGCATTTAGTCCATTTACATTTAAAGTTAATATTGTTATGTGTGAATTTGATCCTGTCATTATGATGTTAGCTGGTTATTTTGCTCGTTAGTTGATGCAGTTTCTTCCTAGTCTCGATGGTCTTTACATTTTGGCATGATTTTGCAGCGGCTGGTACTGGTTGTTCCTTTCCATATTTAGTGCTTCCTTCAGGAGCTCTTTTAGGGCAGGCCTGGTGGTGACAAAATCTCTCAGCGTTTGCTTGTCTCTAAAGGATTTTATTTCTCCTTCACTTATGAAGCTTAGTTTGGCTGGATATGAAATTCTGGGTTGAAAATTCTTTTCTTTAAGAATGTTGAATATTGGCCCCCACCCTCTTCTGGCTTGTAGAGTTTCTGCCGAGAGATCCGCTGTTAGTCTGATCGGCTTCCCTTTGAGGGTAACCCGACCTTTCTCTCTGGCTGCCCTTAACATTTTTTCCTTCATTTCAACTTTGGTGAATCTGACAATTATGTGTCTTCGAGTTGCTCTTCTCGAGGAGTATCTTTGTGGCGTTCTCTGTATTTCCTCAATCTGAATGTTGGCCTGCCTTGCTAGACTGGGGAAGTTCTCCTGGATAATATCCTGCAGAGTGTTTTCCAGCTTATTTCCATTCTCCCCGTCACTTTCAGGTACACCAATCAGACGTAGATTTGGTCTTTTCACATAGTCCCATATTTCTTGGAGGCTTTGCTCGTTTCTTTTTATTCTTTTTTCTCTAAACTTCCCTTCTCGCTTCATTTCATTCATTTCATCTTCCATCGCTGATACCCTTTCTTCCAGTTGATCGCATCGGCTCCTGAGGCTTCTGCATTCTTCACGTAGTTCTCGAGCCTTGGTTTTCAGCTCCATCAGCTCCTTTAAGCACTTCTCTGTATTGGTTATTCTAGTTATGCATTCTTCTAAATTTTTTTCGAAGTTTTCAACTTCTTTGCCTTTCGTTTGAATGTCCTCCCATAGTTCGGAGTAATTTGATCGTCTGAAGCCTTCTTCTCTCAGCTCGTCAAAGTCATTCTCCGTCCAGGTTTGTTCCGTTGCTGGTGAGGAACTGCATTCCTTTGGAGGAGGAGAGGCGCTCTGCTTTTTAGATTTTCCAGTTTTTCTGCTCTGTTTTTTCCCCATCTTTGTGGTTTTATCTACTTTTGGTCTTTGATGATGGTGATGTACAGATGGGTTTTTGGTGTGGATGTCCTTTCTGTTTGTTAGTTTTCCTTCTAACAGACAGGACCCTCAGCTGCAGGTCTGTTGGAGTACCCGGCCGTGTGAGGTTTCAGTCTGCCCCTGCTGGGTAGTGCCTCCCAGTTAGGCTGCTTGGGGGTCAGGGGTCAGGGACCCACTTGAGGAGGCAGTCTGCCCGTTCTCAGATCTCCAGCTGCGTGCTGGGAGAACCACTGCTCTCTTCAAAGCTCAGACGGAAATGCAGAAATCACCCATCTTCTGCATTGCTCACGCTGGGAGCTGTAGACCGGAGCTGTTCCTATTCGGCCATCTTGGCTCCTTCCTCGCTGTTACAACCTCTAAAGGAATTATTTGGGGATATATATCAGATTAAATGAAAATTAAGATAAAACTTGCCAGATACAAAATGAAAACTATTGCATTATTTTACATATATGTAGAATTTTTTAAAAAGTCAAATATACAGAAATAGAGAATAAAATAGTGATTACCAGAGGTAGGGTGGGTGGAAGAAATGGGGAGATGTACCTCAAGGGATACAAAGTAGGAAATATGTAGGATGAACAGGTCTGGAGATCTAATGCCCAACCTGCCAACTATAGCTAATATCAGGGCATTGTAGGCCAGGCATGACGGCTCACGCCTGTTATCCCAGCACTTTGGGAGGCCGAGGTGGGCAGATCACTTAAGGCCAAGGAGTTCGAGACCAGCCTGAGCAGCATGGTGAAACCCTGTCTCTACAAAAATTAGCCAAATGTGGTGCCCGTGCCTGTAGTCCCAGCTACTCGCAAGGCTCAGGTGAGAGGATCTCTTGAGCCTGGGAGGTGGAGGTTGCAGTGAGCCAAGATCGCGCCACTACACTCCAGCCTGGGTGACAGAGTGAGACCTTGTCTCAAAAAAATAAATTAAAAAAATAATAAAAATGGTGTATTGTATTCAGGATTTTTGCTAAATGAGTAAATTATAACTGCTCTTGCAATGAGGGGTTGGGAGTGGGAAGGGAAGCAGGTAACTATGTGAGGTGATGGAGGTGTTAATTTGCTTCACTGTAATAACCATTTTACTCACAGCATCATGTTGTATACCTTAAAATATATTTTAAAAATTAAATTAAAAAAAGAAAATTAAGATAAAGCTTTACATTTTTTTTAAATTTAAAATTAAGATAATGGTAGGCAAAGGTGTATTAACTAAATCCAAAATGAAAGAATTCTGATATCTTGATCTTACTATCGGACAGAATTGAATTTGGGAGAGAAAAATATTAAATAAGACAACAACATTTTTTGTTACTTAAAGATTATAGGCGAAGTGCTATGGCTTATGCCTATAATCCCAGTACTTTGGGAGTCCAAGGCAGGAGAATCACTTGAGGCCAGGAGTTCAAGATCAGACTGAGTAACAGTGAGAACCCCTCTAAAACAATTATTTTAATATTAGCCAGGTGTGATGACATGCACCTGTAGTCCCAGCTACTTGGGAGGCTGAGGCGGAGAGGTAGCTTGAGCCCAAGAGTTCAAGGTTATAGTGAACTATGATTGCACCATTGCATCTAGTCTGGGTGACTGAGCGAGTCTCGGTTTTTTAAAACTCTGTCTCTGTTTTTTAAAACAAGATTATAATTCACAATTAAGATACAACTTTCCTTAAAAGTCATGTAGAAAAAGAACATCAAAATGTAAAAAGCAAAAACTATATCAATATAAGAAAAAATAGGCTGGGCACGGTGGCTCACGCCTGTAATCCCAGCACTTTGGGAGGCTGAGGCGGGCAGATCACGTCAGGAGTTCGAGACCAGCCTGGCCAACATGGTGAAACCCTGTCTCTACTAAAAATACAGAAATTAGCTGGGTGTGGTGGTGCACACCTATAATCCCAGCTACTTGGGAGGCTGAGGCAGGAGAATCACTTGAACCCGGGAGGTGGATGTTGCAGTGAGCCAAGATCGTGCCGCTGCACTCCAGCCTGGACAACAGAGCAAGACTCCATCTCAGAAAAAAAAGAAAAAATAGGCAAAAACTCACTGTTAGTAGGAATCTGTGACTGACCTCTTTTAGTCCATGACATATCAAGAAGTCAGAAAATAAGTATTAGTACAAAATACCTAGATAACAGAATTACTAAGGCCAACCTTACAGAGATATACAAAATCCTATTCTATTCCAAGAAAAAGTGCACCTTCTTTTCAAGTGTCTGAAACTGTCCAAAAATTTACAACATATAACCTAGAAAGCCTCAAAAAAAGTCCAAAAAGTAGACATAGCAAACTTTTCTTATCACAAGACTTGAAAACTATGAAACAAAAAGACCTATTAGAAAAAAACTCAGCATATCACTGACAAATAGCTTCTTTCTTAAACAAATCTTATGTTAAATAGAAAATCAAATTCAAAATTTCAAAATATCTAGAAAACAGTAATAAAAATACCATATGCTAGAAATTATGGTACTTTGTAAAAGCAGGGCTCAACAATCCATAAAAGTAGGAGGGAAAAAAGGGACAGGCAAATAGAAGAGATAAAATAGAACTACACAGCTGAGTGTGGCAGTATGTGCCTGTATTCCCAGGTACTTGGGAGTCTGAAGTGAGAGGATCGCTTGAGCCCAGGAGCCCAGGAGTCCGGCCTGGGCAACATAAGGAGACCCTTGTCTCTTAAAAAAAAAAAAAGAAAAGAAAAGAAAAGAAAAGAAAAGAAAGAGGGGGGCGGGCGTGGTGGCTCATGCCTGTAATCCCAGCACTTTGGGAGGCTGAGGCGAGCAGATCACAAGGTCAGGAGTTCGAGACCAGCCTGGCCAACATAGTGAAACCCCATTTCTACTAAAAATACAAAAAATAATTAGCTGGGCATGGCGGCGGGCACCTGTAATCCCAGCTACTTGGGAGGCTGAGGCAGGAGAATCTCTTGAACCCAGGAGGCGGAGGTTGCAGTGAGCCAAGATTGTACCATTGCACTCTAGCCAGGGCAACAGTGCGAGACTCCAGCTCAAAAGAAAAAGAAAAGGGTAGAAATACACAAAATAAGAAATGAAAACATTCAGATATAAAAAGAAAAATTAGTAAATCTAAGCACATTATCTTGATCAACTATGCAAATTATTTTGAAAATGTGAATGAAATAGTAATTTTCCATGGATAAATACTAAATATTCCATTGCATATTGTCAGAATGGATTTATTAAAAAACAGAACAAAATTTATGTTGCTTATAAGAGACATTTTTAAAAAACACAGAAAGTTTGAGAATTAAAGGACAGAAAAAGAAATGCCATGTGAACACTAATCAATATAAAGCTGGAATAATTTTGCTAAAGCGGACAAAACACTTCAAGGCAAGAAGTATTACCCATTCTGTGTCAACCTCATTTTTTATATCATTATTCATCTCTCATATGTGTCTATCTGGTATCCCCAGCCATAATCTGGTAACCTATCTCATCACACGCCTTTCTACCCAGTGTTTTGCCCACAGGAAATGCTCAGTATATGCCAGTAGTCCTGGGTGTCTCTGCAGATAAGTTGTGTATTATCAAAATGCCTGACTTTATTCTCTGTTCAAAGCTTCTCTGTATCATGTGGGTATGATTTTGAAAACTGTCAATGTTAAATGTTTAACATATTCCTCAGACCCACTGCTGAGGAATGTCCTGCGGAGGACAGTCTAGAACTCAAATGAAAGACATGAGGAAGAAATCATTATCCCTGTGAGCCATAGAAGTGTTTGCTTTCTATGGACAACCAGAATGCAGGAAACCTCACTATCAGGCAGAGGACAATCTGATAATGAAATGTGCTCTACAGAATATGGGAGAAACTGTGGCCAGGAGTGGAGGCTGGGAACCATGTAGGAAGGGGAAGAATGAAAGGAAACTAGTTTTAGAAATGAACATGGATTCTAAATTTTCTCCAATACTTTTCTATAATCTCCTCTCATTTTATTTTTCTCAGCCCATTACCATCGTAAGTTCCATGACAATATTTTTTTCTAGAACTCCCTCCTCTATTCCATAGAATACCTTTCAACATACACTAACCAGAATAACCTCTCTCCCTTCTAAACAATCCCTTTCCAGCACTTGTCAAATTTCAGTAACATGATAGACAGAGAAAACAATAAGGAGACATAAGTGGTTAAAATTTAAAAGAAAAAAAGCAAGCAGCACTTACCTGCATATTATGTCACTTGGGTCCTGGAAAAAAACAGAACACAGACACTGTCATAAAAATAGTTCTCAGGAGCCATCATCATTCTCTACTGTGGGATCATTGAGAAATGGGTATACACCAGGACTGAACAGAGAATTATTCTGATGGACCCGGACCTGTCCTCCCTCTGCTGCAGTTTCTTTTTTTCTTTTCTTTTCTTGTTTTTTTTTTTTATTTTTTTATTTATTTTTATTTTTTTTTCATTTGAGATGGAGTCTCACTCTGTCACCCAGGCTGGAGTGCAGTGGTGTGATCTTGGCTCACTGCAACCTCTGTCTCCCGGGTTCAAGTGATTCTCCTGACTCAGCCTCCAGAGTAGCTGAGATTACAGGCACCTGCCACCATGTCCGGCTAATTTTTGTATTTTTAGTAGAGATGGGATTTCACTATGTTGGCCAGGATGGTCTCGAACTCCTGACCTCGTTATCTGCCTGCCTCAGCCTCCCACAGTGCTGGGATTATAGGCATGAGCCACTACTCCCAACCTGCAGTTTCTTTCTTTTTTTTTTGAGATGGAGTCTGGCTCTGTCGCCCAGGCTGGAGTGCAGTGGCACAATCTCGGCTCACTGCAAACTCCGCCTCCCGGGTTCACGCCATTCTCCCGACTCAGCCTCCGGAGTAGCTGGGACTACAGGCACCCACCACCACACCCGGCTTCATTTTTGTATTTTTTAGTAGAGACGCGGTTTCACTGTGTTAGCCAGGATGGTCTCGATCTCCTGACCTCATGATCTGCCTGCCTTGGCCTCCCAAAGTGCTGGGATTACAGGTGTGAACCACTGTGCCCGGCCTGCAGTTTCAATTTATAAGGACAAATGCTTCCCCTTCATGTCTTTCATTCGAGTTCTAGACTATCCTCTTCAGAAACCTTTCTTGATTTATAGACAGATAAAAATCTGTTAAGAATCCCATTGTCTATTCAGTTAAGGCTCAAATTTCAGCCTGCTTTGGAAGGCCTCAACTCAGTTGGCCCCATCATACTTTTCACTTCTCCCTCACTTAATCTGACTCTTCCAGAAAGGTAGCTACCTTCATTCTATGTCCCCTTCTTATCAGTCTTCCTACTCCTATCTTCCCCAGCACCTATGCCCACCTGCCAACACATATACCAAGTTTATTATTACATTCATTTATCTAATTGTAACTAGTGTGTCCCCACCCCCTACCAAGTGGAATGTTTAGCTCCTTTCTGACAATCTAAATCTTACTTAGCTGGGCGTGGTGATGGGTGCCTGTAGTCCCAGCTACTCAGGAGGCTGAGGCAGGAGAATCACTTGAACCCAGGAGGTGAAGGTTGCAGTGAGTTGAGATCGCGCCACTGCACTCCAGCCTGGGTGACAGAGGGAGATGCCATCTCAAATAAATAAATAAATATAAAATAAAATAAATCTTTACGTTTCCTTCAAGGCCAACATCAAAAGCCTCTTCTTTGAAGGCTTCTCTGACTAAACACTAGCTGTTTCCAGAATTCTTGTGGCATCCAATCTGACTGGAAGATTTAACATCAGATTATTTGTTGTAATTATAAATGTACAGATCTTAATATTCCATTATATGGTCTGTGCATATTATAGACCCCTGCCCACTGCACTTTGGGGCTTAAAACCTATTGGTTGGCTAATTCAGTTATTAAAGAATTCAGTAAATGAGAATAACACCTTGTCTCTCTTGACTCTTGGTCCAAATCTCTTGCAAATAGGCCACACCGTAGTCATAGAGCAAGAGGACTCAGATACAGTTTGGTTGGTCCTTTACCTTCAAAAGTTCAAGTGCTGGCTGCCGAGACTTCTCCAACTCAGTGATCAGGGTCCCAAGCTGGACCACCTCCTCAGAATCCTTGATGACACGGCTGTTCCTCCTTTTGGTGAGTTCTTGCTCTAGCCCTACCAGCTGCTCCAACAGGTACTGTTCCCTTTCTCTCAAAAACCGATGGCCCTATTCAAACACTGATACAATGTCTTGCCTGTGGTTCTGAAATGTTGTCTCCAGTAAATGCAGAAAGAGAAAAGTGACCTTTTTGAGAGGCTAGGGAACACCAGAACATGTGTGAGATCTTCTGAGGATGAGTTCAGAACAGAAATCTCTTTGATCACTCTCCCCCTCCCCATTCCTCAATACTTCCCCCACACACATACCCCTTCCTCTCCTTAACCTATGCCCCGCTACTACCTACACACACACCCCTGCCCTACACACATACACACATTCATACAGAACATTTACTAGAGACCTCTCTTACCACCAGGGCCTGAATCTCATCTTCTCCCATAGACTGAGAATTCTGAATGCTATCCCTGTATCCCTTCAGAATCTTCCGATGGTTTAGAATTTTGCCCTATGAAAATAAACAAGGATAGTCTCGGGCTGGGCGTGGTGGCTCATGCCTGTAATCCCAGTACTTTGGGAGGTCGAGGCAGGTGGATTACCTGAGGTCAGGAGTTAAAGACCAGCCTGGCCAACATGGTGAAACCCTGTCTCTACTAAAAAATACAAAAATTAGCTGGGTATGGTGGTGAGCACCTGTAATTCCAACTACTTGGGAGGCTGAGGCAGGAGAATCAGTTGAACCTTGGAGGCGGAGGTTGCAGTGAGTCGGGATCGCGCCACTGCACTCCAGCCTGGGCAACAAGAGCAAAACTCTGTCTCAAGAAAAGAAAAAAAAAGAAAAAGAAAAAGAAAATAAACTTGGATAGTCTCAAGATCAAGATGAAAATGACCTAAATGACAAAAGGGAGATGCAAAGTGATTCCAGAGTGAAATCCAACTGCATTTGACCATGTGTAGTTTAATAATGGTTGTGTGGAACAATTTCCATTCTAGTTAATAAGGAAGATCCATTGAGTGATACAATGGCCTAGAGCAATTTCTTAGAAGTAAGACAAAATAATATCGTATTATCATTATAACTAACAAGACTTATGGTATAGTTTCTAATTTATATTTACACTATCCTTTTCTACCAAAAATACAGACAATTAAAATTAAAATTAATTAATAAAACAAAAATAGAAGGTGGGTGCAGTGGTATGTGCCTGTAGTCCCAGCTATTTGGGAAAATAAGGGTGAAGTATCTCTTGAGCCCAAGTCTTTGAGGGCATACCTTGGCAACATAGTGAGACCCTGTCTTGTAAAAAGAAAAAAAAATAGAAACAAAAAATTAACACAAAAAGTCAAGGAAAGTATATATGCCAACTCCAAATAATAATAATAATAACTATTATTATTATTATTGTAGAGATGGGGTCTTGCTATAGCCCAGGCTGGTCTCCTGTTCTCAAGCTATCCTCCTGCCTTGGCTTCCCAAAGTGTTGGGATTACAGGCATGAGCCACCACACCTGGCAGCAACTCCAGATTATTAAGAGGATGACTAAATTGGCAGGCAAAGAGAAAAGGGAAACAATGAACTGCCTGATGTTTCTTTTTTCTTTTCTTTTCTTTTTTTTTTTTTTTTTTTGAGACAAAGTCTCACACTGCTGCCCAGGCTGGAGTGCAATGGCACAATCTTGGCTCACTGCAAGCTCCGCTTCCTGGGTTCAAGCGATTCTCTTGCCTCAGCCTCCCGAGTAGCTGGGACTACAGGCGCCCACCACCACGCCCGGCTAATTTTTTGTATTTTTAGTAGAGACAGGATTTCACTGTGTGTACCAGGATGGTCTCGATCTCCTGACCCTGTGATCCGCCCGCCTCGGCCTCCAAAAGTGCTGGGATTACAGGCGTGAGCCACCGCACCCGACCTCAAAAATATTTTTATAACAACTGTGTACATACCACTTGAAGCTATATACTACGAGAGCTATCAGGAGTGCTGGTATTCTGTATAGCTGATAAGACTTGATCTGAACCTCAGAGATGAAACCATCAAGGCAATGTGATAGACTTACTTCCATAAAAGATATAAAACCAAACCAGCTTTATTATCCAAATGCAAAGGGTAGTACTTTACCAAGAATCTTTCATGCTAAAGAATTTGAACTGTCTTACACCTCTTAGAAATGCTATTATATTTTTTAAAAGATAAGAAGCGTTGGTGAGGATGTGGAGAAAGGGGAACCCTGATACGCTGTTGGTGGAAATGCAAACTGGTACAGCCATTATAAAAACAGTAAGAAGCTCCTCAAATAATTAAAAACAGAACTACCATATGATCCAGCAATTTCACTTCTGGGTATTTATAGCCCATATACTTCCCATGTTCTTTGCAGCACTATTCACAATAACCAAGATTTAAAAAACCCTAAATGTTCACTGATGGATGAATAAAGAAAATGTGGTATATACATACAATGCAATATTATTCAGCCTTAAAAAGAAGGAAATTCTGCCATTGGTAACAACATGGATGGACCTTGAGAACATTATGCTAAGTGAATATGCCAGATACATACTGTGCGACCTCACTTATATGTGGAATCTAAAACAGTCAAACTTACATAAACAGAGTAGAATGGTGGTTGCCAGGGACTGGTGGGGACGGGGAATGGAGGGTTGATGGTCAAAGTTACAAAGTTTCAGTTATGCAAGATAAAGAAGTTCTAGAGACCTACTATATAGCATAATGCCTATAGCTAAAAACACTGTATTGTATACTTCAAATTTACTAAAAGAATAGATCTTTGGCTAAGTGTTCTTATCACACACACAAACTAATAACAATAAAGAGGGTGTGTGGAAAGTTTGGAAAGTGATAGACGTGTTTTTGCTGTGATGATGGTTTCAGAGGTGTATACTCATCTACAAACTCATTAATTGGTATACATTAAATATGTATAGCTTTTACATGTCAATCATACCTCAATAAAGTAATGCAAAAAACCTGCACCTTATCCTGAAGGTACCATAGAACTTTCTGGCTAAAAGAACAGAGCTGGGGTCCAACACGATTCTTACCCGACGAGGCTGTGCAGCCTTTTCTAGGAGAACAGCAGCATGGTGCTTGTGTTCTCGGGACTCCAACGCATCACATACACCATCTGCTGGTCATCCTTTGAAGCATTAATGGAGCTTCTCCAGGTGTCGCCTACACAGCTTCTCTGCTTTTTGCTCAGGTGGTCTTTCCTCTCTGGGTTGTCTCTCCTCATCTACCTTCATTCTCCAAATGTTCTCCATCAGGTTGGCCATCTGCCACACATGGCAGATATTTTTTCTTAAAAGCTGGCTTGCACAGAGAACAATGTAATGGTTGCCTAGTAGATTCACAGACCTGAATGATGCAGTGGTAGCAAAAGACATGACCACAGTCAATGGTCACTGGGTCTCTCAAGTAGTCAAGACAGATGGAGAACCTCATCCTCCAGATTTCTCAGAGGGGAGGCAGCAGTTGTGATCACTATGCTCAAGTCCTGCAAAGAGTTCACTCTCAAAGTGAGAAATCACTTTCTGAGAAGACATGAAGAAAACAAAGAAGTTGTGAGTTTAATGAACATCAAAATGGAACCCATGAGAAAATAGTTTTTATGTTCAAACTGCTCCCAACCTTTTTTCTCAAAATCCAAAGTCCCTTCCAGAGCACTACTCAGAACACGTTCTGGCTTGCAGTGTTAGATGAATGTTAATTTTAGGCAGCTAGCTCTGCTGTAAGCATTTCAAAGGGTGCTCATATATGTAATTTTTTTTTCCCCGAGACGGAGTCTCGTTCTGTCGCCCAGGCTGGAGTGCAGTGGCACTATCTCGGCTCACTGCAAGCTCCACCTCCCGGGTTCACGCCATTCTCCTTCCTCAGCCTCCCAAGTAGGTGGGACTACAGGCGCCGGCCACCTTGTCCGGCTAATTTTTTGTGTTTTGAGTAGAGACGGGGTTTCACCGTGTTAGCCAGGATGGTTTCGATCTCCTGATCTCGTGATCTGCCCGCCTTGGCCTCCCAAAGTGCTGGGATTACCGGTGTGAGCCACCGCGCCCGGCCTCATATATGTAATTAAGTGGGAGTATCCTAGAAGATTTTGGACAACTAATTTTTCAATAAAGTATAAAGGATTTGTGCCCACCTCTCAGTAGATCAGCTCAGTAAAATATATTTCCTGTAAATAATTCAAAAGTAGAGAATAAGAACTAACAAAATTTGGGCCTGTATCTTAAAACTCATCTGAAAACATGAGAGCTACATATTAGAAACCACTAGGTTTTGGCCGGGCGCGGTGGCTCACGCCTGTAATCCCAGCACTTTGGGAGGCCGAGGCGGGCGGATCACAAAGTCAGGAGATCGAGACCATCCTGGCTAACACAGTGAAACCCCGTCTCTACTAAAAATACAAAAATTAGCCGGGCGTGATGGCGGGCGCCTGTAGTCCCAGGTAGTCGGGAGGCTGAGGCAGGAGAATGGCGTGAACCCGGGGGGCGGAGCTTGCAGTGAGCCGAGATTGTGCCACTGCACTCCAGCCTGGGCGACAGAGCCAGACTCCGTCACAAAAGAAGAGAAAAGAAAAGAATGCACTAGGTTCATCCACAGGTCTGTTATTCATACACTGCCTGAGAAATCTCTTCATCATGGTTTAAACTAATTTTTTCAAACATGTTTTGAAACATCACAGTAAAAAAGTCACTCATGTCCCAGTCTAATATACATGCATATGCACACACAGACACACACACACACACATTTTGTTGGGTACCATTTTTCTTTATTATTTGTAATATATTCTGATTTTTAAATTACAGTCCATTTTAAAAATGCTGGTTATAACCTGCAAAATTGGTTTCATGACAGTAGGTATCACCTACATTTTGAAAAACAAATCAAACCACAACTTTATCACTAACAGTGACCTCTACCTACAGATGCAAACTCTGGGGAGCTACCAAGGCCTACTGAACCACCACTTGAATCTTGCACCTTAAACTCACACATCAAAATCCACTATCTCTCTCATTCTTCCTATTCCTCAGGAACACGTACCAATAGCCACCCCATTATCCAAGCCATTACAGACAACAGTAAGGAGGCTTCTCAAAAAATTAAAAGTAGAACTACTATATGATCCATCAATCTCACTAATGGATATATATCCAAAGGAAATGAAATTGGTACGTCAAAGAGATACATGCACTCCCATGTTCACTGCAGCGCTATTCACAATAGCCAAGATATGAAATTAACCAAAGTGGCCATCAAAGAATGAATAGATTTTTAAAAATGTGGCGTATGTACACAATGGAATACTTTTCAGCCATAAAAAGAATGAAATTCTGTCATTTGTAACAACATGAATGAACCAAGAGGACATTATATTAAGTAAGCCAAGCAATGAAGAACAAATGGCACATGATTTCACTCATATGTGGAACTGCAAAAGCTGATCTCATAGAAGGGAAGAGGAGAATAGCGGTTACCAGAGACCGAGAAGGAGAGGGAGAAGTGAGGATGTACACTCAAGTGAGAATGTACACTGAAAACTATAAAAAATTGCTGAAATTGAAGATCTAAATAAATGGAAAGACATCTTGTGTTGATGGGTAGAAAGACTTAAAATTGTTAAGTTGTCAATAATATCCAAAGTGATCTACAGACTCAATTAATCTCTATCAAAATTTCAACAGCCTTTTAAACAGATATGGAAAAGCAGGTCCTTGAATTCATATGGAAATGTTCACAAAAAAACAACAGTGTTTGTAGGAAAAACAGAGTTTTGATAGGCAACTCAAAATCTATTCATCTTCATACTCATAACACTAACAAAGCAATAACAATTCGAATAAAAATACTAGCATAGTTTTTAAAAAGAAAAAAAAAAGACTTGTTAAACTCTAAATAGATGAAAGACTTTTTAAAGGGGGAACTAGGCTGAGGGGTGGCTCATGCCTGTAATCCCAACACTTTGGGAGGCCGAGGTGGGCAGATCACTATGTCCAGAGATCGAGACCATCCTGGCCAAGATGGTGAAACCCCCATCTCTACTAAAAATACAAAAATTAGCTGGGCATGGTGGTGCGCGCCGGTAGTCCCAGCTGCTCGGGAGACTGAGGCAAGAGAATCGCTTGAACCTGGGAGGCAGAGGTTGCAGTGAGCCGAGATCTCACCACTGCACTCCAGCCTGGTGACAGAGCAAGACTCCATCTCAAAAAAATTAAAAAAAGGAGGCCAGGTGCAGTGTCTCATGCCTGTAATCCCAGCACTTTGGGAGGCCGAGGTGGGTGGATCACGATATCAGGAGATCAAGACCATCCTGCCTAAGACGGTAAAACCCCGTCTCTACTAAAAATACAAAAAATTAGCCAGGCATGGTGGCACGTGCCTGTAGTCCCAGCTACCCAGGAGGCTGAGGCAGGAGGATGGCTTGAACCCGGGAGGCGGAGGTTGGAGTGAGCCGAGATTGCACGACTGCACTCCAGCCTGGGCGACAGAGCGAGCCTCCATCTCAAAAAAAATAACAATTAAAAGAATGAAAAAATAAAATAAAATAAATAAAGGGGGAACTAAAGATACAAGGGGATAAGGAAAGATGGAAGCTGCTGCTTTATGGAGACAAGGTGGAGGGACATCACCATGAGAAGCTATAGAGGATAAGCAGTTGAAGCTTTGCACAAAATGTAGATGACAAAGATGGGTAGCTCTGGATGGTTATTTTCTGCTTGTTTGTTTTGCACCTGCTTAAAAAAAAACACCTGATTTGTTTTTTTCTGTATTGCCACCTTCCTTCTTTCATTAAGAAGCTGCTGTTATGACTCCAAATAGGACCTTGTGCCATGAAGTGCAATCTGCACTAACACATCTACAAATGCATGTCAATCACACCTAAAGTAGAAAAAGAAAGCTCTTGTGGAATTATTCTAAAGTCTAATGGATTTTTCTTCCCCACTCTTAAGGGGCATCTCAGCAACAAGTTGTTATGGAACTGTGGCAACATCTTAATATTCCCATTCTCAAAATAGTTCAGAAAAAGTGCATGAAAATTGGGGGAACTACTTAGTAAGCACTTCAGGATAGAGAATGTAGCCAAAATGAGTAAAATGGAGAAGGAGTCAACGGCATTGTGCACAGCATTGTATTCATAGCTTGCTCCCTTAAATCGTGTTTGGGACTTGGCTGCTATTTTGGTACAGCTGCTATTACTCAGTGCAGAACATTAACATATGGGGGAAATTGTATATTACACAATGCAGCTTCCACATTATGCTGACACCATTCCTCTACTTGTCCATTTACTTTAAGAGACACTTACTGATGCAAAGGAGACTGAACAGTGAAGGATCTCACTCAGAATCCTGTCCACAATCTGTCCAGTTTACACCTTACCCCAAAGAGGTAATCTCTTTTGTTAATTACCTGTGTATCTTCCAATTTTTTCATGATAATATAATAATGACTCTTCATTCCCTCTTTTTTTAACACAGAGGTAGCCTGTTATACAACGTTCTTCACCTCATTCTCTCACTTCACAATATATCTTGGAGATCTTACCAAAAGCACACAGAGACCTCCTGTGTTGTGATTAGATTTTCATTGCATAATATTCCATTGTTCGTGTGTGTGTGAGTGTTTAGTTAGTCTCAAATTGATAGGTGCATGAATTTTTCCAATCTTTTGTTAAGGCAAGCAGTATTGAATAAACTTGTACATAATATTTTTGCATGTGTATAATTATATCTGTAGAATGAGTTTCAAAAAATGAAATTGAAAGGTTTAAGGCTGTATTCACAAACAATTTTGAAAGGTATTGATTGCCTAATTGTCCTCCAAAAGGTTTGTCCCAAACTGGACTCCTATAACCAATAAATCAAAGTGCTTGTTTCTCCATAGCCTTGTCAACAGAGGGTGTTGCCAAACTTTTAACTTTTTGCCAATCTGACAGGAAAGACATGATATCTCCTGTAGTTTTTCTTCTTCCTCTGGTAAAAGCAAGGTTAAGTGTTTTTTCATGTGTTTAATAACTATTTTTGTTTCCTTTTCTGAGTTTCTTCACAGTTCCCGAGACAGAAAAAAGGAAAAAGGATTTCAGCAGACAGAATTTCAACAACAATTGTCTGTTAAAATTCTTTTTACTTTTTCTTTCAGAGATTGCTAGTCTCTTTCTTCTCAATTTTAAGGTGCATTTTAATTGCTAAAGAGGTCATTTCTTTGGATGTGATATGCATGAAAATATTTCTATAAGTTTTTCATTTGTCTTTTGATTTTTTATGATATTTTCTGCTACTCGGAACTGCTTTTTATTTTATGTAGTTCAGTTTATTAATTTTCTGTCCTATGGCTTTTACGATTTGGAGTTACAGTTAGATAGCCCTCCTCCAAAGTTAGAAAGGAATATTTCCTTTTTTTCATTGAAAACTTTGACCCATTTGGAGTTTATCATGCTATACAGTTGGAATTGTGCCCAACTTTAAATATTATTTCCCATGTAGTTATCCAGTTATCTCAAAAGCATTTATTGAATGGTCATCTATCTTTTCCACTGATCTGAGATCCCATTTTTATCATCCACTAAATTACTGTATGCTTGGGTCTATTTCTAGATTTCCTTTTATTTTTCATTGATCTGTCTGTTTATGTACCAACATCACATTCTTTTCGTTATTGAGGCTTTAGAATGTTTTCATATTTGGCAAAGCCAGTTTTTCTCAAGCTCCCCTTGTCTGAGGTTTAGTTGGTATTCTTTCTTTATTTTTCATATGAATCTTTGAATCAGTTTATCTAGTTAAAAAGAACACCTGGCTGGGCACGGTGGCTCACGCCTGTAATCCCAACACTTTGGGAGGCTGAGGAGGGAGGATCACCTGAGGTCATGAATTCGAGACCAGCTTGGTCAACATGGTGAAACCCCATCTCTACTAAAATACAAAAAATAGCTGGGGTGGTGGTGTGTGCCTGTAATCGCAGCTACTCAGGAGGCTGAGGCAGGAGAATCGCTTGAGCCCGGGAGACAGAGGTTGCAGTGAGCTGAGATTGTGCCGTTGCTCTCCAGCCTGGGCAACAAGAGTGAAACTCTGTCTCAAAAAAAAAAAAGAACACCTCTGGTATTTTTATTTTTTACAAGTTAAATTAAGATTAGCCCGGAGGGATGATAACTTTATGATGATCAATGTATGTATTCGAGAAATATTTCAGGTTTTTAAAGTATTTAAGTGTTTGTTACATATAGGTATCACACATTTCAAAGTAAGTTCATTCCAGAGTATTTTATCTTTTTGTTGATATTATAAATAGTATCTTTTCTTCTGTTATATCTTCTACCTAAATGTTGATTTGGATACATGAAAACTATTTACTTCTTCCTATAGCTATTTTATTCTGCATGTTAGGGTAGAAAACAAAACTGTAATAATGGAGAAAACTGTAAATGAGATGACTCAAACAAAATAGTTTATTTCCATCTCAACAGTCCTGGGTAGGTTTATCAAGATGGTGAGTGGTTGTACTCTATGAAGTCACTTAGGGATGCATGCTATTAGAAGTTCTTCTATCTTCAACATGTGATTACAAGATCAATTTGCTTCAACCAATGATGAAGGGTTTCAAGAAGGGCTGAAGTTCAAGGTCTCTTTAATCTGTGAGGTGACTGTTTCATTTATCACAACTTATATTCCTTTGTCAAGACCCTAGTCACATGGCTACATCTAACTGCAAAGAGGGCTAGGAAATGTGGTCCGGCCAGGTCTCAGCTATACTTTATTTGTTTGAGAGAAGGAAAATGGATTTTGTGGTCAGTTAGAAGTCATTACACAGACCAGCAATGGTCACCAATAATCCACATATACTCTACTTTTCACATTTAGAAAAAACTCACCTCACCCCCTAGGGAAATATCTCATCCAGTTATGACATCCAGCTCAAAATCCAGGATCTTTAGGTGACATGCAGTTTTCTATTGGATATACACTTGAGTCCTCATGGCCCAGTGACCCATAAAGTAATAAAATCTAAATTATCACTCTCTACCACGTAAACACAGATAATATACAATGGTGAAGTGAGAACAGGATAATGGCAAAAGAAACTCTTATTTAAAAAACAGAAACACACAATCATTGGCCCACAGCAATGATTAAATCTTACTGGGTAGGAATCCTAAATTATCCTTGCCCTCTCAATGGAGTAAGTTCCAAGCTTAGTCCATCTGACTATCACTGGTCCTCTCTGTGGGAGGAACTCCTTTGTTTGTCATCCTGACCACTGGCTTTGCTTTCTGGAAGATTCTTTCTTCTCCATTATCTACCATAGCCAATATAAGAAGAAGTGAGGAGTACTCATTTCTTAGGATTGCCCCGTACAGATTTTGCAGCCTGACTTCTGTGGTTGCAATTTGAGGGCCTATGAGTTATTTTAAGCTTAACCACAGGCTTTTTTATGTTAGGCTTTATGGCTTCCTTGGGAATATAATTTCTTCAAAAACTAAAAGGGCTTCTTGTTTATTTGTTTCATGCATCAATGACCACAACCAAAGTTCTTTTCTAGGTCTGATTCTGAAATCTTTTGTTCTAAGCTCTGTTGAATGACTCATGTCACTCTTAATTTAATGGTAACAACTTTGAGTGGGAAGAAAACTCCTTTAATCTAATTGTTTCCTTAGGCGTCTGTCCTTCTGTTTGCCTTAATACAAGGCCTTTGGGAAAAGCTTAGAGGAAGGTATTAGTTTTTTATCACTGATTTAACAAATTACCACAAACTTAGTTGCTTAAATATAAATGTATAATCTATAAATATAAATTTATGATAATATAATATATATTATATATTTATAATAGAAATTTATGAACTTACAGTTCTGTAAGTCAGAAAACCAACACTAGTTTCGCTAAGCTAAAATCAAGGTATCAGTAGGACCACATTACTTCTAGAGGCTCACAGGGAGAATCTGTGTTCTTGCCTTTTTCAGCTTCTAGAGGTTGCTGGCATTCTTTGGCTTATGGCCCTGTTTCTCCACCTTCAAAATCAGCAATATAACACATCTCTCTGACCCTTTGTCCCATCATCACATGTCTCTCTCTTACTGCAGCTGGGAAAGATCTTCTGCTTTTAATGACTCATGTGATTAAATTGGGCCCACTGGAATAATTCAGGATGATCTCCTCATCTCAAGGTCCTTAATTGCATTTGCAAAGTCCCTTTTGCCATGTACGGTAACATATTCACAGATTCTGGGGACTAGAATGTGGACATTTTGGTGGGGGGACAGTCATTATTTGGCCTAACACAAGCAACTAAAGCCATATTTCCTGTTATCTGAAATATAAAAGCATTTCTCAATCTTGTAAAGACTCACATCTCTGGACTCTATTTCCTTCAATCTCTGCTTGCAATCTGGTCATTTCTTGCCTGAGTTTGCACTTTCTTATAATATTTTGCTAAATGCAACAAGAAGCAGGCAACACTGGAAACAATCTAAATTTCCATCAACATTTGAATGAATAGACACATTGTAGTACATCCATACAATAAACTACTATATAGCAATAAAAAGGAATGGACTATTTATACACTCAACAACATAGATTAATCACAAAATAATTATGCTGGATGAAAGAATCTAGACAAAAATAGAGTACATATTATGAGTTCATTTATGTAAAATTCTAAAAAAGGAAGCCAACCTATAGTGACAGAAAGCAGACCAGTATTTGCCTGGGGATGGATTATAGGATGGGTTGAATTCAAAGGAGCAGGGAAAAGCTATGGGGGGTGACAGATATATTCATTATTTTAATTGTGGTGATGATTTCACAGGTGGATTCCTATGTCAAAACTCATCAGATTATATACTTTAAATACATGCAGTTTACTAGTTACGATAGTGAAGACGTGGAACCAACTTAACTGCCCATCAACTGTAGACTGAATAAAGAAAATGTAGTACATATACACCATGGAATACTATGCAGCCATAAAAAAGAATGAGATCGTGTCCTTTGCAGCAATATGGATGGAACTGGAGGGCCATTATCCTAAGTAAATTAATGTAGGAAGAGAAAACCAAACATCACATGTTCTCACTTATAAGTGGGAGCTAAACATTGAGTATACAAGGACACCAAGAAGGGAACAATAGACATTGAGGTCTATTTGAGGATGGAGGGTGGAAGGAGGGTGAGGATCAAAAAACTACCCATCAGGTACTACGCTTATTACCTGGGTGATGAAATAATCTGTACAACAAACGCCTGTGACACACAATTTATTCATGTAACAAACCTGCATATGTACCCCTGAACCTAAAATAAAAGTTGGAGAGAAAAAAAAAGAAATCTGGAAGCAGAAACACACACAGAGCATGACGGCTCCAAAGACAACCAGGCAAAATCTGTTACTTTATCAACAAAAGTGCATTATTTTCATTCCCTGGTATTTGTTGCTAATGTAAATTTTGTTCAACAACCTGAATAGAATTAAGCAAAGCTTTGGGAATTTTTGCCAGGCAGGTACAAAAATATGTGTGCTATTTTTTTGTTCCACATCTTGAGAGAGCATGAAAAACATAAATATGTGCAGTTTATTGAATATCAGTTGGACTCAATAAAGCTATTTTTAAGGTGTACTAAAAAATAAACAAAGAGATACATTCATAGTATTGCATATGGGATTTCACTGAGACATAAGCTCATGAAGGTTGGGGCCTTTGTTTGGTTCATTACTGTATCACCAGAACCTATGATAGCACCTGGCACATATTAGAGGTTCAATATATCCCATATAACTTGTAGAAGGCAGAAGAATGTCCCTATCCCCAAGATGTCCATGTCCTAATCCCTAGAACCTGACTATATTATGTTATACGGCAAAAGAGAATTAAGGTTGCTAATCAGTTGACTTTGTAAAAAGGGAGGTTATTAGGCCGTATGAGGTCCAATCTAATCACACCAATCTTTAATAAAAGTGGAAAGAAGAAGAAGCAGAATGTAGCTCAGAGAGATAGGACATGAGATGGACATAACCAACTGTTGTTGGATTTGAATACAGAGAAAAGAGGCTATGAGCCAAGGAATTCTACAGCCCTTTGAGCTGTTAACAGCTCTGTTTAAAGCCAGTAAAAAGACAGGAACCTAGTCCTCCAACTACAAGGAATTGAGTTCTGCAAGCAACCAGAATGAACAGAAAACAAATTTTCCCCTAAAGCCTTCAAAAAGAGATGCAACCACACTAACAACTTGATTTTAGCCCATTGAGACTTGTTTCAGACCTCTGACCTACTGAGGCAAGATAAGTAAGGTTAGGAGGCCATACTAACTTGTCCCATGTGTGAAGCCCCACGGCTCCTTTTACAGTGAATTCTTTTCACTTGCACCCTCCTGCATCAGCACTGAAGTCTTTTGCAAGACAAGCAGTCCTGCAGGATTCTGCCAGGTGGTTACAAGTTCTTGATACCCTATACAGCCTGGGAAAGAGAACGAAAGCCCTTTGTTCATGATGTAGCTACCCATCTCCAGCCAATCAGCACCAAAAGCCCAAGAAGCTATTAGCTACAAATTCCTGCCTTGGTTGGGGTGGGTGGAGGTGTGACTGGGAAATTCTCCAGGGTCTTGCATACACAGCTAGGCTCAAGGTTTAGCTTATGGTGACCTTTTCCTCATTGTAATAGCAAAAAACACACCACCACGTGGGGATTTTATACGCTAATGATACATGGGATGCGTGTTAGACCAAGTAGCTCATGTGCTAACCACAGGTCTGCCTTTGCTTACTTGATCTCACCAGTATTTTATTAATATGTATGTACAGTTTCCACAAAGGAAATTCCCCTTAAGGCACTAACTACTGCCTCTAGCTTTGAGCTAGCTTTGAGCAGCCCACTCTGCCTCTCAGAGTGTACTTTCACTTTGCAATAAACTCCTTTGCCTAGTCTTATTTTGGACTCACTCTCAAATTCTTTTGTGTGGCCCAGAATCTGAATCTGGCCCACCAACGACATTGCAGAAGTGTAAGAGAATACATTCGTGTTGTTTAAACAGCTAAGTTTGTGGTAATTTGTTACAGCAGCAATAAAAACCTAATCCATAACTAAAAGAAGCTATGTTCTGGTCCCTAGAAGCACCAAAGAAGCTGCAATGTCCTCGGTCCCCAGTTTAGGGGAATGGAGTGGATGTTGAAAGCTTCTGAGGGGAGGAAGAGCCTGAAAGACATTCTCTAGGAAGGAAAGGGCAAACTGGGAGTGAGTCAGAGCTTTATGATTGACTACACTCTTTTATCATTCATAAAGACTGTCAGAGGCATTCCAACCAGAGCGACGCCATTTTGAGTGAGAGCTAGGAAAATGAGGCTGCAACTTGGCGGGGTGCATTTCCAGAAATATAGGTATTCCTAGCCTCTAGACATTTATGGTTAAGGGAATAGATTAATAATATTTACTAGGCCAGGAAAGGTGGCTCACACCTGTAATCCCAGCACTTCAGGAGGCCAAGGTGGGTGGATCACAAGGTCAGGAGTTCGAGACCTGCCTGGCCAATATCGTGAAACCCGTCTCTACTAAAAATACAAAAATTAGCTGGGTGTGGTGACATGTGCCTGTCCCGACTACTCGGGAAATGGAGGCAGAAGAATCGCTTGAACCCAGGAGGCGGAGGTTGCAGTGAGCCAAGATTGTGCCATTGCACTCTGGCCTGGGCAACAGAGGGAGACTCTGTCTCAAAAAAAAAAAAAAGTTTACTAAACTGACCCAGATTTAGCAATGTCCAGATAATCCTGACACCTGGAGAACAAAGGCACTTCTAATTTTGCTTTAAAGATAATAATATTGATTCTTGCAAAACATAGTAATTAAGGAAATTAATCCTTTATCACAAACTCTTGTAGCAGAGCACATCTTCCCATGATCTTCTTTTATCATATATATATATGATATATATATAAAGATATATATATAAGCATTGTACCTAGGGTGGACGCGTTCCTCCTCTTACTTTCTGGAATGCCCTACTCTGTCTATGGGGTAGCTCTTCTTTCACCACTGAACTTGCTTTTGCTGTGCACTCCAGCAGACTTGCCCTGAATTCTTTCTTGCACGAGATCCAAGAACCCTCTCTTGGGGTCTGGATTGGGACCTCTTTCCTGTAACAGGACCACCTTCCACAAATGGACCCAGGTTCAGTGTCCACTCTGATTCACTGTCCCATGCTGCCTTCCCTAAAGCAGGCACTTTGCCACTGGTTTCACACGTCTGGGGTGAAGAACTCTTCTTGGTTTGTCCGGAACCTTTCTGGTTTTGCGTGGAAAGTCCTGTGTCCTGGGAAACTCCACAGTCCCAGGCATCCTATACCATGCTTCATTTGCCAAAAACTGTGACCCAAAAAAATTGTGAACAATGATTTTACTGCAAAATGTTGGAAACTCTGTAGAAAGTAGTTGTATGGTATGCTGGGAAAATAGGGAATTTTTTTTGGGTATTTGATTTTGTAACACTTTTCTGATTATAAAAGCATTAAATACACATTTGGAGGTACTTGGAGAGACAAAGGAAAGCTTAAAGCAATGCTTTTCAAGCTTTGTTATGTGTAAGAATATCTTGCTTGAAATGTAGAGTCCCAGGCTGCAACGCAAGAGTGTGCATCAGGAAGAGTGGAGTGTTGCCCAGAAATCTGGAAGGTAAAAGAAAAGGCTAGCCACTAATAGTAGTTTAAATGAGTCGAGAGTCTGGTCTACATTTTGCATGTCTAATAGACATCTCAAAATTAGCATATCCAAAATCAGATCCAAATCCTCTCCCCTGGTCTGTCCCTGCCCACGCCCCTACCCTCTATCAAGTCTTTCCCATCTCAGCATCCTTCCAGTTGCTTAAGCCAAACACCTGGGCATAATCCTTGTCTCTATTGTTCCTATCACACCATACCTAATTGTGTTAATTCTATCTTCAAATGTATTCTGAACTTGACTATTTCCCACAACCCCCATCATCACTTGCCTAGTTTATTTCAATGGCCTTCTGACAGATGTTGCTACCTCCATTCTTGCTTCCTTGGTTCTATTTTCAACAGAGGAGCCAGAGAAATTAAAACATGAGTTAAAGCCTATAGTCAGAGCCTATCAGTCCTTTGTCCTTTTAGTGCCATCCATCTCACTCAAAGTAGAATCAAAGTCCTTAGAATGGGCCACATGGTCCTACCCAGCCTGGACCCGCTCACTTCTGTTGAGCTAATGTCCTGCACTTCACCTGATGACCTCATGTCCTGCACTTCACCCCTCCTTCACTCTGGTCCAGACACACTGGCATCCCTACTGCTCCTTATACTTGCTAGGCATGCTTCTGCCTCAAGGCCTTTGTGCAGACTCTTCCCGTTGCCTAGAACACATTTCTCTCAGATATTCTCAAAGCTGGCTCTCTAACCTCTTTCAGGCATTTGCTGAAATATCACTTTCTCTGTAAGGACTTCTCTAACCTCCCTATTTAAAATTGTAATATTTTCTCCCCACTCCCTGTTCCCCTTCTTGGTTTGTGTTAATTCATAGTACCTACCACCATCTAATATTACAAATTTTTTTTTTTGAGACTGAATCTTGCTCTGTCGCCCAGGCTGGAGTGCAGTGGCAGGATCTTGGCTCACTGCAACCTCTGCCTCCCAGGTTCAAGCGATTCTCCTGCCTCAGCCTCCCAAGTACCTGGGACTACAAGTGTGTGCCACCACGCTCAGCCAATTTTTTGTATTTTTAGTAGAGACAGTGTTTCACCATGTTAGCCAGGATGGTCTTGATCTCCTGACCTCGTGATCCACCCGCCTCGGCCTCCCAAAGTGCTGGGATTACAAGTGTGAGCCACTGCATCCGGAGTATTACAAATTTTTTATTACTTTGTTCGTGGTTTGCCTTCCTCCAACAGAACACAAGCTCCACTGGGATTTTTGTCTGTTTTGTCACTGCTTTATTCCCAGGACCCAGAAGAGCACTTAGCATAAAGTAGATGCTCAATGAGTATTGGTGAAGGCATGGATGGATATATAACATATGACAGAGCTTGCAGTGTAAAACAGTGGGGAAAATTAGAGGCTGTGCATTAGATGACACTGAGATAATTAGTTAACCATATGGAAAAAAGGGGAAACAAATATATATTTTGCTCTAAACACAAAAATTAATTCCAGATATATAAAGATTTACATATGAAAGGCAAATGTCTCAGTTGTTCAGGCCTCTATGACAAAAATACCATAGACTGGGTGGCTTAAATAACAACCACTTATTTCTCATAGTTCTAGAGGTAGGGGAAGTCTGAGCTCAGGGTGCACAGTCAGTTTCAGATGAATGTTCTCTTCTGGGTTGCAGACTGCTAACTTCTCATTGTGTCTTCACATGGTGGAAGAGACAAGGGAGCTCTTTGGGGTCTCTGTCATAAGGGCACAAATCCCATTCAGTAGTGCTCTGATCTCATGACCTAATCACCTCCCAAAGGCCCCACCTCCAAATACCATCACACTGAGGATTAGGTTTTAACATGTGAATTTTAGGAGGGACACAAGCATTCAGTCTATAGCAGCTAAACTGAAAAATATTTAGTCAATAATATAGATTATCTTTGTAATCTCAAGACAAGGTAGGACTTATTAAACTAGACCAAGAGTCCAAAACATAAAGATTGATACGTTTAGCTACTTTAGAATGAAAAAACAAATGCTTCTCTCTTCTCAAAAGATGACATAAAGAGAGAGAAACAACAAGCCAGAAACTCCAAGAAGATGTTTGTAACACATATAACCAACAAGGAATTAGTGTCCAGAATATACAAAAAACAAATATTTCCCATAAATCTGAAACCAACCCATTTGTCCCATAGGACTGATTATGTTTTTTTTTCTTTTAATAAACATAGAAATTTACCCTACAAGTCTTAAAACTTGAGAAACTTACATTTGTCTTATCTGAGTTCCTTTCTCAGGAAATTGACGATCAGGGCTCCCTGGTAGTATCAGGAAACTGAAACTTACCTTTCACTGCATCTGCTAAGACACCAGACCCCTCACCCTTCATGACTGCCTAACTGACCCCAGGCTGCCTGTTGACCAACTCCTCTTCCTTTCCCCTCCCTAATTCCTGTTTTCCCATATGTAGTTACCTTTCTTCCCTGCTCTATAAACCCTTAATTTTAATCTGTTGAAAAGAGGAGACAGAGTTAAGACTGATCTCCAATCTCCTCGGTTGCAACACCTGAATAAAGCCTTCTTCCCTCACAATACTTGTTGTCTCAGTGATTGGCTTACTGTGCAGTGAGCAACCTAGACCAAACCCTTGGCATTTTGGTAACAAATCCAAAAGAAAACTAAAAATAGCCAATAGAAGAAAGTATAAAAAACATAAAAGACACTATACAGAAAGAGAAATACAACTGGCCAAAAAAAAAAAAAAGGAAAAAAGAAAGAAAAGAAAAATGCTCAGCTTCATTAATAATTAGGAAAATGCACATTAAAACCAAATGCGATAACATTTCACACACATCAAAATGGCAAAAAGTCAAAAGTCTGACAATTCCAAGTGAAGTTGCAGATGTGGTTTAATGGGAATTTCATCTGCCACTAAAGGGAATGTAGATTATACAACCCCTGGGAAATAGTCTCCCCTCACAAAGTAACACTATATATACTGCAACCACATTCTAAGACTCAGAAATTTCATTACTAGTTACATATTCTAAAAAGTCTTGCAGGTATGTGCCAGGGTACATGTATGAGAATGTTCATAGCATCATTGGTCATAACAGCAAAACTATGAAGACAAACCAAGTTCTAAGAATAGTAAAATGGAGAAGAAAAAAACATGGGACTTTCAAATTTGGAATACCACACAGCAGTGAAAATGAACAAGCCAAAGCTATATGCATCAAGATGGTGAATCTCAAAAATAAAGACAAGTCACAGAAGAACACATACATTACAATTCCACGTATACAAAGTTTAAAAATAGGCAAAACTAGACAATATCCTGTTTAGGGATACATACATGTATCAAGGAAGTATAAAGAAAAGCTAGGCCTTGGCCTCTCCCTCTCCCTCTCCCCCTTTCCCTTGGATCTCCCTCTGTTGCAGAGGCTGGACTGTACTGCCGTGATCTCAGCTTGCTGCAACCTCCCTGCCTTGGGCTCCCGTGATTCTCCTGCCTTGACCTGCCGAGTGCCTGGGATTGCAGGCATGCGCTGCAATGCCTGACTGGTTTTTGTATTTTTGGTGGAGACGGAGTTTCGCCGTGTTGACCGGGCTGGTCTCCAGCTCTTGACCTCGAGTGATCTGCCCGCCTTGGCCTCCCGAGGTGCTGGGATTGCAGACGGAGTCTCGCTCACTCAGTGCTCAATGTTGCCCAGGCTGGAGTGCAGTGGCATGATCTCAGCTCGCTACAACCTCCACCTCCCAGCCTCCTGCCTTGGCCTCCGAAAGTGCTAAGATTACAGCCTCTGCCTGGCTGCCACCCCATCTAGGAAGTGGGGAGCTCCTCTGCCCGGCCGCCCCGTCTGGGATGTGAGGAGCGCCTCTGCCCGGCCGCCACTCCGTCTGGGAACTGAGGAGCGCCTCTGCCCAGCCGCCCCATCTGAGAAGTGAGGAGCGCCTCTGCCTGGCAGCTGCCCCGTCTGGGAAGTGAGGAGCATCTCTGCCTGGCCGCCCATCGTCTGGGATGTGAGGAGCGCCTCTGCCCACCCGCCCCGTCTGGGAAGTGAGGAGCGCCTCTGCCCGGCTGCCCCGTCTGGGAGGTGTACCCAACAGCTCCGAAGAGACAGCGACCATCGAGAATGGGCCATGATGACAATGGCAGTTTTGTGGAAAAGAAAAGGGGGAAATGTGGGGAAAAGAAAGAGAGATCAGATTGTTACTATGTCTGTGTAGAAAGAAGTAGACACAGGAGACTCCATTTTGTTCTGTACTGAGAAAAATTCTTCTGCCTTGGGATGCTGTTAATCTATAACCTTACCCCCGGCCCCGCGCTCTCTGAAACATGTGCTGTGTCCACTCAGGGTTAAATGGATTAAGGTCGGTGCAAGATGTGCTGTTAAACAGATGCTTGAAGGCAGCATGCTCGTTAAGAGTCATCACCACTCCCTAATCTCAAGTACCCAGGGACACAAACACTGTGGAAGGCTGCAGGGACCTCTGCCTAGGAAAGCCAGAGACCTTTGTTCACGTGTTTATCTGCTGACCTTCTCTCCACTATTATCCTATGACCCTGCCACATCCCCCTTTCCGAGAAACACCCAAGAATGATCAATAAACACTAAAAAATAAAAAATAAATAAATAAATAAATAAAAAGAAAAGCTAGGATGGCCGGTGTGGTGGCTTGTCTTTAATCCTAGAACTATGGGAGGTTGAGGCAGTAGGATTGCTTGAGGCCAGGAGTTTGAGACAAGCCTGGGCGACATAGCTAGACACCATCTCTACAAAAATAATAATAAGAAGAAAAGTTCACTGGGACCGGGCGCGGTGGCTCACACCTGTAATACCAGCACTTTGGGAGGCTGAGGTAAGTGGATCACCTGAGGTCAGGAGTTCAAGACTAGCCTGGCCAACATGGTGAAACCCCGTCTCAACTAAAAATACAAAAATATTAGCTGGGCGTGGTGGCGGGCACCTGTAATCCCAGCTACCTTGGGAGGCTGAGGCAGGAGAATTGTTTGAACCTGGAAGACGGAGGCTACAGTGAGCAGAGATCACGCCATTGCACTCCAGCCTGGGTGACAAGAGCGGAATTCTGTCTCAAAAAAAAAAAAAAAGAAAAAAGGAAAGAAAAAGAAGTGAAACCAAACGAAAAGAAAAGCTCACTAGGTGTGGTGGTATGAGCCTGTAGCTGAGGTGGGAAGATCCCTTGGGCTCGGGAGTTCACATGCTGCAGTGAGCTATAATTGTGCCACTGCACTCCAGCCTGGATGACTGACTGAAACCTAATCTCTTAAAAATAAAAATAAAAGCTGGGTGCGGTGGCTCACGCCTGTAATCCCAGCACTTTGGGAGGCTGATGGGGCGGATCACGAAGTCAGGAGATTGAGACCATCCTGGCTAACACGGTGAAACCCTGTCTCTACTAAAAATACAAAAAAATTTGCTGGGAGTGGTGGCACGTGCCTGTAGTCCCAGCTACTCAGGAGGCTGAGGCAGGAGAATCGCTTGAACCCAGGAGGCGGAGGTTGCAGTGAGCCGAGATTGCGCCACTGCACTCCAGCCTGGGTGACAGAGCGAGATTCTGTCTCAAAAAATAAAAATAAAAATAAAAGCTAGGGAATGATTATCACAAAAAAATGCAGCTCTAGCAAAGAGAGAGGGAGAGTGATCTATTGGTTAGGAGCACATAATAAAAGATATTGGAAATATTCGATTGCTTAGAGTGACAGATGATTACATAACATCCTTTATTATCTCATCAATACTTTAAAATGTGTATATGGATTATATGTACACTTTTGAATATATATTTCACAGTTTTTGATTAAAGAAGGAGAGAAAAGGAAACAGAGGGCAGGTACAGACAATATTTTCTAATTTTGCTGTAAATGTGGAGCAGGAAAATAGGAGAGTACCTGAAGCAAAAACCTTTTAAAAACTTATGTTACTGGCCAGGCGCAGTGGCTCACGCCTGTAATCCCAGCACTTTGGGAGGCCGAGGTGGGGCGGGGAGGGGGGTGGTGGATCACCTGAGGACAGGAGTTCAAGACCAGCCTGGCCAACATGGTGAAACCCCGTCTCTACTAAAAATACAAAATTAGCCGGGAGTGGTGGTGGGGGGCGCCTGCAATCCCAGCTACTGGGGAGGCTGAAGCAGGAGAATCACTTGAAACCCAGAGGCGGAGGTTGCAGTGAGCTGAGATCGTGCCATTGCTTTCCAGCCTGGGTAACAAGAGCAAAACTCTACAAAACAAAAACAAAAACAAAAAAACTTATGGTATCAAGGAGTTTGTCTTGTTTTGGTTTTTAAAGCGATATATTATAACATGTTTGTATGCTCATGAGAATAATTCAGTGAAACGGTAAAAAAAATTTGCTGAAGCAGGAGAGTAGATATTTATAGATGGTTAGTCCATTTTTGAGAAAACAAGAGAGGATGGGATCTAGCCTTGTCAGGGAGAGTAGAGACATCAAGGTGGTTCTGCTATGGCAGAACTTGCTGGAAACCCACTCTCTAGGGTGCAGGCAAAAGCTGTTCATACCAGAGACACTCCAGTATAAAACCCCTTCAGGAGGGGTGCCTAAGGAAGCTGCTCACTGCTGGGTGTTGCTGACTGTGACTGAAGTAACTGGACACTAGGTAAGTTTTGGGTGCTGCAGGAGCAGGTGCTGCTAAACCATGCACTCACTGCAGGAACCTGGCAAACAGCACACCAGAACCTGGAAGCAAAATCGTTTTTCCCTGCAATGACTCTCCAGTGCCCTCTACTGACAAAGCTTCAGGGCCAGATGGCAAAGAAAACATAATTAAAAGATTCAGGATCATTTTTGGAGCTGAGAGGCAGTAAATCCATAACTCACAAACTGGGGAATGGAGGGATCAGGCTGACAATACCTGAATCTTCCATCAAATCTACCATCACTAATAGTGGGATGAGATCATATACCTCTAAATGTGATACCATAGGTACACAGCACTGCTTTTGAAGTATTCTCCTTAAAAAATTGAACCCAGCCGGGAGCGGTGGCTTACGCCTGCAATCCCAGCACTTTGGGAGGCCGAAACGGGCGAGTCACCTGAGGTCAGGAGTTTGAGACCAGCCTGGTCCAACATTGTGAAACCCCGTTTCTACTAAAAATACAAAAATTAGCCTGGCATAGCGGCGGGCACCTGTAATCTTAGCTACTCAGGAGACTGAGGCAGGAGAATCACTTGAACCCAGGAGGCAGAGGTTGCAGTGACCCGAGATCGCGCCACTGCATTCCAGCCTGGATGACAGCGAGACTCCATCTCAAAAACAAACAAACAAAAACCCCAAATCTGATAAAGCCTTTTAAGTAAATAAAAATAAAAGCTAAGGAATGATTATCACAGAAATGCAGAGTGATGCTTACCTCTATAGCAGAGAGAGACGGACTAGTAGTATCTGGGTTAGGGACATATGGTGAAAGATATTGAAAATGTTTGATTGCTTAGAATGAGAGATGACTACATAGCATCCTTTATTATCTTATGAATCTTATCTAAGATACACAGGAAATAGAGGAACAAGTTAATTGATACCATGAGGAAGCAATCAACCAAATCCAGTACTGGGAACATTCTATGGGATAAATGAACTGGCTTCTCCAGCAAATTAATGGAATGAAAATAAGGGAAGGGTAGATTGTTATAATAAGATTAAGAGACATAATAATAAAATGCAATGTATTGCCAAAATATAATTTTTAAAAGTCAATGACAGTATCCTATACAAAGTGAGCATGTATCAAAGATGTACTAACAAGAGACTAGTAAAAAAAGAACTAGTTCAAAGAGAATTTGGAAGATTGAATATACATACACTGGACATACATCTTCTATACCTCCACTGAACAAAATTCATTGACATTGCTATTGACCAAGAATCATTTCCATTGATATCACTTTTCTACAAGTTAATGTCTACCCCTAAGGAGTACTCTAAATACCCTAAAATACTAAATCAAAGTTAAACTACCCTAGAGAATTAGATAATTTTTACGTAGGCCTATTAGAAAATGCTACAGTGTCGGCCGGGCGCGTTGTATCAAGCCTGTAATCCCAGCACTTTGGGAGGCCAAGGCAGGAGGATTGCTTGGGTCCAGAAGTTTGAGACCAGCCTGGGCAACATGGCCAGACCTTGTCTGTACAAAAAATACAAAAATTAGCCGGGCATGGTGGCACACATCTGTCCCAGCTACTCAGGAGGCTGAGGTGGGAGAATTGCATTAGCTCAGGAGGTCGAGGCTGTAGTGAGCCATGATTGCACCATTGCACTCTAGCCTGGGTGACAGAGTGAGACCCTGTTTCAAAAAAAAAAAAAAAATTTTTTTTTAAGTTGAATTTGTCATTATATATTATACAATATATTTTCACTAACTTTTGAGCTAATAGACATTTAAAAGTCACCAAATTTGGAATACAAAGTATTTTAAATGACATCCCAAGTCATATAAGAGATTGGTTCAGCCTACGCTTTCTGTTCAAAACCCAGTAGTTAATGCTATTAGCATTCAAAATGCCTTTTTTTCCTTTTAAAAAGGACAGTTAAACCTGTTATTTTTTATCCTGCAGCCAGTTCTTAGCACAAAAGCAGGCAGATTTTAGTAGCACAAAAGTTATTTATTAGCTTATGCCTCTACCAGAAAACAGAAATGTTGGCTTAAAATTGTTTCATTGATGTAACTTTTACCTTTTCCTTTACAGATATTCATTTATTCATTCTGGCCCTAATACCAAGGTATCCTTCACACAAAAGATTCAAACAGATTATTTGCATCTTTACCAATGGGAGTTTCATGTTTTCAAGTTTTTGTTTGTTTGTTTGTTTGTTTTTTGTTTGGAGGCCTCTTTCCAAGCACTCTAGTATTCTTAAAATCCTGAGATTCTGAATGGTATGATTTAGCTCAATATGTTTATACTAAACTTAGGGGAAAAAAACTAATATATTTTCCTTACCCATCACAAGGTTTATGCTGAGACTTCAATAACAAAAAACAGACTAACAAGAGAAAAGCATGCACATTTATTTTATCCAAGTTTTACATGACATGGGAACTTTCAGAAACGAAAACCCAAAGAAATGGGGACATTTGTGTAGTTGTATAGACAGTCAGGCAGATGTATGATTGCAAGGACAAAAGTGTATGAGCTAACGGTGATAAACTGAGAAGTTGGAAAGGCCTGTCTATTCAGTTTCTTCTTGGCATACCTGTGTGGCAGTCCCTCCCTCAGGGCATAGGAGAGGATGCCTGTTATATAAGGGGCCTCAGATGAAGGAGGGAGAAGGAGGGAGCAGGTCAGAGAGTGACCTTCCTAGATTTTGTGGCCTGCTTCAGGGAAGAAGGGGCGAGGGGAACTCTAGTTTCTATGGCCTGCTTCAGGGCAGAAAGGAGCAAGAGGTCAGAGAAACCTTCCTGTTTCTGCTATTTTCTCAATTTCCAAGGTGCCATATTTTGGGGTGGCATTTCCTGTACCCTGTCATATACAAACTCATTTTTAGACAGCGGCCTTTAGTTCCTCCTGAGGTTAAACCAGAGCTGCTCAAGGAATATACCTACTAAATCTTCTTGCTCCATTTAAGATATTTATTTCAAATGCAAATAATTATACCATACCCTTTGGCCTAGTCAGCACTGATTCACTATTTCAAAGCTTTACATTTAAGCCTCATAATAACCGTACGAAGCAGATCTAGCTACTTCCATGTTACAGAAGAAGAACCTGTGGCACACAGAGGTTGAGCAGCTGCCCCAAAGCCTCACAGAATGTGGCAGACTGGAGAATTCAACGCAGAACTCTTACCCAGCCCCATATGCTGCCTTGGCCTCCATCTGGTATGACCACAGAAATGGAGAGCTGGAGGAAGGAATTTCAACTCTGCTTCAGAACCTTAAATGAAGCAGGAAGCTGTAGAGGGGCACAAAGCTACAAAGCTGCTCCAAAGCTGTCTCCTCCAACACAAAGCAGAAATTGTGTTCCCAGCATCCATTTCTGTTACCCTTACTTGGACTTGAGAAGCTGTATCAATCAAGATGTAGTGTGGTGGGAGAGGGACTCAGTGCATGACTGATACCCAGCCAAGCAGGGCCAGGCAGCTTTAGAAATGCCCACACTGGGGAATTGAACAATGAGAACACATGGACACAAGAAGGGGAACATCACACACCAGGGGCTGTTGTGGGGTGGGGGGAGGGGGGAGGGATAGCTTTAGGAGAGATATACCTAATGCTAAATGATAACAAACCTGCACGTTGTGAACATGTACCCTAAAACTTAAAGTGTAATAATAATAAAATTTTTTTACAAAAAGAAAAAGAAATGCCCACACTGAGCTCATTTCATTTAACAAACATTTATTTACATGGAAGCCATGTGCATGGAAGACAGGTGTTGTCTCAACTCTCTTGGGGCGTACACTGAGGGGGAGGAAGATCGAAAATAAACACATTGACAAAGAAATGAACAAGGTGCTTTCAAATGGCAACAAATGCATGAAGAAAGGGAAACAGAATAATGCATGATGGGGAACTGGTTTCAACTGGGTGAGGGAGGAAGACCTTTCTGAGATGTAGACATGACTGACAAGAAGCGGGCAGCCATGCAAGGGGCTGGGGCAGGGAGTTTCAAGACCAGGTGTAAGGTGAAAGCACAGGGACCGAGGGAGAAGTGGCATGAGGGAGGTCAGAGAGTTAAGCAGAGCTGTCATGTCAGGAGCCCCAGCCCCTGCAAGAGTCTTCCATGCCCCTCTAAGTGTGCTGAGAGGATAGAGAATTTTAAGTGGGGTGGTGGATTTGTGGCTGGAGTCTGCCCAGAATGGTCTGTGAATAGGCCAAAGACCTCAGGACAGGGAGAAAACGCTTAGTGGCACAGCATTATTTTTTATTTTATTATTATTTTTTGAGACGGAGTCTCGCTCCGTCCCCAGGCTGGAGTGCAGTGGGGCGATCTCGGCTCACTGCAACCTCCGCCTCCCGGGTTCAAGCGATTCTCTTGCCTCAGCCTCCTGAGTAGCTGGGACTACAGGTGCGCGCTACCACGCCCGGCTAATTTTTGTATTTTTAGTAGAGACGGGGTTTCACCATGTTGGCCAGGATGGTCTCGATCTCTTGACCTCGTGATCCGCCCACCTCGGCCTCCCAAAGTGCTGAGATTACAGGCGTGAGCCACCGCGCTCGGCGGCAGAGCATTATTTAAGGAGCATGTTAAACACACTTTCTTCCCACACCACCAACTAAAAAAGCAGGTATCAAGAGGGTCTAGGTAGGTGCTGAGACCACCTCCAGAGCACAGGCCCGCCAGAGTTGTGCTCAGCAGGTGAGGTCTACACTCCTCTCAGCCCGGAGGGGCAGCGTGAGTTATACTGCTGGACAAAGGGGAAAAAGACAAAATGCTGGGCTGGGGTAGAAGGGAAGGACGCGGGTGTTAAATGTGGGCGTGGTTTCTTCTGAATGTCCCACCCACTCCACTATACATTGCTTAAATGCAGTGCAAATTTCCCTACCCCCAGCGGAGGAGGGGTGAAGATTCAGCAGGTTTTAGGGTCTAGGACCCTGAGCTCCTCCATTCATGAATACCCAAACAACTGTAGCCCACCCTCTCACCACTGCCTAGGCGGACGACCAGTGTCCCCAGCTAGATCTCTACCCTTAGGAGCAGGGCACTGGCTGACCCGGAGAACCTGCGCCGCCTCTTCTCAGCCTGCTGCCAGCCCAGTGCACGAGCTGAATGCCGCTGCCGCCTGGCTGGCCGGGAAAGACGGGGATCTTGACGCGGCGGCGCCTGGGACACGGCAACCGCAGCACAGGGCATGGCCCTGCGGCTGGACCGGACGCGGCGGCTGCAGGCAGAGCAGGAAGAGAGCGCAGGCTGGGCAGCGGCGTACGCTTCGGCGACGTCAGCTTCCGGGGCCGTGGACGGGGGCGCGCCCGAGCCTCCTGGAAACCTCCCCACCAAGGACCTGGGGAACCCAAGTCTCGGCCCGCTTTGTAGCCTCTGGTTTCTAAATTCAGCGTCGAGGAGCGAAAACAACCCCCCTGAACTGGGCCCAGACCCTTAAGCTCCTGGAACCTCAGTTTTTCCTTCCGTCGAATGGCGACAATGGCTGTCTGGTTGAACGTTATTTTACCTAGGAAGTAATAATTTTCGTAAATAGGTCTCTGAGAGTATTTGCTTGCTAAAATCCTGCTTTGTCCTGGAAGCAAATTTAGGCCACGTTAGGGACGGGGACTTCGTATTTAATGTTGAGCACCTGGCGAGCGCCACCTTCGCCTCAAAGCGCCCTCGGACCCTGATCCAGCATAAGGCCAGAGTTGGGCAGTGAGGGGTCTCGAGAGGTGGAAAGGGGATTATTGCCCTCTCAAGAGTCCTACGTAGGTGACTCCTAAGCCTTAGCATTTACTCCCTTAGACCGTGTAACAGGCCACCCCAATTACGCGCCAAACTCAGGCTGCGGCTCTTGGCGCAGCCTCGGTCCCGCCTGATTTCAGTTTCCATTTCGCTGCCCCTGGTGCCCCACCGCCCGCGGCTGTCTGGGGATTTGCCCGGTGATCAGTGACGTAAAAGAGACTAAGGTTCCCATTGGACGGCGAAGTTCGGCAGGAGCCAATCCCGGGGCTGGTCCGGGAGAAATCTCGGCGAAGGGCCCCGAATAGCCGGGAGATTACGGGGCGGGGACGAGCTGTCGCGCTGGTTGCTCGTGCAGGAGCGGGACCCGGAACAGACCGCCGTGAGAGAGGAGGGGCGCCGGCCGGGATTCGCGGCCCGGAGCTCGGGACCGGTGAGTAGGGGGTGCACATGAGACATACAGCGAAGCAACAGTCTCGTACGCTCACCGGGTTTGGGGCGACCCAACGCAGCCGCCGGGCCCGGGTTCAAAACGGGGCCAGGCCCCCGGGCGGGCTCAGGAGGGGGTCAAGTTCGCTGCGTCCTCCCTGCCAGCCAGATCCCTCCTGTTTGCTTGTCCTTACATTCTCCCCCTCCTCTTGGGTCTTTCTCGCTTTCTGGTATCCTACTCAGACTCCCATCCATTCTAGTCTGCGGAACCAGAAGTAAGCGGGGCCTGGATGACCGTCCGGTTGCTTGGAGCCTGGTAGATAGGCGACTAATCCAGCTCCCTGACCAAAGTGTCATGCTTTCTTTCTCTTTCTTTCTTTTTTTTTTTTTGTTCGGAGTAAACCGGTTTAGCCACAAATACTTGGAGCTGTGCTTTCACTCCTTCCAGCTCATTAGCATTTTTCTTACTGATTTTCTCCCTATTTGGCCTTAGAAAAAAAGTGTAAATTTAACTCTGTGGAGTAAATGGGAGGGACACACTTCCAAATCTCCAGTAGATTTCAAATTTTGACCCACGATTTGTGTGTACTTCAAAAGAGGGGAGAATGACATTCGTTTATGCATGCCTTAACCTCCTGTTTTTAACTCTTAGCTGAAATCATAATCCCTAACATGTTTTTCCCCAAGTTCAAAAAAATCACCTTTAAAAAAAATAGGCTTTTTATGTTTCAAAAATTGCAATTTTATTGTTTAAGTAGACTTTATTTCTTACAACACTTTTAGATTTACAGAAGAATTGAGAAGATAGTACAAACTTCCCACATGCTCCAAACCGGGTCCCCTGTTATTAACATCTTACCTCAGTGTGGTACATTTGTTGCAGTTAACCAATATCAATACATTATTATTGACCAAAGTCCATAGTGTGTTCAGATTTCCTTAGTTTTTACCTCAGTACTTTTTCTGTTTCATGATCCCATGGAGGTTACCACATTACATTTAGTTGTCATGTCTCCTTATGCTCCTCTTGGCTGTGGGAGTTTCTCAGACTTGTTTTGATGACCTTGACAGCATTGAAGAATACTGGTCGTGTATGTTGTAGGATGCCCCTCTATTGGAATTTGATGTTTTTCTCCTAAGACTGGGCTTATGGGTAACTGGGAGGAAGACCACAGAGGTAGATTGCCATTATCATCCCATCGTATCAAGGGCATGTACTAACATGATTTATGACTTAATATTGATTTGGGTGAGATAGTGTTTTTCAGGTTTCTCCACTGTACAGTTAGTCTCTTTTCCACTCTTTGCGTGTATTGTCCTCTTTAGAAGGAAGTCACTAAGTGCAGCCCATACCTAGGGAGCCAAGAGTTATATTCCCCCTTCTTGAGGGCAAGTATCTACATATTATTGTTTGCAGTTATTCTGCATGGAAGATTTGTTTCTCTCTTCTCCCCAATTTATTAATTTATTCAATCATTAATTTCAGTGTAGACTCAGGGACATTTATTTTATACTTTGGTTTATAATCCAATACTACTTAATTTTGTTGCTCAAATTACTGTGGCTTTGGCTGTTGGGAGCTCTTTTCACATTGGCTCCTGTGCTCTTTCATAGTATTTTTATAGAGCTTTTTGCTAATGAGACACTCGTACTTATGTGACCTTGCCTCAACCTCAAATAGCCTGGTAAACTTGGCAAAATATTTTCCCCTTGTTAAGAGGTAAGGAGACTGAAGGCCTAAGGCAGTGGGTGACTTCTTAGATATCACTTCCTGCAGGGGAGTAACAGGTTGGACTCAGATTGTGTGTGACCACCACAGAAGACACTGCAAACCCCCGAAGAGAGTCCATGGTCTGTATTGAGGCTTCTTGGAATGACTTCAGACTTGGACCCCCCCAGGATCAGAATAGAAAAGACACGGAGAATGGGAAGTTGGTTTGAGAAGACAAAAACATAAATTGGCTGGCATCAGGATGAATTAGATTTTGCCAGCTTTATAGAAATGGAATTTTGTTCTTCCCCCCAAAATTGTGTGTGTGTGGAGGGAGGCCAAGAGAGATCTAGGTAATGTGTGTGGGCAAGAATGTCTAATCTAAAGAGAGCCCTGGAAGCCTGCTGCTGAAGCAGAATTTTAATGTGGGAAAGGGGGGTGTGTAGTGAAAGGGGGAAGAATGGAGATGGCAGGGCTCTGGAATTAGAGGAGGTCATTCATTTCACAAACATTTGCAGACCCCCTACTTTGTGCCAGATATTGGAGATAAAAAGGTCAGTGAGGCATGACCTTTGGGTTCACATTCTGGTGGGAGAGAAGACAGATAAAAATATCAATTACAGCCACTTATCCATAGCTTAGTTTTCCGTGGTTTCCGTTACCCATGGTCAACCTCAGCCCAAAGACAGTAAACAGAAAATTCCAGAAGTAAACAATTCATAAGTTTTAGATGTGCATTGTTCTGAGTAGCATGATGAAATCTCTTGCCCTCCCACTGTTCCTTCATCACAAGAAGGGTAAGTACAGTACAAGATAGTTTGAGAGAGAGAGAGACCACATGCATATAACTTTTATTACGGTATATTGTTATAGTTATTCTGTTGTGTTATTATTGTTAATCTATTTCTGTGCCTACTTTATAAACTTTATTACAAGTGTGTATGTGTAGGAGAAACAGGTTTCAGACATCCACTGGGGGTTTTGGAATGCATCTCCTGAGGATTGAGGGGACTCCTGTATGAATGTATCTTTAGCGGATGGGGGGTGCTACTGTATGAAGCACTGTGATAGTGCTATTGTAGAAATACAGTATATGCAAAGCTGCAGGAGGAGGGATACATTCAACTCAGAGGTGGGATGGGTACAGGAAACACCTCACAGATAAGGGGACAAATTGTATTCAAGCCTTCAAGGATGCGCTGGACTGGAGAGAAGAGCATGTACAAGGGAATGGGTGGAGAGTGGGGAGTGAAGAAGGGGCTGTCTTCCTGGTTCAGTGTATCTAATGGCCAGAGAATTAGGTAGGACGAGGAGGGATTTGGGGCTGGATGGGTAAGTTGGGGCTAGCCGGATGCAGGGCAGGGGAGGATGTCTGTGCAGTTTTTTTTTTTGTTTTGAGTCAGAGTCTCGCTCTGTCACCCAGGCTGGAGTGCAGTGGCGTGATCTCAGCTCACTGCAACGTCCGCCTCCTGGGTTCAAGCGATTCTCCTGCCTCAGCCTCCCGAGTAGCTAGGACTGCAGGCGCGTGCCACCATGCCCGGCTAATTTTTGTATTTTTAGTAGAGGCTGGGTTTCACCATGTTGGCCAGGATGGTCTCGATCTCTTGACCTCATGATCTGCCCACCTCGGCCTCCCAAAGTGCTGGGATTACAGGCGTGAGGCACCGTGCCCGGCCACCTGTGCAGTTTTGACCTCAGCTAGTAGGAGTTTTTTTGGTGTGTTTGTTTTTATTTTTATTTTTATTTTTATTTATTTATTTTATTTTAGAGACAGTCTCTCCCTATGTTGGCCAGGCTAGTCTTGAACCCCTGGATTCAAGGGATCCTCCTGCCTCAGCCTCCCACAGTGCTAGGATTATAGGCATGAGGCACCAAACCCAGCCTCAGCTAGGAGATTTGAAGCAGGAGAATAACAAGGATGAGATCCTGTGTGCTAGAAGGATGATCCTGGCAGCACTTTTTAGGAAATATGCCACATCTCACCAAATCTAAGATGCTATTTGTCTTAATCCATTTTCTGTTGCTGTAACAGAATACCACAGACTGGGTAAATTGTAAACAACAGATGTTTATTCAGCTCACGGTTCTGGCCAATGGACTCTTGCAAGAAAGGCATTAATCCATTCATGAGAGTTACACCCTCATGACCCAGTCACGTCTTAAAGACCCCACCTCTTAATACCGTTACATTGGCAATTACGTTTCCAACACGTGAACTTTTGGGGGACATGTTCAAACCACAGCACCACCAAATCTTTTATGTGCCCTTATTTTATGCTCCACATCAAAAAAATATTTTGCCAGTTAAATTATGACATGCAATTGATCACATTTCAGAGATGCTAAAATGTGATGTCACAGGTGTCTCAAATTTGATGAAAAGCACTAACTCCCTTGCTGATGGCTTAGATTCCTCCCTTTCCCTGGATTAATGGTTAGGATGTCTCCATCTCACTAACTCATAGATGGTAAGTTACCAAGGGAAAGAAGAACAGAAGCTGGGTGGGCCCTTCCCCTTCTCTCCCCAAAGATAAACATTTACAACATTTACTGGTTGGGTCGAGGAGCACAATATCTGGTCTGCTGCTATAGGATTCCTTGGCCTGTTATTGGGCCTGTCTCATGCTGTTTCCTTTTGGGGAGTTAAATACACACACACACACACACACACACACACACACACACACACACAGATATTCTATATCCCATCCTCCAGAGTGGCAAAAATTAAAGCTGATATTATCAGGTGTTGGTGAGGCTGTGGGGCATCATGAGTGCTCATAGCCTGCTGAGCAGACTACATAGCACTATAGTCACTTTGGAAACAGTTTGGCCTGCTTAGTCAAATTGAGGGTACATCTTGCCTGTGTGTGCTAGAACATGTATGCAGAAATATTCACTGAAGCAGTGTTTGTAATTGTCCCAAACTGGAAACAACTCATATGGCTATCAGTAGACTGCATTAAAAATTGTATAGTTAGAGAGCAGCAATTAAGTAAAATCAGCTCATAATCACATGGATGAGCCTCACAAACATGTTGACAGCCCCCCACCCAAATACATGCAAAAAAAAAAAAAAAAGGAAAAAAATTCCATTCATTTGAGGCTCAAAACCTGAGAAAATAAACTCTGTTTATGGGGTGTATACCTAGGTCTAAAACTAAAGAAAAGGGAAGGAGTGATTCTCACTATTACAATTTACTCCACAACAACCATTTTCTCAGACACAGCTTTTTCTTCTCCTGGTTTCTGTAAGTTGCTGGAGCGAAACCTTGGATACGATGATTTGCTGGTGACGTGCAGCCCACTGTTCTTGCTGCTACAGGGAATATGAAGAAATTGCTTCTCTCTCTACCAATTTACTACCATCTTGCTGGAGAGAAAGGGCAGGTGGCTAAGATTGTTCGCATTCCTTCAGCAGATGTGTAGGAAGCATCTTCTTTGTGTCAGATACTCTGTGCTTGTGCTTTGTTTTCTCAGTCAGTTTTTATTGTCTACTCTGTGCCAAGTAATATGTAGATTCTGGGGATAAGACAGACACAATCTCTCTCCTTGTTTCATGGAAAAAGCTGGTGTTAAGCGAGTAATTACACTAATAAGTCAGGACTTAAAACTGCAGAGAAGTACAGGGTGCAGCATGGGGTGTTTTGGGGCTGTATAACTAGACTACATGTGGACCCAATCTGACAGGTCAGGAAAGAATTGCCAGAGGAGGTGGCTTTCAGCTGAGACTTCAAGCTAGAAAAGGCATTTGCTAAGTGGGAAAGGGATGGTGTTCTAGGCAGAAGGAATTACATTGTCGAAGGGCTTAGCCAGGAAAGAGCATAGCACTTTGAGGCATGGAGAGCGGTTTGGTTTGGCTGTGAGTTTGAGGTGGGGAGTGGCAGGAAATGAGCCTGGAGACACAGGCTGGGCCATGATTATCTGGGAATCCAGCTAGGATCTCCTGGGACAGCCTCCTCACAGAAGAAAGGAAGGACAGGAGTTTTGACTTTATTCCTGGAGCACCAGAAAGCCATTGAGGGGTTTAACCTGGTTGGTCACCCGGGCAGATTAGCAGTTTAACACGTGACCGAGTGTGTTTGAGGATCAAAAGGCCAGAGTGGCTGCAGCACTGGGGCAGCAAAGGGGAGAGGAGGTTTATGTAAATCAGGAAACCCTTGAGGGTTTGATGATCCCACAGTTGGATCTGATTTCAGCTTCTAAAGGATTCCTCAGGTCACTGGATGTAAGTTCTGGTAGGACAGGGAGTTTGCCACTTTTGTTCTCTGCTGTAACCTCGGTGCCTGACACATAGTCGGCACCTAATAAACATCTGCTAGCTGTTGAATAACTTTCAACATCCTGCTGCTTAAACCCTCAATGGCTTCCCAGGGCTGTTAGGATAAAGTCCAAAATTCTTAACCTGGGTCACAGTCTTGCATAATCTGTTCCCTCCTGTTTCTCCACCCTTCCTCTGCTCGCCTCACTGCACTCCACCTGTGGCCAATTGTCAGCTCCTCAAATTCACCGCTACCCTTTCTCCGGCGGATGATTTCCTCTGCCTGTGAGGCTAACCCTCCACAGCACTCCATATGGGCAGGGAAGAGTTCATTTTCCAGGCACCAAAGTGCAGTGTATGGTGGAATGGAAGGAGCCCAGAGCTGGGAGGTGCACCTCACCCCACCTCGTGCTAGTGCTGGCCTTGCTGCCAGCCAGCTCTGCTGCTGGGCAAATGAGTCCGAGGCTCTGGCACTCACTTTCCTCCTCTGTAAATAAGGGGTTCTAGTGATTCACAGTCCTGGATAGACTTTAGAATCTCCTGGGAAGTTTGTTTTTTAATACCAGAGCCTGGGCCACCTCTGGAGATCCTAAGTCAGTTGGTCTAGGTATGTTTTGAAGACTCACCAGTTTGAAGACTACAAATCTGATGTGTAGTCAAGGTTTGAACCATTCCACAAGATGATAAAGGATTCCTTCCTATATTTGGTGCAAAGCACCAAGTGACACTTAGGAATATTTTAGACAAGAGAGCTTGGTTCATGATTCAACATTAGACAGATATTCTGGCACAAATATGAAGAACCCTCAATTTTCCCCTGTGGGTCAGCCACAAGACCAGGGCAATTTAACGCCTTGTCTCATCCACCTCCCAGCTGGCTGCTACCTCCTGCCCCTCTTTGAGCCCTGTGGGGATTTCTAGCGTTCAGAGCCCTGGTAGTTTTTGTGGCCTGCACTGTGCTTCAGAGCACCACTGATGCTCAGCTCCGTGGGGAAAGTAAGCCAAGTGTGACCACAAGAACGCATCATCCACAGTCACTGGGATCTCCTGGGACAGCCTGGGATCCAGGCCTTTGGCCTGGCCAGTAGGGGTGCAGTCACTCCTAGTATGCACATCCAGATCACTTGCTTTTTGCCCCGAATTCTGGCCTCTCCAGGTTTGTTAGAGGTGTCTCACGGAAGTTTACCCCATGGAGAGTTTGCTTATCTCAGATTAAAATATGGGGATTAATCTGGGACCCAGGAGCCCTTAAATGGAGTACCCACAGGGAATGGAGCTCTAGGCTAAGTGCTTTGGGATTACAGGTGCTTTGCTCTTGTTTGGAGGTCCAGACATATGCTTGAGAAGCAGCTTGGGATACTCAAGAGAGGCCTGAACTGGTACCCTGGAGGCCAGGATGAAAACCCAGGCCTCTCCATTTACTTTCTTGGGCCCCAGAGTCCACATTTGGGATTCACTGTCTACCAGGGCACCTCTCTGGGTGGCATCTAGGAGCCGGAGGCAGGCCAGAGTTTCACCCAGGCTGGAGTGCAGTGGCGCAGTCATGGCTGTCTGCAGCCTCAACTTCCCGGGCTCGGGAGATCCTCCTGCCTCAACTTCCTAAGTAGCTGGAACTATAGGCATGTGCCATCGCACCCAGCTAATTCAGCTAATTTCTTTTTTTGGAGACAATGTCTCACTATATTACCCAGGCTGGTCTCAAACTCCTGGGCTCAGGCAGTCCTCCTGCCTTAGCCTCCCACAGTGCTGGAATTACAGGCACAAGCCCCCGTGCCCGGCTTTTAGCTAGTTTTTGTAGCTCATAGTGATTATTCTTGGAGCCAATAATCGTGCATGCATCCACATCTTGAAATTACATGGTGTCACCTTGACCAGTCTGTTGACATATGCAGATTAGGTATTTATGAGATCCAGAGACTTATAGGGGAGGGGTGGATTTCAGGGAAAAGGGAACCTCTTAGAGAAAGGTAGGGAGTGTCTGCAGTTCTGCCTGTGAGGAGGGTACCAGGACATTGCAGGGCTTGTTTGTTGCATCTTCCTGGTTCTATAGAATTGCAGCTAGCTTCTGGTTTATTTTTTCATTTTTATTTTTTGAGATGGAGTTTTGCTCTTGTTGCCCAGGCTGGAGTGCAATTGGCGTGATCTCAGCTCACTGCAACCTCCGCCTCCTGGGTTCAAGCGATTCTCCTGCCTCAGCCTGCCCAGTAGCTGGGATTATAGGCATGCGCCACCACACCTGGCTAATTTTGTATTGTTAGTAGAGATGGGGTTTCTCCTTGTTGGTCAGGCTGGTCTCAAACTCCCGATCTCAGGTGATCCACCCGCCTCTGCCTCCCAGAGTGCTAGGATTACAGGCAGAAGCCACCGCGCCCGGCCGCTTCTGGTTTATTGAAGAGACAGAAAAATACCCCCTCACCCCCAGCAGGGATGTGTGACCTCTGGTGCAAGGGAGTTCATGAAGTGACTTCTTCAGGTTCAGAATTCTCATCTGAGTAAAGGGAGTGGGGGTGGAGTGGGTCATCTCTGAGGTTTTTTTTTTTGGCTCTGATTTTGGTTTCTGTCTGCCCAGGAGTCAGGAATGGAGAGAAGGGTAATGGTGTTACCTCTTATTGTGGAAACCTGTTGAGATCACAGAGAATATACTGACGGCATAAAAGGGCAGAACCATAGCAGGGTGCGGTAAGTTGGGGAAGAGTTTTTGGAGAGGGTGAATTTTGCATTGGACCTGACAGAATTGTGTATGGGGAAGGGGAGCGGTTATTCTGGTCTGCTCACATCTCTCATACTCAACCTCATTTCTCCTAATTCTGAAATCTTGAGATCCTCTATCACTAAGAAGGAAAACTACTGTCCAACAGGGACACTTTATTGCTCACCCTATATGTGAAAGTTTGTCATAGCTAAGGCTAGGGTGCTTTTGGTCAGTATCAGCAGAATATATGCCCCCTTTCTTTTGTCAGCATTACTCCGCTTACAAAGCCCTTCCATGTAGATGACCTCATCTGAGCTTCCTAACAAAGGAGCTGGTATTAGACCCCATTTTACAGTGTGCCTGGGTAGGGAAGAGAGTGTAGTGGATTGAGCAGAGGCCTTGGCACCAGACACTGCTTCCTAGCCATGTGCTCTTGGGCAAGTTGCTTAACCCTGCTGAGCCTCAGTTTCCTCAGAAGGAGTCTGTATAAGCAAGGGAAGGGATTGGTCATAGAAGTGGTACTGTGTTTCATTTATCTAGTTATGGCAGACTCTCAAAAACAAATGGTTCTATACAACTAACATTGTCTGCAGTTCCCCTGAATCCATTCACTTGTTCAGTAAATGTGTATTGAGCTTCTACAAGGTGTCAAGCACCATGATCTCTGTATCAGTGATTTAACCATTTTTGATGGTTACTACAGACCTCTTTAAGAATGTGATAGAAAACTGTAGCTCCCTCCCCAGAAAACTTTTCTAGCTTTTTATTTTGCTTTGCAGTGAGCCAAGATAGTTCCACTGCACTCGGGGGACAGAGTAAGACCCTGTCTCAAAAAAAAAAAAAAAAGAAAGGAACCATTTCAAATTAGGTGGGAGACATGGAGCTCTAAATACTACAGCATCCATTGCCTAGAAATACAGGTATTCTCAGCCGGGCGCGGTGGCTCACACCTGTAATCCCAGCACTTTGGGAAGCCAAGGCAGGTGGATCACCTGAGGTCAGGAATTTGAGACCAGCCTGGCCAACCTGGTGAAACCCCGTCTCTACTAAAAATACAAAAAATTAGCCGGATGTGGTGGTGGGCACCTGTAATCCCAGCTACTAGGGAGGCTGAGGCAGGACAATCGCTTGAACCTGGCAAGCGAAGGTTGTAGTGAGCCAGATTGCGCCATTGCACTCCAGCCTGGGCAACAAGAGAAAAACTCCATCTCAAAAATAAATAAATATATTAATAAATAAATAAGAAGTATAGGCATTCTCATACATAACCTCAGTAAATACCATTAAGAAAATAATTTTAGACATGGTGCAGTTGCTCATGCCTATAATCCCAGCACTTTGGGAGGCTGAGGTGGGAGGATGGCTTGAGCCTAGGAGTTTGAGACCAGCCTGGGCAATATAGTGGCAACTCTTCTCTACAAAAACCTTTAAAAATTAGCCAAGTGTGGTAGCATGCACCTGTTGTTGCAGCAACTCGGGAGCCTGAGATGAGAAGATTGCTTGAGCCAGGGAGGCAGAGGTTGCAGTGAGCCCAGATAGTTCCACTGCACTCTGGGGGACAGAGTAAGACCCTGTCTCAAAAAAAAAAAAAAGAAAGAAAGAGAGGAAATAATTTTTTAATATGATCTAACACCCAGCCTACTTACAAATTTCCCACAATAGTTCCAAGACTATTTTTATAACCTTTTTTTTCTTTTTACAGGATCCAATCAAGGTTCACGTATTGCATTTGGTTATTATTTCTCTTTAGTCTGTAAAAATCAAAAGCAGTTCTTTCGAAGGTTTTTTTTTTATGACATTGACTTTTTAAAAGACTAGGCCAGTTGCCATGTGCAATGTCCAGCATTCTGGATTTATCTGGTTCTTTCCTTATGGTGTGGTTTAATTCCTCCATCAGTACTTTTTCAGTTGTAACATACTTCAGAGTATTCCTTTCCTTTATATTTTTTATAAACTGGAAGTTAGATCTAAAGTCTTGACTAGATTCATTCAAGTCAAACATTTTTGGCACAAACACTTCATAGGTAATGTTGTGTGATTCATATAGTGCCATGCCAGAAAGCACATGCCACTTTGCCCCGTCTGCTGATGACGCTGGATTTGGTCACTTAGTTAAGATAACCACTGGATCTCTTCCTTACGAAGGTATGTCAGGAAGTAATCCATTCATTGGTGCTTTGGCACCATGGGTACTATCTCATCCCCCAAAACTTTTCACCTAATAGTTTTAGCATCTATTGATGATCCTTGTGCTATTATAATGGCAGTCGCAAAATGATTTTCTAATTCTGTTATCCCTCTTCTACTTATTTGCTGATTAATCTTACAGAAGGTTATTCTTCTGTAATCCCCAGACAATTTTAGGTATCTAGTACATATGCAATAATTTTTAGACAGTTTCAGGAGGTTTAGAGACCATCAAACCCCAGCATGGAGCCTGGGTGATGAGGTGTCCTGTTTTGCATGGAAGAAGAGCTGTAGCTGAGCCTTCATAGTCCTTTTATTGTTCTTATTTTGCAAGTAAATTGCAAAATAAGTTCCCAACCCAAAGATAACACAGGCTATCCTTCAACAAAGAAAAACCTCAGCTTTTAAACTTCTAGGCCATTTGGCAAAGAGGCATGATAAAGGGCTTGAAAGCCCACAGACACGCCCAGTACCACTCCTTTTTCCTCTTTCCAAACACTTGCAGTATGTTACAACTGAAAAACTGCTGAGCCAGGCTTATTTCCTCAACAGTAAAGCCAAGGAGTTGGACCAGGCAATTCCTAGCATTTCTTTCTTTTTTTTTTTTTGAGATGGAGTCTCACTCTGTCACCCAGGCTGGAGTGCAATGGCACGATCTCGGCTCACTGCAACCTCTGCCTCCCGGGTTGAGGTGATTGATTCTCCTGCCTCAGCCTCCTGAGTAGCTGGGACTACAGGTGCATGCTACCACACCTGGGTAATTTTTGTATTTTTAGTAGAGATGGGGTTTCACCGTGTTAGCCAGGATGGTCTCAATCTCCTGACATTGTGATTCACCTGCCTCGGCCTCCCAAAGTGTTGGGATTACAGGTGTGAGCCACCGTGCCCGGCCAATTCCTAGCATTCCTACCAGCATTACTAACATGTAGGAACTTGATATTACTTTCACTTGACAGTTAAATTCCTTGAATCCTTCATTTGAGCTTTGAAGGTGCTTGATTTTCCCCTCATTATGTCTCTTAAAGTCACACATACCTAGATCCATTAGTGCTTCCAGTTGGAATTTATTATCAGCACTATAAGAATCTCTTATATTTATGTAGTCCTTTTACGTTATAAAACACTTTTTATGTATTATTGTACTAGACCCTCAATGAGTGGACGTTATATCCCTGTTTTGTTTACTCTTGGGTCTTATAGACTGGGGGTTTTATTTCTGTCCCATTAATGTCACTACTGACAGAGGCCACTGAACTCTGTTGTGATGGACTTTCACCATACATAATCATTAATAGTATTGATTTGCCTGTAATTCAGGTTGCTTCATTCCAGCCTCGCAGTCACCTCTGTGCCCTGCTGGTTGTCTTCCCAGCGCTGCTGTAGTTGCCTTCCATGGATCTATAGGAGAGCAAGTCCTCCAGGTACTGCCCTGTGACGATGTTGTTGAACTCTGTAGCACGTGTGTCACTGTGGCTGGTTCTGCTCACTTCCTCTTTTGCTGCCACTTTTGAATTTAACTCTTTGTTTGTGGTTTGGACACTCACTGGATTTGGAAACCAGGGGTTGTGGGTTCTCTCCTAGATTTCCGTCTGTGTACCAGGCTTGTGCTTAGCACTTTTCCCATAATTCTTTCACATGACCTGCTTAGAAACCCTTAAAGGTAAGTATCACTCTTCCCATTTTACAGATGGATACACTGAGGCTCAGTACTTAAGTGACTTCTGTATTGTCACACAAAGTCAGGGGCAGGAGGCTGCTCTTGGGTTAGATGTGCTGAGGCTCATAACCTCAGCCTGGAACTGGGTCAGGACTACAAAGGTAAACAGAAGCAGAGTCCTTTCTGTGTGTCCCCGCTCCCTGTACAAGCCAAGGCCTCACAGCACATAGCAGCCACAGCCACCTGAGGATTCCTGCCATCTAGACGAGGCAGTTACAGCCAAGAACAAGTCCACTGAGGCTAAGCTGTGCTCCTCTGGAGGGCTGTGTTTAGAGTCCAGCCTTCTAGGGGAAGCAAATTAAACCCAAACTATGGAACAGCCCAGGGAAATACTCACAAAGGGAAATGCTGACAGTCAGACTCCTGAAGCTTCCTGATGCTTCTCGAGTTTTGGTAAAGAACCTCAGTGCTGTTTGTTTGTTTGTTTTTTAATGTTTTCTGGTTTTTTGTTTGTTTTGAGACAGTCTCTTATTCTGTTGCCCAGTCTGGAGTGTAGTAGTACAATCATGGCTCACTGTAGCCTCCACCTCCCAGATTCAAGTAATCCTTCTGCCACAGCCTCCTCAGTAGCTGAGACTACAGATGCATGCTACTACACTGGGGTATTTTAAAAATTTTTTAAATTTTTTTAGTTGAGACAGGGTCTCACTATGTTGCTGAGGCTGGTTTCAAACTCCTCGATTCAAGTGATCCTCCTGCCTCAGCCACCCAAAGTGTTGGATTTACAGGGTGAGCCATGTCACATTGCCCTCTCTTAGTTCTTGAAACCTGAAACCTTGAGGAGCAAACAAAAGGGGTCTCTTGGCCAGGTGCAGTGGCTCACGCCTGTAATCCCAGCACTTTGGGAGGCCGAGGCAGGTGGATCACGAGGTCGGGAGATCAAGACCATCCTGGCTAACACGGTGAAACCCCGTCTCTACTAAAAATACAAAAAATTAGCCAGGTGTGGTGGTGGGTGCCTGTAGTCCCAGCTACTCGGGAGGCTGAGGCAGGAGAATGGTGTGAACCTGGGAGGCGGAGGTTGCAGTGAGCTGAGATCACGCCACTGCACTCCAGCCTGGGCGACAGAGTAAGACTCCATCTCAAAAAAAAAAAACCAAAAAAAAAAAACGGGCGGTCTCTTGACTCTGTCAGGACCCCCATGACTGCTCGTGTGTCTTGTGCTTTGCACAGTTGAGTGAAGGAGCACTGTGTCCACAGTAGACATTGTAGATTTATATATGTATCATTATGAGTTTCCCAGCAGGTAGTGAGAGATTTTTTATTACAGTTGGTGCATTACAGCGATTTTCCAACAGATAGAAGGAAAGGGTGTTGAGGCTCTCCCAACAGCAAGGTATAGGCTAGTGGCTGTCCTGCTCTTCACTCTACCAAGCTAATCTTTCTGGGTTTCCATATCCTTATCTGTACAATGAGGAAGTTGGACTAGATCTATAAGGTCCTCTTCTCGTTGACATTGTGTGAACCTTGTAGGAGCTGGTGGTGTCTGTCGATTGACTGAGTGCTGGAGCTGGCAGCCCTGTGCAGGCTGCCACCTTTGCCCCTTTACTGTGCTTGCTCCTGACTCTACGTCGCGTCTCCAAGGAGAAGAAGTCCTCACCAGTGAACGGAGACCTCTCTGAACTAAGGATACCATGGCCACGTCAGCCCCACTACGGAGCCTGGAAGAGGAGGTGACCTGCTCCATCTGTCTTGATTACCTGCGGGACCCTGTGACCATTGACTGTGGCCACGTCTTCTGCCGCAGCTGCACCACAGACGTCCGCCCCATCTCAGGGAGCCGCCCCGTCTGCCCACTCTGCAAGAAGCCTTTTAAGAAGGAGAACATCCGACCCGTGTGGCAACTGGCCAGCCTGGTGGAGAACATTGAGCGGCTGAAGGTGGACAAGGGCAGGCAGCCGGGAGAGGTGACCCGGGAGCAGCAGGATGCAAAGTTGTGCGAGCGACACCGAGAGAAGCTGCACTACTACTGTGAGGACGACGGGAAGCTGCTGTGCGTGATGTGCCGGGAGTCCCGGGAGCACAGGCCCCACACGGCCGTCCTCATGGAGAAGGCCGCCCAGCCCCACAGGGTAAGCCCTCTTCACCCCCGAGGGTGCCTTGCCACCTTCTCTGGATGCTCCACCTTGCAGTCCTCAGAGGACTCAGCCTGAGTCTCCCTTCCTGCCCCAGCCCAGAGCATCCACCTGTTGCCACTGCTTGTTTTTCCACAGGAAAAAATCCTGAACCACCTGAGTACCCTAAGGAGAGACAGAGACAAAATTCAGGGCTTCCAGGCAAAGGGAGAAGCTGATATCCTGGCCGCGCTGGTAAGTGAGGCTGTTTCAGGAAGCCCTGAGGCGGTGCGCCCGTGTAGGGCAGGGTGAGCCTGGGCAAGTAGGCGGCAGCTGGGAGGTGTTTCTAGGCGCTGCTCACAGGGAGGATGGGTGTCAGCCTGGCAGTAGCAGACCTGGGTTTTAGCCCAAGTGCTGTCTTTCTGAGCCGTGTAGTCTTGGGCCTGTTTCTTGTCTGAGAGACAAGTGGGCTGCCTGGATGTCAGCTAGAGTCCCTTCCGTTTTCTGTGACTGTCACCTTGAAGGCAGGGCCCATGTCCAGCTGCTGGTTCTCTTCTGCCAGGGGACTGAAGAAGGTGTGGCTTCATTCTTCCTTTCAAAGAGAGAGAGAGAGACAAGGTTGCCTGAGAGTGGAGAGGGTTTAGAAGGAGGGAGCTGGCTCCAGGGTAAGAACTGAGAGGGAAGGGCTAGAAAACAGCTAAGGCAGGTCTGCCAATTCTGATGGCACTGTATGTAGTGAGGTCCAGGCCCAGGATCATGGTTGCCAGTACAGTGGGACCTCCTCCATATCTGTGGGTTCCGTAGCGGCGAATTTACCCAACCATGGATCAGAAATATTCAGAAAAAAGAAAAAGCGTCTCTACTGAACATGTACAGATTTTTTTTCTTGTCATTATTCTCTAAACAATTCAGTGTAACAGCTATTTATATAGCATTTACATTATATTAGGCATTATAAGTAATCTAGTGATAATTTAAAGTATATAGTAGATTTTATGTAACTATTATTCCATTTTACATAAGAACTTGAGCATCCTTGGATTTTGGTATCCTTGGGGAGGGAGATCCTGGAACCCATCACCCACTGATACCAAGGGACAACTGTAGTTAGAAAACAGGCAGCACATTATGTACTTGATTAGAGATGGGGTTGGGGGGAACTGATCAAATGGTTCTGATTTTCTGGGAAACTGTGTATGTTGAGGAAGTGGGCAGTGGAGGAGTAGTGGGGTCAGGGCCAGTGGTGAGTCATTAGGCCTAGGGAGAGGGAAACAGTAAGCTAGAGACAGCCAAGTCCAAGGACCCCTCCAGGCCCTCAGTGTGCATGGCTGCCCCCAGCTCAGCACCAGTCAACAGGGCCACTGAGGACTCCCCCAACCCCAGCTGGGGAGGAGATTTGGAGGCAGGAAAGGACATAGTCCCTAAGCACAGACGTCACACAATTTTGCTGAGGAAACAGGATGCAGTCTTACATGGCAGGGGTGGGGTACATATAGATATTTTAGACTGAACAGTGGGGTGCTGAAGAGAGGGCTGGTCAGGCTTAGATGACATTAATCAAGCAAAACTTCCTGGAAGAGGTGACAGATTTTGTCCAGGAGGGAAAAGTGCGTCGGCTCATGAGTGAGACCCACAGAGTTTCTCTAGGGGCCCCAGAGCGTACTGGTTTAGCTAGAACAGATTGTGGCTGACCAGTCAGGTGGAGACAGGGTTTTGACCATATAGTGGTGGGGTGAACTGAACTAATTCATTACTGGAGTCTTCTTTGAGAAGCGGAGTGTGGACCAGGAACCCTCTGTAGCTCCTCCCACTCCAGATCCTGTAGAATTCCTGAACGGGGGTAGCGAGGTGAACGAGCCAGCCTTGCACACCTCCAGCACTGGGCCCTCCACCCTGAGCAGAGGTGTCAGCCCTTCTCCCCTTCCTGCCCCCTGCAGAAGAAGCTCCAGGACCAGAGGCAGTACATTGTGGCTGAGTTTGAGCAGGGTCATCAGTTCCTGAGGGAGCGGGAGGAACACCTGCTGGAACAGCTGGCGAAGCTGGAGCAGGAGCTCACGGAGGGCAGGGAGAAGTTCAAGAGCCGGGGCGTCGGGGAGCTTGCCCGGCTGGCCCTGGTCATCTCCGAACTGGAGGGCAAGGCGCAGCAGCCAGCTGCAGAGCTCATGCAGGTGAGAGGCCGTCCCTGGGCAGGGCGCCAGGGACCAGGACGGTGGGTCCCAGCCCTGCCATTCACTTGCAGGACCTTAGAAGACTTGGGGGCTCAGTTTTGTCATCTGAAACATGGAGATGATAATCCTTACTGCTGCCAATTAGTCTGTAGATTGCATGAGCATAAAATGAAATAACTGGCATGCTGTCACTTCAAAAAATAAACTTTTTACACAAAACTGTTCAAAAAACTAAATGGTATAGTAGAAAATGGAAGGGAAGATTATTAATATCATTTACCATCCTCCATCCTCATCACTGCCATCACAAGCCCTCTTAACAAGTCATTGGCAGACATTTAGCAGCTGGTGGAAGCTTTTTATGGTGTTGTGGTTGGGGGTGGCTGAGGGAGGGCTGACCAGCAGCTCCTCTCAAAGACCCAGAGGATCTGGAAGAGATAGGGTAACTGGGGAAGGGAGACAGAGATGGCCAGGTTTTCTTTGGCCCATGGGATTACCACACAGAGAACAAGATGGAAAGCAGACAAGGGGGCCTCGGGGCACCTCCTAGAGGAGGGGGCTTTGATAGTGAGAAAGGGAGGGTTTGGGGCTGAAGAACTGGCTGTGAAGCTGAAATGGCACCACATCTCCTCCCCCCCGGGAGCCTCTGGGGATCACACTTACCCTGAAGAGGGCCCAGTCCCCTTTGGAGGGGTAGAGGGCTCAACCTTCCTGCTCTCATAGGCTGGGAGGGGAGGGGCTCTCTGATGGTATTCCCCCACTTGCACTGTTTAGGGTGGCTGGGTCTGTCTGTCAGCAGCAGAGCCACCCAGGATCTCTAGGAAGGTGGAGTCCCAGGCTAATGGCAGGGCAATAGCTAGGAGGGAGAGATAGCAAGGCAGACTCTGCAGTATGTGCACTGGGACAGACTGCAGAAGGAGGCGGCCACCTGCTCCTCATTGTTGTGAATTCAGATGTACAGAATGAGGACTGGCAGGGATTTTAGACCTTCCAGTTCAGCCCCTACTGATGAAGTCACTGAGGTCCAGAGAGTGGGAGGAGTTTGTCCCAGGCCATGGGGTGGGTGTCAGGTCACAGCTTGAGCCCAGATGTCCTGACTCCTGGGCTCTGAGCTCTTGTTCTTATTTTGTCCAGAATGTCTCTCTGGCCCCCTCTTTTCCTCCAGATGTCATTCTGTTCTCTCAGATTTCTCTCGTCATACTCTTTGACTGGGTCATTTTCTGCATCTCCTTTTGCCCGTTTCTCTTCTCCTTCCTCTCCTCACGCCCCTGCCATGTGTGAATGCCTACTGTGTGGAACAGAGGCACACAGCTGAGGATGTGGTGGGGCTGAAATCCATTGTGTTTGCCCGGAGGGGTGCCTTTTCCTAATGCACCCAGAGAAGTGGCCCTCAGAGCAGAAGCCTGGCCCTCAATGACTCAGAGCACTCAGATTGCAGCTCTCCCTGGGGTGGGATAAGGTCAAGGGAAGGGAGAGAAAATGGTGTCAGCTTGAAACTAGTATAGGAAATGTTATTGGTACTGGTAGGTTTCTTTTTTTGTTTTGTGTTTTCTCTTTTAATTTTAGTGCTATATAATGTATATATTTATGGGATGTAGAGGTTTTTGTTTGTTTATTTTTGAGACAGAGTCTCGCTCTGTCTCCCAGGCTGGAGTGCAGTGGCGTGATCTCAGCTCACTGTAATCTCCGCCTCCTGGGTTGAAGCAATTCTCCTGCCTCTGCAACCTCTGTCTCCTGGGTTCAAGCGATTCTCCTGCCTCAGCCTCCCAAATAGCTGGGATTACAGGCGCACATCACCACACCTGGCTATTTTCTGTATTTTTGGTAGAGTCAGGGTTTCACCATGTTGGCCAGGCTGGTCTTGAACTCCTGACCTCAGGTGATCGCCTGCCTCAGCCTCCCACAGTGCTGGGATTACAGGCGTGAGCCACTGTGCCTGGCCTAGAGTGATACTTTGATACAAGTATATAATATATAATAATCAACTCAGAGTAATTAGTATATCTGTCACCTCAAACACTTATCATTTCTTTGTGTTGGAACATTCAAAATCCTCTCTTCTAGCTTTTTGAAAATGTATAGTAAATTATAGTTAATTATATTCTCCCTGCAATGCTGCACAACACTAGAATTTATTCTTCCCATGTAGCTATAACTTTGTATCTGTTAACCAACTTCTCCCCACCCTCCTCTCCCCAGCCCCCTTCCCAACCTCTAATCATTACTATTCTACTGTCTTACTTCCATGAACTCAAATTTATTATGGATGAATAGTACTCCATTGTGTATATATGCTACATTTTCTTTATCTATCTGTTGATGGATGCTTAGATTGAGTCCACATCTCAACTATTGTGAATAGTGCCACAATAAACATGAGTGTGCAGGTATCCCTTTGATATACTGATTTTCTTTTCTTTGGATAAATACCTAGTAATGAGATTGCTGGATCATATGGTAGTTCTATTTTTAGTTTTTTGAGAAACTCTCATACTGTTTTCCGTAACGGCTATACTTATATGTAGAAAAACCTAAAGGCCCCACCAAAAAACCCTTAGAACTAATAAACAAATTCAGTAAAGTTGCAGGATACAAAATCAACATAAAAAGTCTACTGCATTTTTAATACACCAATAACAAACTAGCTAAAAAAGACATCAAGAAAGCAACCCCATTTACAATAGCTACAAAAGTAAAATAAAATACCTGGGAATGAAGTTAACCAAGGAGGTGAAAGACCTCTTTAATGAAAACTACAAAACACTGATGAAAGAAATTGAAGAAGACACAAACAAATGGAAAAATATTCCATGCTTGTGGATTAGAATTAATATTGTTAAAATGACTGTCCTACCCAAAGCAGTCTACAGATTTAATACAATCCCTGTTATCAAAATACGAATGACATTCTTCAGAAAAATAGAAAAAAAACTAAAATTCATATGGAGTCACAAAAAACCCCAAATGGCCAAAGCAATCCTAAGCAAAAAGAACAAAACTGGAGGCCTCACACTATCTTACTTCAAAATATACTACAGCCAGTTGTGGTGGCTCACACCTGTAATCCCAGCACTTTGTGAGGCCGAGGCAGGCGGATCACGAGGTCAGGAGTTTGAGACCAGCCTGACCAACATGGTGAAACCCCATCTCTACTAAAAATACAAAAATTAGCTGGGCGTGATGGTGCGCACCTATAATCCCAGCTACTCGGGAGGCTGAGGCAGGAGAATCACTTGAATCCAGGAGGCAGAGGTTGCAGTGAGCCGAGATTGTGCCACTGCATTCCAGCCTGGGCAATAGAGTGAGACTCCATTAAAAAAAAGAAAAAAAAAAAAAAATATATATATATATATATATATACACACACACACACACACACATATATATATACACACATATATATGTATATATATACATATATATGTATATATACATATATATATATACTACAAAGCTGTAGTAACCAAAACAGCATGTATTGATATAAAAGCAGACACATAGACCAATGGAACAGAGTAGAGAACTCAGAAATAAATTCACATATTTACAGCCAACTGATTTTCAACAAAGGAACCAAGAACATACAATGGGGAAGGGACAGTCTCTTTAATAAATGGTGCTAGGAAAACTGGGTAACCAACCATACGCAGAAAAATGGTATTGGTAGATTTTGTCTGTGTGCTTATTTGAGTTTGATTGTACTGCGTGGGAACTGGACAGCTACCTCCCTAATTAGCATTAATATTTTCCCAGAGATTATTTGGCTGTCAAAGTATAGTAAGAAAAAGACCTAAAATAGGGTCCAGAAGTCTGATAGAGAAATACAGGTGAGGCTGGTGTGGTGATTCACACCTATAATTCCAGCACTTTGGGAGGCTGAGGCAGGCAGATTGCTTGAACCCAGGAGTTTGAGACCAGCCTGGGCAACATAGTGAGATCCTGTCTCAAAAAAATTAAAATAAAATAGAAATACAGGTGAGAGGGAGAAGCAGCAGGACAAAATGTGTAAAATAGAAGAGACCTTTTGATAGAGGTGATAGGAAAGGAAAGACAAACCTATGGGCTGGGAGCATCAAGAAGACATTAAAGGGATTGGGGTGACAGGAGAGGCCCAGAGAGACACTGCATCCTGCCCTGGTAACCCGGGCAGGCCCTGCAGGATCAGGTGGCATGCTTGTACCCTGCTTCTCCTGCTGTACACCCCCGTGAAGAACTTTCTTGATGCTCTCTGTTAGTAACCGGGCACATCCCCTCCGGGAGCTTGCCATGACTCATTGCCGCAGCCCCACTGCTCGGCTCTGCCTGTTTCATGACAGCTTCAGATGTCTTGGGTGAGAAGAGTCCTCCAGGAGACTTGGGCGGATCACTTCCCTCCAGAGGCCCTGTATGTGGCTGTGGATGGGGGCTCCTGAGTCTTTCAGCCTCTTCTCCGCAGGGCCAGCCCTGCCCTGGCTCTCGGGACCCACCCTCTCTGGGCTGCTCACAACCTTTAACCTTTAGAGGACTCTTCTTTCTCCTGTATGATTCTCTCCCTTTCTACTGTTCTAGGAACTTCCATGTCAGGAAATATGCCCAAATGGGCCTCTGGCCCACACTCCAGCTACTGCTCCATTCATTTGCTCTTTTATGCCACCTTTGTCAGCAGAGCTGTCAGGACACACTGTCTGTTTTGTTGCCTGTCCTCTGAAGCCGCCTTGGACTTACATGTTTTGAGGGGCATGTTAGAGGACTTGGCCAGAAATGTGCTACCAGTCTCTGGGCACTTGCTTCATAGCGGGGGGTTGGGATGTGCCTCTGACTTCTTGTCTTATTCCTCTGGAGTAAAGCTCACAACTCTTCCCAAACTTTTGGAAGCAGTCATCAGCAGCCACAATTTGTTAATTCCATTTGTTTCCCAAATCTCACCCTCTCCAGGAAGCCAGCCTGCACCCCACCGGCCCCTGCTCCCATCCCCCTTCACTCTGCTCTCTTTTCCCGTGGTGCGTATCGCTCACGTAGTATGATGTATTTGCTACATTGATTATTGTCTGCTTCCCCCTGCTAGAATGTCAGCTCTACAGAAGTAGGGATTTGTCTCTCTCTCTCTCTTTTTTTTTTTTTTTTAACTGTTCTGAGGCTTCTAGATGAGTGCCTGGTACCTAGGAAGCACTTAATAAATATTTGTGGAATGAGTGAAAGGAAGGCAAAAATCAATTAATACAGGGTATTAAGGAGGCTTTTGACTCACAAAAGGGAATCTGAGCATCTCAGAATAGCCCTCTTCCCACTCACCCTGCCCTACCACCTGTCTGTCACAGAGATAGCACCACCATTCTCCCCCCTGTACAAACCATGCTCTGTTCTTGTTTATCCTTGACCAGTATGTCCAGTTGAATCTGTCTCTAAAATACCTGGAATGTATTGCTTCTCTCTTTTTCTCCCTACTGCCACCACCTTAGTTCAGGCCATCTTTAGCTCTCCCCTGGTCCACGGCAAAAGCCTCCGGACCAACCTCCCCATGTTCCTCTTGCCTCCTTAGTCCCTTCTCTGTGGGGCAGCCAAGTGAGTGGTCACTTAGGGTTTTGGCTCACTGCTGTACAGTGACGCAAACAGAATAGAAGTTTATTTCTGCCTCAGTTAACAGTTCAGAGGTGCAGGGTCTAGAGCTATCACAGTAGCTGTACATAAGCTTATCCAAGGGACTGGGTTACTTCCATGTGGTTCTTCCACCAGCTTCTAGGGATGTTGTCCTCTGCTGCGTGGTCAAAGTTGGGCTCACCACCACCATGTCCAAAATTCAGTTGGGGTAAAAAGGAAGTAGAAAGCAATTTTCTTTTTTTAAAGGACAATGCCCAGAATTATGGTCATTGCTTTCTATCACATTCCATTGGCTGGAACTTAGTCTCATGACCAGACCTTGTCGTAGGGGATCTGGAAAATGTAGTCTTCCCAGGTGGCCGCCTGACCAGCAATAACTCCGGGGGTTCTATTATTAAAAGGAGGAAGGGGAGAGTGGACTCTGGAGGTTACACAGCAGTCTCAGCCACATGTAGAGCGGATCACACATATCATGCCCCTACTTGAAACCCTTGGTGGGTTTCCACTGTACGTGGAGCAAAAGTGAAACTCCTTACCATGCATATCCAGCCCTGCGCAGTCTGGCCTCTGCCGTTCTCACCAAGCCCTTTCCTGTTTTACCTTACCTCTCTTCATCCGGCCAGTACTTCTTATCCGTCAATTCTCTGCGCAGGTATCTCCCAGAGAGGTTGCCCATGTCATCTCCCAGCCATTGTGGCTTCTGTCATTGTGCCGATTTTGTTTGTTTTCTTGTTGTTTTATGCAGTGACCCCACTGGAATGTCAGCTCCATAAAAAAGGGACCACATTTGTTTTGTTCACTGATATGTCCCATCTCTGCTACAGTGTTGGGTGCAGATGCATTGAAGTCTTATTTGATTCATATTGATACTTGTGCTTTTTTCTTTCCCTTCTAGGACACGAGAGACTTCCTAAACAGGTAAAAGAGTCTCCTCTCCATGGCGTACCTCATCCCCCTTGTTTATGTTCCCCCGCTTCTGACCAGGTGCATTTGAATTCATGGGGAGTGGTATGGTGCCAGAGGTACTCACATCCCATGGTTCATCCTGATGCCTTTCTGAGGAGCAGGACACATCATTGAGAACTGGAGACTTGCTCTCCTCCTTATGAGTTCTCTGTGTAGCCCCAGCTCCTTGGCCCACTGGCCTTATTTGAGGTGGGACAGAGCAGAGAGGTTAGAAACATGGCTTAGTAGACAGAGCGCCCTGGATGTGGAGTCTACTGATGTTCTGAAGCCCTGGTTCAGCTGGTGTCTTTGGGCCACTGTTTTTCTGTCACTTGTTTGGGGATAATCATACCTTTCCTCTCCCCTTCATAATTGCCATGAGGATTGAGAGATAAGTATGAAGGAAAGTAAGAAGAGCTGAGTAACAGCTTGTTATGTATGTCATCTTCTTAGGTATCCACGGAAGAAGTTCTGGGTTGGGAAACCCATTGCTCGAGTGGTTAAAAAAAAGACCGGAGAATTCTCAGATAAACTCCTCTCTCTGCAACGAGGCCTGAGGGAATTCCAGGGTAAGGGTTGGGGAGCGCACAAAGGGTGGGAGTCAGAGCAGGGCTACCTCGTAGAAAGAGCGCACCCAGCTCCTTTCCATCACCTTGTCGATCCTCACTCTTCTGAGGGCCTCTTGTCTTAGACATGGATCCCTATCAGGAAATTGATACTGCCCGAGCAAGAAATGGGCTCATAAATTTTCGGGACTTGAGTCATTGCTGTCCTTTTTTCTCCCCAGGGAAGCTGCTGAGAGACTTGGAATATAAGACAGGTGAGTGTCTAGAGGGTGTTTCCCAGATGTACATCAAATATAGAAAACTCCGCCTGCAGAGATTCTGACTGCTCACTTTTCCCCCAGGTAGCCCCTTTTGCAACAGGAAGAATTTCCCAGCTGCACAATAGAAGCCCCCCTCCCTCTTTGCACTTTCTAATCAGCCTACTCTTTAGTCTGCAGTAGAGGCCTCTGCTTGCTAGTCTGATCCTTCTCTGCCCTGTGTTTGCTTTTCTTTTTCCTATCCTCACAGGTCCTACCACCAGTCCTTTTCCTGTGGCCGAGCTTTCTCTCATCTTCCTGGCTGCATGGCTCCTATATTCAGAGCAAACAGCAGGGGCAACCTAAGACCAGAGGCCATATCCACCACAGGCCCCACTATTGTGCCCCCTCTCAGCCCTGCAGTTAGGTTGTACACTGCATACCAACCACCAAGGAGCGCCATCCTCATAGACCAAGATGTGAATGGTGCCCCTTGGATTGTGAAGACTGGTGGTCTCCTCCTGGCTCACTTTCACACTTGCTTTCGTGAGAACCATTGAGGAGGTCGGCCTGTCTGGGAGCAAACGAGGCCCTGAGAGCTTCATCTAGTTCACAGGATAAAATCCCATAGCAGAACTGAGTTAGCAGTGGTTAAACCTTAGGTGGTTGTAGCTTCTTTATTAATGTCTGAGCTGTCTGTGAATACCGTCAAATTTTACCTATCAGGTTATTCTAATTATAGAGAATCCTATGAGGATGATGGTGAGGATTATCCCACTCTGTCAGTACCTGTTCAGGGTTTCTTGAACCATCTTACAGAGCAGGCTGGTAGTTTTGAAACTGAAATTGAACAGTTTACAGAGACCCTGAATGCTTGTGTTACAACAGATGATGCTTTGCAAGAACTTGTGGAACTCAGAGGCCACATCTGTCCCAAATTTCTTTTCTTTTTTTTTTTTTTTTTTTTTTTTTGATACGGAGTCTCGCTGTCGCCCAGGCTGGAGTGCAGTGGCGCAATCTCGGCTCACTGCAGGCTCCGCCTCCTGGGGTTCACGCCATTCTCCTGCCTCAGCCTCCCGAGTAGCTAGGACTACAGGCGCCCGCCACCTCGCCCGGCTAATTTTTTGTATTTTTAGTAGAGACGGGGTTTCACCGTGTTAGCCAGGATGGTCTCGATCTCCTGACCTCGTGATCCACCCGCCTCGGCCTCCCAAAGTGCTGGGATTACAGGCGTGAGCCACCGCGCCCGGCCTTTTTTTTTTTTTTTTTTTTGAGATGGAGTCTTGCTTTGTCTTCCAGGCTGGAGTGTAGTGGTGTGATCTCAGCTCACTGCGAGCCCCGCCTCCCAGGTTCACGCCATTCTCCTGCCTCAGCCTCCTAAGTAGCTGGGACTACAGGTGCCCACCACCATGCCCGGCTAATTTTTGTATTTTTAGTAGAGATGGGGTTTCACCATGTTAGCCAGGATGGTCTCGATCTCCTGACCTTGTGATCCACCCGCCTCGGCCTTCCAAAGTGCTGGGATTATAGGCGTGAGCCACCGTGCCCAGCCCCAAATTTCTCTTACATGGGAGCTCACCTGTGTAATTACCTGACATCATCTGACAGTTAGCACAGAGAGTAGCACCTTCCGCCAATTTCTACTTCAAAGATATCGGACTGAATATGACATTAAAGATCAAGCTGCAAAAGGGGATGAAGTTACTCCAAAACAATTTCATGCATTTGTACCCTTTCTGGGAGAGCTTTATCATAACCTGGAGATCAGAGGAACAAATGGACAGGTTACAAGGGCAGATATTCTTCAGGTTGGTCTTCAGGAGTTGCCGAATGCCCGAATGCCCTCTTTTCTAATCCCATGGATGACAGCTTAATTTGTGCAATAAAATTGCTGAAGTTGACAGGGTCAGTTTTGGAAGATGCTTGGAAGGAAAAGGAAGGACTGATATGGAAGAAATTATTCAGGAAATTGAAAATGTTGTTATAGATGCAAGCTGTGGCAGAGACATGAAACAGATGCTCTTGAAGCTTGTAGAACTCCAGTGCAGTAATTGGGGTAGAGTCCATGCAACTTCATCATACAGAAATACAACAGCCAAAAAAGATCCCAATTACTATGTGAATGAACCAACATTTTATAGTGGTCATTCACATAGTTATTGTGTTTCATAGTGTTCCTTTCACTGCAGCTGATCCGGATTACCAAGAAGCATATCAAGAGTTACTTGAAAAAGAGGACTTTTTTTCTGGATTATGAAGAAAATGGAACAGATTTTTCAGGGACTGGTGATCCACACTTGGATGATATTAATGATGAGTTGGACCCAGAGATCCAGAGATAGAGGAAGCTTATGAAAAGTTTTGTTTGGAATCAGAGCGTAAGCGAAAACAGTCAAGTTAAATTTCAGTATATCATGTTTATAAAGCAGTTTAGTTATGGTGATTTAGCAGAATACAAAGCCAGAAAATGTGTCACACTTATACCAAATTAAGGATGTTGAGTTATATTACTAATGTATGCAACTTTAATTTTGTTTAACGCTATCTGCCAAAATAAATTTTATTCCCTCTGACTTAAAAAACAAAACAAAACAGTGATGCTGTTTTTTTTTTTTTTTCCCTTGTCCCCACAGTGAGCGTCACCCTGGACCCACAGTCGGCCAGTGGGTACCTGCAGCTGTCAGAGGACTGGAAGTGCGTGACCTACACCAGCCTGTACAAGAGTGCCTACCTGCACCCCCAGCAGTTTGACTGTGAGCCTGGGGTGCTGGGCAGCAAGGGCTTCACCTGGGGCAAGGTCTACTGGGAAGTGGAAGTGGAGAGGGAGGGCTGGTCTGAGGATGAAGAAGAGGGGGATGAGGAGGAAGAGGGAGAAGAGGAGGAGGAGGAAGAGGAGGCCGGCTATGGGGATGGATATGACGACTGGGAAACGGACGAAGATGAGGAATCGTTGGGCGATGAAGAGGAAGAAGAGGAGGAGGAAGAGGAGGAAGTTCTGGAAAGCTGCATGGTGGGGGTGGCTAGAGACTCTGTGAAGAGGAAGGGAGACCTCTCCCTGCGGCCAGAGGATGGCGTGTGGGCGCTGCGCCTCTCCTCCTCCGGCATCTGGGCCAACACCAGCCCCGAGGCTGAGCTTTTCCCAGCACTGCGGCCCCGGAGAGTGGGCATCGCCCTGGATTATGAAGGGGGCACCGTGACTTTCACCAACGCAGAGTCACAGGAACTCATCTACACCTTCACTGCCACCTTCACCCGGCGCCTGGTCCCCTTCCTGTGGCTCAAGTGGCCAGGAACACGCCTCCTGCTAAGACCCTGAGCCCTGACATCTGCCCCCAGCCCCAACCCTCAGATGCTTCACTTCTTTGGAATTCCAGGACTCTCAATGGGGGGACGGGATGCCTGGCCTAAGCACCTGGAGCAGGGGACCCCATATCCACTGGTAGCCACCTCCCCATTGCTGTGGCCCCCTGAAATCTCACTCAGTGCTGTTGCTCCATCTACTGCCCTAATGGGGCTCTTTTCCCACCTCCTGCTGGTTTCCCGAGGGAACTTCTGACCCTGGAGTCCATGAGGGCTCCTTTCCTTTTTGACCACGACCTTGGCCCCAGCTCTGCACTCTCTGGAATAAGGGCCCGATGCAGCATTTTCTTGCCCAGTGTGGCAAGACCTCAGAAAAACCAGTCAATTACGCCTAAGATCATTTTGCTGTCCTTAAACCCCCCAGGTTCCTTCTTGCACAAATCCACTCTGCTGCCCACCTTCTCTGGCATTTTAAACAGACCTACCCCACCCCAACTCAGAGTTAAGCATACATGGCAATGCTGAAAATAAACAAAATCCACTGAGGCTTCCCAGGCCATTTAAAGCCTGGAGTACCAGCGCATATCATCTCATGGGGTCCAGAGTGGAGTCCAGGCTTCTCTGAAACCAGGGCTGAGCATATTTCCATAGCCAAGGAGGTGGGACTCCCTGGAGCTATCTGTGGTCTTAGGGAAGGATCCAGACATACACGGCTTTGGGGTACAAGCTGTGATCACTGATCAATAAATTATCTCTAGATTGGTCCTTGTGAGGGGAGTTTTAAGAATCCAGAACATCTTGCTCTTGATCAGCACATCCAAAAACACCAAGACAAACATCCAGTGGAGCAGAACCTCTCCTGCCTCGGGAGTTCTGACCGGGTTCCCCAGCAGGGTGTTAAGCCTCTGTCTCTGGCCCTACCAGCATCCAGGTTCCACTTTCCTAGGAGAGAGTGGAGATGGGAAGACAGGGAAAGGAAGGCAGCAGGAGGCCACAAGCCCACCAGGTCTTCATGTCAAGAGAGGGAGTAACATGTCTTCTCATTGCCCACGGACCCAACCTCTGTCCAGGTGCCCCTCATCATCACAGTTTAACACAAGCTCCCCTGCTCCAGCCAAATTGATCTCCCAGTCTTGTCCTTACCCATTCCAAGTGCTCTGCCAGCCCCTGTTCATCCAAGTTTTAAGTCCTCCACCCTGTTCTAAGAGACTGTTCCAACGGCTCTGGGCCTCAGTGGTCACTTGACCACCATTGTCTCAGAGCTGCCCACTTTGTGTGTGTCACATGCTGCCTGAGTCACATGTACATCTTATTTCTGCCTCTAGTTTTGTAAGCTCCTGGAGGGCGGATAACATCTTATACTACTCTTGTATTCTCATGGCACCTAGTGCAGTGCTGGGCACAGAGTAGGTGCTCAATAAAGACTTGTTGAATGAACAGCCTGGAGATCTGTATTTGTAGGTCTATATCTATATTATATCTCAAATGCCACCAGACCTCAGTCTGGCTACAGAGAAATTCCACTGATAGCAGTAGCCGAAGGTTTTCCTTCTGTGCCTTCTGTAACAGTGTAACTTTGCTTTCTGTTCTCTGCACACATGCTGTCATTTCTGGAAGTCCCTCAAAAAGAGCCTACTGCGGAACACAGACGAGTTGTTGCGTGGCTCCACCTTTTTATTCCTCCTGCAGTGGTGCCCTTGAGCTGAGGTCCAGCGTTTTGGAGCAAGTGATGACTCTCCCTGAGAAGGGAGACCTCCAGTATAGCACACCCAAAAATTCTTCCTTGGAAAATAAGCACTGCCTCAGAGGAAATAGAATGTGCAGAGATTCAGCCTTGCATCCTAACACAGTCAACTGTTTTTCTTGTCCTTTCTGATTTTTTTTTTTTTTTTTTTTTTTTTTTTGAGATGGAGTCTCACTCTGTCTCCCAGTTTGGAGTGCAGTGGCGCCATCTCGGCTCACTGCAAGCTCTGCCTCCCGGGTTCACGCCATTCTCCTGCCTCAGCCTCCCGAGTAGCTGGAACTACAGGCGCCCGCCATCACGCCCGGCTAATTTTTTTGTATTTTTAGTAGAGACGGGGTTTCACCATGTTAGCCAGGTTGGTCTTGATCTCCTGACCTCATGATCCACCCACCTCGGCCTCCCAAAGTGCTGGGATTACAGGCGTGAGCCATCGCGCCCAGCAGTCCTTTCTGATTTTTTAAATTGCCATCTTAAAGATGGAAAAGGGAGGATTATACGAAACTACCTGTAAAATTACGCTAGTGGCAAAGAGCATGTTTCCTCTCTGTTCTCTAAGTTGTGGGCTCATGTAAATTTTCCCTTTTTATTTTTTATATTCATAGTTTTTCATTTTGTATAACTCTACTTGCACATATGGTAAACTTTCTACAGTGCTTCTTACAAATAGGAACATTTCCCTGCCCCATACCTCCCTCCAAAGACCCAGTTCATACCTTTCAGCAAACTATTTTGTGTTTGCCTTGCTGGGATTACAGGTGTGAGTCACCACAACTGGCTGAATTTTTATTATTTTAGAGACATGGTCTTACTCTGTCACCTAGGCTCTAGTGATGGTGCACTCGTAGCTTACTGTGGCCTTGAGCTCTGGGGCTCAAGTGATCCTCCCACCTCAGCCTCCCAAAGTACTGGAATTACAGGCGTGAGCCACTGTGCCCTGCCTGAATTATTTCTTGTTGACTTTTCCTCCTATTTTCTGTATTCTCTCAAATCTGTTATCTCCAGGCTTCATATGTCTCCTGAATTCATTTATTAAGTACCCGTGATGTGCCAGGATGTTTCTAGGTTACAACAGTGATAAGGTTAACAAAGTTCTGCACTCTTGGAGGTTATATTCCAGCAAATGGTGACAGGCAGTATGTTAAAATTGAAAAAAAAAAAGTAATTAGCACTATGCAAGGAAGTGAAATAAGTCTGTGATAGATAGTGACCTAGTATCTATTTTATAATGTGTGATCAGAAGGGAGTTCCCTGAAAAGATGGCATGAGAGCTGAAATCAGAATGGTGAGAGGGAAGGTCTAAGATCACATCAGCTAGAGGGAACAGCAAAGTCCTAAAGCAGGGACAAACTGGGTACAGAAAGAGTGCATTTAGAGTATGGTTATGGGAGAACAGAAAGAGCCATAGATTTTCTCTTTTTTTTTTAATAGAGACGGAGTCTCGCTCTGTTGCCCAGGCTGGAGTGCGGTGGCATGATCTTGGCTTACTGGCAACCTCCGCTGCCCAGGTTCAAGCGATTCTCTTGCCTCAGCCTCCCAAGTACCTGGGACTACAGGCGCACACCACCATGTCTGGCTAATTTTTTTGTGTTTTTAGAAGAGACGGGGTTTTGCCATATTGACCAGGCTGTTCATGAACTCCTGACCTCAGGTGATCCACCTATTTTGGCCTCTCAAAGTGCTGGGATTACAGGCATGAGCTTTAAAAAGAAACTTTTTAAAAACTGATGCATCCCAAGTACCCAGAATAATGCCTATCACATAAGTCTTGACCTGAGGCCGGACTGATGTGGCGCTGCTGTTGCTGCTGCTACTGCTGCCACCTGGCAAAAAAGAGATGGGAGACTGAGCACTCCCATGCACCCACCTGGACAAATCCCATCGCCACTGCTACAGGCTGCTGTGAGACCAGGGCTTGAGAAGACTGCACTCCCTGTGGCTACTTGTCCTTGCTCTTCCACCTGAGAGGGGTCCTGCCCTCCCGGTGGCAAACCTGTAGTCATTATTCTGAGAGCTCAACCACCCGGGTCTGCATTCTGCCCCTGGGCCTGGCTGGGGCTGCTGCCGCCAAGCCAAGGCTAAGTTGAGGAGGGAGAGTAGAGACGGGGCACTTCCGCACGTTCCTAGGACAAATCCCACCACTGCTGCTATGGGCTGGTGTGGACAAAGGTGTGAGCAGATGACACTTCCCACAGCTACTTGCTCATGATGCGCCAGCTGAGAGTGGCCCTGCCTTCCCTGGTTGCAGGACTACAGTGCAGCCACCACAGCCAGCCCACACCTGAGCATTCTGCCAGTGGTCTGGGGACCTCTCCATCTCTTGTCTATCACAGCTAGCACCTGAATGCATTGCAGGGGGCCCTGAGGACAGGTCTGCTGGCCTGATCCCATCCCCCCAGTACACAAGCACATCATCCAGGGGCCCGGAAATTGCCCAGCCCAATCTACCACCACTGGCATCTGAATCATTCCTGTCAGGATCTGAGGTCAGTCCAACTCAATCTACCAATACCACCACAACTGACACCCACCCACACATGCTACCAGTGGGTCAGGGTACTAGCCTGCCCAACTTGTCACAGCCACCACCAACACCAGCACAGACTGCTTGGGTCCTAGCAGGTTGTTCCACCACTGCTACTGCCATTACCCATTTCTCACCAGCTGCCCAGGAGCCTGAGAAGTTGCCCACATGTCTGGCCCACTGCTGCCACTGCTAGCATCTGAGCAAGTCACCTGAAGGCCCAATAATTGGCCCTCCAAGACCCACTAACGCTGTTGTCAGTTTAAGCCACTCTGTGGGCCCTAGCACAGGCTCATTCAACCCACCGCTGCCATCACTAGGGCCTGAAGACTGGCCCACCTAGCATCTTAGTTCCCAGCCAAACTTCACCACAGCCTTCACTAATAAGTGCACCTTAAGTCAATGAGGAAGTCACAGATACCACTGATGTTGTATACTGCCAAATAAATCATACAGGGATCACACTACTATAGGCACTCAAAATCAAAGCCAAAGCACCCTACTCAACAAACAACACGTAAAATCTTCAGGAAAAAAATCCTCCCCTATGAAAGCAATTTCAAAAATGGAAGAAGTGACTGTTGCAACTAAATGTGCAGATATCAATGTAAGGACACAGAAAACTAAAGAACAAAGAAATATGACACCAACAAAGGAACACAATACCTCTCCAGCTACAGTTATCAATCAGAAAGAAATTCATGAAATTCTAGATAAAGAATTCAAAGTACTGATTTTAAAGAAACTCAGTAGGCTGGGCACGGTGGCTCATGCCTGTAATCCCAGCACTTTGGAAGGCCGAGGTGGGTGGATCACGACGTCAGGAGATTGAGACCATCCTGGCTAACACGGTGAAACCCCGTCTCTACTAAAAATAGAAAAAATTAGCTGGGTGTGGTGGTGGGTGCCTGTAGTCCCAGCTAGTCGGGAGGCTGAGGCAGGAGAATGGCATGAACCCGGGAGGCGGAGCTTGCAGTGAGCTGAGATCGTGCCACTGCACTGCAGCCTGGGTGACAGAGTGAGACTCCATCTCAAAAAAAAAAAAAAAAGAAACTCAGTGATATATAAGAGAATTCTGAAAAACAATAGAAAGAAAAAAGATAATAATGTAGGATATGAATGAGAAATTTAATAAAGCAATAGATTGTTTTTTAAAAGAAAAATAGAAAATCTGGATATGAAGAATTTATTAAAGGAAATACAAAATACCTTTGAAAGCTTCAACAATAGAACTAGATTGGGGAGAAGAAAGAGTCTCAGAGCTTGAAGGCAGCTCTTTTGAAATAACCTAGTCAGACAAAAATAAAGAAAAAATAATTTTAAAAAATTCAATTTACTTTGCCTAGATAAAAAAATTAGCAAAGCCTTCATGATATTTGGGACAGCATAAAGCAACTGAATATATGAATTGTTAGTATCCCCGAGGATGATGAAGAAATGAAAGGATTAGAAAATCTATATAATGAAATAATAGATGAAAACTTTCCAAGCCTAGCAAGGGATTTGGACATGCAGGTATAGGAGGCTCAATGTTTCCCAGGCAGATGCAATGCAAAGGGTCTTCTCCATAGCACATTATAATTAGACTGTCTAAAGTCAAAATAAAGAGCAAATTCTAAAAATAGCAACAGAATAGTGCCTAGTCACCTAAAAGGAAAACTCATCAGACTAACAAACAGTGGATTTCTCTGCAGAAACCCTACAGGCCAAAAGATAATGGGATGGTATATACAAAATGATGAAAGAAAATAACTGTCAGCCAAGAATATTAGATCCAGCCAAATTAAAGTATAAAGGAAAAAGAAATAAAGTCTTTCCCAGACAGGCAAATACTGAGGGAATTTGTTACCACTAGATCAGTCCTACGAGAAATGCTCAAGGGAGTCCTAAACCTGGAAGTGATAGGATGATATTTACCATCATAAAAACACACAAAAGTATAAAACTCGCTAGTAAAGCAATCACACAAAGGAAGAAGAGAAAGGACTCAAATGGTGCCTCTAAAGAAATCCACCAAACCACAATGACAAACAAGAAGAAAGGAACAAAGAATATATAAAACAATCAGAAAACAACAATATGACAGGAACAAAGTCTCATATATCAATAATAATCTTGAATGTAAATGGAATAAATTCTTTACTTGAAAGATGTAGAATGGCTGGATTTATTTAAAAAGATAATACACCTGTAAGCTGTTTCAAGAAACTCAGTAAAGTTTCTTACCAGTAAAGACAAATATAGACAAAGTAAAGGGATGGAAAAAGATATTCCATACAAATGGAGACAAAAAGTGAGAAGGAGTAGCTATACTTATATCAGATACAACAGACTTTAAGTCAAGAATTGTGAAAAAAAAAAGCCAAAAATGTCATTATATAATGATAAAGGGATCAATCCAGCAAGAAGATTCAACAGTTCTAAATATATATACACCAAACACCAGAGCACCCACATTCATAAAGCAAATATTACTAGCTCTAAAGAGAGAGACAGATTGGAATACAATAATAGTGGGGGACTTTAGCACCTCATGCTCAGCATTAGACAGATTATCTAGACAGAAAATCAACAGAGAAACATTGGATTTAAACTGGACTTTAGACCAAATGAACCTAACATTTACAGAACATTCTATTCAACAACTGCAGAATATATATTCTTTTCATCAGAACATGGAACCTTCTCCAACATAGACCATATATTAGGCGACAAAACAAGTCTCAATAAATTTTTAAAAATTAAAATCATATCAAATATTTTCTCAGACTGCAATAGAATAAAATGAGAAATCAATACCAAGAGGAACTTTGGAAACTATACAAATACATAGATATTAAACCACATGGTCCTGAATGACCATTGGGTCAATGAACAAATTAAGATAGAAGGCCAGGCATGGTGGCTCACACCTGTAATCCCAGCACTTTGGGTGGCTGAGGCGGATGGATCACCTGAGGTCAGAAGTTCGAGACCAGCCTGGCCAGCATGGTGAAACCCTGTCTCTGTGAAAAATACAAAAAAATTAGCTGGGCGTGGTGGCAGGCGCCTGTAATCTCAGCTACTTGGGAGGCTGAGGCAGGAGAACCGCTTGAACCCGGGAGGTGGAGGTTGCAGTTAGCCGAGTTTACACCATTGAACTCCAGCCTGGGAGACAAGAGCAAAACTCCATCTGGAAAAAAAAAAAAAAAGAAATTAAGATGAAAATTAAAAAAAAAATCTAAAAACAAATGAAAATGGAAACATAAAACCTGTGGGATTCAGCAAAGGCAGTGCTAAGAGGAAAGTTTACAGCAATAAATGCTTACATTAAAAAAGTAGAAAGATTACAAATTAACAATCCAACAATGTACCTGAAGGAGCTAGAAAAGCAAGAACAAACCAAACCCCAAATTAGCAGAAGAAAAGAAATAATAAAGATCAGAGCAGAAAGTAGAGACTTAAAGAAATACAAAGGATCAATGAGATGAAAAATTGGTTCTTTGAAAAGATATACAGAATTGATAAGCTACTAGCTAGACTAACCAAGAAGACAGAAGACCCATATGAACAAAATCAGAATTGAAAAAGGAGACATTACAACTGACATCACAGAAATATTAAAGATCATCAGAGACTGTTATAAACAACTAGATAAAATTGGAAAATCTAGAGGAAGTGGATAAATTCCTGGAAACACACAACCTACCAAGACTGAATCAGAAAAAAATAGAAAACCTGAGCAGACCAATAATTAATAGCAAGATTGAATCAGTAATTAAAAGTCTCTCAAAGAAGAAAAGCCTAGGACTGGAGGGATTAACAGCTGAATTCTACTAAACATACAAAGAACTAATACCGATCCTCCTGAAACTGTTCAAACAAGTCAAAGAGGAAGGAATTTTCCCTAACTAATTATATGAGGTCAGCATCACCCTAATACTAAAACCAGACAGATACACCACAACACCAACAAAAAGAAAATTATAGGTCAATATCCCTAATGAACATAGATACAAAATCATAGATAGATACAAAAATCCTCAACAAAATACTAGCAAACCAAACCCAACAGCACATCGAAAAATACTACATCAAAATCAAGTGGGATTTATAGTAGAGATGCAAAGATGTTTCAATATGAATAAATAAGCATGATACATATTATCAATAGAATGTAGAACAAAAACCATATGATCATCTTAATAGATGCAGAAAAAGCATTTGATAAAATTTAACATTCTTTTAAGATAAAAACATACAACACACTAGGCATAGACGGAACAAACCTCAAATTCAAATGAGCTGTATGTAACAAACCCATAGCTAACATGCTGAATGAGGAAAAGTGGAAAGCTTTTCCTCTAAGCACTGGAACAAGGCAAGGATGTCTACTCTCAATACTCTTATTCAACATAGTACTAAAATCCTAGCTATAAGGATCAGGCAAAAGAAAGAAACACAATGTGTGATTTCACCAAAAAACTCTTAGATATGATAAATGAGTTCAGTACAGTTTCAGGCTACAAAATTAATATGCAAAAGTCAGTAGCATTTCTTTACATCAGTAATGATTTAGCCAACAAAGAAATCAAGAAGGCAATCTCATTTAGAAATTTTTGCTACCAAAAACAATTTAGGATTGAATTTAACCAAGGAGGCAAAAGATCTTTACAAGGAAAACTACAAAATACTGTTGAGAGAAATTCAAAACAACACAAATGGAAAAACACCTTATGCTCATGGATTAGAAGGAATATCAACATCATTAAAATGACCATATTGTTCAAAGTAATCTGCAGATTAAATGCAATCCCTAACAAAATATCAACATCATTCTTCACAGAATTTGAAAAAAAAATCCTAAAATTCATATGGACCAACCCCCCCCTCCCAAAAAAAGCCCAAATAGCCAAAGAAATCCTGAGCACAAAGAACAAATACTCTTGGATTAAAGGTAGTTTAGTAATTAATAGATTAGTAATACTTGCTACTAGAGACATTTTTGTCAGGTTTGTCAAATATCAGATGGTTATAGGTGAAAATCAAATCAAAACTACAATGAGATACTATCTCGCACCAGTCAAAATGGCTATTACTAAAAAGTCAAAAAGCAACAGATGCTGGCAAGGTTGTGAAGAAAAACGAATGCTTTTAACACTGTTGGTGTGAGTGTAAATTAGTTCAACCATTGTGGAAGACTGTGTGGCAATTCCTCAAAAACCTAGAGGCAGAAATACCATTCAACCCAGCAATCTCATTTACTGGGTATATACCCAAAGGAATAGAAATCGTTCTCTATAAAGATACATGCATGTGTATGTTCATTGCAGTAGTATTCACAATAGCAAAGATATGAAATCAAACTAAATGCCCATCAATGATAGACTGGATAAAGAAAATGTGGTACACATATACCATGGAATATTTTACAGCCATAAAAAGGAATGAGATCATGTCCTTTGCAGGGACATGAATGGAACTGGAGGTTGTTATCCTTAGCAAACTAAAGTAGGAACAGAAAACCAAATACAGCATGTTTTCACTTATAAGTAGGATCTAAATAATGAGAACATATGGACACATGGCAGGAGGCGGGGGGAACAACACACACTGGGCCCTGTTGGAGGGCGGGGGTGGGAGGAGGGAGAGGATCAGGAAGAATAGCTAATGGGTGCTGGGCTTAATTCCTGGGTGATAGGATGATCTGTGTAGCTGACTACTATGGCACACATTTACCTATGTAACAAACCTGCACATCTTGCACATGTACCCCTGAACTTAAAAGTTGAAAAATTTTTTAAAAAAGAAAAACATTAGGGAGTAGCTGCCTTTGGGAGTGAGGAGAATGGGAATAAAAATTGGGGAGAGAGGAGAAAATACAAATAAAACCAGAAGACCTTGCATGGACTGATGATGATAGTGTTCCAAGAACTGAGAGGTATGACTGAGTCAACACTCTACACTGGAAGTCTGAAAGAAGGAAAGAACTGAAAATGAAAAAGAAAATAAAGGCCATGAGTAGAGCTAGGAAGCTTCCTTATAGACAGGAGAATGGGCCCCACATCCAGAGCAAAGTAAGCCGACCAGAGAGACAATGCATCTGCCTAGGCTCTAGTTCCCATTACAACCAGCTCACTGTCATCACGGTTCCTGGGCTCCAGAGAGATTCCCTTATAGGTCCCACCTTGGTCCTTACAATAACCCCTCTGGTTCTCCGAGGCACATCAGTGTGACTGCTCCTCACATAGTCCAGCAGCCCAGCAATTATTTTGTGGGATCTCTTTGCCTCCTGCCCAGTAGTGGACAGAACTCAGCACTTGGAATTCAGGAACACCTACAAAAAGCATTAGGGGCAAGGCAGGTTGTGCAGAGGATCCTGTAGGGGAGATAGAGGACAGTTTTACATCACAAACACAGGAACACAGCCATCCTGTGGCTCCAGCTGGACCACCAAATGAATAATTTTCCTCTGCTTTTCCTTCAGGCAGCTCTCAGTCCTCACCCTGAGGTCTTAGCCACTCCCAAATTTCTTTTGGCTTCTAAATTTCTCTTTCCTTTCTTATGCAGAACAATTTATTAATATAGGCACAAAGCCTCCAAATGTGCATATCCACACTTTTAAATTATCTGGACCACTCTAAAATTAGAAGTACCAGAGACTTGGAAATACAGTGTGCTTATGGTTCATCGGTTCTTTTTTTTTTTTTCTGTTTCATATGAAACCAAAAATGCCCTGTCTAAAACATGAATTCAATGGGTAGCAAATGAAACATAGCCCCATTGGGATGTGTCTGTTTTAGAAGTCTGAGTGTGGTGGAAATGTGACTGCACTGAGCTCCAGGACAGGTAGATTCTACTTCAGCAGGTCACAAGGACCAGCTGTGAAAATTGTTAGACAAGTTCATTTAACTGTGTGTCAGTTTTCTCAACCACCACATGAGAAAAACAAAATAGGTCTTATGTATTTCACAGGCTTGTTGTAAGGTTCAAATGAAGATATAATTAAAACAAATTTGACCAATGGTACAATTAGCATGTGTTGCACATAGTTTTTCTTTTGGAGGGGTTGCAAAGAATACTTATGGCATAATCTAATTTATGTAAAAAAAAAGAGAAAGCAATGTATATTTGTATTCAAAACTTGCAGGATATACAAAAAATTGATATCAATGTTTAACTATGGGGAGTGGCAAGGGGAAGTGTTGAGTGGGTGGGGAAAGAGGTTTTTATTTATACACTTTGAAAATGTTTGAATTTTCTTAACCATGAGCATATACAACTTTTATAATAAGCATTGGGCAATACTACTACTACTACCACTACTACTACTACTAGGTTGGACTACCAAGCCACTTGGGTCAGATAAGGATGGCTCTGCTCACCACACTGGGGGGCAGAAGAAACCCCACATTGTCTGGCTTCTTTTATATCAAGAACCTCTATTTCCCCAACAGTCAAGTTAGGGTTAATTATTCACATCACATTGATTCATGTTACAATTTTTAAATAAAATTCACATATGGTCCAAACTCTTTGAGTGCTTTTAAAACATCTGACCCATGCTTTAGGAGCAGGGCTTACGCAATAATGAAGATGTTCTTTGTTTTATTTGTTTGTTTGTTTCTTGGAGACAGAGTCTCACTCTGTCACCCAGGCTGGAGTGCAGTGGTACAATCTCAGCTCACTGCAACCTCTGCCTCCTGGGTTCAAGTGATTCCCCTGCTTCAGCCTCCCAAGTAGCTGGTCTGCCACCACACCCAGCTAATTTTTGTATATTTAGTGGAGATGGGGTTTCACCATGTTGGCCAGGCTCAAACTCCTGACCTCAGGTGACCCACCTGCCTCGGCCTACCACCGTGAGCCACCGCGCCTAGCCTGTTTTTTGTTTTTTGTTTTTTTGAGATGGAGTCTCACTCCGTCACTCGGGCTGGAATGCAGTGGCTTGATCTTAGCTCACTGCAACCTCCGCCTCCCTGGTTTAAGTGATTCTCCTGCCTCAGCCTCCTGAGCAGCTGGGATTACAGGCGCCTGCCATCTCGCCCAGCTAATTTTTATATTTTTAATAGAGACAGGGTTTCACCATGCTGTCCAGGCTGGTCTTAAACTCCTGACCTTAAGTGATCTACCTGCCTCAGCCTCCCAAAGTGTTGGGATTACTGGCGCAAGCCACCGTGCCGACCCTAAAGTGTTCTTGTACACAGGGTATTGTCTTACACTACAGGGAACCTGGATTGGAGTTGAAGGCAGATTTTTTTCAGAGGTTGGGGTGGAAGGGTGAGAATGTGAGTGTTCAACTTGAGAGGAGAAAGGGTAGGGGTGGAAGGAAACATCACTTGTATAGGGATTAATACTTTGCTTTTTAAAGTTATTTTAACCTGTGGTCTGTTTCTGTGTCCAAATAATAACTGCAGTAATAACAAATATTTGAGAGGTTAGTTAGACCTGAGCAAAAGCCTCGTTTTCTTAAACAATGGGGCCTGGTGATTGTCCCACTGTCTGTCATCAGGGATATCCTGACTAAAAGAAGGGACAGGATTGTGTCTTGGTCACAGAGGGATCATCACCCTTCCTCTCTGCATCTACTCCCTCGAGCCATCTCGGCCCTAAATTGCCAACACAGGCAGATCCCATTGGATTTAAGCCTTTCTCCAGTCCCATCAGCGCTAATTGGACACATGGAATCCAGAGGTCTGTGAGTCACACTTTCTTAGGACATTCTCTACAAGTCCAGAGAAATGACCAGAAGGGAAGGGAAAGGAAGGGGCCCTGGGGTCCACCCAGGGCTGATAAAAAGGCCCTAAGCCCTACAAAGGTGGAGGCATCTTCAGGTGTGTGTCAAAGTACGAAGTTAACTGTACAAATTAGTGCAAGTCCAGCAAAACCCTGATTTTTCCCAAGATAATTATTTTGAAACAGTTTAAACATTTTATTTTAGATGTCTTTTTCTTTTTTTTCCCCGAAAGCCCGCTGGCTCCTAGGTTGGCTGTTGCCCTAGGCACAGCCGAAGCCGTCTGTGGTTCTGCACTCTGAGGTGCAGAGAAGGCCAGAGCGTCACAGGGAGGCTCAGGACGTCAGGGAGCTGAGGGCCTAAGATAAATAAAGTAAAAACAACCGCTGTTCGAGACTCAAGTCCCCTGTTCTCTCGCCTCACGCGGGCACAGGGAGCCCCCGGGCCGCACACTGGCCAGGGGCGGAGCTGGATCCCGGAGAGCCGCCGTCTCCGCTTCGCCGCCCTTCGCGCGCCCCACTTCAGCCTTTCAGCGTAAGGCAGGAACCTTTTTTCCAGACGGCAAAGAAAGGGAAGACTTTGCCGGAGAAAGAGGCAGTGAAGGTGAAGATGGGCTCCTGGGTCTGGGCGTTGTGGAGGGTCACCTGCCCCGCCTCGTAGTCCAGGGCGACTCTCACGCCGCGCGGGATCTCGCTCAGCGGCAGGTCGGTGCCCGGGGAGGTGCTGGCCCAGCACTGCTGGTGCGAGATGATCACGGCCCAGACGCCGTCCTCGGCGCTGAGTCCCATCTCTCCCTTCCTCCTCACCCCCTCCCCGGCCACCCCCACCGTGCAGCCGCCGCCGTCGCCCAGCTGCAGGTCAACCTGCCAGCGGTGGCGCCCGGAGGAGAAGCCCGGGAAGCCCAGAACCGCCGGGAGGCCGTCGAAGCGCAGGGGGCTGTCTGGCAGGCTCTTCTTCTGCCGGGTGTACCTCACTGACTTCCTGTCTTCCGAGAGAACCAGGCTCCGGCTGGCGGTCTGAGGGTCCAGAGTGATGACCCCTAGAGGGAGGAGCGCGCAGACATCAACAGCGGGCGGCAACCACAGATGTTCCTAGAGCAGGCAACGCACGTGGGAGGCAGAAGGAGTACTGGACTTGGGCAGCCTGCCATTGGGCCACTTCTCTGAACCGCCCTTCTACCTAATCAGCAAGTGGTGCTGTTAAGGATTTGCTTCTCAAAGTGCAGCGGGAGGGACCAGCAGCATCCCCACCACCTGGGTGTTTGTTAGAAATGCAGAATATTGGGCCCCATCCCACCCTACTAAATCAGAATCTGCATTTTAACAGGATCCCTAGGAGACGTTTCTGCATATTAAGTTTGAAAAGCACTTACCTATACCAGAGTGAGTGAGGTGATGCTTATGGAAACAACTTCTAAATTAAGCACCAATTTAAAAATAAATGTGATTTTTAAAAAATTGCACATTTTTTGTTCAAATCAGTAGAGAGCCCAGCACAATGCTCTCAAAAAACTAGGGCTTGATAAGTATTTTTCAACGAGTAATATCTACACAAGTAGATGACATTAATTGAGCACTTACTATGAGTCAGGTAATATACTAAGCTCTTTGCATGTATTAATTTATTTTGTCCTCACAGCTACTTATGGGACAGGTACAGTACTTTTATTTTCATTTTACTGATGAAGAAAATATTGTGGGACAGAGGCTTAATAACTTGCCCAGTGTCTCAGAGCTAGCAAGAACTGGAATCGAGAACTCAAGCAATCAAGCTCCAGAATTCATGCATTTTATTGCTCTGTTTGCTGCCATGGATTGAATGGATGAATGGAAGAATGACTCCCCAAATCCCAAGCTGTTTACCTGAATCTATTTCCAGATGATGCGCCAAGTTTTCTGAGGGAAGCAGAAATAGAAAGAGAGATCTGTGACTTATTACTTCTTATAGGCACCCCCAGGGGCAAGGTGACTTGAGTACAATGTGAAGATGAGGACAGAAGACTCGGCTTCTGCTGTGGTCTAGTGGAGGAGAAGGGTCCTCACCCTCCTGGACTCTCAGTCCTGCACCTGTCCTTAGGGAGTGGAGGAGATGCTCTGGGAATAGTGCCCCTGAATAAATTGAGATCACTAAGGGAAGGCTCTGGGGAGGGAAGATGTCTCGAGCCAGGTTTCAAGGGCAGAGAAGGATGGAGATGGGTGGAAGACAGGAGGGCAGCTAATGGGACTGGGGAAAACTGTGGCGCCTTCCCCTTTACCTGAGAACATCCTCATCATCTCTGGGAGGGTGAGTATTTTCCTGTGGAAATCACGGATCTTCTTGACAAGGTCAGGAGAAATGGCCTCAGGACTCACAAAAGTCTTCATCTCACACCTGCAGACAGGTTTGGTAACCAGTTAGGTCCAAATTCCAAAAACAAATGTTCGGGTGAGACCACGTGAGGCTAAAATCAGACTAAAGAATGATCTTGGCGTCTGTGGTGAATAATCAAATTGAGTATCATTTCTTTACTTTTGCTGGAAATGTGTAGTTACTAAAATAGTAGGCATTTCAGTTAAACCTAAGAGGAACTAAGGATAATCACTTCTCAAGAATTGGAGGTAAGCCCCTTTAGGAGAATGTTTGGTTCTGTAGGGGCTGAGGGACAGAGATCATTACCCCTTTTGGTCTCTAGAGGGCAACAGGGTACCATTTGAAAACAGCCTTAAACTACCCTTGTGTATGCTGCTATTTGTAAAGGAAAAGAGGCTAGAAGGGAAGAAAAAAAAAGGATCAACGAAAATACATATTGCAATGAAAAAAACTCCTGATTCTGGTCCCAGCTCAGTCCTCATTAGACACTTGCTGCATTACCTTGAAGACTCTTCACCCCCTGGGTCTCAGTTTCTTCCTCAGACTGGAAGACCTCCAAGCCCTTCTAGATCTAAACCTCTAATGCTCTTTGAAAAGCATGTTTGGAGACACTTCCTGATTCATGGACCCTGGGTTTATCCTCCCTGCACGGGAATAGGCACAAAGCACGTGACAATTGTTCCCTAGTCACTACACCTCTCTTCATCTCAGTGCAGACTGCTAATGCTTATAGCAGACAGGGAAGGAAAGGGCCATGCATTTACAATGCCACTGGCTCCTGGTGGCTGTCCTTTTACAGTAGCATTAGAAAATTCTGAAGGAAACCAGAGATGTGTGTAAAAAATGAATGAATGAAAGAACAGGCTGGTATTCCTGGTTTCCATGCTTATCATAGTCTACAGAAAGTATTCCCCCTTTAAATTACATTTTAAATGGTGTTAGATACTGACTCAAGTACTAATAATTTCATAGATTAAATAAATGTTCCTGGATCAACCTAAAAACATGATTATTATTTATAACTTCACTTCTAGGGGAAAAAATGTGTCCCCAATACCAACCAATCAATTTAAAAATGAACCTTTAGAACGCAAATCTTTAGTGAGTTTGGACTGTTTGTGCACAGTTGAATGAGACAGTGTGTCTGCCAGAGTGCCTTTGCTTTCCTGGCAAAGTGGGTGGCAGTAAGTGCCCCTGCCCCTTCCCATTCAGTCTTGATGTTGAGTAAAAGGAGGCAGGACCGGGGAGTGGGCCCTACCTGCTCTGGTTGACTCTGACATCCTGCAAAAGAAAGACAAGAACATACATTTAGTTTCCATAAGTCCTTCCTGTCAGGGATTCTGTACATCACTTTTCCCTTAAAATATGAACTCAAAACTCTCCTTCTGCAGAGAGTTGTCCTGTTTAATTACCTACTCATTAGATTGTTCTTTTACATCATGTTTTCTTACTAATTTGGGTTTCTGTAGTCAGTTCATTTGTGCTGGTTTCCCTGTTTCAGCCTTATCGTGGGGGTGGGTTGTGTCTGCAATGATTAGGAGGTGGTAGAGAGCAGGGGCCTGCCTTCAGTTATCAGCTGGACCTGATGTGAGCCAGGATCACATATTCATAACCATAGCAGACACCAGTTATTGAGTTCTTTCTGTATATCAGGAATCATGCCAAGCATTTTTTATGGATTGTTTCTTATAATTTTGCAATAACTTTATGAGGGAGGTGCTATTGCTGTCCCCATGTTTAGAGAGGCTAAGAGACTCACTCAAGTCACACAATTGGAAGAGCCAACATTCAAATCCAAGACTGTCTGACCCTAAACCCCTTAACATGACCACAGTGTATGACTTGGGCAAGTCTCCAGCCCCTCTGGATCTGCACCCCGTTAACCTCTCTCCACTTCCCTTTCCTGCCTCTCTCCAGCCCAAAGCATGGTGCCCACCCCCTTCCCCGTGGAGTCCCTCTCTTATCCTACAAAGTGGTGAAGTGTCTCTCACTTGTAGAAGCTCACTTGCTGGCTGCTGACACTTCTCCTCCAGCTCCTTGACCTGGGCTCCAAGCCGGGTGACTTCCTCAGAGACCTTTGTGATATATTCATCCCTCTCCTTCCAAATCTGCTGCTCCAGCTCCCTCAGCCTGGCCAGCAGGAGACATCGCTGCTGCTCCAGCTCCTGCTGCAGCCTCTCAAAAGCTGTTTCCACCTGATGCTTCTTGCTTTCGATCTGAGTCTTCAAGGGATAAAAGGCAGACATGGTTAGGAAGGGGCTCAGAGATAGCTTCCAGGATGATCATCTATATACTTATTATTGATTAACAGGGATAGGGAGCAACTGGTCCAAGACTCATTCCATTTACTAATATGCCTAGAAGTAGTTAGGTCTCAGGATGAACTTACCAATGATGAGGGCTGTGCTACTGTCTTAGCTAGATACTCTAATAATAATGCTACATTATGCTCTCAGAATGATGTTGAACTTTTCAAAAATATTTCCACAACTACAATACCATCATAACCCTACTATGCCTTCTTAGAGTTAGGTGGGGAAGACTGTAATAATTTCTTAGAGGCAAAAGGAAGTTGTGATTGGAGTCAACACAACTTAGTGGGAGAGTGTGTAATTTTGGTTTTAGCCGTGGAAATCACCAACTACAGGGCATACGTTGATGAGAGCTGAGGGATGGTGGATAGGTTGCTTTGTCCCCACACTCTCTCCTTGGTCAAGGTACCAGAAATCCTCACACTGTGATTCCTCCATAACTTTATAGCATGAAAAGAGAGGCGTGAGGGATCCAGATGTAGCCACACCATCAGCCTACTCTCCTCAAGGTCAGCCTGTAGTCAGGACTAGAATCCCGACACTAACATATGTTTTTGACCCCAAGCTTCCCATCTGAAGGTGGTGTGTTCAGGCAAACAGACTAGGATGGAAAGAACAATGAATTAAGGGTCAAGAAATCCAGGTTCCTCATGAACTTCAGCTTTGCTATGTGGCCTTGGGAGCATTGCTTTTCTGGTCCTAAGTTTTCTGCTCTGTAAAATGTGATATACAAGATGGATCTTGGATTGCAAGACATCAGAACCACTTCTAGTGCTCATGGTCTGAGATCCCAAATGCCTTTGTGCAGCCACAGGAAGGTGAACGAGAACAGTTTGTCAGTTCTTTTCAGCCAGGAAACAGATACCAGCCAACGGGTTTCCCCAGAGTCTCTTAAGAAAACCTTCAAAGGAAAAGGTAGCCAGTGACGTGGCCTGTACCAGCAGCACTTGAAGCTTCTGGTCTTCTTGACACTTTACATCCTCAATCTCATCTCTCTCCGTGCTCAGAGCTTCCAGTCGACTCCTGAGACGATCCTGTGGGGAGAAGAATGGGTGGATAGAGGTGACTGAATTAATAATTCAACTCACAATTATTAACTATCACATCCTGGGCACACTGTTGAGTGCTGAGGGGTTCAAAGGTGGAAAAGGCCCAGTCCTTGCCCTAAAGAGACCACCATCTCAGGAAGAAGTCAATGTCAAGTGATTAAAATACAGATAGATAAATGCAATAGTCCAGGGGTACACACAGTGAGATGGGAACACAGAGGTCAGCTCTGCCTGTAGGCCTAAGGGAAGGTTTGGAAAGCAGAAAACATTTACAATGTGCCTTGAAAGATAAATTTCCAGTTGAATAGAGAGGGAGAGAAAAGGACTTAGTGCCCACAGATGTGAAGGACCTCTTCAAGGAGAACTACAAACCACTGCTCAAGGAAATCAGAGAGAACACAGACAAATGGAAAAACATTCCATGCTCATGGATAGGAAGAATCAATATTGTGAAAATGGCCATACTGCCCAAAGTAATTTATAGATTCAGTGTTATCCCTATCAAGCTACCATTGACTTTCTTCACAGAATTAGAAAAAACTACTTTATATTTCATATGGAACCAATAAAGAGCCCACATAGCCAATACAATCTTAAGCAAAAAGAACGAAGCTGGAGGCATCATGCTACCTGACTTCAAACTATACTACAAGGCTGTAGTATATGATATCAAATATGTCTGGTATCAAAACAGACATATAGACAAATGGAACAGAAGAAGGGCCTCAGAAATAACACCACACATCTACAACCATCTGATCTTTGACAAACCTGACAAAAACAAGCAATGGGGAAAGGATTCCCTATTTAATAAATGGTGTTGGGAAAACTGGCTAGCCATATGCAGAAAACTGAAACTGGACCCCTTCCTTACACCTGAAATAAAAATTAACTCAAGATGGATTAAAGACTTAAACGTAAGACCTAAAACCATAAAAACCCTAGAAGAAAACCTAGGCAATACCATTCAGGACATAGGCATGGGCAAAGACTTCATGACTAGAACACCAAAAGCAATGGCAACAAAAGCCTAAATTGACAAATGGTATCTAATTAAATGAAAGAGCTTCTGCACAGCAAAAGAAACTATCATCAGAGTGAACAGGCAACCTACAGAATGGGAGAAACATTTTGCAATCTATCCATCTGACAAAGGGCTAATATCCAAAATCTACAAAGAACTTAAACAAATTTACAAGAAAAAAACAAACAGCCCCATCAAAAAGTAGGTGAAGGATATGAACAGACACTTCTCAAAAGAAGACATTTATGTGGCCAACAAACCTATGAAAAGAAGCTCATCATCACTGGTCATTAGAGAAATGCAAATCAAAACCACAATGAGATACCATCTCACACCAGTTAGAATGGTGATCATTAAAAAGTCAGGAAATAACAGATGCTGGAGATGATGTGGAGAAATAAGAATGCTTTTACAATGTTGGTGGGAGTGTAAATTAGTTCAACCGTTGTGGAAGACAGTGTGGCAACTCCTCAAGAATCTAGAATGAGAAATACCATTTGACCTGGCAATCCCATTACTGGGTATATACCCAGAGGATTATAAATTATCCTACTGTAAAGACACATGCACACATATGTTTATTGCAGCACTGTTCACAATAGCAAAGACTTGGAACCAACCCAAATGTCCATCAATGATAGACTGGATAAAGAAAATATGGCACATATATGCCATGGAATACTATGCAGGCATAAAAAAGATGTGTTCATGTCCTTTGCAGGGATATGGATGAAGCTGGAAACCATCATTCTCAGCAAACTAACACAGGAACAGAAAACCAAACACCACATGTTCTTACTCATAAGTGGGAGGTGAACAATGAGAACACATGGACACAGGGAGGGGAACATCACACATCGGGGCCTGTCAGGGCTTGGGGGACTAGGGGAGGGATACCATTAGGAGAAATACCTAATGTAGATGATGGATTGATGGGTGCAGCAAACCACCATGGCACGTATATACCTATGTAACAAACCTGCACGTTCTGCATATGTATCCCAGAACATGTATAATAAAAAAAAAAAGAAAAGGACTTAGTGCCCCTGAATTGTATACTTAAAAACAGAGAGAGAGGTGGGAGGAAGGGAGAAGAGTATTCTAGGAGGAAGAGACTATGTGCAAAAAGTATTGGAAGCAGGAATGAATAAGACAACTCAGGAAAAAACAGCAAGTGCAGCTCAGTCTGGCCAGACACGTGGTGCCTTGAGGAGGGAGGCTGAGCGATGAGGCCGGACAGGGAGGAAGGATCCCGACTGCAAAGGGCCTTGAATGTCTTGCTAAAGACCTTGGACTTTCTTTGGGCACTAGGTATACATGGGAGGATTTTGTGCAGATGAGTGACTTTGTGTTTTAGGAGGATCTGTCTCCCAGCAGATTGGAAGGTGACTGGAAAGGGTGAGAATGGAGACAGGAAATGCCATGGAGACTGCAAAGTCTGCGCAAGAGATAGGGAGAACCTGGCTGTGAGGATAAGGCAGAATTAAAGATTTGGGAGATGTTTCTAAGGTAACCACTTCCAGACCTGGTGACTGGATGACAAGAGAGAGATCTGAGAGGCTGACAGGAAAGTGCCCCAAGGCCAGATGGGGAATTCTCACAATTCTGGACTACTGCCACCCTCCCTTTCTCAAGAAGAAGAGCAGTGCTAGCAGGTTCCCCTTCCCAGCTCCTCCCTCCCCTCTGCGCCCTGGCAGTCAGGGCCCTATAAACCCCATTTCCAGTCTGGATCCTGGGAGAACAAGTTTACCCTGCCCATAATCTGCAGAAGATCCCACTCGGCATTGGAGCTTTCTTTCCATAGTGAGTGAAGCCAAGGCTACAGTTCTTTGCACTCCACCTCTGTGGGGTCCTCTGAGAGCTGGAGCTGAAGTTCCCCCCAGACCAGGAACTACCACACATCCAAGTGGAGCCCTATCTGCCTTCAGTCTGGGAATGCCTCGAAAGTCCCTGTAACCTTAGGGTTCCCTGATGTGGAAGCCTTTCATCCAGATCCCCGCCCGATTTCCTCCCCTCATAACAGGACATCATCCTGCCCCAAACAGGCCCTAGGTAAAGCTACACTTCTTACCCGGTAGGGCTGAATGGCCTCGTCCAGGAACCCCACGGTGTGCGCCTGGTGCGTGGGACCCTCCCTGCAGAACACACAGAGGAACTCGGCATCGTTCTCGCAGAAGAAGTAGATCTTCTCGCCGTGCTCCTCGCAGTAAGTTTCTCCCAGCGGGCCCAGGGGCACAGGGGCCATGGGAGTCTCTGCCTGCTCCTCCTCTTGGCAGAGCGGGCAGAGCAGGATCTTGCCCGAGGATTGGGCCCCCATCTGGGAGAGCGCGGGGAGGCAGAGCCGGCAGAAGGTGTGTCCACAGGGAATGGTCACCGCATCCTCCAGCGGCCCCGCACATAGGGTACAGGCAGGCAGCTCATGGACCACCTTCAGGGACGGGGTTGCGGGCATCACGGTGCCTTCCCCAGCCCGTCCACTCCGGTCTCCTCAGCCCACGCGAGTTCCCTTTCCCTGAAATCGAGTCACACTTACATGAATCGCAGAGGGAAACGGCTGCAAGGCTGAGAGACAGAGAGAGAGAAAGAGAGAGAGAGGCAAGAATGCCAGCACAGGGAAGCCACCTGGCTCCGCCTCTTGTGTTCCCTAGAACCCTGGCCACCACCTATCAGCGGAGTGGGTCCAAATTCCAGGGCGTCTCGAATTACCCAGAATTTCCCAGTGGCGGCCAAGTAAGCCAGTTCTTTACTCCTGGCTCCTTCTGGTCCCTAGGGTGGAGAACAGAGCACACCATGAGGTCACAGGGGGATGGGTTTCCTGGAATCTGTAGACCACAGTGGCTGGGGAGAACTGGGGAGCAGAAGCTTCCTGTCAGATTGAGCAGGTGGGAGCCATAAACTTCTGGCTCTGAGGCGTGCCCACAGCATCAAAGTCCAGGCTGGAGTGAGAGGTGTGGACTTCGGGAGATTCTGCCGGAAGTGTGTGGGCGGGACGCTGTTTCGACACTGCAGGTAGGGTGTAAGGATTGCTCATCGGGTCCCCTCTTCTGCTCTCCTTTCCTCCCTCACCACATCTGCCCATGGTGGCCCCTCCTACGGTCCCAAATCCCCCACCACCTGGCACAACAGTCCCCTTTGGGGTTCGGGTAACACTGGACTATTTTATTTATTTATTTATTTATTTATTTATTTATTTTTACTGTAGCGGGGAGAAGGCAAGAAACCATAATGCAAATGATTTATGTTGATACACATTAGAAAACGATTAGTCAGATAATCAGTTTCAACCACATTTATCTAGGGTTTAGTATTTTTATATTACTACATTCAATTTTAATAACCCTCTAGGCAAACATTATTACCTTCATTTTACAGAGAAAGAAATGTAAACTGACTTTCCAAATGTAAAGTGACTTTCCAAAGGTCACAAAGCTAGAAAGTATCACGTTAAGGACGATCCCAGTCTCCTGGCTTAAAGCCCTACGCTCCTCCCACACCTCATGCCAAGACCAAGATCTGCAGCCACGGTCCTTCACCCATGCACACATCTGTGGATAAAACCAGGCCTTCCCCCATTCTCCCACTGGGTGATCAGCCTAGCCCCTTGTGGTTGCTCCCTTTTTACTCTAATCACTTTATTACCTCCCCTTCCCATCCAATCTCTGCTCTTCCTGCCACGAGTGCAGCCCAGGAACTAGTTTGTCCAATACAGGAGCCACCAGCCACATGTGTCTACTGAGCACTGAAATGTGGCCGGTCTGAATGGCGGCATGCTGTATATGTAAAATACATACCGGATTTCTTTTTTTTCTTTTTCTTTTTCTCTTTTTTCTTTTCTTTTTTTTTTTTTTTGAAATGGAGTCTCGCTCTGTCTCCCGGGATGGAGTGCAGTAGCGCGATCTTGGCTCACTGCAAGCTCCTCCTCCCGGGTTCACACCATTCTCCTGCCTCAGCCTCCCGAGTAGCTGGGACTACAGGCGCCGGCCAGCACGCCAGGCTAATTTTTTTGTATTTTTAGTAGAGACGGGGTTTCACCGTGTTAACCAGGATGGTCTAGATTTCCTGACCTCGTGATCCTAGGCCTCCCAAAGTGCTGGGATTACAGGCGTGAGCCACCGCGCCCGGCCAACACACCGGATTTCAAAGGCTTTTCACAAATTTAAAAATGTAAAATATCTTATTAATGACTTTTTATATGGATCACATATTGAAATGATAATAGTTTGGAAATATAGGACTAAATAAAATAACATCATTAAAATTACTTTCACCTGTTTAGACTATTTTTATATGGCCACTAGGAAATTTTAAATTGCATATGTGGCTCACTTTGCGTTTATGTTGAATAGCATTGCTCGGAAGACAGATCTGACAGCAAATTATTTATGGTCACTCACCTTCTTACTTGTGTGCCTAGGGCAAGCTGAATAACCTGGCTGGGCCTCAGCTTTCTCATTTATGAAATGGAGATCCTAATAGCACTGATGTTGCAGAGCAGACACAGAAATAAGATCATACTTTTAAATTGCTTGTATCAATGTAAGTTGTACCGTCATTGTAAATAAATTCTGGCCAAATTGCTTGTATCAATGTAAGTTGTACCGTCATTGTAAATAAATTCTGGCCGTTAGTAGTTTTCTTTCTCCTCCCCATCATAGGGAATATTCCAGCCTCTTTTGAGGCCTGCAGCAGGCCAGTTGAGGCATCACCATTGAAGTTGCTGGTGCAGTGTACACCCTGGCACAAGGACCTTATCTGAGCCCCCACACTCTCCTGCTTGCTGATGGGCAAGCCCTGGGCTGGCTGATACCTCCAATCTCTTTGGAGACAGCTGGCCATATGGCAGAAAGGCTGGAATGGCATCTCCACTCTGTGACCCAGTCTCCCACTTGCCCCCAAAAGAATATTTCTTCTGACAGTGGACAGCTGACATATCACCACTTTCCTTCTACTGTGAGTGTCTCTGGATGGGCAGAAAGGAATGGCCAGCCCCTGGTTATGGTCATCTAAGGTCACCTCTGAAATGCTGTGAGCCCCTCTTCCTTCCTCTCCTCTGCTATTTCCCATCTCTGCTGTTGGCAGGAGAATAGAACCCTGGCTGCCAGAGATGCAAGTGTGTGACGATATGGGTGCTGGTGCATATTTAGTATGTGCCTGTGTCCAGCCATGTGCATGTGTGGGTGTGTGAGTGTGTGACCCAGCCCTTCCCCCGTGGCCAAGCAGAGAGAGTGGCCTTGAGGAAGCCATAGCAGCAGGACCAGCATGGCCTCTGCTGCCTCTGTGACCAGCCTGGCAGATGAAGTCAACTGCCCCATCTGTCAGGGTACCCTGAGGGAGCCGGTCACTATCGACTGCGGCCACAACTTCTGCCGGGCCTGCCTTACCCGCTACTGTGAGATACCAGGCCCAGACCTGGAGGAGTCCCCTACTTGCCCACTCTGCAAAGAACCCTTCCGTCCTGGGAGCTTCCGGCCCAACTGGCAGCTGGCTAACGTGGTGGAGAACATTGAGCGCCTCCAGCTGGTGTCCACACTGGGTTTGGGAGAGGAGGATGTCTGCCAAGAGCACGGAGAGAAGATCTACTTCTTCTGTGAGGATGATGAGATGCAGTTGTGCGTGGTGTGCCGGGAGGCTGGGGAGCACGCTACCCACACCATGCGCTTCCTGGAGGATGCAGCGGCTCCCTATAGGGTAGGAAAGGGGAACTGGGGGATCCCAGGGTGGACTGGACTGGACTAAGAGAAACAGCAGAGTTGTGGATTATTTAGGCCACCCGGAGGCCAAATTCTTTCTCCTTACTTACATGATCACCCAGGCAATAGACCCAGGCATGGAAAATTGTGTTTATGTTTTATGTTTTTTTGAGTGTGTTCTGTGTTCACTTGTGGCCAACAGATAACGGGAGTTCAACAAGTACTTGTTGAATGAATGAGTGACCAAACATGAGTGTGTGTGTCTGTGCCATGGATCAGGTGTGTCTGAAGTTTGCATTTGAGGGAATGATTGTACAAACAGTGTGTATATGTGTTAATGTTTGCATGTTTAGAAGTGTGTCTGGTGTGTTTGGATGGGAGTCTGAGTATGTATATATTTGAGTGTGTAAGTGTAACTGAGAGCTCCTGTTTGTGAATAAATTCGTGTTTACATATATTCAGGCTGGGTAAATGTATGTGGCATGCCATTTTATCTGTCATTAAATGAATGTGTGCTGGTTTTAGTTGTTTATGCATTGTGCTTATGAATTATGTTTTAGTACAAGTCTGTGTGTGGATGTCTTAATTAGTTAATTAGCAGTTGATAGTGAGAATTCTAATATATCTTTGAACACACATATTTATCGTGTGTGTACCTGTTCCTAACTCTATTCTGGAGCAAATAATTTTGAAAACAATTTATCAATTATTTTTACATTACCCAAGTTTCTTCTCCCCTCTGGAGTCATACACAGATAATTGATTTCAGTAACAAGGGAGGGTTGTTATTTACACATGTTCCTTTGGGATGAGTCGGAAACTCAGAATGATTTCAGTGCGGGGCATATCAAACTCAGTACAGACCCCAGATACCACTTACCCGAAGCAAAACACAATAGAATGTTAAACCTGAAGAAAGACTCAAGTGGGAAAACCAAGTCACAGCCTCTAATGGCACAGGATAAAGGGGGAAAGTCCTGATCCAAAGTCTTAGAGACAAATCAAGAGGAAGAAGACCCAAAGGGAGTAAGCTGTCAGGGTGGTGAAGGCTCGGGGATTGTCAGCTAAGGAAGGGACTCCTCTCCTGGGGCCATTTCATTCCTGGAGGCAGAGGGTCAGATGACCAGACAAACCTGAACAAATCATTTTCCATCTTGAGTATTTTATGTTCCTTCTCCCCAGGAACAAATCCATAAGTGTCTTAAATGTCTAAGAAAAGAGAGAGAGGAGATTCAAGAAATCCAGTCAAGAGAAAATAAAAGGATGCAAGTCCTCCTGGTAAGTCATCACCCCTTCCCCAGGTTCCTCCCCTTCCTCAGGGTCCAGTGTCTTCCTGAAACTGAGGCAACATAGATTATAGGGCTTTGAAGTTATTATGAGTTTAAATCCTGACTCTGACACTAACTCTATGACCTCAAGCAACTCTCCAACTTCAGTTTACTTATCTGTAAAATGGAGAGTAAAAATCATCATGACCTCATTGAATTACTGTAAGCATTAAATGAGATTGTGACTGTAAAGTAGCTCAGGGCTGTGCACATAATGTGCTTTTCATACAAGACAGGAGGTAGGGTGTCCCCACCACCTCCTCCTACACCTCCTGTAAGCCCTACCCCTTTTAGAAGCTGCAGCAGATGGTGCTGAGACAACACTGTGAGTCTTGCTTCTCGAAATGGGATGACAAGTGAAAAGGAAACCATGACACAGTTCCAGATCTACCTGGGGACAGGGGAGGAAGAGGAGCAGAGGGAGAAGGAGGAAGCAAACTTTCTCTTGGGCTTGCCTCCTGCCCCCTCAGACTCAGGTGTCCACCAAGAGACAACAGGTGATTTCTGAGTTCGCACACCTGAGGAAGTTTCTAGAGGAACAGCAGAGCATCCTCTTAGCACAATTGGAGAGCCAGGATGGGGACATCTTGAGGCAACGGGATGAATTTGATTTGCTGGTTGCTGGGGAGATCTGCCGGTTTAGTGCTCTTATTGAAGAACTGGAGGAGAAGAATGAGAGGCCAGCAAGGGAGCTCCTGACGGTGAGGCCTGAACCGGAACCCTGCCCCACCTGTGCTGTCCTGTGACTCTTGCATCTTTGTCTTGCCTAAGCCATGTCTCCCTGACTCACACATCTCTGTATCCCAGATGGGAGGTGGGTCAGAGGACCAGAAAGTCTCAATTCTAGTTCATGCTTTTCCAAGAGTTCCCTGGTCACTTTTTGCTCTCTGGTCTCCACCTCTCCGTCCCACCATCTGCCAAATAGGGAAGATACTTTCCTTAAATATTTCACAGGGCTTTTGTGAGGATCCAACAGTAAGATGGAAGTGAAAGTAGCACTTTGAAAAAGTATTAAGTAAGTTGCAAACCATTCTCTATAACCTAAATGTCACCAACCACCAGTCAGGAAGTTTGTCCTGGTCTATTTCACTTCCTCACACTGGAGGAGAGGTATTGGGGTCCCCACAAAGTATTGGAAAGGCAGCATGACTTAGAATGATGCTCTTAGGACTGAGAAACAGGAGACCTTGGTATGAGACTTACTTTGCCTCCAGTGAGCAGGGGAAGGTCACTTCACCATCTTTATCTAAAAAATAAAGGCTTTGGGCTCTGATCCACAGAGATGGGTGAGTCCTAATGCTCTGTGACTCTATGCATCTGGTATCCTTTTCCTGTCCAGAGCTAGAAATATATTTTGTCTTTTCCAGTCATAAGAAAAGTGGGAGGAGCCTGGGCAACATAACAAAACCCCATCTCTACAAAAAAAAAAAAAAAAAAAAAAGAAAATTAGCCAGGCATGGTGACAAACACCTGTAGTCCCAGCTACTCAAGATGCTGAGGTAGGAGGATCCCTTGAGCCCAGGAGGTTGAGTATGCAGTGAGCCATGATCACGCCACTGTATTCCAGCCTGGGCACCAGAGTGAGACCCTTTCTCAAACAAACAAACAAGCAAATAAAAAATAAATAAAATAAAAGTAGAAAAAGAAAGGAAAGAAAAATGGAAAGGAGAAGCTGGAAACTGAATTTCTGGTATCTCTTTCTCCTAGGACATCAGAAGCACTCTAATAAGGTAAGCAATATAGTTTCTCTCTTTTCTTTTTCCATATAAATATACATACATGTACTGCATGCCTAGTTATTGCCACACAGGTATATAACATTCTCACTTAAGGATACAAATTTACATATAAACCTCTATATACCCAAATGCCTTCTCAGGTATATCCATAGATGCCCAAAAATGGGCAGTGGGATTCATCCTAGAGGAAGTACGTCTGCCTGCAGGAACTAGCGCCATCATGCCCTATTAGAAGATGACCAGCTGAGTCTGGAGACATTATTAAGGATGATAATTCCCAGACCCAGCCATTTCTGTGCCCCTAGATGTGAAACCAGAAAGTGCCGGAAACCGGTGGCTGTGTCGCCAGAGCTGGGCCAGAGGATTCGGGACTTTCCCCAGCAGGCCCTCCCGCTGCAGAGGGAGATGAAGATGTTTCTGGGTAAGAGAACCCCAGGCCTCCACAGAGCGCAGGTGGCCATGAAGCCTGGGTTTAGGAGTGGCCTCCACGCTCCACTGCTGAAAGGTGTGACTTTGGCAAGCCTTATTCCTTCCTGTGCCTTGATTTCCTTATTTGCAGATTTTTATAAAATCTGCCTATTAGGATATTGTGACAATGAAGAAAGAGAATAAAGGTGAATATTTCTGGTGAAAAAGTTAAACTGATTTTAAAATAATTCAACAAATCTGATTAGTGGTCATTAAGCAATATGAAAGATAATGATTAACAATATATCATTCTTAATAAGTTAAAAAATCCCACAGCAACATTTGTAATATGTGATAAGTTTTTGATGATGAACATTGTTAATTAATAGCCAACAACAGTATTTATCTTGACCCTGTGGTATCTGGCTCGTCCCTCCTTCCTTCTCACTTTCTTTCTGTTAGTCTGGCTCAGAGTTAGACGGTCCTACGGGGACTGTGCTCCACTTCCTTTTCCGGAACAGGGAGTGGTGGTAGGGTGTGGGGGAGGGTTTGGATGAGAGTCAGGAATGGGACATGGCTCTCTGCCAACCACCTCCTCACTAACCATGACAGAATGAATGATGACACCAATTTTGAAATGACCCACCCACAGTTATGTCACCCTAGAAGGACTTTTCCCATAATTCCATTTCCTGCAAATACTTCCAGTGACCTGTCAGTGAAGGAAATTTCACTCTAATCAAAGGCTGACCTTTGACTCTCCCCAAAATTATTTCCAAGTGGAATAATAAATAAATGAACCCATTTCTCTATTCACTAAGCAGATATTTCTTGAGCATTTACTATGTCCTGGGCTCTGCGGGTACAGAGGTGAGCAAGGCAGTCATGGTCCCTGTTTGATCAGGGCTAGGGCAGTGGGGCTCCCACCAGCAGCAGCAGCTGCATTGCCCAGGAAATTGTTAGAAATACAGATGTTCAGCTCCACCCCAGAGCACCTGAATCTGAAACAGATGTGTTTTAACAAGAGCTCCAGATGATTCTGATGCAAGCTTGGAACCACTGGTCTAGAGGATTCCAGCTTACATTCTTCTTCTTGTCCCTTCCCTCTTCTTGGCCTCAGTTTTCTCATCATTAAGTGTCTGATGGTTTTGTAAGACTAATAAAATCTCATCCTGGTTTATTTTCTTTACAGAAAAACTATGCTTTGAGTTGGACTATGAGCCAGGTAAGGAGCCTATGTCAGGATGGGAGAGAATGAGAAGTCCTCGGAAAGGAGAGAAAATTTTGCAGGATTTGCACTATGACTATGTTATGACTATGACAATAGTCATAACAAACACCCATGGATACATATACACATCATATATATTATATATACACATATGTGTGTGTATATAATACATGTGTGTATATATAGGTTGTGTGTGTGTGTGTGTCACATTGTTTGTAAGGCTCTCAGGAGAAACATGAAGAAAGGACAAGCACATACACATACTACATTCGTGGTATGAAGCTCACATCCTGATCTGCGCATGTCGAGTAGATAGAAAGATTAATGCAGAATGGGATAAAGTCCATCTGGGAATGCTTTCTGGATAAAGGGGACTTTGATCTGGGTTTATAATCACCTCTTTAGAACGTAAGGAACCCCTGCTTCCTCTCAGATGTCATTTCACAGATGACAGAAGGAGGGCGGCCTGTGGGTGGGAAAAAAATGAACAGAATGGACCCCTTCAAGGCTGTCATTTCTCAATCAACCAGCCTAAGACCCTGGGAGTCACGGAGTTGTTGGAGGGGGTTCTCTAACCCACAGATGGACCTAAATTTATGGAAGCTTCTCAATTTATGAATACTAAAAGTAACAAAACGCAAGGCTCTGCAGCAGTTTTTGGTGGTAAAAAGTGGTCCTCAGACTCTGACAGTTTCAGAATTACTGAGGCAGAGTGAATAACCCAGGGGTGAGCCAGAGAGCCTGCCAGGAGGGAAGACTGTAAATGAGTCACCAGTGCCCTGGGAGGAAAACAGGGAGGAATCATGAAGTTTGGACTGAAGGGAGAAATGTCGCTGCACTGTGGGATAGAGATGGGAGGAGGGGAGAATGTGGTATATCAGCCCCAGGAGATCCAAGCTGGCACGCACAGCTTTGGAAACCAGCCAACTTGCGGTGAGCAGAAGAGCTTTCCCGAGGACCACACTGAACTAAACGAGAGCTTTCACATCCTCTGAGGCAGGCTTTTCAGGCTTTACCTGTGTGCAAATCACCTGGGCATCTTGTTAGGATGCAGATTCTGAGAGCGTATATCTAACAAGTTCCCAGGTGGTTCCACACTGTTGGCCCACGTAGGCACTATACATGTTTTTGGTAATAATAACACTAACAGGAGGGGCCCAGGGGGAGTTTCTATGCCTTCCTTGGAGGTAATAGCATGTCTGCTGACATCTGTCCCTTTTGGTTATCCCCACAGCTCACATTTCTCTAGACCCTCAGACTTCCCACCCCAAGCTCCTCTTGTCCGAGGACCACCAGCGAGCTCAGTTCTCCTACAAATGGCAGAACTCACCAGACAACCCCCAGCGTTTTGACCGGGCCACCTGTGTTCTGGCCCACACTGGCATCACAGGGGGGAGACACACGTGGGTGGTGAGTATAGACCTGGCCCATGGGGGCAGCTGCACCGTGGGCGTGGTGAGCGAGGATGTGCAGCGGAAGGGGGAGCTTCGGCTGCGGCCAGAGGAGGGGGTGTGGGCTGTGAGGCTGGCTTGGGGCTTCGTCTCGGCTCTGGGCTCCTTCCCCACACGGCTGACCCTGAAGGAGCAGCCCCGGCAGGTGAGGGTGTCTCTTGACTATGAGGTGGGCTGGGTGACCTTCACCAACGCTGTCACCCGAGAGCCCATCTACACCTTCACTGCCTCCTTCACTAGGAAGGTCATTCCCTTCTTTGGGCTCTGGGGCCGAGGGTCCAGTTTCTCCCTGAGCTCCTGAGAAGGAGCAGTTACCTACTCTCCTCTAAGTACAGGACTCATATCAACCCAAGTACCATGTGGACTTGATCCCTGGCTGAATCACCTGGATGACTTGGAATAGAAATGACTGCTTTAGAAGATGGGATGGGGCCGGGTGGTAAGGGATAGAAGAGAGGACTCTCAATCTACTGATCAAGTCCTTTCCCCAATGCCCAGTGGATGGCCAGGGTACCTGGGGACTCAGGCTGCTGCCAGTTCTGCTCACCACCATCCGTGCTTGGCACAGAAGTAGCTGCATAGAAAGGGCACTGGATTTGAAGTCAGAAGACCTGGGTTCTTGAACCAGCCTGTCAACCAGTTGTATGACTTTAAACAAGGCATCTCACCTCTTTTCATCTTGTTTTCTTCCAATAATGTTAGAGTTCATGTAATCACATTCTCTAGAACCATTTAGTTTGTGTTAACTATGAACCAAGCAGTGTGGTGGCCACTGGTGACTTGAAAATATAGAGAAAAAAAAAACCTGCTCTATATCTGAAAGAGCTCTTGGGAAGACAGAGAAACATAAAGAGGAAATTACAGCACAGTGTGGTGGGTGTTACGGGAAGTCCAACCCCAGCATTATGGGAGTTCAGGGGAAGGGGCATAGCCCAGCCTGGAAGGAGAGGGTGAGTGGGGGATGGCTTTCTGAAAAGGGTGGTCTAAAGGATGCCTATGGTCAATAGGGAAAAGAGGGGAAGAAGCATCTTAAGAAGAGGAAACAGCAGAGAACTGGCTGGATGACCTGTGACTCTGGAGCACTGGGTTGTCTCCATTGTCATTATGGGCAGATGTGTGCCATCCCCAGCCGACGCCACTCACTGCCTCCTTCCTCCTGGTGTTGCCACTTCTGGGTGAGATTAAGGTGCAGGGCCTGGGGGCAGGAGGACATAAGGTATAGCCATAAATCATAACCCAGGGACCACACTCAACCCTAGGGAAATTGTCTTCCTGATCAGTTGATTACCATCTGAGGTCAAGAAATGAGATAGTGGGAGCAAATGGGTCACAAATAGCTCAGCTGTGGGCTCAGAAACTGCTAGGTAAAAGAATTCCAGAAGGAGGCCAGGGCATAAGTTGGATGACCTATGAACTTTAGTCTAAAGAATTGAGACTACCGTAATTGAGACTACTGTAGTGACATCTGAGAAATGGGATGGAATAGTGACCATGTTTTATTTTCTTGTTCTTGTCACTATTGTATTTTATTTTGCATAATCATGCCCTTCACTGACAGTCTCCTTAACATCATCTGTTTACTCTGCTCAGTGTAAACTACAATGCTCTGTCATCTCCCTACTGGGTCTCCTGGGAGGAGGGGAGCCATCCAGGGTGCAAACTCAAAGGCAGAGGGCACAGCGTGCTTAGGCCCAAGCTTAGAATTCAATTGAGAAGTTCTGTTGTTCATCCTTACCTCAGCAGGTAGAAAAGAGGTGGAGATCAGAAGCCAGGGATTAGAGATTGAATTGCTTTCCCTGGGAGTGTGCAGTATCTCATTAAAATGTTGTATATTCAAAAAAATACAGACACACACAAGTGCCTATATAATGATAAAACATATCCAAAGCACCCAAACCTGTGATTCCAGAAAAGTAGATCCTATTTTTGTTTATTTTTATTGGCTTTAGCTGTGTCTTTTGAAAGGACTATTATCCTCTAAAATGTATGTGTATGAAGATCCTGGCTTGCAGCTCGGGAGCTTTACACACCTTGTGTCACTTTATCTTGGTAACGAGCCAAGATCATGCAACCAGTTCATCCATGTCTGACCCAAGAGCTCTTAACTGCTATGCTGCACTGCCTCATTCAGAGATAGATGCCTGCATGGGTCCTGGCGATTATTTTAATGCTGGCTACACCCCCACAGGTGACTTGGATTCAGAAATACAATTTATATTTCTTCTTTTTAAATTGTTTTATTTTATTTTTCTTTTAATAGTTATATGTCAGTGAGAACAATTTATATGTCTTACACTGAGAAATAAAACTGCTCATAAGTGAAAACACTCATGTTGGTCTGTCAGTACCTGCTTCTCCCCTAGGGTAATTTTACTTGAAGTTTACTTGCTTTCGGAGTATGGAGTCAGCACAGGGGAAGTGGATAGATCCTAAAACCTGGTAACTTCAAGATAAGGCAGCTTAATGAACCTCCTTGCTCTGCTGGCCGGAAGTGGGACTCTGGGTTCCCTCCCCAGGAAGTGCTCAAGTCTAGAGGCCCCAGAGTCCCAGCTACCCTTTCCGACTCTGAAGGACTGTTGCACATTTGTAACATCCACAGTTTACACCTCATTTTTCAAAGCTTACATGGTAGCAACCCTTTCTATTGCAAAGAACTGAGACCCACTCAAGTTAGTTCAAATGATAGGTAAGTTTATTATAAAAGCAGAAATAAGGAAAATGCGATTTTCCACCATGAGCCAGGCCCCGTGAGAAGCTATGTCAGGCGTGAGCGAGTTGGTGGGGTCACCACTCGTTCCTGTAGGAAGAACTAGAGATTCCAAAAATGCTGATAACAATCACACACATAGAACTTATTTTGGCCAAACACCATAATAAATATTTGTATATATTAACTCATTTAATCCTCACAACAACCTCAGGAGGTAGGTGCCCATCTTGTACATAAGAGAACTGAGACATGTGGAGGCCGAGCAGCTGGTCTCAAATCAGCTGATAGTAAGTCGCAGAGCCAGCATTTGAAGTCTTGTGGTTTGGCTCCCGAGTCTGTGCTCATGACCATTATGCAGTGGTATGTTGTATGCCCAGGACCTACCGGTAAGAAGTGGGCTCGAAGTCCAAAGAAGCGTGAAGACTGGATATTCCTGCGGCCTCTCAGCAGCATGGGTCATGGACACCTGTTCCAATACATCGTGGCTGCACATGCATCTCTGATTCTCTCTGTGTCTGCTCTTCTTGCCAACTAATGACACATTCATCATGGATCCCTTCTGAATCTCCGAGAGGACCTGATGGTTTCAGTTAATTACTATTGTCCCTCTTTGATAAGGTCTTCCTTGACAGGTGACCTCATAGACTTGTTTGGCCAATTATCTGCTGTTCAGACTCCTACCCCTGGCCTGATCATCTGTGGTGACGTCAGAAGGGACCAAGGGGGGCCTGGAAGGCATCTTCAGTATAACTGAATTCTCTCCTGAGGAGAGACCCTGGGGGCTGTCAGTCTCCTCCTACTCCTAGTACAAGTTCTCTTGGTGACATTAACTCCATCTGGGATGCAGAAATTGCTAGCTGTCACTTTCAGGGGTGTTCTTTCCTTGGCTAATGTCTTGCTCTTAGATTTGGGATCTTATGTTTCTCTGAGATCTGCAGCTTCTTGCCAAATAACTATACCTTTTTTCTGAACATCTGCACTAGGCTCTTTCTCCTCCCCTCTCCTTCCAGCCCCCAACTCTCTGTCCCAGTCCTTCTTGTGCAAACGATCCAGACTGGCTTTCATTAAACACCACTTCTCCCTTCATTCCTGACTCAGAAACCTCACTATGTCTTGGTGTCATCCATTTAGCCTGTTGACTTCTCGTCTTCCCCATTCCTGAACATTCCAGCCTAACCAGGTTGGTTTCCTCACACTCCTACAAAGGTACCGTGGCTTTTTCCTACCTCTATGCTTTCATTCATGTGGTTATTGTGACCTAGAATGTTCTCACCTTCCTCTCCCACTTGTCCAATCCCCACCTCCCCCACAAAACCTACCCTGACTTTCCCAGGCTCGCTGTTTCTTTCCTCTGAATTCCCAGGGCACTTAGCCTCTGTGATACCTAATTCAGTGCAGTTACACGCTCTCTTCTTATTCTGTAGCTGTTTAGTCATAGTTCCACAGCTAAATTATAAACTTCTGGATGGTGAAGTGGAATTTATTTAAAATTTTTTTATCATTCCATATTTCATTTCAAAAGGGGAAGTGGTTTTTTTAAAAAAAGATGAAATGAAAAAGGATGAGTTCATGTCCTTTTTAGGGACATGGTTGAAGCTGGAAACCATCATTCTCAGCAAACTATCGCAAGGACAGAAAACCAAACACCGCATGTTCTCACTCATTGGTGGGAATTGAACAATGAGATCACTTGGACACAGGGTGGGGAACATCACACACCAGGGCCTGTTTTGGGGTGGGGGGAGGGGGGAGGGATAGCATTAGGAGAAATACCCAATGTAAATGACAAGTTAATGGGTGCAGCACACCAACATGGCACATGTATACATATGTAACAAACCTGCACATTGTGCACATGTACCCTAGAACTTAAAGTATAATTTAAAAAAAATAACAATAAAGCCAGAATACACCAAAAAAAAAAAAAAGATAAAATGAACATATTTGAATGTTTACGTTTTAGACACTTTAGCAGACACTCAGCATGTATTTAATTTTGACAACAATCCCAGGCCACAGGTACCATAACCCTTATTTTAGAGGGGGGAGTACAGAGGTTCAGAGAGGCTAAGTAATTTGCCCAAGGTTACAGAGGCATTAGGTGTCAGGACCGAGACCTAAACTCAAGTCTGACCCTGTAGTTTTCACTCTTTGCACCACCACGTGGCTTGTTTTATAATTGTGGCCATGTTTTATTCCTTATACCTCTCAGTATGGTATTGACTACTTTGGCAAAGGCTCAATAAATACTGATTATAAGGTAATTGATGGCTCTTTTTAATCAGAGGATTGAGAAGAGCCCTTCCTTATGCTTTCTTATTAGTTCACTTATACATACATTTAAAATTTTACTGGACACCAGCTATGAGCCAGACACTGTTCTAGACATGAGGACACAGACAGAATATGATCCCTGCTCACCCAAAGAAGTGAGGCTTATACAAAAATGACTAATATACAATTGTATTCATTATCCATTACTCCACAAAAATTACCACAAATTTACTGCCTTATAACAACACATGGCCAGGCGCGGTGGCTCACACCTGTAATCCCAGCATTTTGGGAGGCCAAGGTGGGCTGATCACCTGAGGTCAGAAGTTCAAGGCCAGCCTGGCCAACATGGTTAAACCCTGTCTCTACTAAAAACACAAAAAATTAGCCGGGTGTGGTGGCGGGCGCCTATAATCCCTAGCTATTAGGGAGGCTGAGGCAGGAGAATTGCTTGAACCTAGGAGACAGAGGTTACAGTGAGCCGACATCACACCACCGCACTCCAGCCTGGGCAACAGAGTGAGACTCCATCTCAAAAACGAAAACAGAAAACAAAAAAACACACACACATTTATTGTCACACTGTTTCTGTGGGTGGGAAATTTTGGCACAGCTTCACTGGGTCCTCAGCTTAGGTACTCACAAGACTATAATCAAGGTGTTGGCTGGACTAGGTTCTTATCCGGCTCAGTTGGGGAAGAATCTGCTTCCAAGCTCACTCGGGTTGTTGGCAGAATTCAGGTTCTTGCAGCCACAAGACTGAGGGCCTCTGCTTGTTGTTGGCTGGAAGCTGCTCTTGGCTCCTAGGAGGGGCTCTAAAAGGGTGGGCCAGCAAGGAGGAGTTCTATACAATGCAACACAGTTGCCAGAGTGACACCCTATCACCTTTGCCTTATTCCATTCATTAGAAGCAAGTCACAGATCCCACTTACACTCAAGGGGAGGGGACCAAACAAGGGCATGAATTCCAAGAGGTGAGGATCACGAAGGGAGGCTGTCTTTGAGTCTGTCTTCCACAACAATAATAAATAAGTGCCAGGTGAGTGGTACAGACAACAAGTACTGCAGGAACTCAGCTGGGCTCCACATGTGAGGTGGTGTCACTGCTGATGAGCTCGGGCCATTCAGAGGCCTGGAGGATCCTATTTGAATGAGATTGTGAGAGATGGGCACTACCATCAGTTTACAGGCAAAATGGAGATTTCACAAATGCTCCTGGAGACCATGGGCCCCGACCTCCACAGTGGCAGCCCCAAGCATGAGCCTGTCCTGGAAGGAGGCTGGCTATCGTCCAAGAGTCAGAGGGTCAGGCATCAGGTGATGACTGTGGACATGAAGAAATGGTGACATGTTCAGGAGCTGGCAGGCCCGAAGATGCACTGGGTAGACCCAGTGGGGGCCTGGACAGGTTGGAGGAAGGAGAGAGAGGAGGCTGAGGTGAGCCTGAAGTGAGGTGTCCCAGGGATGAACAGGTCAGAGCTTCTGAGGGGGCTGAAGAAGCAATTCACTGACTCCTTTCTCCAACTGGGGATAAATAACCTCTAATTTCTGTGGAGCACTCCTAGAAACAAAGAAATCTTTCATAGATTAATATGTATTCATATATTCCATTGGCTCTTCCATTGGCCATGTAGCATCAAGATACAAAAGCTAACGGAGCAGTGGGTCTCCTTGACCTCTGTGCATGTCTGTGTTGTGTGGGTTTATATGCACATGTGGGAAAGAAGAAGGGACAGCTCGTACCTGTTCAGTAAGTCACCAGCATTCTAGGAGAGAGAAAAAGTGAGAATCATAATTGGTTCTCAGGTTCCTATCACCTCCAAATTCCTTTCCCAATTCACTCTTGGAGGCCACTCTGGGGTGCCACCTTGAGAACTGGGGGAACATAGCAACACCCCTCTTCTGTGCCCATTCTGCTGCAGCAGCACTCTGTAGCCTGGAACAAGCCACATCTACCACAAGTCACCACATATCACACAGGCCCCTCCCTCTTACACCTCCCAGAAGGGTGATGCAGATGGGCTGCCTCCTATCGGGGAGAATCCCAGCCCTTGGGGAAGGCCTCAGGGTATGCACCTTCAGTGTGTTGGTGTCTAATTCCTTGGCCGTCCTTTCCAGATCAATGACCAGGCTTCTGAGCTGTGTTACTGCCCTGGAGATGTCAAGGATTCTGGCCGCTTCTGCTGGCATGTGCTCCAGCTGGCCCAGCCACTGCTGAGGGAGGGCACCCAGCTGTTCCCTGGTTTGGTGCTGGCTCTCCGGCCCAGCCTCCAGCCTGTGGTTCCCGTGGTCTACCTGAAACTACAGGAAAGGGGCTCCCTAAGACTCAGTGTCAGGTGGCTCCCTCCTGGCCCTTCACAGTCTCTGAATGTCTGAGCAGGAATGCTGATTCCTCAGTCCTCTTGCCCTCATGGTGTTGCCTCTGTGTGTCACAGGTATAGCAGAAGCAGCTTTGATTCTCATAAAGGCAGGGACACCTCACCTTTCCACCTCACTCTCTGAATATCTACAGATGCCATGTGACCAAGAGGAATAGAAAGGTAGACTGTCAGAGACAGAAATGGAGGCCTATGGCGGCCGGGCACGGTGGCTCACACCTGTAATCCCAGCACTTTGGGAGGCCAAGGCGGGCGGATCACGAGGTCAGGAGATCGAGACCAACCTGGCTAACATGGTGAAACCCCATCTCTACTAAAATATAGAAAAAATTAGCTGGGCGTGGTGGCAAGTGCCTGTAGTCCCAGTACTCGGGAGGGTGAGGCAGGAGAATGGCGTGAACCCGGGAGGCGGAGCTTGCAGTGAGCGGAGTTCGTGCCACTGCACTCCAGCCTGGGCGACAGAGCAAGGCTCCATCTCAAAAAAAAAATAAAATAAAATAAAAAGAAACAGAGGCCTATGGCTTGTGTAGTAATTTTCAGTTGACGAGACACTGGTCTCCTTTGATCCCTACTGTGATCCAGGCAGAGCAGGACTGGTTCTCATTTAACATGTAAGTCACATAAAGATCAGAGGGCTTAACTTGCGTAGGTCACTCAACCAGCAAACTTTGACGCCAAGGCCAACACCCGGGTTTTCAGCCTCCACGACCATCTGCCCACATCAGGCTGTTCCAGGGACAGACAGATGTCCAGAATAGTTAAGTAAGGGCTCCTGAGAACACTCCAGGGAGTCCTTCCCAGGAACCCGAAAAACCCACCTGCAGAGCCTGCAGTTTCTTCTCCTGCTGAGCCTTGAGCCGCTGAAGTTCTGCAATGTCCTTTCTGAGCTTCCTGCTCCGGCGATTGAGTCGTTCCTAAAGAGACAGACACACCTGCTTGTCAGACTGGGAGTGAGGGGGGCACCCACTGGGAGGAGTCAATGGAACACGGTAGGGGGCCTGATCCCAGAATGCAACTAATGTAAAATTCTGCCTAAAAAGAAATGCTTTTAGAGCATCATGGTTGGAGTAAGGGACTTGAGAGTTTATTTATTGGATAATGATGGGGGGAAATAGTAATGGGTAATTTTTTTACAGTCTTAGAAGTACAGAAAAAATAATAGATAGCAACAGAACCATTTCTACTTGACTTCAGGGTGCTTTCTCTCAACATACAAAAGTTATATGACAGTCTTCTAGCACTTCTTACTATTTTACAGTAACACATGGAGCCAGTCTGGAGGGAATTGCCTTAAAGAGGAAATGGCAACCCTCTGCTACCTCTGCTGCCTGGTCCTCACTGGGATGAGTGACAAGATAGAGCCCTTTACTAGGTGCAAACTCATAGCCCAGGTAGGCAGTGCCTTCTCTCTCAATCTTAAATCAGCATCTGGATGTGTCGCTGTGTCCTTGAAGCTATGGAGTTAAAGAATGATTTGAGTTTCTAAAAAAATTTTGCTTTCAGGTTTTTGATGACCTATAAGAGAAGCAAAAATAACAACAAATGCTTTAAATGGCTGCCCATGGTTCGGGGGGCAGTTGGAGGGTGAATGATAAAATAGAAAACAAAACGAGAAGAGATTTGTGAACTAAAGATCAGGATGTGCTATTAGCTGAAAAGTGTGTGTTTCACTAAATCTTTCCCACTTCAGATTTTTTTTTTTTAATCTTTTTTGAGGAGATTTTGGAGATGTACAGGTAGAAGTCAGGGGATGGTGAAGACAACTGAAAGTTCTTTCCAGCCTGAGAATTTCCTGGTGAAATCAAGGTCAAAGGACTGTGTGTGTGAGGGGTCAGCAAGGGCATTTGGTGAACAGAAAGCTGCAGTAAGCAGAGAAGACAGTGATGTCACCACAAAGTTACTAAAAACGTGTCACGTCACTGGGTGTTTCCTGCAGGCATTTCCCAGCAGAGACGAAATAAAAAAGTCATAGGAGTGGGAAGTAATAAATGGGCATCATGGATGTCGCTCATGAGTCTCGCTGAAGAAGGTGGCAGGCTGGTGTGGAACTGTTTGTGCGAGCACAAGAGTTCATGTCCTGAAAAGCACAAACAGCCTTCACCGCTTGCATCTACTCACTTGCTGCCCTCACAGTCAAGTTGTTTGGTGTTGCTGTCTTCACCTCCTCACTGTCGTCATTCCTCAGCCAGCCGCCTTGTTTCTCATCACTCCTTTAAAGCCTCTCTCTCCAAAGTCACCTGAGATCTCCAGCCATGAAATCCGCAGGTGCCTTTCTGTACCTCCTCTCCACCCCATCCTTCCTAGACCTGTGCCTTCTGCCACTGCTTCTTTGCCTCTTCATTTTTTTCTGTAAAAAGGAGCCTTGAAGTTGGCTCCTCAACCCTTTTCTATCTCAGACTATGTCCTTAGCTTTCCTTTCTGGAGCCTTCAGATCTTAGAATTCCAAAACCAAATCTTTTTTCCTAGCAATCCATCTCATGCTTCCAAGTGAGAGCTAAGTGCTGCCTACTGCCCTGTTGGCAGCTCAAAATCAATATGGTAGAATCAAACATGCTGCCCAGTTCCCCAAGCTCTTCTGCAGTCCACTCCTCTTGACCTTCATGTTTCTGACATTGGGACTGCCATTCTGCCTGCCATTCAGCTTGAAATCTGTCACATTTCACCTTTGTTGATGTTAGTCCTCCCTTCAAAATGGCTTCTCAGCAACAAAGATAAGCCCAAACTCCTTCACCCAGCATCCAAGGTGCCCCAGGACCCAGCCCCAACTGACATTGTCCGGGATTCTCTCTCTGCTCACTGAACTCTCTTCACCAGCACACAACATTGCTCTCTGCTTCCCAAACACACCCGTGCAGCCACACCTCCTCATGGCCTTTTACTTCTCTCTGTCAGGAGTGCTTTATTTTTCTGCCTGTCAAAGTCAGGCCTATTAAGGTCCAGTTCAAAAAGCCACAGTCCTATCATCTGGCAGTTTAAAATTTAATAAAGCCAACTACAGACACTGTGTAAATGAAAAAAAGAAGGCAAAGATAACAGTAATAAAGATAAAGGCATAGAATGACTGAAGATAATACTGTCATATTGTTTACAATATTCAAAATGAGTAAGGTAAAGTCCTCTGTTTCTAAAAAGTACTTTTTCACCAATTTTTGCATAAAGGTATTTAATGGGTGCATATAATATAAATAAGACACTCATTAGAATTGAAAAGCTAAATTCTATACACTTTCACCTACCAAAATATTCCTCAGAGAAAAAAAGACAAGTTGAAATCTAGAAAATAGTCGAAGACCTGTCTTGTCTAAATGAATATTTTAAAATTCTGTCATTCAGGTTAAATCATATTAAATTTTTAAAATCTGACAAAAAAGGGCATTAAATTTGTTCTTAAACAACTTGCTAACACAATGTACAAAAGAAAAGTGGTTAACAGACAAAAAGTACCTATCCCTGACACTGAAAAAAAAAAAAAAAAAGAAAAATTAACAGCTTTCAAAATGCATGCTCCTTACAGAACTGTGTCCAAAAATATGAATTAAAAACAACATCACTCACACAATTATGATCTAGAAAATGTCAGAAAATTTTTAAAAATGTATGGTAAATACATGAGCTCAGCAAAGAATCTCATTTGAATCTACAAGTAAAAATTGTCAAAAAAAATAGTGTTGTAAAATACATAGCTACCCTCAATAGAGTCAGGGCACATGAGGTTTAAGTAAAGACAATTTAATATCTGATTCAGATACATAGTGGAAAGCCGTTAGTGATGTATCTTGGTACTGGTTGAGAAGACTAACTAAACCCCCAAAAGTCATGATTCTTAGTAATCAACAAATTTAATGCAATAACCATTAAAATCTTATGGAATGATCTATGAAATTTAGAAACATTGTAAAAAAGCACTCATCTTAAAAGACAGCAAAAATATCAGGTAATAAAATTATTAAATGGCAAAAATGCTGCTAGATTTAAAAATAAACCATAAAGTAACATGTTGTCAAAACTATATAACAGAAAGAATAATCAATGGACTAGAGTAAAAAAAAAACAGCCCATCATGAGAACTTAATTGATGTCAAGCGAGAAACAACACGTAAATGTGGAAAGGACTCACTGTTATATAAATATTTTGGGAACAACTGGATACCAGAATAAAGAAAAATTAACGTGGAGTCATCCTTCACACAACATACTATATGAAATTCCAAGTAAGCCAGGAATTAATAAACCTTTAAAAATAAAACAGAGCAGCACACTCATATTAAACAAATTTCTGTGTATTTAAGACATGGAGATTATATTATAAAAAAGAATAGAGCCAATTTAAATGCAAATTTCTAAAAAGTTGCCCAAAAATATAATTAAGAAGAAATAACAGAATAAAAAAATGTAGGTTAAACAAACACAACTAATGGAGCTCATTATCCAAAAGATAAACTATTTTGATGCAATCATGTAGAATTTATGCCCTGATTCTAGGGGAAAATGCAGACAGCGAGTCTTCATGGATAAAAGCCTCACCACTACTAGCATTCATAATCAAGCAAAGTAAAACAACGTACATCACTGTCACACACTTACTAAACCAGCAAAATACATTAAAGTGATTGACACTGACATTGACTGGTCAGTGAGGAAACAGGTATACAAATAAGAATTTGTAGATTTTATAAATTTTTCGGTCTTTTTAGAGTACAGTCAGGGATTATATGATTCTTTTAAAAGAACAAAATTTACAATACTTAACTACAAAGTTTAATTCAAATAAATAGAGATATGGTGAAAAAATCAGTAAAAAAAAACCCTCCTTAATTTCAAAATTACGCTGTCAATATCCATGAGTACACATAAGGTCCACCATTATAATCACTTCTTCAGAAATATACTCAACTCCCTTACCCTCCCTCTCTGTGTTACTTTTCAGACAACTCCTTATCCATGGTAAAATGTACCATCACCTTCTTGTTTGCTGTCTGTCCTCAGGCAGCCTCCTGAAACATGTTAAACATTTCAGACCTCAAATTGGTGCTACATACTGTCTGCCAACCCTACATAGTTTCTCTTGTAAGCGCTCTCCCACACTGCATCACACCATCTTGTTTCTTTTCAAACCTTTCACATCCATCCTGATCCCACCCATACTGCTGATGTTCCTTCCTCAAATATTATGAGAAAATAAAAACCAGAACAAAACCTGGATTTCCAAAACTGCAAAACTATGTAGGCTTGCAGACACCTTCTCTTGTTCCCTGTTATTACTATGGAAGAAGTGTGCCTCCTCCCAACTCAGCTCTCATGCCTCTGCCACCATCTTACTGAAGTGTTAGCATTGTTCAATGCAATCTATTATAATCTCTTAAAATACCCTTCTCTCTTAGCAGCTGGGGCACCATTCCCCTTGTTTTTCTCCTGCCTTTCTGGCAACTCATCCTGTCTCCTTTGCTGGGTCCTCCTCTGCCTACATCTAAATGACGGCCTTTCCCAGAACCTTACCCCAAAACTTCTTTTTCTGTCTAGCCTCTTTTGAGGCAATTACATCAGTTTCCTTGGTTTCTTGGTTGTTTGTTTCTTTGTTTGAGACAGGGTCTTGCTCTGTCTTCCTGGCTGCAGTGCAGTGGCACAATCACAGCTCACTCCAGCCTCACTCTCTTGGGCTCAAGCAATCCTCCCACCTCAACCTTCCAAGTAGCTGGGACCACAGGCGTGAGCCACTGCACCCAGCCCCAAATTGTCACGTTCTTTTTTTTAAATCCTGTTAATTTCACTTTGTTGTTGCTGTTGTTGTTCTAGAGATAGTATCTCACTGTGTTGCCTAAGCTGGTCTTGAACTCCTGGGCTCAAGCGATCCTCCCACTTTGGCCTCCCAAAGTGCTGGGACTACAGGTGTGAGCCACCGTGCCCGCTTTTCTTGGATTTAAATATTGTCTTTGCCTGGATGGATCTTTGTTCTAGGTTCTAGGAATAAGACTCTGGAGATCTAAATTTGTGATCCAGCTGCGTATGTAAGATCCTATTTTGATGTGTCTCAACTTGGACTCAACTTGTCTTAAATGAAACTCTTGGTGTTGCATTCAAACCTGTTCTACCAAGTTATTATCTTTCACATCATCTATTCAGTTTCTCAAACCAGAAACTCATGAAGTCATCTTTGACCTTCCTCCTTCCTTCAACCCACTTTTTAAAATATATATACTTTAAGTTCTGGGGCACATGGACAGAACATGCAGGTTTGTTACATAGGTATACACGTGCCATGGTGGTTTGCTGCACCCATCAAACCGTCATCCACGTTAGGTATTTCTCCTAATGCTATCCCTCCCCTACCCCCCATCCCCTCACAGGCCCTGGTGTGTGATATTCCCCTCCCTGTGTCCACGTGTTCTCATTGTTCAACTCTCACTTACGAGTGAGAACATGTGGTGTTTGGTTTTCTGATCTTGTGTTAGTTTGCTGAGAATGATGGTTTCCATCTTCATCCACGTCCCTGTAAAGGACGTGAACTCATCTGTTTTTATGGCTGCATAGTATTCCATGGTGTATATGTGCCATATTTTCTTTATCCAGTCTATCGTTGATGGGCATTTGGGTTGGTTCCAAGTCTTTGCTATTGTGAACCATGCCACAATAAACATACGTGTGCATGTGTCTTTATAGTAGAATGATTTATAATCCTTTGGGTATATACCCAGTAATGGGATTGCTGGGTCAAATGGTATTTCTGGTTTTAGATCCTTGAGGAATCACCACACTGTCTTCCACAATGGTTGAACTAATTTACACTCCCACCAACAGTGTAAAAGCGTTCCTATTTCTCCACTTCGTCTCCAGAATCTGTTGTTTACTGACTTTTTAATGATTGCCATTCTAACTGGCAGAGATGGTATCTCATTGTGGTTTTGATTTGCATTTCTCTAAAGACCAGTGATGATGAGCATTTTTTCATATGTCTGTTGGTTGCATAAATGTCTTCTTTTGAGAAGCGTCTGTTCATATCCTTTGCCCACTTTTTGATGGGGTTGTTTTTTTCTTACAAAGAACCCACTTCTAATCTCTCAGTAAGTCCTGTCGATTCAAACTCTAATGATAAATTCTTCAAATATAACAAGACTTCTCAGGTGTGGGCATCTGTATGCACTCCCTACCCCCTGTCTTTGCAGGTTGATTTCTCTTCTGCCAGCCCTCAGCTTCAAGGTCACTTCCTCTATGAGGCCCTCACTGACCAAATGGACATGGGCCACCCATTACTGTTCATCCCAGACCCTTGTTTATTTTCTTCCTAACTAATAAAAAGTTACAGTTCTTTTGGGAGGCCAGCGCAGATGGATCATGAGGTCAGGAGTTCAAGACCAGCCTGGCCAAGATGGTGAAACCCTGTTTCTACTAAAAATACAAAAATTAGCTAGGCCTGGTGGTGGGTGCCTGTAATCCCAGCTACTCGGGAGGCTGAGGCAAAGAATTGCTTGAACCTGGGAGACGGAGGTTGCAGTGAGCCGAGATCATGCCACTGCTCTCCAGCTTGGGTGACAGAATGAGACTCCATCTCAAAAAAAAAAAAAAAAAAAAAAGAAAAAAAAGTTACAGTTCTTTGATTACTTATTTGTGTCTCCCTTACTACACTGCAAACTCCTGGCAGAAGGAATGGCATCTGTCTTCATTGATTCCTAGCACATGCTGCAGTTTCTCACACACAGCAGGAACTTACTAAGTTTTTACTTAATGAACAAGTGTCATCGTTATTTATTTGTTTTAGCTTTCTTGTCATTATTTAAAGACAGATTTGAAACAAGAATTATGAATCATCTTTGTACTTTCTACAATGCCTAGCATGACATCTAACACAAAGGACAGACCTGAAAAAATCATTTAGTGAGGAAATAAATTTCTCCATCTTATGCTGCTTCATCGGCAGGTGAGGAATCCCTCCCCACTCTCCTGTGGACATTGCACCTGGAGGGAATGATGTTAGAACCAAATAGAACTTTGCCTCTGGCTTTTTCAATTATTTCTCTACCTTTCTGTAGTCACTTTTAATCTGGACTCCCCACTTTCTCATTCTGTATCATAACATGTTCTCCAAAAGTCAAGTATCTCAAAGCTACCTCAGCTTTGGAAGTTCAGCCTTCACTATTGGATAGAAGGATGCCATGTGAAAATATTGTCAATTGTCCAGTCAAATACTAACTGGATTAGGGTCAGGGGAAAGGTTGATAAAAATAATTCCAAAGCTAATTGGCAAAATAAAGATATACAAATATCTGCACGAATTCTGAAAAATAAGAGTATTGTGAGGATTCTATCAAAATACCTGACATTAAAATATATGGTAAGGATAAAATCTCTAAAATACCTTGGCTTATAGGCAAGCATAGACAGAATAGAACAGCACAAAGAATCAAGGCAGTATGCAAGAAAATATGCATATATGGTATATTATGACATTGGCATTCAAATCAATGGGGAAACTATATGAATCATTCAACAAATGGTGATAGGACAAATTGATTATAACTTGGAAAAACTAAAGTTAGATTTCTACCTTATGCTCTCACCAAAATATATCTTGGATATTCTAGGTCCTCCAATATATATGTTGAAGGATATTCATTAGAACGTTCTGTGTAATCTTAAAACAAAACAATAGCTTGGAAATGACCCAATGTCTGCCAATTTATGGTACATTCATAGAATTTAATACCACACAGTTCTTGAAAATAATTCAGAAGATCTATACATGCTGATGAGAAAATGTTCAAGCCACACTTTTAGATAACAAAAATGAGTTACAGAAAAAAATATAGAGAGAATCCTTTGAGGGTGTGTGTGTGTGTGTGTGTGTGTAAGAGTGCATTCATAAGCACACACATTTTTTGGAAGGATGTACAAAAATCAAACAATGGTTACCTCTGAGGACTATGAATGGAGGGAGAAAGGAAGACAAATTTTTAGTCTTGACTTTATACCTTTCAGTGCTTTCTGAATTTATTACCTACAGCATGTAACTTTTGTGATAGAAAATTTAACAGAATAAGATAAAATAATTGCCATAGCAAAGAAAGGAAAAGGAAAGATAAGACAAATGCAGAAGGAAGAAAAAGAGAGAAAAAATTATGTAGTAACTTTCAGGTTTTAATATATTTGCAGGATAATTACTAGTGTATATAAAACCTGATTACATTTCTAGCCAAGTTTCTAGTACTATCAACCAGGAGTTCACACAGTTTTAGTCCTGAAAGGGTTTTGCATTAGTTAGTCCAATTACTCTATTCTACAGATGAGCAGACTGGGACTCTAACATCACACTGACAATATCCTCTTTTAGACAGACTCACATTAATGCATGGAAACATCAGCCTCAAAATATACACAGAAAAGCAAGACAAGGGTCCAAAACAGGATGAAGCAGAAGAAACAAAGAGAGATGTCCATTGTTGAGCTACTCTGAGGTGCCAGGCATGATGAACATGTAGGATGCAGCACCTCAGCGAGGTGGAGGCAGGGCCTGGCTGCGGTGACCCAGGCTTACCTTGTAGTGGCTGAGGGCATTTTCAATGGTCAGTTCATGATGAGACATGTGTTCAGGGGACACCAGGCATTCCACACATAGAAGAAGTCTGCTCTCCTCACAGAACCTGCACACCCTCTTCTGGTGGTTGGGGCAGATATAGCCTGTCCCTAGCACCTCCTCAGAACAGGGCTTCCGGCAGAGGGGGCAGCAGAAGACCCCAGAGGCTGAGGCCTTCTCCACATGCTGTGTCAGGCACACTCGACAGAAGAGATGTCCGCAGTTGGTGCTCACGGCCTCCTTCAGGCTCTCCTGGCAGATGGGGCAGACACCCTCCTCCTGGTTGTCCTTCTGCAAAGGGATCATGGCCTCGTTCCTACCCTGTCAGCCTCCTGTTTGCAGGGCCTCCTTCTTCACTGGTCTTCGGAAGGCCTGTTGCCCTCAACAGTCCCAGATAAGAAGGCCCAGTCGGAAGGAGGCAGCCCTGGAGCAGCCTGGGGACAGGACACAGCCTCCAAGTTCAGGCAATTGCCCACTCTCCCTCAAGGGTGCCGTGACATAGACCACACAAACCACAATTCTTCACGAGTTTCAGAAATAGCTCATCAGCTTTGACATGGACCCTGCGGTTTCCTTGTGTTTGTTAAACTTGAAATTATTTTTCATACACCTAGAGGAAGCAAGTGATTCAATAACCAATTCTGTTTTCCTCTTGACAGCTTTCAGTGAATATTTGCACGGGCCCCAAATTAAAAGGGCAAGGTGTCATTGTCATGGCCAAAAGCCAGACCACTATAAACTTACAATTTGAGTCTCCTCTGATTTGCCATCAGTAGAGAGAGTTTGGCAGGAGTTTGGACTGTTTTCTCCTACACTGTCACACCGGGTGGCTCACTGCTGCCCATTATTACCACCAATAATTACAGCAGCATCTCCATCAGCTGGTCATTCTTCCAACCAACATCCCTCCCAGGGTCATATAGATTCCACACTGAAAGAATGAGAAAGAAAACAGGACACAGAACAGACTAGAGACTTGTATAATGTTTGAAGCCACTTTGTTCCTTCCTGTCAAATCACCACCAAAGATGACCCAAAGAAAGAAGTCCCCCGCCACCTGCCACCTCCCTTAGATACTGAGGATTCACTCTTATTCCCTCATGCTGCACCTCTTGCCTAGCCCCACTCCTGAAAAGCTTTCTTAGTATCCTACCTCAATTTCTCCTGCTACAATTTCAGATCATCTTCTCTGGCTCTAGACCTGGAGAGATGGCCAGCAGATGAGTGGTTCTTATATCATGCCAATCATATGTGTTCATATGTCAGTAAATCTCAGGGCGGGGGGTGGAAAGACTCATGCTTTCCTAGAAACACTGAATTACCAGGAAAATTACCTAGGGTAGCTGGAAGGTGAGATGGACTTTGGTGCAGGGCGTGGCTTGTTTGCTCAAGGGGAGGAGGAAGGTCTTGGGCCTTTGACGTCGATATGACAGGAAATGAGACTCAACTAAGAATGGACATCCTAGAACCCCAGCTTATGGAACCCCAGGATCCAGGTGTCACAGAATAATGGCACCCACTCAAGATGCTGGAACATCAAATGCCCACTCCATTGTCTAAGTTCCCTCCAGTCAGGCTAGTCTTGGCATTGAGTTTGAGGGAGCCCCTAAGGGGTGCCACTAATAAGGGCTGTCACTTGAAACTTCTAAGGGTCCAAGACGCTTGTTGAAAACCTCATTTCAGAGCCTCCTCCCTCAATCCCACTTTGCCACTGTTTGCTGTGGGTTGTGTGATCTTGTGAGATATATATATAATTAGTCTTGGCACAGAGCTCCTAAAACCCTTGAACAGATGATCCTTAACTTATGATGGGGTTACGTCCCAGTGAATTCACTGAAGTCAGAAATATTGTAAGGTGAAAGTGTACTCAATACCCCAGTAAACCCATCATAAAGTCAAAAATTTTAAGTTGAATCATCTTAATTCCTGATGCACCTCAACTTACCACATGGTTATGTTCTGATGAGTGTATCTTTTATTATTCATAATAAGCCCTTTTCAACCATACCAGGGTTTATGCTAATGAGGTGACTCTTGGAGGAAGAATGGGGGCTGGTTGGCAGAAGAACCTTGTGATTAGAGGGTGGGATCTTTCTTTCTTTCTTTCTTTCTTTTTTTTTTTTTTTTTTTTGAGACAGAGTTTCACTCTTGTTGCCCAAGCTGGAGTGCAACGGCACTATCTCAGCTCACTGCAACCTCTGCCTCCCAGGTTCCAGCGAATCTCCTGCCTCAGCCTCCCGAGTAGCTGGGATTACAGGTGCACACCACCATGCCCAGCTAATATTTTGTATTTTTAGTAGAGACGGGGTTTCACCATGTTGGCCAGGCTGGTCTCGAACTCCTGACCTCAGGTTACCTGCCTGCCTTGGCCTCCCAAAATGCTGGGATTACAGGCGTGAACCACCACGCCTGGCTGGTTGGAACTTTCAGTCTCACCTCTGACCTCTGGGGAGGGGAGAGGAGCCCAGGGACTGAGTTAATCACCAACAGCCAGTGATTTGATCAATCATACCTAAATAATGGAACCTCTGTAAGATCCTGAACAAAGAGGTTTGGAGAGATTCCAGGTTGGTGAGTGCATCCACATGCTGGGAGGGTGGCACATCCCACACTCCACCGGGGACAGAAGCTCCTGTGCTCAGGATCCTCCCAGAACTTGCCCTTCATCTGGCTGTGAAATTACCATGATCCTGGTGATTTCAAAGACTATGTACATGATCATTTAACACCAAGGCCTTTCAGTTCTTGTCCTGCTCACATCCAATGACCTTTGCTTTTGCCACCCACCCTAGTGGCCACTCTCTTGACCTTGTCAGGATTCAGATTTCACCACCTGAAATTATAAATGTAGGCATTGTACTCACTTATAGTTCTCTTCCTAAGGCATTTCCAACAATGTCTGTTTTTTAACCTTCAATCCTTGACCCCTCCACAATCTACATTCCTGTCGTATCTCATGAAATAGTATAAGAAACAAAAATGTGGACAGATTAAGTAACCTGCCCAAGGCCACAGTGGTGTAAACATAGAGCTGGGATTCAGATCTGGGTGTCTCTTATCCCAGCCCATGGGCTTCATTACCATAAAATGTCATCTCTCTATATATACCTTTTCTTGCTCTTAGAAAGGATTCAGTAAAAGCTTGATAAATGGATGGATTAATGGACAGATGGAAAGATAGATTGATAATTAGATGTATGGATAGACAGATGAAGAAACAGCACTTTGTACCAACTTATAGTACTGACTATATAGTAACTTCTACTAGTTACTTAGGTACTTTTCTTGATTTTCCTACTGGTTTATTGAGCAACTTGAAGGCAGAAATCCACTGTATTTAACTAGCAGTAGCTTGAGAATGTTTCAAATGTAGAAACCATAAAAGGAAAGAAAGATAAATTCAGCCACATTAAAAAAGACCTGCATGGGGGAAAAAAAACCGTAAGTGCAATGTCAAGAGACAAATGACGAAATACCATTGGAAGAAGAAAAATATTTACAACTGCCATCAAAATCAAAGGGCTAATTACCTTTTATATACAGCTCTTGCAAATAAGAATTTATCAACTACCAAGAAGAAAATTGGGCAGAGGTATCTCAGCAGACATTTCATAGAAAAAGAAATACCAAATGTCTCTAAAGCATATTAAAAGATAATCTCAATCTCATGAAGAAAATACAAATTAAAATAACACTGACATACTATTTTTCCTATCAGATTGACAGAAATCCAAACATTTGGTAACACAGTGTTGGTAAGTGTGTGAGGAAATTGGCACTCCCATACACTGCTGATGGGAATGCCAATTAGTACTCCTCCTTTAGAGGAGTAGGAATTTGAGAATTTCCTCCAAGATTACAAATGTACATTCTCTTTGAGCCAGCAATTCTGATGTTAGAAATTTTACATATATATTCATGCATATGTGAAATAATATATGCATATACCTATTGCATCAATGTTTTAGAAACATTTGCTTCAAATTTTAGAAAAAAAACAAATGTTCATCAACGGAAGTTAAGCTAAATAAACTAGCTACATTCATACAATAGAACATTGTGCAGCCATTAGTAGGGGGTGGGGTGTGGAAGGGAACTTTTGCTATTGGAATAATCTCCAACATAAATTGATACATTAAAAAAAAAAAAGCTTGGCCAGGCATGGTGGCTCACGCCTGTAATCCCAACACTTTGGGAGGCCGAGACAGGTGGATCACGAGGTCAGGAGATCGAGACCATCCTGGCTAACATGGTGAAACCCTGTCTCATTAGCCGGGCATGGTGGCGGGTGCCTGTAGTCCCAGCTACTCGGGAGGCTGAAGTAGGAGAATGGCGTGAACCCGGGAGGTGGAGCTTGCAGTGAGCCGAGATTGCGCCACTGTACTCCAGCCTGGATGACAGAGCCAGACTCTGTCTCGAAAAAAAAAAAAAAAAAAGCTTAATGGTGCCCATCTCACATCAGACAGGAACAAAGCAACCCCCTGTTTATCCCAGCTTGGCTTCTGGTCTATGCCCATGCCTGGTTTATGCTTTGGACACATAGATTACTGATTTTAAAAAATAAAAATAAATTAAATTTAAAAGCAAGGTACAGAACAGTGTGTATAATATGCTATTATTTGCACAAATCGGGGAAGAATAAATATTCTTATTTGCTTTTTATGCAAAGAACATCTCTGGAAGAATATATCAATGAACTAGTAAAATTTGCTTCTGGAGAGAGAAACTAGATGTGTGGAAACCAGGGGCAAGAGGGAGACTTTTTCCTGTGTTTTTAAAATTTTGAGCCAGCAAATGTGCCATCTATCTAAACAATTACCTAAATTTTAAAATGTTTAAGAAGAGGATGGTCAGAATGAAAGGAATTCTGGACTAGTCAAAGAATCTGGATTATGGTCCTAATTGTGGAGATTTGTAGCTTCATGTTCAGGGGCAGCCACAACTTCAGCCTCCTTTACAAGAAAGTGGACAAAATGTCATAGCTGGAAATGGATGTGCTTCATAAACTACAAACTAATGCGCAACTGTCAGGGTCCTTATTTCCCTGAGTCAGCCTATTCGGCATAGCTCCTTGAATATATTAGGTGCTCAGTAACTGTTTTAAAGGAGTGATCTTATCTAATTTCTCATGCTTTAAAAATACTGGAGCCAAGAGTCAGGTGATTTTTGTCTTCTCTCTCTCCTTTATGACTCTTAATTGCCTCTGTTTTGACATTTCCCAGCAGGGAAGACCTAACTCCTACCTCTTTCACACAGCTGCTCCAAACCCTTCACATCAGTGGAAGCCCAGCTCAAGTCCCAGTTTCCTGAATGAAACTTTCCTAACAAGTCAGTCTTCATTCTGATGAATGGGGGCTGAGACCTAGCCCAGAGGTTGCTTGCCAAGCTGTGGGCTCTGGCTCAGGGCAGCAATGGCCCCAAGAAAGTGAACTGATCCATCCTAATTTTCACAAAGGTGTCAGAGGGGCCTGCAGGTTCTACATGGATCTCTCTTTCCTAAATCACCGTCTCATTTATTACCATTTGATTTTTGCCAACTTCCCTGGCTTTGGCTCACATTTAGCTTCATGAGGGATAGGACTATGTCTTTCTGTCTTTCCATACTCTCCTATGCCTATCCCAGGGCTGGGCACCCTAAACCACTCTCTAAGGGTCTCCAACTAAGTCCTAAACTCAAATCCCAGCGGTATTTTCTCAGTTCACATCCAAACTGATGACTCAAACTTTAGATCATCAGCAGTCCCCTCCTTAAAATTCTCCTCTCCACTGGCTCCTGGGTTCCCTCTCACTTATTTGATCATCCATAAAAGGAGATCTACTCTATCTTAGTGCAGCGAGGTGGAGCTACGTGGACTTCACAGGCGGAGTGTCCGGATTCAGATTCCCATTCTACCGATGCACAGTTGTTAGCACTATGCAGATCCTGTAACCTCCCTGAGGCCCGATGCCAGCTTGGTATTACTATCCCTATTGAGTTTAAACTTCTGTGCATTCTTAAGTGTTCCATCACCACCTCAAGTTCAATGTACCTTCGAATTATTCTTGCCTGGATTATCTGCCACCCTCCCCAGAACAGGCAATGAACAGGGTCATTCAGCTGTTTTCGGCAGCTGTCTCTTGATGGACAGTAGGTGGCGCTGTCTTTCAAGACAGGACACCATTTCGCTTCACCTCCGGAAGGTGGAGCATTGTTGCCAAGACTCTAGGGCACTGGCAACCGTCTTTTAAACGGTGGCTTAAAAACTGATAGCATAATTCCTCAGGGCAAGAAACATCTGGCTGTGGAAAGCTAGCCGTGAAATATGTAGACTGAAGATGGAAGGAAAGAGAAGGGAAGGGGAGCATAAAACTGTGTAAGAGGAAGAGGGGTGGCCCAGGAGAGAGACAGAGCCTGCAGGGCTGCAGAAGGCAGGTAACCAACAAGGAAAGTTTACCAGTGAGAAATGTCTTGGGCAGAAATAGTGAAGGAATGTTTAAGAACGGAAATGCCTAATACTGAAACTTAAGTTGTCTGCTCTGAGATTGTGTCCTCTGCTGAAACCTGTCCTTTAGACCAGCACTCAATACTTTTTATCCCTAGACTTCCAGGAATCAAGCAGTCAATCTGTCATGCACAGTGACCTGAATAAGAGGAAATTTAGAGAAATCTCAGGAAAGTTGCTATGCTCTATGTTTGATGAGGCAGTTCTCAGAAAAACAGGGTTGGGGAGGAGCAGGGGTTCAAGATCTCAGATTCAGGAGGCATGGGGGACTCAGCAGAGCCCTTGGGAGCTGCTGGTGAAAGAAATGAGTTATTGGTAGGAACCTCTGAATTCCACCCAGTCGCGTGGAGGAAACAACCTCCAATACAGCATGACCTCACTTAGAGTGTAAAAAGGTTAACTGGTAGAAGCAGACAGTATTAATACAATGGTGGTTACCAAAGTCTGGGCGTGGTGGGCATGGGGATGGGTTGGTCAAAGGATACAAAGTTTCAGTTACTTCAAGGAGGAATACTTCAAGAGATCTGTTGTACCTTCTGGTGATTTGTTAGTAATGGTACACTGTGTTCTTGAAAATTGCTGAGAGAGTAGATTTTAAGTGTTCTCACCACAAAACACGAAAACCAAATAAACAAAACTAAAACAGCCTGAAATGTATTGAGGCTATTAGGCATTCACCAGGTTGTTAAGGAATCCTTATTTCAAGTCCTACAAAACAGCTGATCTTGAGAAGCACAGCCAGATGGACCAGTGTGGACATTACATATGGCGAGGTTGTAGAAAGCAATGAATCCACCCCCAGTGGAATGCGTATGAGGGGCTGGTTTACAGTAAATACTTAACTGGACACACCTATTTCAACAAAAGGATAGGGTTACACAATCAGCCACTTCCCTATAATAGGGGAATTTATGAGCTTCCAACTCCAAACTGAGGCACAGGGAAGAATCAAAAAGGGTAAGCAAATGCAGAGAGTGATGTTCGGTGACACAGACAGTACGTCAGCCTGAAGTGGGACCCCAGCGGAGAGACTTCAGGGACAAGCCTGTTGCAGTCGTGAAGTGTGCAGAGGAAGCTCTGCCATTAAGTTCATCCCTTGCACTGGTTCTTTCCAAGACCCTGGAATTCCAAGCAATGTGTTCAATATGGTCATGCTAAGTGTTTTGTAAAATTTGCAAAAGTAACATATTTTAACCACGGTTAGGATTACTGTCTCCTTCCACGTCAACTTCCCTCTGTCACAGTTTCTCTTGTATCAGGTAGCATGTGGGGGTTCTAGCTAAGGGGAAATTAAGTTGGGATTACATTGTTTGAGATTACTAGGATATGTGGTTCATAAGCACTTTCATGTATAGTCAAGTTATTGCTACCCGTCTCAGTGTAGAAGTGGCTTACAGGAACCACCACCCACTGAGATAACTCACCTGACATCAGAGACTAAAGTGAAAGGTCAGAGATCTGTCACAATAAGAATGTGTGCTGTGACATGAGGCACCAGAAGTCTGTGGACAGTGAAGCCAATAAATCCTTTTAACCCCTAGATGTAGAAAATTATAAGCGTATTACTCAGTCTCATCAAAGTCTAGTCAAAATGGAAGCTCTCTTCTTTAGGAATATACTTATTAAATATGCATATACAATTATACATACATCATGAAATAAAATGATCTCTTGCATATTTGCACATGAAATTAATAGAAGTTATTCTGACATCAGAAAAGGAATTGGAAGAAGAAAAAAAGTTTGGTTCCAGCCAAAACCAGCAATTTATTGAAGGGAAGGGATACATTTTAAATAGAATAGATGCCTAGATTGTTTGACAATCACTTGATGAAGAATTAACCACATAAACACATTAAAACTTAAAAAACTTGTTGTTTTGGCATAAAATATTGACATCTACAAACAGTTTCATACTACACCTTTACAACAAGGACTTAACGAAAAACAGGCCAATGACTTTCAGCAACTTAAAAGAGTATTTAAGATTAGTCACTGCCCAAGAAAACTTGAAATGCCCTGAAATCTCAGGCTTACATAGGAAACTCTTCACAGAGGCTTCTCCAAAATTAATAGCACTAAAAATTTGCATATTATTACCAATAACGATTGTGAAATGGATATTAACTTTTCTAAACTTTCAATAAAAACTTTTTTTGCTTAACTATGCTAGACGAAATACCAAATTATTCATTCTCACCCAGGAAAATACATTACAAAAGTGTTGTCGAATGAAGAGGGAATCAAAAAATATAAATGGGAAAATATAGGGGTGGTTCAAGCAGTTATTAGAATTTTGGGGGGATTTTTTGATGTTTGTGATATGTCAGTTTTTAAACATTTATCATTTGCTGTCATTGTTTTTCCTCATTGTAAGTCATATTTGCTTTTATTCTTAATTTTGTCAAATTCTGTATCCTTTTTCTTTTCTTTCTTTCCTTTTTTTTTTAATTTTTTTATTTTGAGACGGAGTGTTGCTCTGTCGCCAGACCTGAGTGTAGTGGCAACGATCTTGGCTCACTGCCTCACTGCAACCTCCGCCTCCCTGGTTCAAGAGATTCTCCTGGCTCAGCCGCCCGAGTAGCTGGGATTACAGGCACATGCCACTATGCCCAGCTAATTTTTTGTATTTTTAGTGGAGACGAGGTTTCACCATGTTGGCCAGGATGGTCTCGATCTCCTGACCTCGTGATCCACCCACCTCGGCCACCCAAAGTACCGGGATTACAGGCGTGAGCCACCGTGCCCGGCTGTATCCTTTTTCTTGAAAAGACACAACACTGTGTAAGCTTTCAAGCCCCACAAACCTGGGCCATCTCCCCGCCCCAGGAGAGTTCTCCGGCAATGGGAGTGGCCCAGACAGGCTCCCCAGATAGGGTCGGTTTCCAACAGGAGCCCTAAGGGGAGCTGAACCGGAAAACAAGTCTGTTAGTAGCGCTGGTCCTACGTGTCAGGGCTCAGTGGATAGAGAAGGAACAGGTGAGAAGCAGAGCCCCCGCCCAGTCCCCAGCGGTCCCCTTGGGAGCTCTGCTCGTGACCGTCCCGAGGGGCTGCGGCTCCGGGGCTCGGGTCGTTTTGAGTTCCTATCTTTGCGGCGGCTCTAGAATTCCAGGGGCAAGGCTTGCGCTCTGTCGTTTGCAGAAGACCGTCGCCAACGGACATCTGGGCCCTCTGGTGTTTCCAGCCCCACCTCCTCCCAGCCTTTCTTGTAACTAACCTGATCGAATGTGTGAATTGGGATTTCTTTTAAAAGCCCACCTCAACTGAAATTGGGACAGTGTAATCAGGATTCCGCTCCCCCGCCTTCACCCCAATCGGTTGCTTTTCAAATACAGCTTTTCTAAAACGCCGCCAGGCACCCGGGCGTGAAGGCGCGCGTCCGGCGTTCCTGGGCGCTCACCCAGTGGTCCGCGCGCCAATCTCCCTAACGTTCCCCAACCACCGTCCGAGCTGCCCCACTCTTCGCCCGGTCACTGATGCAGAGGCTGTCAGGCCTCTCTGCGCACGAAACCCATCACAGCACCTGGGCCAGCAGCCAGTGCCGGGCTGTCCTCTTCCCACCCCAAGGCGGTCCTCTTGAGTCTTCACACCGCCTCCTTCGGATCCCTCCCCATCCTGAGGACTTCAGGTTGCCGGCTCCTCACTTGGGTCCTGCGCACCTCGGGCTTCTCACAGAGTAGCCGTCTCCATTCTACGGATAGGGAAACAGAGGACCAGAGCCCCGAAAGTCGTACGCCCCAAAGCCCCTGAGAGTGGTCTCCAAATGCTAGTGCTGTGGCTCTGGAAAGATTCATTTTATTTCCTGCAACAAAGGCAGCCTCAGAGAACTGGCCTCCGAGCCTTTTCCGTGCAGACCCCCAATCTTTCAAGACACCACAGACCAATTCAGTTGGCAAAAGCCCTAAGAACAGTACACCCCAAACCAATGGAATAAAAAAGTTTTGTTTAGTTGAGACTGCAGAACTCTTAGCTGGCTTACAGATTTCTAAGGCAGCATTTGGCACCTCTGTTTGCTGTTTGGCTCCTCTTTCGGCCTCTAGAGCTGACTGCAGCTCCAATCTCCTTGTCACATCCTGGTCTGCAAACTGAGACCTCACAGGGGCCTTTACACCGTAGGGCAACTCCTTATGCCGTTGTCACACTGAAGCTAGAATTCTCAAAGCTGGAGCACTTAGGTGTCTGCATTTTAGAGGTCCCAGCCTGAATATATGCACAAGCAGGGTTTTGTTTCTGAGCTCAGTGAAGAGGACTGCTGTGACTCCAGCTCTTCTGAAATATTAGATGTGTAAAATGCAAGATTCTCTTCCAGCCTTGACTGGAGGTGATGTGGCAATGTGTGTACGCAAGAAAAGTCCATGCAGACTTTATACAGACTTTACTACTACAGACAAGAGAATCTTTCTGAAAGCTAAGGCCCAGAGAAGAGCAAACTACTGAAAAACTAAGGCCTGCATCAGAAGGGCTTCTGCTTCCATTAATGGACTGAGTAATTCAGACCAAGCCTCCATTTGAAGACAACTAAAAATGCTGGGTAAAATATTTTTAAGTATCTTACTTAAATATTCAAAGGTTAGTGAGGAATTGCTGGGCCAAAATTTGGGAAAGGAAAGGAACATGGAGGTGAGCCTGCAACTGGGGTCGCTTCTGTTCTGGGAGCATTTGCTGAAGAGAGTTTAAGAATCCAAGCTGCATTTTTGGCAGCCTTTAAAGGCTTAAAGGGAGTAGAAATGGTGTCCCAGCCCAGAGAATCTCAAGTAACCATTGAACTTGTTCAAAGTGACTCTAAACTGCTAGTGTCAAAAACAATCATTCTGGGAAGAAGATAATAGCATCCTAGGCCTCAAATGCATCTAGCAAACAAGCAAAAATAATCAAGCCCCAGAGAGGCGAGATTGCCATAAGAAAAGCAGAAACAGGCCAGGTGCAGTGGCTCATGCTTGCCATACCAGCACTTTGGGAGGCTGAGGCTGGGGAATTACTTGAGCTCAAGAGTTCAAGACCAGCCTGCACAACATGGTGAAACTCCGTTTCTACAAAAAATGCAAAAGTCAGTTGGGTGTGGTGGTGCACACCTGTAGTCCCAGCTACTAGGGTGGCTGAAGTGGATGGACGGCTTGCGCTTGGGAAGCAGAGGTTGCAAAGAGCTGAGATCATGCCACTGTACTCCAGCCTGGGCCGTAGAGCCAGACCTTGTCTCAAAAAGAAAAGAAAAGAAAAAAAAACAAAAATAAAAACAGACAACAGAATCAGACCCATGGGGCTTCCAGACTCTGGGGTTATTGGGCATAGACTATATAACAATGTATATGCTATCTTCAAAAGGATAAAAGCTATGTGTGAAACATTTGGCAGAGAGCTAGAAATTATAGCAAGTGACGTAGCAGATTTTTTTTGGGGAAAAGGAAATCTAGATTGAGACAGTGATGGGCACTAGAATTATAAAGTCATGGAAACTCAAGTATGGTGGCTGTGTTGGTCAATCTGTGAGCTTAGAAAGAATTAAACGTGAGCGGCTATGTGACCACAGAGAGAAATGGAGAGAATAGCTTCCTATTTTTCAGTTGAGTTTTTTGCTACTACAAAATTATATAACCAAAAATAGATGATTTTAACTATGTAACTTAAAGGGTTATACATACACTTGGCTCAAAAAATAATATATTAAAAGGTATAGATTAAGTAGGACTGTGACCACCTTGCCCTTCTTAATTCATTCCACCTACCACTACCCCCGTCCCTGGCCCACCGGTACACACTTTTATTAGTTTTCTGCGTATCCTTTCAATGTTTCTTTATGTAAATAGAAGTTAAATACAACTATATATATTGGTATTTCTCCCCTTTATTAAGCAAAGTTTTGCATACTAAACACTGTTCTGTCACTTAACAATGTTGCCTAAAGATTGTTGTCATTGGAATATAGAGAGCCTGTATACAATGGCTGTTCAGTATGGCAACTGAAAAATTAGCTGTTTTGTGCCAGGTACCATGGTAAGTGCTGAGGATGTCAAGATGAAAAACTATGGCCATGGGTAAGAGCTTTTACCATTTTTTAAATTTGGAAAATTAAATTTAAAATTTTTTCCATTTTCCATTTTTCCCTTTTCCATTTTTTAAATTTGGAAAATTTTTCTAGAATTTGGCTTTGGGAGGGATTAGACTGCTACCCCTGGGTACCGCATCCCACTGCTTCCCGTCCTTCTGTAATGTGGACTCACTGGCATGGTTGGCCTGCGTTAGCTGGCTTTGTGCATTGGAGCAGCTGGATGCCAGCCCAGAAGTTTCTGACAGCCTGGGCCCAGCAGTTCTGTGCCCACTCTGGGCCAGAGCACACAGCTGTCTTGCAGGAGAGAAGGGAGTATCAGCCTTTTACTCCACAGACTCAGCAGAGGCTTGATTTCAGATGTGAGCTGACCTTGAGACAGGCCCAGTCTGACTCAGGGATCAACTTTAAGGTTCTGTCAGGTCTCTGTGGAGCTAATAAATGGAGTAGGGGACCATGGGGGCAAAGGGTAGGTCAGACAAACGGAAGGAGAGGCATCCTCATTTGGAACAAAAGCTGTCTGTTTTTAAAGCCCCCGTAAATGGTTCAATATTTTAAAAGTTTTTTATTTTTTAAAAAGCAATGTTTAAAAACACTCGGGTTAAAAACATTGACTAGGATATTTTACATAAATTAAATAGTGGAAGATTTGAATAAATGTTCTGTATAACTAAAATAGAGTTTCTTTTCTGAAGAGAACTTTGGACTTTCACCTATACCTGACACCTGGGCCATTGTTCTCTGATTAAAGGTGCAATTTTTATCTATAGGAAAGTCATAATTCAAGATCAAAAAAGGAGCCCTTTTACGATGTTTTAACAATACCCCACCCTTGTTCCCCCGCCCTCCACCACCCATCTACTCCCCAGGAATATCTTTTTTTTTCTTTTTTTTTTTTTTTGGTGAGGAGTCTCACTCTGTCACCAGGCTGGAGTGCAGTGGTGCAATCTCGGCTCACTGCAACCTCTGCCTCCCAGGTTCAAGTGATTCTCCTGCCTCAGCTTCCCGAGTAACTGGGACTACAGGCATGCGCCACCACATCCAGCTAATTTTTGTATTTTAGTAGAGACAAGGTTTCACCATGTTGGCCAGGCTGGTCTTGAACCCCCTGACCTCAGGTGATCCACCCGCCTTGGCCTCCCAAAGTGCTGGGATTACAGGCATAAGCCACCACACCTGGCCCCCAGGAATATCCTATATTAAATACAGGAGTTGATAGGCAGGCTTATCTCTCATTCCCACCCACATCCATCCCTCCTCCCCACCCTCTGATTAGCTGGAAAAATTTGGAAAGATGGAAAAGAGATTATTCCAGCACAGGGGAAGGAAGATCACTTGTCACATTGTCAGGAAAAACATACGATGCTCAGTTAAACTTGAATTTCAGATGTACAACAAGTAGTTTTTTAGTATGTCTCAAATATTGCATTATTCATTGTTTATCTGACGTTCATATTTAACTGGGTGTCCTGTACTTTTATTTGCTAAATCTGACAACCCTGTTTGGCAAATCTGGGTCACAGGGTATCAGGCCAACTGGAAAAGACAGTTAAGGAATGAAAGATAAGTTTAGATGAAAGGGAAGAGGCCAATGGAGGACGAGTTGGACTTTATTCTGTAGAAAATGGGGAACAACTGAAGGTGTCAGTTTTTTTTTTTAAGTAACATTTATTGTGGGATTTTTTTAATTGTAAAAGCAAATATGTTAATTGTGCTGCATTTGGAAAGCACAGAAAAGTATAAAAGAATATAATTACCCATAATTTCACCAACCAGCAATAACAACTATTGGCACCTTACTGTTAACTGCCTGCAAGTTGATGCCAGTTTTCACCTTCTCAAGCCTATTTTGACAGCTCTATTGAAAACTGGAACCATATCGACTGCTCTTCATACTCCCTTTCTGCTTTATTTTTTCCTCCATAATATTTATTTCCTCCTTAGAACCTTAATGTGAAAAAAAAAATTTCCTCCTAATGTATGATTCATTTGGTTAGCTGATTTACTGCCTGGCTCTCAGTGGGTGGGGCTTCTGTATACTTTATTCACTGTAATAAAAGTGCCTAGAATTATGCCTGTCACATAGTAATAAGTATCCATTGTAATGAACAAATAAGTTATCCTTCTGGTTTCTTTTCTCTGACTATATATGCTTTTGATTACTTCCTTATGTAACCATAACAGATTTGTTGCCCAACAGGCACAGAAAGTCAGTAAGCTGAAACCTGGTTGCAGCAGAGAAAGAGGTTTAATCGTAGGGCCGCCAAATGAGGACATGGAAGGGAACTTCAAATCCATCTCCCCAAATAATTTGGAGCTAGAGATTTTAAAGATTTTGGAGTTGGCC